>NC_000001.11:213809587-214434587 GCF_000001405.40 Homo sapiens
AGTTTACTACATACGCCCTCACAAATAATTCATTTTCAAGAAACTAAACATATGTACAGTATCTTCCATATTAAGAGGATACTCATTACAATGTAACCTTTTCATTTGTTTGCATTATGATGATTCAGAAGGCACTGGGGGACCCTTTCAAGAATAAGGCAGTGATCCATACATCAGAGATCATGGTACAGTAATGCTGTAAATAGACAGCATAAACAAGATGAATCTGAATCCACTGTCACCCTATCGCATTCTCTGGAAGTTATTTTTCTAAACCAATTGTGATTACCAGAATCTTCCCTTGCCATTTCTATCTGGCTTAATGAAAGTAAAGCTGGGAATAGTTGTGAAATTTTCACTGCTAGATTGACTGGAATATACTTGAGTTATGGATATTGGTGTGCAAAGGGCATAAATACACCACAACCAGCCTCTCACCTCTCTCTATCCACCATGACCACCATCACTTCCATCCTCTACCCTTACCCTTTGATTTCTTATCATTGCCGTTGAGAAGCCTTGGAGGGCCTGGCTACTGGAGGATTGCAATAATGTGGAATCAGGCAAGTTGCTGCCTAGGGCAGTAGTAAACTGAGGCTTGGAGTGGGTATGAAGCAAGCCTGAGGAGGAGGAGGGTCTGAACCAGCAAAGTAATGCTGGCAGTTGACTCAACAAATCAGTGGGAAGATGTGGTCAATAATCTAAGGAAGAAGACTAGTTCCTGGGAACATCAGGAACAGGTAGAAAAATACACCTTAGGTAGGGTGGGGAGAGAAGTGTCAAAATTATTGCTCTTATAAGAGCATCAGTCTTATTCATTGCTGCATACCTGGCCTGGCAATGGTCCCTGGGTTAAGACATAGAGCTTGGCCGAATTGGAAGAAGATACAGAAAACCATGAGGAATGAACTTCTTTCTGACATATCAAAGTGATACAAGGGGTTAGTTGATAAATGTGGAAGTGGGAACCCTACAAAGTAAAGTTGCAGATACTTCCCAAATAACTAGGGGACTAAGTTTACAAATGACTGCGTAAAGAAACAAACACCATTAGCTGTTAATTCTGACAGGTGAGTTTGAATTATAATATCTACTCCAACCACCAACACCAGTATCACCACTGCTACCAACACTTTCCAGGAGTCAGGGCCTGAACTCATTTATTTTTGTGTATTTATTTAATTCATTATTGATGTAATCTTTTTAATAGTTCTATGATATAAATGTTACCATCCTCATTTTACAGATAAGAAAAATAAAGCTCAGAGATATCATCTCTCATCCCAGCAAAAAGCTGGTAAGTGGCTGGTCTAGAATTCAAACCCAGCTTCCACTGAGGCCAGAGAGTGGCATCTCATAGGAAATGGGGTTTACTTCCATGGGCAAGAATGGGATTCCTATGACCAAGGACAACTCTGGATTTAAAGAAACTTAAAACAAAACAAAATAGTCCCCATGCCTGATCTTCCCAGCTGGACTCTTCTCAGCTTGGTTTGTGGTTATTTATAGCACTCTACTTACAACTCCAGAGCCACTGGCAATCTTGAGCATGTTATTTAAACTTCCTGAGCCTTAATTTGCTCTTTTGCTAGAATGAGGCAATTACATTTAACACTCTGAGATTTTTCACCTTTAATACTGATTTTATTCAACATCTGTATCTGCTCTGCATGGGACATTTTAGACACTGCTAAAGATACAGAATTGAACGTGGCGGGGCTCGCAACCTCCGTGCTTCTCACCAGGACATGGGCTTTTCCAGAGCACACAGTATGTCATTTATCTCTGCACCTCTGCCCAGCCCATCCCCATGCCTACTTCACTGCCCAGGTATTGTAGAGGCTCAATGAATGTTCATCAAAATTACATGAAAGAAAGGAGCTGCTCACGATAAATAGCACAAAACAGAATGTGGCAAAGATCTTAGAAACCATGCAGTATAATGGGATAGGCCATAGGAAAAGGGCATTAATAACCATCTGGAGTGATCAGGAGTCATCTTCCAGGAGGACTCATGAAGGAGTTGGCTTCTGACCTTAAAGGAAAGGAAGAGCCTCAATGGGCAGAAAAGGGGCAGCATAAAAAATTCTGGAGACAGGAAAGTTCCCTGTCATCCAGTTTTTCTGCCAAGTCGGGTGTGTAAGAGAGTATGGCAGTGCTCAAGACCAGAAAGATGGGGTTGAATTATTAAGAACCTTAAGTTTTTGTGTTTTAGACTTTAGACTGCTCTGTAGGAAATGAGGAGCCATTGAGGGTTTTTAACACAAGGGTGGTATAAACAGTTATGTCATATCGAAATTCAACCACTGAGCATTGTGTGAGACACCTTCAAATATGTTCTATTACTTAATCTTATTTAATTCTTGACTCCAAACAACTTTGTAAATTAGATAGTTTTATTGTGTGTTAATTACATCTCAATAAAGATATGTAATAAAACACCTCTATTTTTGAGATGAAGTAGTACACAATTTCTTAGAAACAAAACAAACAAAAAACAGTCTTCTAAAGCTTCACTTTAACTTTTGTGGGATGCCCTTCTTTACTCTCAAGAAATTAAGAAAAAAGGAAAGAAAAGAGGGAGAGAGGGAGAAGTGAAGGAAAAGGAGGGAGGGAAAAGGAAAGACAAAAAGAAAGGGAGAAAGGAAGGAAAGAAGGAAGGAAGAAAGACAGGCTTCATACGTTCAAGATTCCATGTCCTCTTTTTGGTAGTATGGGAAGGAACTGTGGCAGAGGGAAAGCCAACTACTGTCTGAGTTAATCTCAGGTCAGATGCACTATTACTGAACTTCAGGGTTGTATAACAAAAATCTGTTTCTTTCCATAGCCATCTCCTTAACACAGTGTATGAAAAAAATTGTTTTTAGGTGTCTTGATTTAATTTAGCAGTTTCTTAAATTCTGTGTATTCTATGTGCCCGAGTAGCCTATGAATTTTTTTTCTTCATGTGGAAATTCAGGGATTGACAATGCCGTTGTTAAAGCCCTTTTAAAGACAGTTCATTTAGGAAGACTGGTTCCCATTGGACACCCTTGAGGAGTTAGTTGTGTGTGTTAAAGAGATATTTATTCCCAGATAAATTGGCTTATAAATATGAACCAATTCGTGTAAGGCAATCCACAGAGCAAGCCTTGAGGGAACTGTTCTTTCTACTTTAGGGACTGGCTTCTATGAAAGACCTGGTAGGCAGCTCCTCTTCCTATACCTGGCCCTGGATATTTAACTCCCACTGAATGTGGGGAGCTAAATTCCTCTTACTTAACACAGCAGTCCCGAAGGGCTTGTAAACCCATCATCGGACAGTTGAGTTGAGGAGGTTAAGAAAACTGACATGAAGAGAGGCTTTACAATTCTGTAAGCAATTTTTTATGGCTAAAGATGTCGGCCGGGCACGGTGGCTCAAACCTGTAATCCCAGCACTTTGGGAGGCTGAGAAGGGCGGATCACGAGGTCAAGAGATCAAGACCTTCCTGGCCAACATGGTGAAACCCCGTCTCTACTAAAAATGCAAAAATTAGCTGGGTGTGGTGGCACGCAACTGTAGTCCCAGCTACTTGGGAGGCTGAGGCAGGAGAATCACTTGAACCCGGGAGGCAGAAGTTGCAGTGAGCTGAGATCACGCCACTGCACTCTAGCCTGGGCAAAAGAGCGAGGCTCTGTCTCCCGCTGTCACCCAGGCTGGAGTGCAATGGCATGATCTCAGCTGAAGATGTCTTAAAGTGCAATTATTTTAATCATCTCTCCCTTGTCTTGCTGCCCACCAAGAGATAACTGACGAGATGGAGCCAGCCCAGCCTGTTCCATGTTGAACAACCCCGGGCTTCATCCTTCAGCTTTTCATTAAAGAACTCCTAGGAAACACATGAAGATGAGAAAGTTGTAGTCAGGTTAACATGAAATAAAAAATATAAAAAGCCACTCAAGGATGTTAATTTGCATCCTAATGCAAGCCACTCGTTTCAAATGCATCGTTTAAAGTGTCTTGAAACACTGCAAATTTCCGTTTTTGTCTGGAAATTTTATTTACTGTTAGTTTCTCACTGCTACTAACACTAAAAACCTTTAGAAAACTCCCAAAGGCTGTGTTCTTCAGGAGAAGGAGGGTGGAGAATCTGTTCTGTGGTGCTCATGGAAGATAGAGCGATAGATGGCCTTGGAAGTGGGGGAGCAGGGACCTAATCTCTACGAGAGGAGCAGAGGGGGGCTGCCAACAGCAAGCTCGTCTCTGGGAGTCCATAGCATAGGATGCCCAGATCACTGTGGTTTCCTACTCTTCTCATAGCGATTAGCACTTCTCACCTTGAAGTCCCTGAATTTGAAGTTTTACATAGATTGTATGAGCCTAAACCTCACCCAACCACTGCTCTCAGAGCAGGAAGCTGGGACTAGAGAGACCTGAGATGCCTATTAAATTGCTAAAACTCACACAGAGTTTAAAGTCTTTAGAACAAAGATATCTTGCTCCTCAGTTTTATACAGAATTAGAACATGTGGATGCTGTACTCAAGGACTGTCAAGGAAAACCAGACAGCAGAGGCAGTGATGTGAGTTCCAATTCCAGTGTGTCCAGCTGGCATGTATCCTTTGCTACCTGAGTCCTTTGCAGCACCTTCTGCTCTGCAATACTCCTGCCTTCCGTGTCTACAACTCCAGGAGGCTCTAGAATTCTTTCTTGGAGCAGGACAACCTGAGGGGCTTGGGCGAAGCCTAAATGACCAACGGGAGCAGTAAACCTCTTGGGATGAGGGCAGCAAGGGCCAACTTGCTGGGCATCATCCAACTGAGAAGGAGCTATGTGGATGTCCTTTTCTCTGTTCTGGCTGGGGAAATGGATATGGTGGGCATAGCAAGGAGAGTTAGAATCATAGGTGATTAAAGGAGAAGCAGATATGCTTTCTTGGATCCATCAGGTTGTTGGTAAGGACTTAGAATGGTTTACATTGTGGATCCCAACACATAGGCTTTGGAATTAGCCAGAATGCCAGTTCTTCCACTCACCTCCCTGAAGCTCCATCTTCTTATCAGTAAAATCCATGTCACTAACCATTCACTGAATGGTTATTCAGGGCTAAGCACTATTATAAGGGCTTTACATGCATTAACTCATGTAATCCTCATATGTACCTTACAATGTAGCCTAGAATTTGTGAGCTTCATTCTCCAGATGAAGACATGAAGGCACAGCAAGGCTGAGTAACTTATTCCAAGTCACAAGGCTAACAGATGACAGAGCAAGGATTTGGATCCAGGGGGTCCAGCTTCAGAGTCCATGCTGTGGACACAACTTTACCTTGTTTCTGCAAGATTGAATGAGACAGCAAACTCATAGATTCTCCATGAGTAATAATTCTTATCACTCCAAGTTATTAACATTGAGCCATGATATGGTTTGGCTGTGTCTCCACCCAAATCTCATCTTGAATTGTAGTTTCCATAATCTCCACGTGTCATGGGAGGGAGCCATTGGGGGATGATTGAATCATGGGGGCAGTGACCCCCATGCTGTTCTCGTGATAGTGAGTGAGTTCTCATAAGACCTGATGTTTTTATACGGGGCTTTTTTCCCTTTGCTTGGCACTTCTTTCTCCTGCCACCTTGTGAAGAAGGATGCGTTTACTTCCCCTTCCACCATGATTGTAAGCTTCCTGAGGCCTTCCCAGCCATGTGGAACTGTGAGTCAATTAAACCTCTTTCCCAGTTTCTTCGATGCAGTGTGAGAATGGACTAATACAAGCCACTACCTGTTGAGCATAGTTAATAAACAAAACAAACTAGTAATTAATGTAATCATTAGCTTCTATCCCAGTGAACTCCAAACATTTTAGTTATGCACCCCAAGTTGTAAAACATTCCTGAACATATATTTGTGTATGGATTAGAAAGATGTCCTATTGTGCATATGACCATTATGAAACATGTAGAACTTATAAACTGAAATCGAAAACAAATTTAAAAATAGGAGTTCAATATAGATCTACCTCAGAAACATAGTGGGTTTGGTTCCAGATCACTGCAATAAAGCAAATGTCATAATAAAGTGAGTCCCACCAATTTTCTGGATTAGGCTTTGACTCTAAGGGAATGTTGTGGCTGGTTTGATCTTTTATTCAGACCACTCTAACTTTCTCGCTATTAGCAAAAGGCTGTTTTGCTTTCTTATCATTCCTGTGTTCACTGGAGTAGCACTTTTAATTTCCTTCAAGAACTTTTCCTTTGCATTCACAACTTCTGTAACTGGTGCAAGAGGCCTAGCTTTTAGCCCATCTCAGCTTTCCACATGCCTTCCTCACTAAGCTTAATCATTTCTAGCTTTTGATTTAGAGTAAGAGATGTGACTCTTCCTTTTACTTGAACCTTTAGAAGCCATTGTAGGGTTATTATTTGGCCTAATTTCAATATGATTGTGCCTCAGGGAATAGGGAGCCAGAGGAGAGAGAAAGAGACAGGGAAACAGTCGGTTGGTGGAGCAGTCAGAACACACAACATTTATTGATTATGTTCGCTGTCTTACATGGGTGCAGTTCATGGCACCTCAAAACAACTACAATAGTAACCTCAAAGATCCCTGACCACAGATCATCATAACAGATATAATAATAATAATAAGGTGTGAAATATTGGGAGAACTACCAAAATGTGAGACAGAGACACAGAGTGAGCATGTGATATTGGAAAAAGATGGCATCAATAGATTTGCTGTATGCAGAGTTGCCATAAATCTTCAATTTGTAAAAACATGCAATATCTGCAAAGCACAATAAAACAAGGGCATGCCTATAATTATCCCTGCTCTTCAGGGGCATGGATTGCTTACTGTGTTTCGAAGACCACCAACAAGCTCACATTTTCCATTTTGCCCTTAAGAGTTGAAGAGTCAGCTCTGACCATCTGAGGACTCCTGCCTCGCCACACTGACTTCTGATTCTTTCAGCCCAGGTTACAATCCAGTGGTCAGATGACACAGAGCAGCCGCTCATGGGGTACCTGGGCCGCTCGTGGGTAGATCTGTGAACCCAGCAATCAGCAATTTCAGCCCCTCTGGTGTTATTCCCCCCTCTGCTCACCAGCCCCCTGTTCCTGGACCTTCTCAAATGCCCGATGGTGACTGATCCCTCTCTCTCCTTCCCAGTGCTCTGAACAAAAATATTGAGTGTCCTTCTCCTTCCTGAACTTAAGTCACTTACAGGGCTGTCTGCCTCCCAAGCCTTATCTCCGTTTAAACTTTCAAAGTCTCATTTTCCTCAATAGTCAAATGAGGATGTTAATTTTCTGTGTATCCAAGTGCTGTGAAGTTGAAATGGGGAACCCTTGCAACCATGCCTCGCATACTACCTAGAGTGCACCAGGCACTCAACAGGGCTCCTACATGGCCAGGAAGTCTGGATCTAGAAGGGAAGACTCTGTTCTCCCTTATAGGGGAGTAAATAGAAAGAGATGTTACCCTGAAATGATACCATAGCCTGCTAAACCCTATCCTAGCCTAATGGCACTGGGCTGACTGCTAATGGCTGGAGGCTGCTCCCCCAAGAGACTCAGTGTGAGTGGTACCAAGAATGGGGATGCTGCCTTTGGCTTCATCACTTGAAGATGGGACCCTGGCAGTGGCTCCCTCCAGCTTAGTCTTCCAAACCCCAACGCACGCATAGTCATCGGCTCCCCTCCTCCCAGGTCTCCTTCCGTCCCTGGACCTCCCTGACCATTCAGGAGGCAGGGCCATTCAGAGGCCAGAGAAGGAAGGCGGGGGAAGGCTGCCCCACTGGGCTGAAGGGCAGCTGTTTATATTATAATTAAGGTTTTACAGCATAAACTGAAATGTAGCTTGACTATTCCTACAAGGCACTGGAGGTAATTACCACTGCTAGAGGCATTCTCCACTGCCAATTATTTCCCTTCCTAATTGAATAACTTAGGCCACACTGTGGAGGGCCAGTGAAAGGAAGGAGGCCAGCTTTCAAATACGGACACTCCTTCAGAGGGCTCAAAACAGTGCAAAGCTTAACACACTCTCAGTCCAACCCTGTCTGAGCGTTCTTTCCTAGGAATGTAGCATAGAGGATAGGAATGTTAGTCCCAGAGTTCTACCATTTACTAGTTCAGGCAGATCAAACTCCCTGCATCTATTTCCTCTTCTATAAAATGGGAATAATTGAAGTTCAGGCAGACTGCATTTTATTACACTTTTCTTTATTGCGTTTTGCAGATATTACAGTTTTTTTTTTTTACAAATTGAAGGTATGTGTAACCCTGCAGCAAGCAAGTCTGTTGGTGCCATTTTTCTAACGGCATGTGCTCGCTTCTTGTCTCTGGGTCATATTTCTCACAATATCTGCGTAATTCTCACAATATCTCAAACTTTTTCGTGATTACTGTATCTGTTATGGCAATCTATGACCAGGAATCTTTGATCTTGTTATTGTAATTGTTTTGGGGCAGCATGAACTGCACCAACATATGACAGCAAACTTAATAAATAAACGTGTGTGTTCTGCCTGCCCCACTGACTTTCTGTTTTCCCGTCTCTCTCTCTCTGGGCCTCCCTGTTCCCTGAGACACAATAATATTGAATTAGGCCAGTTAATAACCCTACAATAGCTTCCAAGTGTTCAAGTGAAAGGAAGGGTCACACATTTTCCACGTTAAATCCAAGGCTAGAGATGATTAAGCTCAGTGAGGAAGGCAAGTCAAAAGCTTAGATAGGCCAAAAGCTAGGCAGGCCTCTTGTGCCAAACAGTTAGCCAAGTTATGAATGCAAAGGAAAAGTTCTTGAAGGAAATTAAAAGTGCTACTCCAGTGAACACAGGAATGATAAGAAAGCAAAACAGCCTCATTGCTGATAGGGAGAAAGTGTTAGCGGTCTGGATAAAACATCAAACCAGCCACAACATTCCCTTAAGCCGAAGCCTAATCCAAAAAATTCGTGTGACCCATTTTATTGCGGTATTAGCTTTATTGCGGTGGTCTGGAACCAAACCCGCTGTATTTCCAAGGTATGTCTGTATAGACTTCATGGCATTGTTGTGAGAATCAAATGAGATAATAATAATTCTGGCACATAGAGAACATTCAATAATTCTGGCTTAAGGAGGTGGTTCCAACAGAGGGTGTGACCGTGGAGGTGCAGGCATTTTTCTCTTCCCTGCACAGATGGATGAAACCGAGGCAGAAGTCACACCTCAGTCCCACTGAAACAGCTTGGTCTGGGAGTACTAGCAGTAGATAGAAAGCATGCCTCCCTGGCTGAAAAATAATAAATTCCTTTGAGTTACAGAAGAAATGGCCCCTCCCAAGAAAGTTGGACAGATATTCAAGACATCCAGTCCCTGGGAGTGTTCGCTAGTCCTTTTGCCTCCTCCGTATCCATACATGGTGGCTGGCATTGTGTACAGGCCTGCGGTGGCTGGTGGCTTCCTCGGCCCCAGGGAAACCCATGATTAATACCAAATACATTTGTTGAGTGCTTTCAACTTTTAAAATTTTGTTCTACTCTCATCTCTTTCACACCTCACAACCACCTGGAAAATACAAGTATCCTTCCTGGTTTACAAATGAAAAAAATAGAGACTGAAAGAGATTAAATAACTCACAAAGGCTCAATCAAGGAATGAAACACAGCTCTCTGCCTCCAGTTTCTCCCACTGCTCCTCCACAGGAAGGAAGTCCATTCAGCTTTCAGGGTTCACCACACACTCCCTTCCCAAAGCCCAATTCTTTTGCTACTGAAATTATATAGTGCGTTTAAAACATCACAAAAGCCAGAGATCGTGAATTCTCCCACTTTAGTGTGCATACAGGTCTCTTGGGGAATGTGTTTACAAATGAAAATTCCAGGGCCACACTCCCAGGAAGTCTGACTCCCTGCATCTAAGATGGGGCCCAGGAATCTGAAGGTTAACAAGGTCTCCAGGTTTTTCTGATTTCAGCAGTTCAATGAGACTGCAACAGAGGCATATGAAAGAGCACTGATGGGACCTCAGTGAGTTGACTTAATCTTTCCGAACATTCATTTCCTTATATGCAGAGGAAGATAATAATATTTACCTCTGTGAGGTTTTGTGAAAATTAAATGACATAATGTATGTAAAGTGTTGTGCACCATGCTTGGCACATAGAAAGTGCTCTGGTGACATCAGTCCTTATTAGCACGACAGCTGCTGTTGTCATGAATATTACTGAAATACCACCAAGCCTTGTGTGTTACCCAAGGGATAAATTATTATGAGCTTGAGACCTTATCATTTGGAGTCACTAAATCTATAGAAAATTGGGATGTAAAAGAAACATAAATAGAATTTGAGAAATTTAAGTCATTTTTTAATAAGAATGACCCATTCATCCTCATTTAACTACCTTGGGGTGGGGGTGTTGGCAACTGTTTGGACAAATAGGAATTTGTTCTCTAACTAGCAGACCCTGATTAATGGCAGGAAAGGGGAGCAACTGGTGGATATGCCGGCGGCAGGGGGAGCTTCTTGAGAACTGGCTTTAAGTTAATGTGATCTGCACAAAAATTCAATAGCAGACAGCACTGAGACGGACAAGAAGGTATAGACCTCATCGCCAGCCATGAACAGCTTCCTCCTAGTTATCCTCCATTTCCCTAGGACTCTGGGGACATCTCTGAGTGCAAGGGCATCCCGGGACCCCAGGCTGCCTCTATAGGTCTGAAGTCTGGGTGAAGAGGAGCTCTGCCTTCTTATTAGGGAAAGCTGGCCCGGAGACTGCCCTAGGACTGCCTTCTCCTGGTTTCTCCTGGGAAAAAGAACAAGAAGGAAGAAATTTCAGAAGAAAGTAAGACAAATTGAGCTAAGTGAATGACTTACAGACTGTCAGTGGTGGGAACCCAGCACTCCACATATACACACACTTTGAATTTGGCAAAAAGCCCAGGTGAGGTATGAAGTGACTGTCAGCCAGGACTACCCACAGGCTGGCCTGGGGCTGGTGGCCTGAGCTTTGTCAGAGAGCCTCTAGAAACCTGCATTTCACCCAGGCCACCTCTGTCTTCTAGTGTGGCCAAGTAGGCACACACACACAAAAACTAAACAGTTTCGGATTGGAGAAGGCCCAGAAATACTCTTGGGTATATTTCGACATCTCAGGAAGTAGGTTCTGAGAGAGGAACCCCAGCATTTCCACACCTGATAGGGCAGGGGCAGGTGGACTTCAGTAGTTGACATCAGGCCAGTCACGCTTCAGCCCTTCCGTTGGAAATCTGAGGCCCAAAACACATTTTTTGGATGAGAGCCAACCACTCCGGAGAGTTGTCTCTTATTTAAGCTGTGCAGTGAACTACCTACATAGTGTGAATTGAGAGACCTGGAAAGTCTCATCCCCCAAAAACACCCGCTCCCCAAGCATTTCTGTCTCCAAACATGTTTGTCCCCTCCTACTACAACATATCCAGGCCGTAACTTTCCTCTCTGATCCAAGTTCCTAAGGTGATGCAAGAGCAGGAGGGATACTCCAAGGAGAAGAGGCTACAGCAATAACAGGTGAGGCAGACACGGGTCAGTCCTGCTCTCGCTTTCTCAAGAACCCCATCTCCTGCCTTCATCTTCTATCTTACTCTGCTATTCTCCATGACCTTGATTTGTCTCTGTCACCTGCTCCCTGTGCCTTTTCCATCTCTATGTCCATCCTAGGCCAGGTCGGTCCTGGGCACACAGTGGTCTCAATCCATGCCTGAGGAATGACTAAGCAATGAATGAACAGAGAGGCGTGGAAGAACATCTAGGGTGAGGGCTGCAGGCATATCCATGCCAGCCCTCCTTTTCCCCCAGGGCAAGCCCAGAAGGAAGCAGACACTGGAGAGAAAGGACTGGCTGTTAATCTTTTACCCAAAGTTCAGCTCCACAGTAATGCTCTTTGTGCTGCCCCTGCTAACTAGAGGCAGAAAATGTGGAAACATCACATATTTGCCGTAAATCTGCTGCTTTTTATGTAAAAACATTCATGACTGGCTTCATGTTTTGGTCCTTACTTTCTCTCCCTCTTCCTGTATCCATTTTTATAACCCCCTGTTCTCACATGTCAAAACAGTGTAACTAATCACTCTGTCACCTTGATCCCCTGCAAAGATGCCTTCTCCACTGTTTCCCCCCCACACGTCTTCACCATCTACTTTTCCAGCTGTTCCCTCCAGGGCAGCAGACTCTTGCATCCATAGTCACCAGGGCACACAGATCTCATTTTCTTTATGATTCATCTCCCAAGAGGAGAAATGACCAGGATCAAGAAATGCATATGTGACATTGCTGGGGAAATGTGGCTTCAGACAAGACAGGAGTTGGCAGAAATGGAGGTTACTCACTTTACTCAAAGCGAGGAGCTGGGAGAGATTGCCTTGGGTGGGGGGTTTTATTGGTTTTCATATTTATCACTGGGGAGTGCTGTTAATGAATTGCCATCCTCCAAAATCAAACCATCAAGGTTGCATTTGGGCACTGAAGAACTGCTGGTTTCAGAAAGTGCCCCTGTTGGTCTGACAGTTTCTCGTGATCAGGAAGTGTCACTGGGTGATCCAGATACCAAAGTCCTGTGAGCCCCTTTGTGCTCTCCTCTGATTGCTCAGGAGCCTTTGACACACTACACTTTGTCTGTCCTTCTGGAAGCCCTTTCTTCATTTGGTTTCCAGAGAACACAAGCTTCTGGTTTTCTTTCTACATCCCAGGACATTCTTTTGCCAGGTCTTCCTCTTCTTCCTAATCTCTAACAGTTTGAGTAATGTAGAGCTCAGACCTTGAATCTCTTCTCTATCTATTCCACCTGCCTTTGTCGTCTCTGTCCTTCATGGATTTAAATATCAGGTTGATACATAAGAAACATCTGATGATCAATCTTTTTCACCTGTAAAAAAAAAAAGACAAGTTCAATGGTCCCACCTAATGCTATATAGGATAAGTCCCAAATATTTATCTGTGTCCCCTGACTTCTCTTTGAACTTCAGACTCTTACCCAGCTGCCTACTTAGACACCGCCACTCAGATGTCTAATTGGTATGTCCAGATCAACCAAAGCAGTTCAGAGTAGGACTCTAGACTTCCCTGCCAAGTTTGTTCCTCTCCCAATCTTCCCCATTTCAGTTAAGCACAACCCCACTCCTCTGGTTGCTCAGATCAAGAACCTAATAGTCATCCTGGCTTCTTCTCTTTCTCCAACATGTTACAGAAGTAAGTTCTTTTAGCTCTAACCTCACTTCTCATGTCTTTGCTCTTATCATCCTAGGCCAAGTTTCCTGGGGTTGTTTCCTAGATTAGTGTAATGACATCCTAACTGGTTTCTGCTTCTGCCTCTACCCTTGGACCTTCTATAATCTACTATCTTTACAGCAGTCAGAGTGATCACTCTGAAGCATACATCATATTGTGTCATTCTGTCCAGCCCAAATACTCCAATGTCTTCCAATAATGCTCAGAATAAAATCTAAACTCCTTACCCTGCCTATTTCCCAGGCCCTGCCCGTGTCTCTAATATTCATCTCCTTTGCCTGCTTCACTCAGCTATAAATCAAAGCCTTGCTACTTCCTACTTCCTCTGCCTCTGGCACTCTCACTCCACTCATTCAAGGATGTTCGGTATCACCTCCCCTGGAAAAGCTTTCATAGACCATCCCATTATCAGTAATACTTATCCCTTCATCCTACCTTCTTTAATATGCTGATCACATGATAGTATATGATAGCATGACTTGTTTATATGTTTATTATCTACCTACCAACTAGAGCCTAAGTTCTGTGAGAGCAAATATTGTTGTCTCCGTCAGTGCCCTTTCCTAGTGCCTGGCACACGATAGATGCTCAAAAAGTGTTTAAGTGAATGAATGAATTGATGAATGAGTGTGCCAGGCCCCCAGCTCTGTATCCTGTGAGAGCTCAATACAGACTTGATGCTTGAAAACCTTGAGCCAGAGGAACTTTGAGCCAGCAGTCTAATAATGATGTGGGATTAGGATTGTACTGCAATGTGAGTTTGTAGTTTTTAGAATACTTCCTTATATATGGTAACCACTACCTCCTCTTCCCAACAGAATGGAGGATCCCAAGGAGGTCACTTTGCCATTTCCATTTTCTCCAGCCAAAACATTCAAGTTTTTATTCTTCGTGCAGTGACCATGACATCCTTGGTGTTGGCTATCACAGCCACACACACACACACACACACACACACCACACCACATCAAACCAATAATGATAAAAATGATAGCAAACTTTCAATAAGATCTTGCGTTGAACCAAGCACTGTTCTAAACTTTTTACATATATTATCTCATTAGGATGGCTTAAGAATCCTATAAAGCAGGTGCAGATTTGATCTCCACAATCAGATGAGGAAACTGAGGCACAAAAGGGACTAAGTAACTTTCCAAAGTTTACACAGCCAGTAAGAGAACAGGGCAAATATTTCTGAGGTTTTCAGTTTAGGATAAGGTCTCTAGCGATGCTATCCATAGAAAGTCCCAGTCTCCTACTGTCCCCCCTGTCCAGATTGCTCAAAGCTCTGAAAATCCCATAAAGACAAGGGCAATGAACATTAAGGGCCTCCTATGTTACAGGGAGAAAGACCCTAGGTCCCCATATCCACAAAGGTGATGTGCTTCCACCCAAAGTATGACCAAGACAGTGACACAATAGGGCCCTTTTCCCTCATTTACCCTCTAAGGGTGCTCCATGTCACTCAGAGCTGGCCCTGTTTCCCAGCCCAGTTGAAGGACACGTTTGCCTCACATCTTCAAGTGAACAGCCAGAATCCATGTAGCAATTTCCTCTCCCTCATCCTCCCTTGTTAGCTTAGCTCCATCTGGTAAACAGGAGTCCTGGTGCCCCCAGTTCTCAACCCCCTCACCTGAGAGGTAGCACCTAAAGCAAAAGGCTCTCTGAAAAAAATCACATCGCCTGCACTGCTAAGGACAAGGAACCCTCAGGCTCATGCATTGATATGGTTTGGCTATGTCCCCACCCAAATCTTGTCTTGAATTCCCACATGTTGTGGGAGGGACCTGGTTGGAGGTAATTGAATCATGGGGGCAGGTCTTGTCCCATGCTGTTCTCGTGATAGTGAATAAGTCTCATGAGATCTGATGGTCCTATAAGGGGGAGTTTCCCTGCGCAAGCTCTCTCTTTGTCTGCTGCCATCCATATAAGACATGACTTTCTCTTTCTTGCCTTCTGCCATGATTGTGAGGCCTCCCCAGCCACACGGAACTACAAGTCCATTAAACCCCTTTTTCCTGTATAAATTACCCAGTGTTGGGTATGTTTTTATCAGCAGTATGAAAATGAACTAATACATGCATTGATGCCCGCCTCCTGCAATCCTGGCAGTGGGACCAACGGGCTGCCTAAAGGCTGCTGCTTCTCACACAGGGATAGCTGACAAGGCACAAGGGCATTGCTCCCAGCAGGCTTCTGCCCCCTCCCTGGCAGTGCTAGGCCAGAGAAGAAAGAGTGGGAGAGAGGGAGGGATGTCTCTCCAAGTAAGAGAGCAAGCAAAAAGATAAATGGAACCAATTCCAAAAGGAGTTACAGGGCATCTGGAGAAGCAAGACCCCTGACTTATAGTTAAGGCTCTGAAGCGTCAATTAATATGCTTCACATCTACCCCACCTTGCTCTTGGATGCACCAAATGCTTTCAGGAATACCCCCAGGGTCCCCTCCTCACAGCTAGACAGGACTCACTTTCCACAGCACTAGAAACAAAGACTGCCAATACTCAAACTTTATGTGCAAAAGCTGCTTGTCTAAACCTGGATACAGAAAGATTTAAAGGCATACTTGCAGTGCAGTTTTTCCAGAGAAAGTGGAATATAAAGGAAGAGGGAGGGAGCAGGGAGGGAGAAAATATTAGCTTAAGAAATCTCAAGCTACTGACCCAGGAAGAACCCGGTGCTAGAGGGATACTGAGTTGTGACTGAGGTTTTCTTTTTGCAATCCTACAAGGGGGTTAATGCCAGCCAGTGGTGGCCAGCTCATTTTTGATGGGTTGCCCAGGTTAGAGTGACTCATCTATGCCCCAGACTGCCCCTCCACATGGATCATCCCCTGTTTAACAACCTAGGAAGTTGGTGAACCCCTTGCCAAGCACCAGTGAACTTCGAGATTTTCAGAAATCACAACCTTTGTGGGTATCAGTCTCCTCATCTGCAAAATCAGGCACTGAGAAAATGATTTCTAAGGTCCTATGTAGTTCTAATATTCTGGAATTTAATAAAGGCCTATAGTGGGATATTTTTGAGAAAATATCCTTTGCTCATCATGGAATGATTGCTAGGAATTCCCACAAAATAAGCAGTAAAGTCTCCCACATAACCTAGTTTTTAAATTTTAATTAAAGCCCATGAACTGAAAACAATCAAAATGTGTACTTCGGGAAGGGGCTAATTGTATATTAATTTCATTATTACCCAGATATATCCACCATCACTCATTAGATCAATGACAGATGATCGTCTTATTGGTCATCTTCAAAATGATTTACTAAGTAATGACTAGTTGCCAAGGACTATGGTGGGAACTTTAGGGAATGCAGAAAACTAATGTTATATTGTCTCCATCTTTAGGAGAAAAAAATGACAAATCTATATTTTAAAAATCTAGAAACTAATACAGGAAATTTAGAATCATAATAGAATTTTTTTAAGTTTAAGACTGACTACTGTTCATTTCAATGTTGACAAGTACAGATGTCCAGGTAATGCTAAACTTTTGAAGCACAAATGAAAATATACAATATTATTATCACTAAATTATATCACTATAAACAAGTAATCACTGGTGCCCTGCAAATGTGCATAGAATATTTACCTTAGCCCACAGTTTGCTTAGAGAAAAATCTAGTCTTTCTCCATAAGATAATGCTCAGGTTGGTCATTTTAGTTTCAATACTATATAGACTTGAGATTTTTACCTACAACAACCTTGTAGGCAGAACCGGCTATATAATTTGTGGGGTCCAGTGCGAAATGGAAATGTGGGATTTTTTGTTTACAAATTATTAATACTAAGAATTTTAAGATGGCAAAAGCAGGGCATTAAACCAAGTGTGGGCCCCTTCTAAGGTCAGGGCCTGCTCATAGATTATCCAGAGGTAGCCATGGCTGACAATTAATGAGTTCTTGCTGTCTGCTGAGCATAGATCTAAGGACTGTACATTTATTAACTCTTTTAATCCTCAGAACAACCCTGGGAAGGGGGGGAAGTACTATTATTCTCTACCTATAATAAGGAAACAAAGGCATAGAAAAGTTAAGCATCTTACCCTTGGATCCATGGACAGGAAATAGAGCCAAGATTTCACGACAGGATTTTGAGGCAGACTGGGTTCAGGTCCCATCACATTGCTACACTCTGCTGCTTCTAGTAGTCATTCTCCCAAACTGAGTCTGGAAATTATACTAATGGATTTCCACTCCGCAGACTCTTTTAATTTTCTTCTCTCCTAAGATTAACGCTGGGCTTGAGTAACTCTGAGGTTGTCACAGTTCCAAGGAACTGCAATGACTAGGGGCCTTTTGCATATGTGTGACTGGATGGATGTGGGCAAAGTCGAGTAAGCCTGAATGCAGAGAGCCGGGCATAGTTTTTCTTAGACTCCCACATGTTATTGAACCTCCACAGTCAAAGCCTGCTGAAGCTTCACAGCTAAGGCTCTGGGTGAAAATGGCTCAGACCAAGAAGGCACACCAGACTCCAATAAGCCTGGTTCCATTTCGTGCTGGAAGGATGGGGTCTCTGGGCAGAGCTGGGCTTGCCTGCAACAACCTTAACTTTTAGCTCACGGCTGTGGCCTTGCTCCTGGGCAGGTCCCACAGGAGGAACCTCCATGCTAGGCACTCCACCCTCGCCATAGAGGGCTGTGAGTCAGCCACATAGAGTGGAAAATGAAGAGCACTGTTGTTGGAGGGAAGAACATTAGGCAGCCTGGCCCTCTGCTTTCTAGAACTGTGATTTTCCAACTTCAGTTGGGCATAAAGATCAACTTCAAAGAAAAAAAAAAGTTGGCTCCTATGCTTACTTTTTATATAACAAGCTTTTCAGGATTTCTGATGTAGGTGATGCATTCTTCAAGAATCACCATCTAGAAAATGGATAACCTTAACATGATGGGAGCATTTCCAAGGGAGGGTCGGTGATCACTCTCCTTCACCATCAGGGATGAGCCAGCTACAGCACCACTTCTAGCAGGGCTTAGACTAGTCGGATGAGACACCTGAAGGAGGGAATGCAGCCCCCAGCTTTCTACATGGATGCTAGAGTCCCAGGTCATTCTTTTTTAACTTCGGCTAATAATCTTAATCAATATTTTTATTTTTACTGGAGTATAAATTGTGCCTCCCACCATGACCTGCCATCCACAAAATGATGAAGGTTTCCATGCAAACTTTTCTCCTTATAAAGGGTTTTCAGGCCTCTTCTTTCTCTCTCTACCTGCTGTTTCTTCTAAATACCATTTGGCTTGAAAAGCTCTAATTTTGAGGAAATTCCTTTTTGTCAGAATGGATCAGAGTCATCAAACGCTGTTGATGAAATAGACTTCAGAGAGCATTCAGCCTGGCACTTTTACTCTATAGACAGGGAACTGAAAGCCAGATGAGGCCAGAGCTGACTAGAGTGACATAGAGTGGGGTCCACACTCACATGCATAGGTGAGGTCACTGAGCAGACCCCGCATACTCACAGTTCATGCAACCCAAAGATGTCCCTTCTCCCCACAGTGCCACATCACACCCAGTAAGCTGACACCCACCGCAGGGCATGTCTAGACTCTCTTCACTGGATTTCCCATTAAAGCAATGCTGAAAACAAGTTTTTTTAAATCTCTGGAAATGAATGGATATCTCATATAGCAAGAATACAGCAAGGGGGCCGGAAAAGTCCACCGTGCACATGTTTTAAAAACAAGTTATAAATAAACAGAATAATCAGAAACCGGATTGAACTTCCAAGTTCAGAATGAGACATGGAAGATGAAAGGCCTGACTTGTTCCTAACTAGCTGGGCGGTGGCTCAGTTGTATAATCCTTTCCTGGCTACGTGGCATTGGAATTCATAAAATTTTGGACTTTTAGAACTGAAAAAGATCTTAGAGAAGTTGTCTGGCCCAACCCCTCACACTGGGATAGTAAAACTGAAGCTCAGAGAGATGAAGACACTTGCCCGAAGTCACAGAGCTCATATTTGTTAATCAACCAGGGTTATTCTTGCAGCTACTGAAGGAACCACAGTGGATGGGTTATTTGGTACTTGGCAAAGAAAACTTATTACCTAGTAGTTTGATATCTTTCCTATGTGGTATAAAAATTTCAAACAGATCACCTAGTGGGGAAATGTAATCACAGTTTTTAATTAACATAAAGTCTCCAAGACATTTGTTGTTGTTATATTACTTTTATACAGTGTAAATCAATTAGCTGCAACGGGCTAGTGGGTGCAGAGAGTGGCAGTCAGTCACTGGGCAGATAATTGCTCTGTTGCTGAGATTAACACCTTATCATGCTATTAGGACCACTTATGAATCTTGTAGTCCCGACGAAGCCTACAATTTAGGGACTATCCATTCCAGCTGTCTCCATTTCTATAGCCTCCTACATGCAAACAATTGTTGCATTAAGTGCTGCATTTAATTAAAGGCCCTTCCCATGTCATGGGTACAGTCACAGGAAAGACAAGAGACCTCGTTTGTTTCAAAAAAAAAAAAAAAAAAAAGCACCTCTTGCTGGTGATTAGTTAGTGTTAAAGCAATCAGGATTAAAGTCAGGGAGGCCACAAAAGAAGGATAAGATATTGATGACTGTGGAATTGTCAGTCGGAAAGTACATACATAGCTTTACTTTTATGTGTTAGTAAGAAATCAGTGATGAGAAATATGAGCCTGGGTTTCTTCTCACTTTAAAGGGTCATATCATCAAAGCCTGGAGTGCTCCACCTCTTCCCAAAAGTCCAACCAAGCATCTTACCAGAATTGTTTTTAACTATCAGATTCTAGCATGAGAGGTCAGAAATTGGGGATTGACGAGGCAGGTTGGGGAAAGCACGAACCAAGACATTCAGATTGGTTTGTTGTATCCAAGTAAAGAGAGAAATTTATCTCCAAGGGAGCTCTGATTATATTTTAACAAAGGGAAGCAAGCTTTCCCTGGGACAATTCTTACTGGAATAGGAGACACCCCCTCCCCCAAAAAAGTCAAACAGGCAACAAATAATTTTACCATTACCAGGTAATATGTGTTAATTGCTCAGTTTATATACTCAGAATGCCATACCATTAGAGACTGTGTATGCATTGTAACTAGAGCATTAATAAATTTAAAATGTGCCTATTAGGATGACAGCTTTGGAGGTGCAAAGGAATAACAGTTATCACTTGGCAGAAGCCGCTCTCACCCCATCTGCCGAGACTTTGCATACATTTTCAGCTTCCTGAGCAATGATTAGGCCTGTCAGAACCTCTTTAACCTTCTAACTGCTGGTCCCCACTGGCCGTAATTAGAGACTAATGAATTCAGAAGATGCAGGCCGTGAGGAAAACTGCCTTGACAGTTTGTGTACAAATTAAGCCCCAATTACTTCATGCATCTTTTGCATCGCTGATACAAGTCTCTGTTATTATTTTTGAATATGGTCATTTTAGCAGAAACGAAGAACTTGGCTAATGTATTTTGTCATTTTTATGGCTCATCATAAAGAAAAAACATACTGGGCGGGTCATGAATATGTGAAATAAACTACAGCAGATTATAAAAAGAAATTAATTTTCCTTTTGAGAATACCCTACCACCTTTTCATCCCCCCAATGGATAAACTTATTAATATGGTTATTTTTATTCTGATAATATCTGCCATTTAAGGAGCCTGACTCACGAGCAGGTAGTCTGGCTTAGGTTTAGCCTCCAAGTGAGGAGCATTTGGAAGTGTGGTGGCCCTTCATTGCTAATCCCGGTATAAAGACTGCTTCGAGAATATTGTCAGAAAACTCTTTGTTCTGTGCCCTTACTTGCCCCTCCACCTTCAACGGCCATGGTGAAAAGTTTGTAACTGCAAGAGGCATAGCTTTTAAATGACAATAGAAAGGTCCAATGTCACATTCTTTAAAAAAAAAAAAAAAAAAACTCTCAAAACGATATTGAATCTTGTTTCAGCCTCACGGGTCAACCTGACTAGATATTCTATTTTAGTCATTTGGGGGATCCCTTCCCCTACTCTTTTACTTTATACACAAAAATCCTGGCTTATATGTCCTCAGAAAGCCAGGGGAGTAGGCCCACATGTCTGCAGGATAGTCATCACCTTTCTGGCTCTTTCTTTAGCTACAAGATGCTGCTGTTGACAGTGGGTTCTGCCAAATGTCTTGGTCTCTGTTGCTCTGGGCAGCTCAAAGACCCCCCTGCCAGTGGTCCTTCCCTGCTGAGGACCAGTCTCCTATAGCCATCCTTCACTAAAGTTCCTGCATGCCAGAGGGCTCCTATTCCTGCTCCACACCAGCCTCAGAGAAAGTTAAGATTCTTCCTTCTGCCTGGCCACCTTCAACTCCCCAGCTTAAAGCACTTCCCTTCGTTCTCTCTGGTGGTAGGCAGAATAATCCCACCCTGCTTTAAAAAAATGTTTATTTCCTAATCCCCAGAACCTGTGAAGGTGTCACCTCACATGGAAAAAGGGACTTTACAGATGTGATTAAACTAAAGATCTTGAGATGGGGGGATTATCAAGGTTGACTCAATCTAATCACAAGGTCCTTATCAGAGGAAGACTGGGGAATAAGAGTCAGTAGTAGGAGGTGTGACAATGGAAGCAAGAGGTTGGAGTGATGTAAGGAAGGGGCCACAAGCCAAGGAATGCAGGTGGCCTCTAAGAGCTGCAAAAGGCCAGGCAATGAGTTCTCCCCTGAAGTCACCTGAAGGAGCTATCCCTGCAGACACCTTGATTTCAGACTTCTAATGTCTGGAACTATAAGACAATAAATATATATTGTTTTAAGCCACTACATTTGTGGTAATTTGTCACAATAGCAGGAGGAAACTAATATAGCTTTCTCCTATGGAAACATAAAGATTTGTGTTTGTATTATAATAATTATAATTCCAATAATAATTAATGTAACAATTTATTTTATATAAATTAATAGTATCTGTCTTCTTATCTCTAAGATTGAAATCATAAGCTATCTTCATGAGGATGTTATGGTAACTAAGGGAATTAAAGAATCATTTGGATATGTGGACCAAAGTAGATATGCAATAAAAAGTTGACAAAGTGCAGCTCAAAAGTGAGTCTTAGTATGAATATGAGCCAAGACAGTGTCAGCCCCTACCTGGCTTCCTCTGCGCTAGGTCCTTACAACTGGATCTTTAATGGTCTCTAGATACAGGCTCCAGCCCACCTATTCTTGAATGGCAGGAAGCAGTAGTTTCTTGTCTAGTGGACCTAAACTTGACCTACCTACTCTTTTAGACTCTGAATACTGTAACCAAGACCCATGTATTTGGTCTGTGGTATCACCTCCAGGTCTTCTTCATAGTCAAAAATTATCTGGGTCTCAAGTTTAGTGAGCAAGATACTGGAGTTTGAGTAGCTATAACATTATAGTGAATCTGCCTACTGTGTTGGCTTCACCTTGGGATTGGGTATTTGCCTAAGACCTTAACCTTAGGGGGAAGAAGCCTTAATTCTATTTGCTTCACCTGTTGAGGACTCCTGTTCTGGGACCAGAAGCTACATCCTCAACCCAATCCATTGACTGGGGCCATAAGACCCCACGTCATACTTGTTCATCCCTTTCTGGGCCCTATGTCTTTCCTCTTTATCCCCCAAATTTAACCACATTCATAAGCCATCCTTGGATAGATTCTTGAGTGAATATCAAAAGCTAGCTTGACTGGGGGGATTTGATCCACACCTTAACACATGCTGTTGTACCACTGAGTTGTTCTCTCCAGACCTACCTGAGTCATGTTGTCCATTTTCCCGAGACCATCAAGTTCTTGTCCTGTATACTCCTCTGCTTATGTTCTAGGTTGCCATCAGCACATTGTCAAGGCTGGCTCTGAGTCCAATGAGTAAAGAGAAAGGCTAAATAAAGATGGCCATGGCTGAAACATTGACTTAGAAACTCATTTCATTAGAGTGATTTATTAAAAAGCAGTACTTAGAAAAAGCATATTATTCATCTCTTTAACATGATTGCATTAGAGTGATTTTTTTCTGGTGACAACTTTCGAGGTAGGTTTTTAAAAGAATAAACACAGTCTAGTGGAAAATTATGCCTAAAGTCTTGGCCTGCAGTGACAAGGTACAGACTGCTACTAACTGAGGCCTTCCCATAGACCTCCCCTTCCTGTGAACTCCTAACTTAGCTGCAGCCTGACAGAATAGTAATGAGAAGTATGAAAGTCCAGGAGCAGGGAGAAAAAATGGGTGGAAACAAGAGGCCCCAGACCCTGCCCACACCCCCGAAGACCCATGTGGGGAAACAGCTCTCCAGCCTTCAGCAGACAAGCTTCAGGGGATGCTGAAGAGAAGAGGGAGGACTAAACCCACAGAGCCTGGAGCTGCATTTTAGATTCACAGAACCCCAGAATGGGAAATTGTGGACCAGAAAGGCCAAAGCATGACCACTTTCTTCCCTTTGTGATGGCAACACAGCAGACCTTCCTATCAGGCCTTCATGGCCACGGTCTTGAAATGAACTCAAGAAGTGCTACTGTGGGCCAGGATCAGAAGGTGTACCCCATGGATATCCAGAGCCCCAGGAGGTTATACGGTCTTCAAAGAGCCCAGTATTATACCCTCATTCTCTCTCCTAGGAAAGCAAAAATCATTTCTATCATTCCTATTCAAATTGTGGCTCATTTATTTGTTTGTGAAACTGACATTAACTAGGCTTCTGAAAGACCTCACCCATGGATGATGTTCTGAGCTAACACACCCTCCCTGCCACCTAGAAGAGTTTCTCTCTGTGTGTCTTTGACTCCTCATCCTCCACATCTTGGCTCTGGGATCTCCACACTCATTCAGCAGAGGGTCTTTGTATTTCAGAGGAGATTCAGTGCTCTTTATAAATTTAATTTACATGGAAGCCTGGTAAATAGTTTAGGGTCTGAAGGGAGATAGGCCTGACCCCGCCACACCCTGGCGCTACTCTGCACAGAAATGTCACCTGACGTGTGAGAGACAGCATGCATGTAGCGGGCTGGGCTACAGGTCTCCTTTTGTCTCAGCTACTAGAGGTGGGACAAGTCAGGGTGGCCCACTACCATGTGGGTGGAAAACTTTTGAGTCTCATTTACACCATATTTGTTTTTAAAGCATACCACAGAACTTATCTTTGAAAGGCTCATGCATTCTCTAGATTTGCTTCTGAAGTTAGAAGAAAATTCCTCTTTCACATGGAAAATGTTAATTTCACCCAAAATGAGGTTAAATAAATTAAAGTGTGATAGGCTCGTAATGGTCTATTATGTTCTTTTTTCGGGGAGGAATGAGGTCTCATTCTATTATTTCCTAGGCTGGAGTGCAGTGGCACAATCACGGCTCACTGCAGCTTTGACCTCCTCAGGCTTAGGTGATCCTCCCACTTCAGCCTCCCAAGTAGCTGGGACTACAGGTAATGCACCCAGCTAATTTTTTGTAGAGATGGGGTTTTGCCAGGTTTCCCAGGCTGGTCTCAAACTCCTGAGCTCAAACAATCCACCCACCTTGGCCTCCCAAAGTGGTGGGATTACAGGTATGAGCCACTGTGCCTGGCCATGGTTTTATATGAAAAAGCAAAGACTGTTCACCACAATGCTGGGACAAGTAGAGCCCTAACTCCAGTGCTCCAAAACTGGTCCACATAGGAGCATCCTCTCTGGCACTGTTCCAATCCATTCCCTTGTTATGTTTTTATAAGTCTCTTTATCTCACTAAAAGCATTTTCCTTTAAGGATGGAGATAATTCATCTAGGTATCTCTCTAAAGTGCCTAGTTCACCAAGAGCAAAGTCTTCAAAAGACATTGCAAAATAAAATTAAAATATATCACTAACAACCTATTCTTAAAAGGTACCCCTAATGGTTAAAATATATTCTTAAAAGTTAATTTCTAATGGGGTCACCTCCATAGAGCCCTTCTCAAACACACACACACACACGTACACACACACACACACACACCCCAAAATGATCTCCTAAAACTGAGCAGGTCATTTTCACAGTATCTCTGCAGGCTTTCTGAAGATAAGGACTGTTTTCCGCATTCTGTATTTGATACAGCACCTAGTTCACTGAGACCATCCAGGGATGCATCACACATTTATTTAGTGCTTACGTAGGGCTGGGGAAATCGCAGCCATCAAGACAAAGTCTCTCATTGACATTCTAGTATGTGCTGGGAGGTGGGGGAGAGGGAAATAGATAATAGACGAGCAAATGAAAAAACACCAGACACTATAAAGCCTATTAAAAAGTAGATGATGGGTGGTGACTAGATGTATGAAGAGTGCCATTTATATTGAGGTTCAGGAAAGCCCTCTCAAAATCGAAATTAAATTAAAAATGCAGTCAGTGTCCACATGACAAGAAGGAGCTAGTCATGGAAGCATCTGGAGCAGGAGTGTCCTAGGAAAAGCCAACAGCCAGAGGCAGGACCGGCTTGGAATGCTGAGGAGCCAAAAGAAAGCCAGTGTGGCTGAAGTCTTTGAATGGCAAGGACAAGTTCAGGAAATGGGATCACAGAGGTAAGCAGGAACCTGATCACAGGGAGCTCTGTGAGTTTTGAAATATGTTTGGATTCTTGAATCGGTAACAGAGGCCATTAGATGTCTTAGGTAGGGAAGAGGCATCATCTGCTTTATGTTTTAGAGATCACTCCCCTAATGGCTACGCTGGGGATGGAAGGCAGGTGAGAGGAAGCACTGGGCGACCAGTTAGGAGGCTGCTGCGGAAGTCCCCTGGAGAGCCAGACTTGGCAGGGAGGACAGCTGAGCAGGAGTAATAACTGCACTAACATCCCTCAAGAAATGCAGGAGAGGCTTTCTGCACAGAGGAATAGCATGAACAGGATGTCATGGAAGAGATCCTTTTCTCCAGGTATACCAAACTCTCAGTTCCAGGCTCACAGCACCAGTACCAGGCTCACACTTCATTATTTTCACATAGATATTCTCCCACATGAAGTTTATAAATGTTTTGCCAAGTTCCTCACTTGAGGGGGACTAGAGTGAGGCTGAGATGAGTGAGAAGAGGAAGAGGAGGGAGATGAAGAGTCTATGAGCTCTTCCCTTCCCTTTTAACTCACATCACGGCTCCTAATACATATAAGTGTGGGTGTGTGTGTCTTCATTATTTGCATGTAGATATTCTTCCACGTGAAGTTTAGAAATGTTTTGCCAGGTTCCTCATTCAAAATCATTGTTTGGAATTTGATTGGGATTGCATTATATTTATAAAAATAATTTGGGGAGAATTGACATCTTTACTGAGTTGAGAACTTGATATACCTGGAGAAAAAGGAGTCCAAACAGAAAAAAGAAAAGAAACAAGAGAATCAAAACATGCCAAACACACAGGAGTCATCTTAGCAAGAGAGTAAAAAATGGAAGGCTTTTATAAAAAATAGTATCAACAGAGTTAAGGGACACAGAACAAGACCAGAAGGCATGTAGGCCTATCTTACACAATTGGATGACCAGATTCAACTCAGTAAAGATGTCAATTCTCCCCAAATTATTTTTATAAATATAATGCAACCCTAATCAAATTCCAAATGATGTTTTTGAATGAGGAACCTGGCAAAACATTTCTAAACTTCATGTGGAAGAATATCTATGTGAAAATGTTGAAGACATGCACAACCACACTTAAATGTGTTAGGAGCCATGATGTGTGTTAAAAGGGAAGGGAAGAGCTCATAGACTCTTCATCTCCTTCCTCTTCTTCTTCCCACTCTTCTCAGTCTCACTCTAGCCCCCCTCAAATCCCCCTTCCCTTACATCACTTTCTAATTGATGTGAGTTAAAGAGTAAGTGTCCTCTCACACATGGTACTATAGCAGTGTTTTTTCAAACTTTTTTGATTGATAAATATATGATGTATATAGAAATATACATATATTATTGAAACAAATGTTTCTGAAATAATACCTACTATTGCCATATGTGACTCACGTTTTTATTTTTTACTCTTTTTTACTCTATTCTATCCAACTCTATTTGGCTAAGAAATTATATGTGCTCAGAACCCTCTTAATTGATTTTATAGCTCACTAACGTGTCAGGACCCATAGTTTCAAAAACACTGCCCTCAGGGACTCTGGTGATTTCAGTCACCAACCCCAATCAGCAACCTCTTTGGCTGAATATTTTACCCCGTTTGCTTTAATATAAGTTCAGGAAGCACTTCATTTAGATTTTCTGCTAGCCTGAGAATGGAGAGAACAATTAAATCTCAACTGGTCTGGAAACAAGAGAAGTGGAATTTATGGTTTGTTTGTTTTTTTGTAATGATGATTATGATTAAATAAAGCTCCCAGCAGTTCCTCAATGGGAGCCCCAGCTCCCATCTCTGCTGTGGTTAGCTTTTCCCTTCCATCTGGTAGGCCCATTCAGCTCCTCTGTTCCAACAGGCCAGTTTTTTAAAAATAGAAAGGGGACTAAAGAACATATTTCACCTCATTGCATGGAATACAGTAACCCTCTAAGGCAAGATATTTGTTTTTAACTGCATGGAACTGAAGCACCTTCTGAAAAAAAATCAAGCTACAACTCTGTTCTCTCTATAAAAATTTAAAATCACATAGATTACCCATCTGGCATATCTCCTAATTATGCAGCTCTTAGTGGACTAATACTCTCTTCAGAAGCAAAACAGTAAATATACAAAGGGAAACATGATTAATAATTTCTTTTTGTTCTGTCTTTCAGCAGAAGTCCCCACTCATTCATGCTCTCCACTGAAAATGTTTCATAACTGTACCCAAAGACAGGCATGAAGAACTGTCCCCTGACTATTTGCCCAAGAAAGAGGAGGGAGAGACACACAAGCAGAATTTACTTTTTAACAGAAAGGCATTAATAGAGCAGGCACCCTGCACTGGTTTTTATCTTTACAGCTGAGTGTGTGTGTGTGCGTGTGTGTGTGTGCATGCACATGTGCAAATGGGACACTTTTTACTATGTTAACTTTTACCTCTATTTTATTATGTATCTGTTAAATTCAATTTTGCTTCAACAAATCAGTTTTCTGAATAATCAAGTGAATATATTTTGTTAAACAAGCTATGCCACTTACACTTGAGACAAACCTTTTTTTTTAAACAAAGCTGCATATAGGCTCATTGTTCCAGAAAATATCATATCCTACTAGATGAATTTATGTGCACTCAGTCAAAATTGCATGGAAAACCCAATGAATTGTCAGTAATTTATCTTTCACGTTTTACTATCATTTTCTTTACACCTTTGTCTCTTCAGCACCATTTGTACAAATGACAGGAACCTCTACTCTCTCGCTCCCATTAAAAGAGAAGTCACTAGTTTCCTAGTATAAATGAATTTTGTGTGTAATTTTTATCATGAAAACTTTAAAGTGTGATGTGTTTCTTCATGAAAAAAAAATCAGGCTACAGCTTGCACAGTTAGTGACCTATTCAATAGTCACACCTATATTTTTCCTTGAGAATAGAACCTCAGTATTTTTTTGAAGTGAAAATATAGCTAAATATTTGTTTTCCCAGATTCCTTTGACCCTTGGGATGACCATGTGACATATTTCAAGCCAAGAAGACCTAAGCAGAAGCCAACTGGAAGTTTTCAGGAAGTCTTTATGTTCTTGATTTTGGGAGACAGATATGGCTGGCATGGCCCTTCCATCTTCTTTCCCTGAGCAAAGAAGTGATGGCTGGAGCTGAAGCAGCCTTCTTTAGATCATGAGGCAAAAAGTAAGAAAATTACAAAGACATTGGCTCTGAGATCTCTGAACCACTGAACCAACAGTAGCAGCCCACTACCTTCCGATTTGTATTTTTCTGAGAAAAAAAAAAATGAAACCTTATTTGTTTAAGCCATTGGTTAGTCAGGTATCCTGTTACTTGCAACCTAAATGAGAGGCATGCAAAATTTCACATGAAGTTCTACAGCCTCCAAATTCTGTGGAATGCCTCAGGAGCTGGTGCGCAGGACCAGGCAAAGGCTAAGCTGGCAGGAGGAACTCTCCCTCTACTGGCACCAGATTTCCTCAGACTTGCTCATTTTTTTATCTCATATATTGAGATTCCATGTAAGGATTCACTAGAGAGAAATTAATTCTTCTGTCAAAATTCTATGTTTAAAACCACTGGATTAGATGCTTAAAGCAGAAGATTTATTGGCTTTCTTATAGGAAGAAATCCACAGAAATGAATCACTAATGATGAGATTTTAGCAATATGGTGTCTGTAAGATGAAAGCATTTTAATAAGGAAAGTCTAGCCTGAATGCTCTCCTGATGCCATTACTTTCTCTTCTTTCCACGTGGCCTGAGTAACAACCTGATATCATGTAACTTTTACAGTTAGGTTGGTTCATTGTTCTACTGAGAGGTGCAAAGAGGACCAACATAATCCTATGTTGTAACTGAATACCAGGGATCAAATCCTGTGGAGAAGGTAAAACCAGAGAACCAAGGAATATTTTAAAATTAATAACAGGTACTTCAGAGGAGAAGGAGATGCACAGAGGTGTCAGTTTCCCTGTCAAAACTTTAAGTTTCATAAGTGCATCTCTCTGCTTTTGTATCTCTCTTCTCCAGCCATCCTGGCCCTGGGGCAAGGCTAGGATTGTTGAATGTCTTGAGACCAAACACTCCGATGAGTTTCCTTCCTTTCTGAAGGAGTTTGAGGCATACTTTATGTCATAGTGATGTCTTGAAATGGTTCATGTACCCTGAATTTTGGTATTCAAACTCGCATTTTAAGTTCATTATGGGTTCTCACAAGTTAAAACAAAAAGTTGAGAATGAGAAGAATGCCTGTCTACCTCTCCTCGCCTCTCATGTGCACGCCCCCTCCCACCTCGGAACCTCATTCCTCCTGCAGGGTCAGTGTCATTTTGCTCACTACACTACCTTTCTCCTCAGGTGTTCATTACCATACAGTATGGGCTTTGGAACTAGAGAGGCCTGGGTTTCATCCAGGCTGTCCACTTACTGCCTGTGTGACGTTGGGCTAGTTGCTAAGTTTTTCCTCCATGCTTCAGTTTCTTCATGCCTAAATAAGATATAAGAATAATACCGATCTAGTAGGGTTATTGTGGGGCTTAAATAACTTAAAATAGTTAAAAAGCCTAGAACAGTTCCTGGACCATCGTCAGTGCTGAATGAATGTTAGCCATTACTGTTGTTGTTGCCATTGTAAATTACCTACTACCAAGCTTCATCTGCCTATTTGTAAATGGGGATAAGAATGCCCCCATACAATGAACTCTCAGCAAGTGGACAATACATCGACTAAGCAACTCCTGTTGCCAGCTCGTGCACTTTCCCCCACTAGAAATGCCTCTTGCCTAGGTTCTGCCTGCTTGGAGCTTCTCAGCACCTTACAGCCTGCATTAATTCAAACTTCCTTTTCAAAGTCTTCTCTAATGTCAGTAGTCCATCCTGTCCTCTCCTGTCACAAATAATGATAAATATTAATATAAGTACCTCCCAATTTAATACAAGGTCATAAGTTATCTTTTATTGTTCTTTACCACTTATCAGTTTCCCTGTCAAAACTTTAAGTTTCATAAGTGCAAAGATTCATTCTTCTACACTCAGTATGTGCTGGGCACATAATGAGTGCTCATTCAACACGTATTGATTGCCCTACTCATCTTTACTCTGAGTTTATATTTTTATATGCATATATGAAGTTTCTTTCAAAACAGGTTATATTTATAGTGCAGCAAAGTACCAGAAAAGGCATCCACATGATCTCACCTAAACTATAATTGGGCATAAACCCAGTATCAGAGGAAACTTGGAAAGGGTTTTCTTCCTCTGTAAGGCTGAGAGAAGGCAGGATTTATACCCCTGAAACAGAAGAAAAAATGAGGCAGTATCTTCTTGATCTTATTTCGTCAACTGGTATTCCCCCTTCCCTTAGGTCTTACCATGGCCAAATTCAAGAAACAGATGTTTGCATTAAAAAAAAATCTCCCCTGAGTCAGTGTGGCTGTTTATCCAATTTTCACCCTGCCATCCAGACTTCAGTTATGTCCAACAAGGCCCAAACAACAAGTTGGAATGTACAAACTTGAGCCTGTGGAAGAGTTCAGGGAGAGGTGAGATGGCCCCACGTTAGGGATGCTAGAGAGGAGATCTCACTGTGATGAGAAGTGGGACAAGAAAACTTCTTTTCCCATTGAGAGAAAACTTTTTTCCCAGCTCAGGATCCACAAGCCGATGAGCTCTACTGTTTTCTAAGTAAAGACACAGTCTTTTAGGCTGCCCCTCTCTGCTTTTATCACTTCTCTATGGTCTCCCAAAAGTAAAATAAATGTTTAAATTTTTTTGAACCTGATTGCTCCACAGAGCCATTCCATATTAATGATCTGAGTATGTACATCTTTCTTTTTTTGACTCCCCTGTTGAATTGGTCTACTGTGATGGTCACATGAACTACGGATGATTGCATCAACAATAAGATGGTTCTGCCTTGATGATCTGTAAATCTGTTAAGTTTGCCTATTGCAACTTCTTTCCTCCAACATGCCCCTAGCAAGTTGTTTTTAAAACATGAAGATTGGAGGAGATGCTTCTTAATGCAATTTATAACATCTCAGAGGTGAGAATTGAAAGCCCAGCTCTGATTGCAACATCTGCTCTGAACAAGAGCATCTAGGGACCTGCTATGAGATTTTTTGTCTTAAGGATGATCACCATGTATGTTCACAAATAAAAACGTGAAGCGTTCTGACAGCCAAGCAAACCATGAAGAATTAAACCTCCCAAACAGGAAAACACACTCCAACATTCTTGCTACTATTCATTTGAGGAAACTCCTTCATTCTGAGTCTCCTCACTTCCTCCCCCAATCCCCACCATTGCCTTCCCAACCCTGCTCAGTTTTATCCCTCATAGACATGTTTCTGCACAAGGGCAAGATTCCATTTGGAGGGGGAATTGTCCAATTTTTAAGGAAACAGTTTCTTAATGATAAAATCAGACTTTTCCAGCAAAGATGTTTGAGACAGTGTGTTCAGTAGAAGTGAAGGAGGGCTTATGAAGTAACCTGCATCTCCCTAGGCAAAAGTTTTCAATGACTCATCAGTGCCGTCCAAATCACTTCCCTTGGAATTTCAGTCCCTCTGATCCCTGGCCTCAGTCTGTCCTTCTGATCACAATCCCAATTGCACTTCAGGTTAGCTCAAGACAACCTGGACCAGCCTGTGTTTCCACTTCCATCTTCATGTTCTTCCCCCCACTCTTTTATTTACACCAGCTTTTACACTGGAAATCCTCTTTACCCATTCACTGACCAAAATCCTACCTCCTTTCTGTATCTAATTCAAGGGCTCTGTCCTCAGGAGGGCTCCAGTTTCTCCTGATCTTCAGGTTGGATGTGATCGCTCCATTTCATACAGTCACATAGTCCTTGTCTTTAGCGTGTATCACACTCTGCCTTGTATTATGGACACTGCCTCCTGCAACACTGTGGTCTCAAGAGGAACCTCCCATAACAAATTAGTGCACAATACAGTGCCTCGTATATGACAAACCATCAATAAATACATGATTTTGTAGGTTGAGTCCATTCATGGGGTGATCAGGAAGACAGGAGAGGCAGTACCTAAGGGCCTGTCTCCCCTCCACCACCATATTTGTGCCCCTTTCACTGGCTAACTGGCAGTGAGAGATATTTTGGGGGAGTCAAGATGCAGGGACTGTTAGCTTTTATTTTATTTTGACTTGTCAAATACTTACCTGGTTGAAAGCTTAAAATAATATAAAAAGGTATACATTACAAATTCAGCATGAGAACTTTTGCCTGACATCCCCCAAGGCCAATCCTCACCAGCGTGATTCAGTTGACTCTACTAATAGCCCCACAACACTTCCATGGTCTTCAGACATTGAAAAATGCATGCAGTTGACAAATTATCTTGGATTTTTTTCTAGCCAGATTGAGCAATAAAAATAATGTATGTGTTTATCAAATAGGTTATCTGCTATCAAGTAGACAAAATAACAAAGTGATAAACTCTTTAATCAATTTGTTGCATCATGCAAACTTGGCCCCCAGTCCAGTTCTGTTTTAGGGGCCAAGTGGTTAAAAGAACATCTTTCATACCATATGCTTACTACCAATTTTACTTAAATAGTGTACTGTATTAGATTAGTCAGGGTTCTCCAGATAAACAGCTCCAATAGGCTAGAGATATATAATCTATGTATTTATTTTAAGGAATGGGTTTACATGATTGTGGGGCTGGCAAATCAGTAGAGGACAAGAGGCTGGAAATTCAGGGAAAAGTTGTTATTGCAGTCTTGAGTCTGAAATCTACAGGCTGAAAACTTAGGCAGGGTTTCCATGTTGCAGTCTCTAGACAGAATTGCATTTTCTTCTGGAAACCTCAGTCTTTGCTCTTAAGACCTTCTGCTGATTGGATGAGATCCGCCCACATTTTTAAATGTAATCTGCTTTACTCAAAGTCTACTGATTTAAATGTTAATCACATCCAAAATACACCTTCACAGCAACATCCAGACTGGTGTCTGAAGAAACTACTGGGCACCACAGCCTAGCCAAAGGTGACACATAAGATCAACCATTACAAATGGAAACAAAACTCCAACTGAAGGTGGTTGGCTAAGAGACATTTTTGGCATAGGGTAATACTGTTTCCCCACAAGCCTTGGGAAGCTCTTCATCCTGGCTAAGTTTCCTGAAACAACTAAGCCAAAAAGCTTACCGGACCCCAACCTGAAGCACTGGAAAGTTCTGAAAGTTCCTTCAGTGCAGAATAGTAGAACAAAGTTCCTAAGTGCTTCTATATATCTGGAAAACATTTCAGAGACCATTCCAGTGAATTTTAGAAAAGCATGGGCCAACACAGTTTTCAAAGAAAAAAATCTCCTGACCAACCCCATTGGAAATAAAGTGTAATCATGTCACCAAAATAATTCTTAAATACTATAACAAGAAGTTGATAATAGAATAAAACTTAATGAATAGATTAGGGGGTGAGATGTACTGTTCAATAAGAGAAAGATGATTTTCTTTCCCATCTTCCTTTTTCCTTTCTTTTCTAACCCCTTCTGTTCTTTTCACTTCTTTCTCTCTCTGGCCTTTAAATATTATTTTTTTATGGCTTCTTGGTGTAAGAAAAAGACTCTTTAAAACTATGACCCAATGTCAGAAAGAGAGCAGAGTAGTCTCTCAAACTAATGGCTGTTGTTGAGGACTCCTTTAGTGATATTCAGCTAGGGGGAAAAAAAAAAAGAAGAAGAGAAAAAGAACTTTGCAATAAATGGCCTTCATGGAAGAAGAGTATTCATGTTAATTAGTAGCTCTTTTCAAATATGATTCATATATGCATTAGGCTATGCCATGCTGAACAATGCACACATTGTAATAAACATCAAGACAAGTCTCAAGTATGGTTATCAAAATTTTAGAAAACTCTAGCTAGGGTTTTTTTCATAAGATTGTGACTTGCTGTTCCTGGTGCATTGCACAATAGTAACTCTCCTAATGGCTTTTAGCTTTTGCCACTGCCAACTTTTATATTTAAAATTCATACAATTATGGACAATTTGTGAACATTATGAGGCTTTTCTTTTTTGCACTGATTCTTACTGATTCAAGCCAGCTTTTATCCTTAGCAAATCAAATGCATTTTGCTTACAACACTAGATTCATTCTCACATATTCCACTTTATTCTTATTATTAGTATTCCTTATTATGCATATTTAATTTAAGAATGCATTTTCTCCATTAAAAAATTAGAATATGCTGAAAGAAGTACTAGAAGGTGATTATTTGCTTTAGTTTGCTTTTATTAACTATGTAAGCCCTGATATGGTCTTCCCAAAGTTACAAGCAAGAGATAAAAATGTTAAAAAGCAAGAAATAAGATAAAATAAAAATCTGCTTGAAAATCACAGGCATTTTTTATGTGATGATGCATTTATAAGGTATCAAATTTGATAAGAGAATGGATTTTTAAAAGCTCAGTTTTATATGAATGGAGAAAGGCTATAAATACGCTGGAGTTTCTTAAGCAAATACACCACTAAGTATGGTTCTTCAGAAACTAGTCCAGCAAGATGCATCTTGCAAAAGTAAAAAGTATGAAGTCAGATGCACACCTTCCCTACCTCCACCCCAGCTGCACAAAACACCTCAGCATGTTAAAGCCTTTGAGAACCCCCCAGCACCCCCACATTACGGGAAATACAGCCATAGTGCATTCAGCCTGAAGAAACTTGTCAATCCTCCAGACAGAGGGCTTCTGCCCCCGCACTTCAACCCCCACCCCACTCTCTCCGACAAAACAAGGAAAATTACATGGGTGAAGGCTTAGCCTTCATTCTTACAGTAAACCTCTTTAACAAAATAGCTAGGAATTTAGAGTCTGTGAGAAAATAAATAATCAGTTAAAATTCCTTTCTTAATTTTGCAATTATTGACTGTAGGCTGTCACCCAAGTGATTGGTTTTTTCAGGTGTTTAACAAGTTTGAATCTTCCCCCTTCTACCCCAAAGTTATTGATTTAACTGGTTGTCTTAAAATTGTGAGGGCAAACCAAAGAACTGGGATCTCATCCCTTTGTTATTTTGGGGAATGCTTTCCTCCCTGGCCACCTCACCCCCATGCTTTTCAACACTACACACACCTGTTAACTTTGATTTGGGTCCTGTATCAACCACACTGACTACAGTAGAGAAGAACAAAGAGCACATTTATTAATTTCTTGCCTATGCTGCTATCATTTGTCATTGGTTTAAGACCTTAAAATCTATAGATACCAATGGACTTTGTCTCTACTATGAAATCCAAATAAGTTAATACTATGTAACATTTTGGGGGCACCTATTAAGAATCTTGTTATGTGAAGGACATTATATTAGCAACTTTTGATAGGTACTAGATATTACCTAATCGTAATACACCTACAAGAGTTTTGGCCCACATTGCCTGGACAAAAATCCTGGTTCCTCCACTTTCTAGCTCTGTGAATACATATTACATAATCCTTCTGTGCCTCAATTTTCACATGTGAAAAATAGGGACAATAATAATACCTGCCTCATAGAGTTATTGTGAGGATTAAACATAAAACCCTTAAAACAGTATTCTCCAAAGCTAATTCCTCCCTGTAGATCCTGGATCCTATGCCTTTAGGGACCCCTAGGGTATTTCTCTTCCACCTGATAACCCCTGTCATTTTGGACTCTTTGGCTTCCTTCTTATAAGGCTTAAAAGAAAAAAGGGCAGGCCGGGCGGGGTGGCTCACACCCGTAATCCCAGCACTTTGGGAGGCTGAGGTAGGTGGATCACGAGGTCAGGAGTTCAAGACCAGCCTGGCCAACATGGTGAAACCCCGTCTCAACTAAAAAAAAAAAAAAAAAAAAAATTAGCCTGGCGTGGTGGCACTTGCCTGTAGTCCCAGCTACTAGGGAGGCTGAGGCAGGAGAATCACTTGAACTTGGGAGGCGGAGGTCGCAGTGAACCGAGATCACACCACTGCACTCCAGCCTGGGTGACAGAGCGAGACTCCATCTCAAAAAAAAAGAAAGAAAAAGAAAAAAGGGTAGAGCTCAACCAGTGTTAAAGTTAGTTCTGCTGAACTCCATACCCAATGCGCTCCCCACTAACAGCGCCTCCACTTCATTGCCTCACCACTCCTGTGTGGGTCCTAATATCTCAAAAGAAAATAGAACGTTTTAGTTAAGACCAATAAATGCCTTGACGATAAAAATATAAACAGACCTTAACTAATTAGCTTGCTAATTACTCTCTCCTGAAGCCAATTTCTTTTAGTTCTACTAAGCCATGATCAAAAACAAAACATCAAGATATAGTAAAGGTGCTCTTTTTTGCTGTCCTGGCAATTAAAGCTAATCAAGTGCACAATTGATTGCACAGAGATCAGAGACTAATATTTGGAACATATCACTCATCTATATCATATATAAATTTTCTATCTAGTTTTTTAAAATAAGAGTAAGGGTAGGGTGTGAAGGGAATCTTTCAATCGTCTCAATAATGATGCCATGATGAGCATCTGCAACCTAAGCTTAAATTATGAAATCCCCAATTAAAATATCAGAAATTTATCCAATTTATAAGCTCTTAATTTCCCTCTTCATAGGAGTCCAGGGATCTAAGCACTTATTTTCTTTGGGTGTTATTTCAAACAACATATTTTTGGGTTGATACTTCACCCCCAAATGCTGTGTCCATGTATAATTTTAAAGTAGTTGTAGGAGCCTATGAATTTGTACCTCTTGACCCTCCAGTGAGAGCTAAGTCAGATTAATCATGGCATTATTATTATGTCATGCATTCTAACAGTTGGCCTCTGGAAGAAAGTCATGTCTGCTGCAGTACAATTATTGAAGACTGATGATACAGACCAAAGTCATTATAATAAAATTTATTTGGCATAGATCTTCACAGCCACAGTTCCAACCTCACATCCCACTTAGTAGGCACATGGGATTCTACTTAGCAGGACTACATTTTCTACCAATATAAAGGAAAGGGTCCTTAATGGACACATTATATTCAACATAATATAATCCTTTTAGCAAGGAAAGACCCAGGAGGTTGCTTGTTGGAGATAGATCTGTACCATGAATACCACGCCTCCATCTGTTGGAGAGGGACCAGATTTAGTGGTGGTACTTAGCAAAACCAGACAAAGACCTATCCATGATCAGGGCATAAGTAACTCCATTTTCTAATTTCTCCACATTGAAAGTCCTTGTCAAATATCTGTGAGGTCTGGATGAGAAACTGAAATGGAGATGATAATCAGTAGTCAGTAGCAGCACCATCCTTCATGCACATCATAGGACAGGTGAGGCTGAAACCCACTGAAAGTGTGCAGAGGGTTCCTTTGGTCTGAAATGTTCTGCCCATCCCTTGACCCTCTCCTGTTTCTCTTGAATCCTTTATGCATCCCTTGTTGATGTCTATGGTACCCCCTACTTTCCTCAACTACCAGCCCCATCCAGGATCCTCTCTCAGAAGACGCCATTGTATATTTGAGAAAAATTTGAGGTCATCAAACACGGCTACCTCAGCCTCTTATGGACCCACCTCAAATTTCCCAGTGTCCTATTTTTACTCCTTTTGAAGCCCATCTGTATTCTGGATCCCAAAAATTCCTTAGCATTTTGAAATCTTTAATCTCTTCTCCTTGATTCTCTCTGTTTCTCTCATACACACACACATACACACACACAGAGAGAAAGAGAGAGAAGCAATTGCAGTTCTGTCTCTAAGTCTTCTATAACGACACAATATTGAGTAGAAGAAGATACAAAAGTAAAGCAGTAATCCAGATTGGGTAGACCTCATTAAGGAGGGAATACAGAAAATAATAATTTTTAACATTATTGATGTATAATTTATATAATGTTAACTACATCTATTTAAAGTATACAATTCAATGGGTTTTGAGAAACATATATATTTGTGAAATCACCACCACAATCAAGATATAGAACATTTTCAAAATACCCCAAAATTCATGTACACCATATCATTCATTCCTCCCTTTATTCCTGACCACAGGCAACTACTGATCTGCTTTTTGCTGTTACAGATTAGTTTGCTGTTTCTGGAATTTTATATTAATGCAAGCATACAGTATGTGCTTCTTTGTATCTGGCTCCTTTCACTTAGCACAGTCACTTTGAGATTCATTCATGTTAATGTGTATATCAGTAATTCATTCTTTACTATATACACATATAGTATATATGTGTATGTACTAGTGTGTATATACTATATGTGTATACACATATAGACACACACATATATTTTAAAAACTGTTATATACCCATACATATATTCTAATATATATTAATTTCCCCAAGAACCTTCATACACTGTATAATATTTCTAACCTGCAGAGGTTTTAGATTTGTATAAAGTCAAAGCTACTAAATTCTTACATTATATTGTCCACACTTCAATAACATAGATGTTTATAGATATACAGTAAACTAATATTTTCTTTTTGATTTTTTTTATATTGTAATGCTCTAACCCATCTATGATTTATTTTGGTATGAGGGAAGAAGGTCTTAATTGTAGTTCCTTTCAAAGCAGAGCCCGAGGCAAAGTTTGCATGTTCAAGGTTTGAGGGGAGAGGAATCCCGGGGCATTAAGAGTGAGAGAAAAGGGAAAGTGAGGAAGAGAAGGAGGAGACAAAATCAAAGATGGCATGTCATTACTGGGCTGGCCACAACTTCACAGGAAACAGAGCTGTGGCAGGATGTCAACAGAGGCTGACAGAACCAGTGCATGAGTCCAGTGGCACAGAGAGGGAATGAGGAGTGAGGAATCTGTCATCAACTCTCTCTTGCAATGGTTAAAGTTTGCACTTCTGAGCTGTGTTTCCCAAACACTCCAAGCAGCTGCTAAGAAAGTTTGGGTTTCATGGACTCAGCTGGGTCACCTCTGGGTGCTAAAACTGCTGTGGCTCCCACTGTGACAGACAGGAGCAATGGAGGATGTGCCCAGGAGGTGAGAGACAGGGGCTGTTAGGAGGTGAGCAACAGCAGCAGACGCCCATAGGGGTGGAGCCTGGCAATCCATGTAGGCTCCTATACTTAGGCTACTAGGGGATGTAACTTTCATTACCATTTATCCTATAATGAATAATCAACCCTTTCTTTACCAATTTGAATTCCAACTTTGCCATATTCTAAGTTCTTAATTATACTAGGGTTTATTTCTGATTCTACCTATGAATGTACAAATGTATAGTTACAATACTTTTCAGCTCTCTGGTGGTACAATTTCCCTCATTCATTTTTTCAAAGCTTTTTCTCAGCTATTTTCATAAACTCATGTGTGTAGGTAAAGTTATAATAATTTTAACTTGTTTTATAAAACAATTGAGGATCTGTATATAAATCACATTAAATTAATATATCTATTCAGGGATTCTCAAGATCTATAATACTGCACTATGTTTTACTTTTCATGAATACAGCAGAAGCTTCCATTTATTTAAGTTTTTTGAGGTCTCTCAGTAAAATTCTCCAACAATTTTTCATGTAGCTTCTGCAAAAGTTTTATTAAATTTTGGCCTAAATATTTTAAATTACATTACTCTGGTGGACAGGATTTTTTTTTTCATTGTGCTTTCTAACTGATAATTTATTGCATGTAGTAAACTTTTTATATTAATTTTATAACCAATCATCTTTCTAAACTTTCTAGTTAGTTCAAATAATTTTTCAGTTTATTCTCATGGGTTTTCTAGGCGGACAATCAAATTGTCTGTAAAGAATGATAATTTTTCCTTCTTCTCCAATAGTAACATTTCTTATTTTTCTTTTCTGCCCCTCTTCTTTGGCTATAACTTTAGAATATTGTTAAACAAATAATTGTGATAACAGTAATCTTTATCTTGCTCCTACCTTTAATAAGAATGCTTCTGCCATTTTACTTTTAAGTATGATGTTGGCTGTTGCTTTCAGAGAGAAATCTTAAATCCTATCAAGGTAACACATTTCTATTACTAGATCACAAAGAGTTTTTTCAATTGATCATCAATGTTCAATTTATATTTTTTGTCTTGAATAGACCTACCAGGACACTGTGTGTTTTACTGTGAAAAGGATGTTCACGTTTTCAATCCAATGTTTTTAACTGGACACTGGCCTGCCGCTTAGGACTCAGCTGCTTCTCCGGAGAGGGAGGCTTTGTTCTACCCTGCTACACAGGACACTAAAACCCCCTGTTTTGGGTCAGGCAGGCCATCTACAGTCTGACATTGCTCTTTCCGATGAGCTACTAAGCACCCACACAACTGTTTCAATTTGTGTTGCCTCAAAGTTACTGTCTCCAAACCTATATTGCTTACTAGCATTACACTTAGGCTTAGAGTATTTTTTACGTGTTTGTTCCCTAGTTAGTTAAGGGGACACAATGACATTGATTTATATCCATGATCCATGCTAGTTGTTTCTCTCCTCTTTAATCTTTGGACACTGGTGATTCCAGCCCCAACATCTCCCAATGCTTAGCTTACTTGGCTTTTTTTTTTTTTAATCTTGATATAAAAACTCTGTGGATTCTCATACTTCCTTAAAATAGAATATGATTTCTGTTTCACAATCTAGTTAGCTGATTTCATGTATTGTGTAAATTTCTTTTTTATTTTCTGACAGTCAGAAACATGTTTTCCCTCAAGGAAGTGAGTAGGTACAGGGGACTCCATGGAGCCCTTCGAATTTTCAACTGTGTTTATACCTTCTAGGTGCCTCTCCCCATTCCCAAAGTAGCCAGTCCACCTCTTCATCAATTTCCTTATTCCATTCCCATCATCAACCCCCTCTTTCAGCAAATGAAACTTGCCTCCTACTTCACTGAGAAAACCAAGGTGAGAATTCCCATTCCTAAAATCTATGACTAATTCTGGAGTCCTCCCTCCACTTTCCCTAGTTGACACCCTTCCCTACAGTTTCATGCAAAAAACAAAAATCACCTTTCACCACAAGACATCTTCACCCATTCCATCATCTCTGTATCACCTACCTCTGATGTATTAGCAACCTCTCCCTCTTTGCAGGCTTGGAAACTTCACCTTCCTTTAAGTCTTCAATCTAGATTTAAATCTCTGTATCTTCTCCCTACTTTCTCTCTCTCTTTCCAGTCATAAATGTGGAAACCCAGCAGTCCCTTTGCTGGCTCATCTTCCCCTGCCTCCATCTTAAATGTTGACACCCTCTCTTGACTCCAGGTTTTACTTTTAGCACTGTTTTTATTTCATGACACGTTGAGCGAGATTGCCCCCAGGTAATCGCATTCACTTCCTGAACTTCCACTCGTCTATGTGCTGCTGACTCCAGTGTTCTCATTTCTATTTCAAACCCCACTCTTAAATCTCACACTGTCTACTGGACCACCTCAACTTGTGTTTCCACCAGCACCTCAAAACAACATGGACAAAACCCCATGATCAGAGTCGTCCCTCCCCCACCAAATCTGCCCTTCTACCAACTCTCTTATTGCCACACGTGACATCACTGTCCACCCAGACACTCAAACCAGCGTGGGAGCCACCCCAGCCTCTCCCTCTCCTGCACATCCAGTCAATGCCTCCATTCAGCCTGTCTTCGCTCCTTGAGTTCTCCTGTGCTATTCTTCTCTCTCCCACAGTCCCTGCCGCAGCTCTGACCCTAAGCATTTCTCTTGGAACTCCTGGTATAGCCTCTGTGCTCTGAATGTTTTTCTCTTTTATGCACCAAGCTTTTTCTGACCTCTGGGCTTTCTTTCCCACATACTGCCCACTGTTCTCTCTCCTTAAAACACTTGTCTGCCCTGATCTTGACCTTGTCAAACATTCCTGAACATAATCATCAACGGAGACCTTCTTTAAAAAAAAAGAAAGAAAAAGTAGTTCTATTTAAATCACTTCTGTGCTTAAAACCCTCTAACAGCCTCCATTGCCCTTGAGATACAGTTTAATCTCCTTAGCATGGCATACAGATTCTCTGCTCTAGACCTTTCCCTTGCCAAACTTCTGCCCACATCCTGTGTTCTTGTCGCAGAAAATTTCTCATATCTCCCCATCTCTGTCATCCACATTGCTATTCTATGTTATTGTGAACATATCTTTACCTAATTTTTTTTTTTACTGGTAATGCTTCTACAACCTCCTCCCCCACCCAACTATCTAGCAAACCATCTATTTATCTTTTTTAAATGATCTCAAAAATAACCTACTACTTCTTTTTTTGCAGTCTGGCATAGACTTATGTCACAGCCTTTTTAATCGACAGATCTGTTTTCGGATCTGTTTGTCTCCCTGTAAATAACAGTACACAAGCTTGTTATGGCCATTTCCTCAATTCTTTATCCAAAACTACATTTCTTTATTGAAAAACCATTTTTAAGCACTCTGTTAAGCATTAGGAACACGAAGATTCATGATAATAACAACATAATCGTAGCTCCCAATGAACACACACAGAGAAAGGCAGAGAGACAAACATACACAGGTAACACAGCAAATACCCTGACAGTGATATTCACCATCTATTTATCTTAGGGGCACAGAGAAAGAATATCTAATTCTGCTAGTATCGCAAGAGTCTCAAAGTGTGCGTGACACATTTGCTTGGTAAATACATATAGTTTATTGAGGGCATCGTAGTTTGTTGGGAAAGAGAGAAGGAGTGAGCAGCCAGCTCATGGAATATCCCAAAGGAAGTTCCCCATGGACTCAGTCCATTTTCTCTCCAATCTGTATCTTCATCTTCACTCTATTTTGCATCTGGATCATCCATCCCTCTGGAACACAAGGGGCCCAAGGCAATTGTCAAGGGGGAGAACAGCTAATCTATGCTCTGCCAGTAAGTCTCTGGAAGTTCCTGCCACCCTCTGCCTCTGCCTGGAGCTCACACCCCCGGCTTGCAATTGCAGCCAGCAGATGTGTATTAAGAAATAACTAATCAAGCCATGGCCTTCAGCCACATGGTGGAGGCCAGTGTGGTAACTACACCCCCTGTCCATCTCTCTAAGTATCTGTAACCCCAAAAATTATGGAGCCAAGATGATTCATGATGTTCTCTGGACCATGAGCGCCTGAGGAATCTATAAACACACAGTCCTTAACCCCTTTGAGCCCCAAATGCTTCATCTGTCAAATGAGGATAATAACCTTCTCAAAGTGCTGCTATCCAGAACAATGTGATCTAAAATGCCTCACTTATTATCTACCACAAAATAATTGTAGCTTCTTTTCATTGAAGGCATACTCCATGCTGTGAGAAGAAATGTAAGGCATACTTCCCTTACATGGGTTTGATTTTGGGGTTTTGCTGTTCCACTTTTGTTTCAATGATGCCTATGACTTCTACATTTCTTTGGCTTAACACTTGTTTTCTCTTCAAGACACATTGAATAGATATTGAATTCAAGGGAACCATAATTATCACCATCACTTACAGTTCTTTGCTATCTTACCAATGAATCTAGAAGGGGATTCAGGTTGGATTGATGGCCTGAGCCAGTCTGGAGTTGGCTGTGACTGGATTCACTCCTGATGCTCTAAACTCTCATCTGAACACCACATATTGCCTTAATCCACATGCTTCACTTGGGATTCTACTCAGCCCTCGACTGCCTCTCTTGTCCTCACCACAAATAACCCTGGTTTGTTCAAATATAACACCAGCATTGAGAAGAAGGTGACTGGTGCGATTTCTTCCTATGGTCCCTTATTAAAAATGATTCACATCTCCCTTTGTAAGATGAGGCAAAAGCAAAGAAACAAAGTGAAATTGAAAAAGAAGGGGAAAACTGAAAACAGAAAGTCAACATGGCAAGAAAGCGGGAGATGTAGTCCCTGTTAGTCTCTGCAGGATAGGACCTCGGGGACAGCTCCCCTACCTCAACCACAAATAGAATATGATAATTCATCTCCTCAAACATACCAGGGGATTGCTGCCTCTAGCAGGAACTGGATTCCCCACGAATCTCTGAGACTGTAGCAGTCGACTCATTTTCTGGGCTACTTTTAACAAATCATTGAATTAATTTCCTTTCCAGTTCTTTATGAGAAAACTAAATTACAAATATCACCAAAATGTTCTTTCCCCACTGGCAAATTCCCCTGAGTCTAGTGTTTGAGTTTCTATGACTCCATTTGGAGTAGGTTTTAGGAGACATGCATTTTATTTGTAAAGGAAATATTCAGTACCAAAGTACTGTACTCTCTGTAGGCCAATATAATCTCTTTCTTTCTCTTTCTTTCTTTCTTTCTTTCTTTCTTTCTTTCTTTCTTTCTTTCTTTCTTTCTCTCTCTCTCTCTCTTTCTTTCTTTCTTTCTTTGAGTTCCTTCTCTACTCTTTTATTCACCCTCTGATTTAATGGTACTACTTTCCAGACAGCATTTTTCATCTTCAAAGACGTTTACAGACTTGCAAAATAAATGTCAGTCCCTGAAATGCAAACCCTGGGACTCAGATGGACCACTTGGGGGTAACTCCTCTGCATCGTACAGAAATCCAAAATTTTACAAGCAGCCTCTGGTTAGAGTCTTCGCTGAGCCTGGGTCCAGCCCATGCCCCGCCTTATCCCAGGTCCCTGTCTTAGTCATCTACTCAGGCAGCTATAACAAGATACCATAATCTGTGTGGCTTAGCCACAGAAATTAATTTTCTCACAGTTCTGGAGGCTACAAGTCCAAGATCAAGGTTCTGGCCTGTTTGGTTTCTGGTGAGGGCTCTCCTCCTGGCCGGCTTTCACACCATGTCCTCACATGGTGGGGAAACAGGGAGAGCAAGCTCTGGTGTGCCTTCTAATAAGGATGCTAGCCCCATCAGGGATGCCTCCTTATGACCTTATTTAACCTTAATTATATTCCTACCCCAAATACAATCATCTTGGGGGTTAGGGCTTCAACATATGAATTTTGGGAGGGATGCAATTTAGTCCATAGCACTTTCCCAGAAAACAAAGTCAAATGGACACAAATACAGCAGATGTCTATTTCAGTCAATTACACAGTACCAGAAATGAGCTATGAAAAACGCTTATCAAGTCGTATCATCCGTCACTACTGCCACCACTCAGCAAGGCTGACAACACTTCTCTTGTATTTCAAAGCACTTTAGGGAAGTTCTTTTGCTAGGCTGACTCTAACTCCACAACCTTGTCACCTGACACTGCCTGAGAACCTTCATAATAGGCTAGATGTGCTCCTTCTGCCGACAATGCACTCTTCCCTCTCCACTGGAACAGCTAAAAACCTCTTCACTAGCCTAGCATCTGTCCTTGGGTGCCTTCCCTTGTCTCTCTTCTCCAGGGGGCTTGTGTGTGCCCTGCTTCTTTCTCTCAGGCTGAAATCCCTCCTTTCATCTCTCTTGCAACCTTTTTAGATGGTGGAGACCATCTTATTACCTCATACAGTGCTAGCCAAGAGCTGGCTACCCGGTCCACTGCAAATCACTGCTCCTTGGCCCTTCAGCTCTGTGTAACACATCCACGACCAGCTTTTCCTGGCATGGTGACAGACTTGCCATCCTTCTGTGTGGTCTGCCTTGCAGGCAATGCTGTACTAGGCTCTGGTTTAAGAGGGTTTCTCCATCCCAGTGTGATTTTCCACATCCATTGCTACAGGAGAGTGGCGGTAGCTGGTGTGGATACAGGCAGTACCATGGGAGGCCTGCAAACTCCCCTTCTTTTCCATGCCTCCTGTCTGCCTGGGCAGAGGCTGCAGGGAGTGGAGAACATCCCAACCAGCGGATATGTGATTAGGTGACGAGGGAGCCTGGCTGTCACTCACTCCCTCTCCCAGACTTAAGGGAACTGTCGGCTGAAGCTTTCCCTTGGGGCCTGGAGTGGAGTCACTCACAGGGTAAACACTGTCGTCAGTCTTTTTCACTATAACTCTGTGGACCCCTCACACACACACAGTGGAGGATATAAAACCAAGCTGAGAATATGGTGGCTGGAATGTGTCGGGTCCCTGTTAGACACTTCTCTAAGAAAAGCAGAGAGGAAAAAGAAAGAAAATATGGGACTTCTAATGAAGAGGTGCTTTAATTCTTCTTACTGCTTCTATAATACACACACATGCATACACTCACATGCACATACACACACACATCTGTCTATACCACCAAATTAGTTTCATATATTTTCTTCCTTCTTCTTTCTCTCTCTCTGTGTTTCTCTCTGCTCCATCCTTCCTTCCTTCCCTCCCTCCCTTCCCTCCTTCCTTCCTTCCCTCCTCTATTCCTTTCTCCCTTTCTTCCTTCCTCCATTTCCTTTCTCCATTCCTTCTTTCCTTTATTTTATGGCCTCAGCCCAATCACCAAATGTTTGTTCTACATGCTATAAACTACGTTTTTTGCATAATTTTTACTAAAGTTATACTCATAGAAAATCTAAGTATTGCACCAAGAATAAAAACACAATCTGTTAAGGAAACACTGTAAGTGGGCACTTCCCTAAGTTCAATGTTTTGTTTCTTTTAAAAGCTGTACATTCTTTTTTAAACCAATTCTATCGTGTAGGCACACGGTTTGATGGGCTGGTAGTCAGTGTGTCTGGGGTGAATTCCCAACTCCAGCAATTCTAGATGTGACCTAGCACCAGTCACTTAAGTTCTCAAAGACTTCATTTCTTCACCTCTAAAAATAGTAATAACAACATAAGCTAGCTCATGAAGTTATTGTGAGAATAAAATTCACTGAAACATGTAACGCACATATAACAAAGTTTGGCCTTTAGTAAGTGTTTAACAAATATGATCTATTGCTATGATATTAGTCTTATATTTGTATTGAATATATATTATATGCCTAAAACTGGGCAGGTGAGGCATATGAAAATAAGCTAGTTATTGTTGACTTTTTACCAAATTGATTGACCCAAAGGAGTGTTTTGGAGTGATGTGCACCACACTGCTGGACACCCATGGGCCTCCCAATGGTGTGGCATGTGATACCAAAGTCTGTGAGCCACCATTGTCATGACCAGTGGCTGCCATTTTGAGCATCTAGGCTTTCTTCCCGTTGAATTTCAGACTCCTCATGAAAAACTAGTAGATAATACAAGTTCTCTACCAGGGCAAGAATCTTTCTTCATGAAAATTATGCTTATAAAAACAGTGTGAGGTACTTATAAAAATACCAGACTTTAATGTGTTCACACCTTCCCGTTATTCTCAGGGGCAGCCTTTACTCCTTTCTTCTTTTCACACTGCAACCAGACGGCAGATCATTTCACCAGGACTCCTCAAGGCATAGCCCCTTTTTGCATGGATTTAGGTGCAATGGGAAAGCAGTAAATTCCTGTGGAGTGCAACCACTAGGCTAACAGGCCCATTGAAGTAACAAACTTTCAAACCAACCAGGGAATTATTATTTCTCTGTCTTGACACTGTTCTGGGCAGAAGGCTTGCTACTATCGCACACTTTTTCTATGATAGATGTCCCACTGTACTCCCTCAGTGTCTGGAGACTGCCCCCACTACACAGCAGGACGTCCTGCTTGGGCAGCATCTGGGCCCTGGCCTGGTTCTTCTCAGGAAAATTTCCACCAGCACATCAGCTACCTCCTCGGTGATGTCCAGCCCCATCAGCACCACTGCTCACCCAGGGACAGGCCATCAGTCTCCCAAGGGTTTAACAAAGTGAAAAGTAGCTTCTCATGCCAAATAGGAGAGGGACTCTTGGCCAAAGGCTCACGTCATGTCAAAATCAGGTTTAACAGAGAAGCTCTATAAGCAATTACCCTTCCTCCCTTCTTACATCAGCCAAGTTCTGCATATTCACAGAGCACTGCAACATCAGTTATTTCATCTGATCATCTCAACCACCATGTGTATTAAGCAAGATATGCGTATCAATAACAATGATAATGATAATAATTGTAATAAATAATAAAAACTTTAACTGGGAGCTTACTCCATGCCAGTTACATGCCATATACTTTGTATGGATTATCTCCATTGTCATAACAACTGTATGATTATCCCTGTTGAAAGATGAGGAAACCAAAGCTCAAAGAGATTAACTTGTGCCCATTTTACAGGTGAGCACTCCAGTGACTAACCCAGCAAGTGGCATTCCCAGGTCAAGAACCAAGCTCCTCAAGGCTCTTTCTAAGGACCATGATGTGTTTTTTTTTAGCATCTTCAAGTCACATGTTGGGGGGGCGGTGGTTCTGAGGCCAGTTGATGCAGCTTTCAGGGTTCGTTGTCCCAGCCTCAAAGAGGTCAGTAACAGTGGTCAATCAGCTGCACCCACAGGCCAATATTGCTGCACAGATACAAAGACATCTCATAACCAGAGCAAAGGACATGATCCCAGTTGGAAATGACTAACAGGGATCTTTTGCCTCTGAGGCAACAGCTGGAATCTACAACCAGTTAGCGCCAGTTCCACTGGCATGTTCTGTCTACATAATGCAGACTATGGCATTTGGCAGTGGCTCTTAAATTTGGCACACTCCACATTCCTCCTGGACCCACAAGATAACATAACCAAATGTTTTCTGATGCTGTAAGAAATGAGTATTTTGCAGGTAGGAGGAAATGCAAACATGCCCCCTACAGGAGGCTCACTCCATCCAATCCCAAGGGCAAAGTGGCTCACTCCCTCTTGACCCTTTCAAAGGTTAAATGTGGAGCAAGGGCCCAGATAAATGGTCACAATGCAAACAAAGTCATGTAAATAAATGCATCTCTGATCTATGCAGGCTGGTGATGCCAAATATGCCATCTGCATCGTTTCTCATGATGAGCTGGACTTTTTTTTCCTGCATGTCCCAAGCAATGAGAAGATGACCATGTTTATGCAGACCAAGGCATGCATCATTTGACACTCTTGGAAATATTTTTGAAATTTCAGATCCACAGGCAATCAGTGGCATTTGTGCTTTTCTAGGTTAGGTTAAAGTTGTAAGAAAGAGAGAATCTCACAAGAAAGTAATAGGGCATATGTCCGGGGCCTGAGAGGGTACTTGCAATGTATTGTGATTTGGAGTGGGTTCTAGTTGTATCTGTAATCTGAACACCCTCCCCTCGCCTGTTTATTCATATTCATTTAGCAAAAGCATTATTAACATGATTTATTCCTGCAGTTCCTAGTAGATCTAAGATGGGGTTCAGGCATCTGTATCATTTTTCAAACAAAACAGAATGAAGCTTCTAGGTCAAGCAACAGCAAACATTTTCTGCAAAGAGCCAGATATTTTCAGTTTTATGGGTCATGTGGTTTCTATTGTAAAGACGCACCTCTGCCATTGCAGCACAAAAGCAGCCCTAGACAATATGAGAACAAGAGGGTTTGTCTGTGTTTTGATAAAGTTTTATTATTATGAAAACAAGCAGTGCACTGAATTTGGCTTGTGGGCTATAGTTTTCTGACTCCCGTTCTAGATGGCCCTTATTATCATTAACTGTGCTTGAGATCTGCTTGTCCAGAAAATACTGTGACTTTGGAGAGTGCTTTACAGGTATCACCATCTATGGTGGAAAAAGGGGTTGCTTTTGCTTTTGGAACTTTTTCTCAATCAATATAGTAACACTGCTTTTGCCCATTCATGCCATAGGACGGAAAACTCCATATTTTTAAATCATTCCTTCAATGCAGTTGATGTATGCTTACATTGAATCTGTTCAAATACTTTTCAGAGATGCATAATGTAAGCACCCATCTTTTTGGAAGTAGAGAGTTTTACTAGATATACAGTCTAAACAAAAAAAAAATCTAATTATAGTCTAAGTTTTTTTGAGATCAGGAAAAAATGGATATTTCTGTTGGTTACTAGATGTATCATTGTATTTTAGGGCCTGACATAGAAAAAAGGTGTAAATATAGATACGTATATATATTCAGATATATATACATATGTATCTATATATATCTGAATATATATAGGTGTATGTATATATATGAAGAAAGTTCTTAAATATCAAGAGTAGGCTTATGCTCTTAATTTTATTATATTATTATATTTGATAGATTTTTTTAAATATCAATTCTTTACTATAAACCCTGAATTCTAGGATTCTGAAATACACATAGCCCTTATTAAAGGGTAAGTTCACTTCAACGACTATTTATGAAATAACAATTTCGGATCTACTCTTTCAATTCTTGAGTGGCAAAATTGTGTAAGAGAAACAAAAAAAAAATACCTATAGCAGAAGTGAGAAATACCATAATAAGAGCTCACAGCTATAGGAGCAATTAATTCTTCTTGAGTGGAAGTAGGGTAGAGGAAACAGAAGGAAAAGAAAGCACCATGGAAGCTCAGGAAGAACCACAGAGAAGGGGTGGCATTTGAGCTGGGCATTGAAGGATGAGTAGGAATTCTGCATGCAGAGAAGAGGCAAAGGAGAGAGTGTTCTAGCAAGGGGACAGAGTCAGGAATAGCACTATATGTTTAAGGAGTGATGTTTAGGCTAATTGGACTTCAGTGCAAGGTGCCTGAGAACAGTGGAAGAAAAGCAGAAGACGCAGCCAGAGCCTGGAGTCGCATGGTGAAGCACTGTTGGTAACACTAAAGCTTTGGGATTTCTCTTTTTCTTTTCTTTTTTTTTTTTGACACAGGGTCTCACTCTGCCACCCAGGCTGGAGTGCAGTGGTTCGATCTTCGCTCACTGCAACCTCTGCCTCCTGGGTTCAAGCGATTCTTCTGCCTCAGCCTCCCAAGTAGCTGATATTACAGGCGTGCACCAACATACCCTGCTAATTTTTGTATATTTTGTAAAGATGGTGTTTCACCATGTTAGCCAGGATGGTCTCAAACCCCTGGCCTCAAGTGATCCTTCCACCTCAGCCTCCCAAAATGTCGAGATTACAGACCTGAGTCACCATGCCCAGCTAAAGCTTTGAAATTTATTTTAAAAGGCTGAGGGAAGCTATTTAGGTTTCAAAGCAAGAAGCTGACTTGATCTTAGATGAGTTTTAGAAAGCTGATAGAGGGCTGATTCAGAGTGGGCCTTAAATCTGCCCAAATATTAATAATTTGTCCCCAAAACAGGAGTGGTTCAACCTTATCCCAGGAAGCTAAACAAACTCCCCAAATGCCAGGATCCAGGAAGAATACAGGGAGAAGGCCCCCACACCTTATCACCGCACACTTTCTAAGAGAAAGCTGGGTGCGCACCCAGGCCCAGGGCCAGGCTCTGTCCCCTCTCTCAATAACAGCGTGGACGTGGATGGAGATAAAAATGTTGCAGGGCAAGGAAAACAAACACACTGACCAACAAGAATCTTTTCAGTAGCCTGAGAAAGAAGCTTTTAAAACACAAGACTCTTTGCTAGTAGCAAAACAGCCGCTATGGCCATCACACACTCTCAATGCAAAGCCATTCCAAGCCACCTCTGCAGATGTGCACAGTTTACAGCTGAATATGCATTTACACCACTATCGCTTCCTCAGGCAGGAGGAACTGGAGTCGCAGCCTACCTTTGGCTCCACTGTTTTTCAACATTTATTTTGTTTTAACATCCTCATTAACAGAAGATGCACGGAGTTGTTGCATGATGTGAACATTTTACTGTCCAGTCGTATCTTAATAAATGCTTTTGCTTCCTTTCAGATCTGCCCTGCCGGTGTTTGACACCCGAGTCTGAAGCTGGCACCTCATCCATTCCCTAGTCCTGCCTTTTTGCTCCCCGGGCTCCCTTTCCAGTGCCACCATCGCCCTCTTTGCACTTCCCTCGCACTCCATCTCAGAAGCAGACTTCAAGGAGATCAAAAGAGGCTGCTCCTCAAGGAAGAGCAGGGGTCCTGCGGCTAGAAAGCGGGGGGCAGGTGAGCAGGTCTTTCCCACACAGGAGCCAGCATACCCGGGGCAGGCAGGCAGGCACTTAATAAGGGCTTTGAAATGGATTCTTTCAATAAGCACGTATAGACCATTTGCTGCACATGCTACGTAGTCCTAATAAGGCCCAGCCGCGATAAGAATTTGCTCCATGGTGTTGACTGCATTAGCGTGGAAATGAAGAGGATCGTGCGGCTCTCCTTTTAGGAAATCAAATTTCTAAAACCATGCAAGGAGAAGAATAGAATCCTTCCAGGCCCAATATTTACCAAGGAGACCTTCCTCTCTGCCGATGGTCCGGAGGGTCACATTGGGTCTCAGCAGAGGAAAAGCCGTAGGCCCTGGGCCAGAGTGCATGCCAGCTAGTCTAAGGGGAGAGGAGAGGGCCAGAAGCACCAGAGCACGTGATTTATTTCTGGTCATAAAGGAATCAATTACTGTACCAGGATAAAGCAGCGATTTTTTTTTTCTACTCTGCTTTTGCAATCTTCTTTCTTCTCCGTTTCTATTTCACTCTCATTTAGCTATAACTGAGGAGTACTCAGTCCACTCTTCCCCATTCATTTTCCATCATGTCATTTTATTTTGCATTGAGAACTCAAATCCTTGTTTACATGTAAATAACTCACTGTTCTTCATGCTTATTTAAAAACAAATAAAAAGAGACCACTAATTATCAAAATTGTTTGAAATATACCATTTTTGGCAACAGATCCCTTATTACTATAGATCACTTTTCATTATTTAAACATGGTTTTTTGATCTTTTTCTCTCAGGGATTGGATTTAAAGAATTGAGCTTTAGAATAGTCAAAGAAAGACTGAAAACTCTTTGGGTATAAATTGGAGGAAACTACTAAAATGCTAAGTGCCATGTTGTAGTCTACTATTGCTTTTTAGTAATGGAAATGCAGCTTGGTACGCTCCTCAGAAGAACATCCTTATATTTTTGCATTGCAAGTGTTCATTATGTGCAAGGGTCAGAGCAGAACTGATCTGAAGGAGCTCAATTTTAAAATCCCTTTAAAAATCTGGACAAAGGATGCCATAGTATTACACTAAAATGTTTAAAAACAAAAAGTATTATGCGTGCCCCATGGTGGAAGATCAGATTTTTATTAATGCAAGTTTTAAATGCTGATTAATCCTCTTGAGAGTCAGTTTCCCAAAGCATTGGATTGTATTCAAGTCGTTTGCAAAACGGCACATCACTACCAATATTCTGAATATTAATTGAACAACATTATAACTGAGGATACAAAGCAAGATTTAAAACATGATTACAGCTGTCAGTGCTTACATCTAAATAAGTCATTGGAAATTCAGGCATTAAAGAGAAAAATGTAGTAAATCGGTCTTAGCAGAACAGTGAAGCTCTCTCTCTTAGCCGTTTTAAAAAATAAGTCTGATGCTTTAGGACCCAAGAGAGCTTCAGTTATGACTTCGCCTTGTATTTATATGGGCAATTTCTGATCAGAATTCAGAAATCAAAGGTAGATTTTTTTACTTGTGATTCGACACCGCATCAAGGACATTTTCTTGGGGAAGAAGGAGAGGAAGAGTCAGAGAATATTATCCAGTTGATAGAATCTTCACATTTCCTTATTTTCTATTTCTATTTCAGTCTCTGTCCACACTCAAAAATCAAAGAATTAGCCCGACTTAATCAAACAAAATATTACTATGTTTTCCGAACAACTTATTCAGCTCAGAGTCAAGCAACTGTAAGTAACTAATGACTTATTTTTACAATAATCAAATTTGTCTAAATGCAACTTCTTTTATCTCTCAAATCTAGTTTGGGGATTGATAAAATCCTCATCTCTCCACCAGATGCAATATAAAATACTGGCTTCTATTATAACCATGGGGAATTTTAGTTTTGTTTTGTTTCTTTAAATGGTTGCTGTGTATTTGAGTGATAGCTCTTTGTTCGAAAAGATGCAAAAGCCACTCTCACATCTAAGTCTAATGAGATAAATGGCATTATGAAGGGAATATTAAAAATTTACAGCCCTTTTTACTAAGTTTTTTTGTCAGCTGTAGATGCTGAATATTGCATTGCACACACACACACAAACACACACACACACACATACAGTCCTGACGATGAAAAAGATATGAGGAGATAATGATGCAATCATAACACGTCTGATGGAGTTTGCATATCTCGGTTGCTGTTTGGCATGCCATTTAATTGTATTGCGCCAAACTGGCAGAATCACACAATATGTTAGTGTAAAAGGTCCACAGTTTAAAGGGAAAATCTAGAAGTGTTGACTATACACTGTCTAATTATACAACCTTACTGCCCCAGAATGTGATTTCAGAAACCATTTCTGACATATGGGAAAAGGGTAGAACAGCTGGTCATTAAGGTTTTCTCAAGACTATTTAGCAACACACTTGAATGTAATTAAAGTGAGACACTAAATACTGCACTTGTGGTACAATGTATTTTTAATTTTTATGGCATGTGGTAAAAGTAAATAGATGCAAAGCATTCAAGTTTCTGCATTCAGCATCCAACTTGTCAAAGATGCACTGTCTGGCTGATCGCAAGCAGGGTCCTGGTGTTAGTCACAGGCATCCATTTGGGGTGCTTAAGACTGTCTTTAAGGGACTGAATTTGGCAATACACAGATGAAATGTCAAATTGGGATCCTCAGACAAAGCATGAGATGAAATTCACTCGTTCATTCACTCATTCATCCAACACAGCTTGGATTATTTTAGGTGGGCATTATTTCTGCCCTCAAGTTGCTTGCAGCTTACGTTGCTTAAAAACAGTGTGATAGATGCTCATTAAAGGGTGCTATGACAGCACCAAGAAGGAGTCTGGCCCACACTGGAGGCCTTCCCCGAGTAAGAATTATCTTAGTCAGCCAAAAAAATGGTGAGAGTCAGGGGTAAGGAGTACGAGTGAGGGCAGGAAAATAGTCCAAGCAGAAGGAGCAGCTAAAGCAAAGCCTTGGAGACAAAAAGGAATATGAGAATATGAATACAATCTTGACCTTTATTGAACAATTTATAATGTTCTGGCACTAGGGTAAGGCCTTGACATATATTGTCTCATTTAATCCTCACAACAACCCTATGTGGTAAGTACTATTATCATACTTTACAAATAAGGAAACTAACAGGCTAGTTTGTGGCAAAGGAATTAGTGGGTAACCGAACCACAGTTCAAGCCCAGGTTTGTGTGAGTTCCAAGTCAATATCTTTTCTCCAAAAGCTCCCCCCCCCCACAATTTGACATATATGTATATTGCATGTGTATTTAGCTTTCAAAGAAGTTAGCGTGTAAATACATTCATTCTTATAAAAACCCTATAGAGTGTAAATACATTCATTCTTATAAAAACCCTATGATTAAGAGAATAAAAAGACAAGCTGCAGACTGGGAGAAAATAGCTGCAAATCACATATCTGACAATGGGTTTGTATCCAGAATATATAAAGAACTCTCTAAACTCAACAGAAAAAAAAATTCAACCAATTAAGTCAATGAGCAAAAGACACACGATGGCAGATAAGCAAATGAAAAAATGCTCAACATCATTAGCTATTAGGGAAATGCAAATTATACCACAGTGAAATACCACTACCTGTGTTATAATGGCTACAATAAAAATAATGACAATGCCAGGTGCTGGCAAGGATGTAGAGCAACTGGAACTCTCAAACATTGCGGTGAGAGTGCAACATTGTGATACCACTGTGGAAAGTGTTGGAAGTTTCTTATAAAGTTAAACATATACTTACCATATGACCCAGCAAACTCACTCTTAGGTATTTAAGATAGAGAAATAAAAACTTATGTTGACATGAAAACCTGTATGTAAATATATAGAACAACACTATTTATAATCTTCAAAAACTAGAAACAATCCAAATGTTCATCAACCTGTGAACCAATAAACTGGAATACTGCTCAACCATGAAAAAGAATGAATTACTGATAAAAACAACATTGATGAATCTCAAAGGCATTATGCTAAGTGAAAGAAGCCAGACTTAAAAAATTTACACACTGTGCGAAATTCTCAAAAAGGAAATCTCTATTAGAAGGATGGCTGCCATAGGTTAGGGTAGGGGGAATGGTTTGACTTATAAAGGGCAGTATGAGATCATTTTTCTAGGGTGAGGGAAATGTTCTGTATCCTGATGATGGTGGTAGTTACATGAACATATACATTTTTAAGACTCATAGAACTACACATCAGAAAATGCTAATTTTACTGTATACAAATTAAAAATAAAAGTAAAAAACATTATGAAGTAGGAGTTTTAGTCTGGGTTCCCCAAAAGTAAATCCTGAGATAAAAATTAGGTGCTAGAAATTTATTTTTTAGGTTAACTCAGGAATCAAAAGTGAAGAAATGGGGACAAAGTGAAAAAAGCAAGACAAAGAAAGGAGAAAAGCCAATAGAGCTGCCTTAATGGGTGGCTGCTGTGGGCAATTTGAGCTTCATCGTGCTGAGAATCCTCTAAGAAGCCATGTGAAATATATCTCAGAATCATTCCACCTGGTTGCGAGTAAGTCCCCCTCATCTCCATCTTCCTTTTGGTTGAGGGTTGCCACTAGGAGCATAAACTCTTATGCTTCTAAGTTTTGCAAATGCCCTGGAGAGTTCTCAGGCCAACAAACAGACAGACCCAGGCTCGTGAAGTGGGAAGATGTCAACTGTCTATTGTTGCTCTAGCGAATTCAGGTGGGCTAAGGGATACAGGAAAGCCATTACCAGCATCTGCCAATGAGATATTAGTAATGGCTGCTCTACACAGATGGTTCTGCAATTAAGTGGAGGGAAATTTACCAAACAATGAAAAGAAATGTGTGCAGTGTTAACAACAAAAATTCTAGTCATCAGGGAAAATGCTTACAAAATGCCAGGTATCATACTAGCTTTGCCAGACTTCATATATGGCCATGGAATTCTTCCCCAACAGCCTTATGAGGTAAACATTAATATCCCCATTTTACAAGTAAGGAAACTGAGGCTGTAGGCAGTTAAGTGGCTTTCCCAGGCACACAAACACACACAATACTAGGAGGTCATAAGATCAAGTCTGTGCAACATAGAAGCCCATAGTCTTTCCCATCATGCTGGGCTAGTGTCTTCCCTGATTCATGTTGCCACATAGCATCCCAGAAGGCACAGTAATTCTGAGGAAGCAGTGTACAGCATGGGGCAATCATGAATTGTGATAAAAAGCCAGACCTAAGTTACTCCAGGGCTGAGATCCTGCTTGTGGGAATATCTGAGTCTTCTTTTTCTGGCTGTCTATGGGCATTTTATTACTATTTAGGATCTCCAATAGAATGTGGCTGACAAAAACAAAAGAGAAAGAGATGAGACTCAAACGAATACACTTTATTCCTTACACAAATGTGTAGAAAACATTGAAACTTTGGATGATAAGAAATTGAAAATTGGCACTGGATAATAATTATTTTTACTGCTGCTGCCTTCTCCAGCTGATCTCTAGCTACGACAATTGATCTTGTAGCTTCAGCCTCCTTGACACTGCTGTTGGAACTATACCTTTTATTTTCTTAATTGCTTCTTAATGGGTACTCCTTCATCCCTGAAGATGACTTTGCTGACAAAAGGACATGAACTTGGAGTTGTTTTCCACAGTAGGAAGAATAATATTACAGAGAGCCATCCACATTCCCTCACTCTCTCCCAATCTCTATTGTCATCATAGTGGCTGGACACAGTCAGAGGATATAGACTTTTGGCCAAAGAACAAAGAAACACTAACTGACCCACGTGGGCATTGAACCCCTGACCTCATTAACATTGTTTTCTCACCACCTTGGCTAACAGACAGCCCAATTATGAACACTGAATCAAAGAGGGAAGTCACCTCTTCACCTAGAGCCAAGAAAAGCCTACGACTGCTGGTTTGTTAAAAAGACAATGCTTCTCCAGTCAAATAATCACAGAATGGACATCCACAAGAGATTTCTTGAAATTGTCCCTTCCTTGAATGGCTCAGTTTAGCAAGAATTGTTATCAATGTAGTCTAGTCTGGAAGGTAATGAAGGCTTTGAGAGCATCACTCCGAGACGACGAATGTGCTAAGTGTACTGGAGTATACTTTCTTACAAAGACGCCAAAGACACATGCCCTATTGAATCTTCTGCAGTTGTGATCCCCATTCCTAGCTCCCTCTTTGAATCCCTTCCACACTGTAAGTCCTGACACTTGAAGCTCTGTCTAGGAACAGAATTATTCTTTGGAGTGTCTACTGAGGGATCTATGGCAGACACACTTCAACAATGAGTTTGACAATGGAAATGACTCTTGTTACTCTATGAAAACATAGACGTTCCTCAAAGTGGTTCTTAAAACTTCCCTGTTCTGAAAGATAGAGATTTGTATGATTTATGTTTGGGGGTACATAAGCTTATGTGTCTGTGTAACTGTTTAGGAATTTTTAAAATATAAGCTGAATTACATCTAAATAGTTGTTTTTTTAATATAAGCTGAAGTTATTTCATTGAGCTCCTGTGATGCAATGACTGAATTGGTCAATTAAGATGTGATGCTAGTAAAGCCAAAAATAGTGGCGTGACTCTCAGACCAGTTATAGCCATGGGCCACAACCCTAGCTAGGGCCAACCAGCTCACACATGGTGTGATTTATATAATGAGGACAAGGAGGGATAGCACATGGACAGTTCATTGCAGAAACATCCTCTCTACTGGGAAAGAGAAAAAAAAGGCCAATTCCGATGGCATTTGTTTAGCTTTATACTATGCTCATATATTAAGGGCAGCATTAATTAATGAATAAGAAGACACATGCCCAGAAGCTAGATTTGGCCCATACAAAGGTGAATCACAGTTCCAGACTCCAGACTGTAGCTGTATTTCAGAGTATGGTTTACTCTGTAGAGTATTTGTTGACCCTATGTATTTAGCTGCTAACGCTTTCTTCCCCTCTCCTCTACGTGAGACAATAATTAAACTTCCCCCTATGTCCCACCTCCCAAGCATACACATAAAATTTACAGCCATTGCAAAGCCAAGGTCATGAATTGATCCTGACCCAGTTTCATAGGCATTACTATTGTCCCAAAATCCCATTCTCCTCTACTTACAGGTGCAAGGAAAATTACACAGCCCTGCCCTTTGAAGTTAAGTGTGCCCAGTGTAAGTGGCTTGGGCCAATGAAATGTGAGCAGAAGCATTCAAAACATTTACGTCCTTATATTCAACTCTCCTGATTTTGTGGCGGCAAACCTGGGCCTCCTGTTGAGATGTGAGCACTAGGAGTGCTGGTCCTTAGTCATCCTGGGATCCTGAGTGACATCAATATGGAGCAAAGATGGCCTTGACCCTATACCACCTTTTAGATGTTAGGGTGGGCAAGAAATCAGCCTTTGTGTTTTAAGCCACTCAGAGTTTGGGGTTGTTTCCATAGGCTAGCCCAGTTGCCTCACAAAAGAAGAAAGCACTTCAACCTCTCAGCCATTCAGACAGTGGAGATCAGGTGCCTGAAGTCTTGGGAAGAGTTCTGGGAGCCTAAATGCTCACTAAGGCTCTCCATTCAATATTGGCCCTGATATATGACTAGTTTTATGCCTCAGTTTTCCCTTACCATCAGCTCCTCTGAGTGGGGATTTGACATTATTCATGCCTAGCTCTCTCCAGCCCTGCCATAACACCAATATCAATTTAGTTTTGGGTATCTTCTGCCTGCCACCTGTACTCGGATTCCATCCCCTGGCATGAATTTAGACCCCATCTGAGCCTCTCCTGGTTTGCAAGCTCCCTTCATATCTTCCCTGTGCTGCTGTCATAGCGTGCAGCCACAGGCTCCTCACTCCCTGTCTGTCTTCCCACTTCAGGCCTTGGTAGTCAGGTTGTTGGTGCATCTCATGCAGAGCCCACTTGAGTTTTGAAGACAATTGCTTTTGCCATGTCCCAGGATGTAGTTAAGTTATACGTATGAGCCCAGAGGAACCTGAGAAGGATGAAGTTCCAGAACTAATCCCACTTCTACAGTAGAGCAGTAGGGAGCAGAGTCTACAACAGGCCTGAAGGAAGTCTAATCCAACAGGTGGCATGTGGACTTAGTGGAAATTAGAAACATGGTTGGTGTCAAGATACAGTGTGGCATAAAAAGGGAAGCTTTAGCAGGAAATTCAGTTGAGGTCAACACCAGGAGGCTCAGAAGAGCAGCCAGCATCAGAGAAGTGTGCAAGGCAGCACAAACCCTCAAATGGATAGATGTTGGAGTACCAGTTGCATTTCTGAGATAGGTAATAAGACTGGATCCAGCTCTCAGACCCAGGGCAAATGTGAGCACATGTCTCAGAAACAAGGCCAAGGTCAATAATTCAGCTTTCTAGCCCAAGGTTTGGGGTATTGGAATCACAAAAGACTGTGCTGTCATTCCTGAAATTGTTCATGGGCAAACTTAATGTTTGTCCTGGAGTTTGGGAGAGGATGTGCCTATGCATAGAGGTTAAGGACACTTGACATGAGACAAAGAGGCTGAGAACCAAGCAGGACCTAAGAGAAGTCAGAAGTGAAGCACATTTACAGCATGGTCAGGCCACTGTGAAAAGCAAAGGCTCAAAATTCCCAGATTGAAACAATCTGATGTGAAAACTAACAATTCAAACTCTTGCACAGATGTTGACAAATTTTTCAATCAATGGAACCTTTCTAGATTGGTAGATGGGGTGCCAAGTGTGGACTTTAGCATATCCTGAACCCCCAGGGTATATATGGGGTGGCGATACTAGCTTAGAAAATTGGGGTGGAGCGATGAAGAGAGAGTACCAGTCTCTATTAGCTCTGTCTGCCAGTGTTCAACAAGAACTCGCCATCTGCCACCAAAAGTATAGGAAGATTTGGATCTTTTCCTTAAGGAGCCCTTGTTTTTAGGACCAAAGCAGTAAATACAGTACTGTGAAAGCATTATTAAACAATAGGTACTTTAGTGTCATTTTACATTGACGTGCCTCTAGATACCATAGGATTGCAGAGAAGAGAGAAAGGAATGCTAGAAAAAGCCGAAGAAGTCTTCACAAGAAGGTAGATTTCACACGGGCCTTAAGGAAGGGTAGAAATTGGATAGAGCAAAAGAAAGGGTATATCCGAGAAGAGAAACAGTACAGACAAGGTCCTGGAAGTCAGGTGTGCTAGACAAGAAGGAGGACAGCCAGGTGAAGAGAATAGGGGTGTTGATCAGTAAAATAAGTTGGGGCAGGTGAGCCATCCAGAAGGTAGAAACACCTGCCAGGCAGAGTAGTTTAAACTTGCTAGGGTAGAAATAAGAAAGCCACAGAACGATTCACAGAGAAGACAGCGGTCTCAAAGCAAAGGAAGTGGTTGAAAAGCAGGGGGCCTAGGTCAAAGTCTGGGGAGACCTTGGGCAAGTAACCACACTGCTCCAAGAGCTTGCCAAGGGGCAGTAGTACCAAGAAATAAACTTACGGTGAATGTCCAATTTCAGCTTAAACAGACGCCAGCCCCACAAAGATGTGAAGAAACCCCACCCTGGACTGAGAACAAACCTGGGTTTTTAGCACTTGAAGCCATTGTCTTTCATACTTGAAAGAATCAGGGCCTTCATAGAAATCAACACTCTTCTTGACTAGCCCTCTCTAGCACCTCCATTACATCATCATCCTTGTCGAATACATAGGTATCTCCTGTCACCTGTACGCTGACGCCATTCCATGGAGTGAGCAGAGTGATTGTGTCCTGATATCGTGCCTGTGACGGGCTGGACACAGACACTTCCACCTCATCGACCACGGATCCCTGTTCCTGGCCACCTACACAAATCACCTTCCCCTGCTAGTTTGGAGCCACAGGACAAACCAGGTCCTCCTTCTCTTTCCTGTTTTCAAAGGCCAGGCAGGAGAGATTGAAACCTGCCTGGTGGACCAGAGTTTAGCAGGACCCTGGGAACCTTCTGAGCGGGAATCCTCCGAAGTTCTTGTTTGTTGACTTAAGAGTCCATGGTCTCTAAGATATACAGATCTAAGTTCTAAAAGTCCCTAACACTTCATGTGATAGACATCATGTAATTCGGTTTAAAATGAAAGTGGAAAAATCCGTCAGTCACTTGACTATTTAGTTTTTACCAATTTACAAACTTCTGAACATTTGGGAAATGCTTTTAACCCAAATTTCTTTGGCATAGTGCGGACTCACAGTCACACTTGGTGGCTGCTTCTGATAATTTGGGGGTCATCTTACAGGATGATATTGCACTTCACATGTATTGTGTTTTTTACCAAGCGAAGGTTTGTGGCAACCCTTTGTTCAGCAAGTCTATTGGCACCATTTTTTCTAACAGCATGTGCTCACTTTGTGTCTTTGTGTCATATTTTGGTAATTCTTGCGTTGTTTCTAATGTATTATTATTATATCTGTTATGGTGCTCTGTGATCGGAGATCTTTGTTATTATTATCATTGTTTTGGAGTACTAAGAACTGGGCCCATATAAGATGGCAAACTTAATCAATACATGCTGTGTGTGTTCTGATTGCTCCACTGACGGGCTGTTCCTCATCTCTTTTCCTCTCCCTGTACTTCCCTATTTTAGTAGACACAATAGTATTGAAATTAGGCCAATTAACAACCCCCGCAATGGCCTCTAAGTGTTCAAGTAAAAGAAAGAGTTGCACATCTCTCACTTTAAATCGAAATCCAGAAATGATGAAGCTTTGTGGAGAAGGCAAGCCAAAAGCCAACATAGGCCCAAAGCAGGGCCTCTTGTACCAAACAGTCAAGTCCTGAATGCAAAGGAAAAATTCTTGAAGGAAATTAAAAGTGCTACTCCAGTGAACACAGGAATGATAAGAAAGCAAAACAGCCTGATTGCTGGGATGGAGAAAGTTTGAGTGGTCTGGATAGAAGAACAAATCAGCCACAACATTCCCTTAAGCCAAAACCTAATTAAGAGTAAGGCCCTAACTCTCTTCAACTCTGTGAAGGCTGAGAAAGGTGAGGAAGCTGCAGAAGTAAAGTTGGCAGCTAGCAGAGATTGGTTCATGGCATTAAGGAAAGAAGCCACCACTGTAACATAAAAGTGCAAGGTGAAGCAGCAAGTGCTTATGGAGAAGCTGCAGCAAGTTATCCAGAAGATCTAGCTAAGATTGACACCAATTTTGATAGAGGTTCTGCTATAGATAAAATGCTATCAAACAGCATCACACACTACAGAGAAATCTTTCATGAAAGGAACAGTTCACTAATGGATCGAACTTCCCTGTTGTCTTGTTTTTTTAAATTTCCACAGCCACCCCCACCTTCAGCACCAGCCCCCTGGACCACCCAGCAGCCAACATTGAGGCGAGACCCTCCACCAGCAAAAAGATTACAACTCACTGGAGACTCCGATGATGGTTAGCATTTTTAGCAATAAAGTATTTTTAATTAAGGCATGTACTTTTTTTTAGACATAATGCTATTTCACACTTAATAGGATACAGTATAGTGGAAATATAACTCATATATACTGGGAAACCAAAAACATTGTGTGACTTGCTTTATTGCAATATTTGCTTTATTGCAGTGGTCTTGAGTCAAACGTGCAATTATCTCCAAAGTAAGCCTGTACATTAGTAAGAGGGGCACCGGCATCGTTCAAAAACTCAGCGCTAGCTGTCCTCTATTGACCAGAGTTGATAGTAAGAGTTGCTGTTACAAAACTGTTCCCTTATAGCTGTGAAGATGATAGGATGGCTGTATAATAGAAGTCAGGTGATGGCAAGTCACGATCAGAAGCAAGCTGGGTGCAGTAAGAGTATAAGCATCAAGATCAGCAGGGGAAGCAGGAATTAAGGCCATGGAGATGGTTCATAGAACTTAGCGTTCTAGGGGCAAACTATAAATATATATACAGCCAACAAGCATACTGTGTAGTTTATATGACCAAAAGAAATCAAGGATGGAGGAGGAAGGGATTGAGGGAAGCTGCCCCAGTAAGTCATGACTCCTTGCCCAGTTTCTGGACCTGAGTCCATCACCTGAAGGAAAAGCCAGGTCCCAAGAGGAAGGACCCTGCAATATCATGGCAAAAATTTACAGTACTAATTCCCCCAAACCCTCCCTTAAAGTACCTATGGCTATTGGTTGAGGTAACCACACATTAGGGAAAGGGGGATATTTGAGAACTGTTAGATATTTGAGAACTTTCAGATATGTGAGAACTGTCAGACACGAGGTCTGAGGTGCTCAAAAAGAAACTGGGGGTCCAAAATGTCATTGTGGACCCTTTTAGAACAGGAGCATAAAAAGACAATGTAGCAAATGGAGGCCTAGCCCAGGGCTGGCTCACAGTGAGTCCACTGGGTCAGTGGATCCACTCTGTGGTCATTTCCTTGGCTGCTTGTGGTATAGTTGGAATGGACATACTTGGTAGTTGAAATTGACATACTTGGTGGGTTCCTTGGTCTGTGGAGTATGAGCTATTGTAGCGTTAAGTGCTAACTGAGGGCAGAGGCGTTGCTAGGTAGGGAAAATATGAATGGGTCGTAGAGGAAGGAGATGATAAATACCAGTTGTAGCCTCAATACCAGCTCTTGCAGTGGGAACTGCAGTTAATTTTTCCAAGGAGACCATTCAAAATTCTAGAGGGGCTATTTCCAGAATGGGCAAATTTACTAGACAAATGAAACATATCTGAGTGGCTCAAAGGGTGGACTAGACAGTGTTTACCATGATGTGTCACTCAGCCCTACACACACATACACACATACTCCTTAAAGACCAAGACACTTATTCCCCTCCATTAGTTCATAGGTGAGTTCCTTTCTGGGGATTGCCCTAAACTGAAGACAGCAGCCTCACCAAGATTCTACCCCCTTCCCCGGGGCAGCCCTTCATCTATTGCCGAGAGCTACCTTCATGACTGGCTCAGGCTGAACGCCCTTGCCTCACTCGGAGCCAGGAAGCATAAAATTCCTGGCACTCTTGTCTCAATTTGGGACAGCTCCAAAGAGCCATCCTAACTCTAGAGTTCACGGTGAGATTGGCCAAGCCCCTGTTAAAATTATATCACAGTTCAACTTTCGCCTCTGGCCAATCCCACTTCGCTTGGTCCCTTATGACAGCACTCCCCAATAAGCCACATGCAGACAAGTGCCCATCTCAAAGTTTGTTTTCCAGAGAACCTCCCCTAAAAGAGTTAGGGGCCAAGTATCAGAGATCCAGGCAAATATGAAATATCTGAACAATCAGAGGACAGGATCTATAGCTGGTTCTGGGCAGCCCACATACGCTAGACATTGTGCCATCCATCTTCAGAAGCAAATCAGCCCGCCTTTGCTCAGGGCCAGAGGTAGCCCTGGAATGTGGGTGGGCCTGACCTAACCACATGATAATCATGTAGATTATCCAATGATTCCCAGTAATGTCCAAGGACACACAATAATATCCGATGATGACCCCGTAGCATCACATAGGCAAGGCCCCAAGGAATCCATAAGTAACTCTTTGAACCAGAGTTGTGGGATTTTTCTCAAAGGTAGAGGACTCCTGTGATTAATTTCTTGGGAGCTTTGGAGGCAGCCCTAAAAGTCAAAGCACCCAATGCAGGCTTGCAATCAGCCATTCAGAGGCATTAGTAAAGCAGGATCCCTCGCATTTAAGAGAGTCCCAACAAGCACACCTGGATACAGAACAGCAGCGCTTCGCCACAGGTGGATCACAACCCACCCACGTGAATGGGTTACAGATGTGCACCGGGAGATACTGTTCTCTTAGCCTGCAGCGCAGGGATACAGGGCCTGGAGTAGCCAGAGAGCCCTGCAGTGGAATCAATCTCTTCCAAACCTCCTCCGAAAGTCCCCCTAAAGAAGCAAGATCTGATGCTGCTTCCCTAATGAAAAACTTGCAGAGCATCGAGTAGAAGAGTGAAGGGTATATAAGAGATCACTTTGTGAATTCTCTGGATTTTATATAGATTTCCCCAAATAATTCTCCATAGAGCTTTATTATTTATGTATCCTGTGGTCCTAGGGGCCAATTAAATTGGCCATCAAATCTTATTATAAAGAAAAATTTACCTGAAAGGGTGTCACCTGGGGAAGCACATACCCTTGAAAAGGAAGTGCTGAGTCTATTTCAAACCAAACTCAGGCAGGCTTCTGCCTTCCTGAGGTGAAGGCTGTGTAGATATTACCCAAGCAGTGAGAAAACAATTGTTTCTCATACTACTTATCCTTGAAGGCATAACCAACATACTTCTGAATTTTCCCAGGCATCCTTCTTCCCACTTTGCTTAATGGCACATAAGGTTCCATGTCAGAAAGAAGTGCCAGTGATCTTCTTTCCCTTTATCTGCTGCAGGGCAGTGTCAGGTAGCGTTGTCTATCCAGGTAGAGGGCCTCAAGGAGACTCGGGCAGGGGGTGGGTGGGAGGCATTTTCTTTGGCAGGAAGCCATGCTTCCTACATGCCCCTGTACCTGGGCTCTCCACCATGGCCTCAGCCAGGCCACTTGACATGGGCCTCAGAGAGATTCAGCTGGGAAACATGGAACTGCTGGTTGTTTAGGGTGAGCTACTTTGACACTCAAAGAGAAAAGAAGCCCTGTACTTACCAAGAGTTGTTGTTGTGAATGGCTCACACTGAGTGACTCCAGCTCACCCCCAAACCCAGGAAGTTTCTCAGTTCTTTTGTGTGATAGGTTTTCTCCTGTGTTTGAGTCAGAAGGAAGTCAGGCACCAAAGAGAAGTTACACCAGCTCCTCCAGGCTCACCAGCTTGGCTCTGAGTGCAAAGCAGGAACTGTTTAAGATTTGCACCTCAAAGAAAGTGCCAAGTATTTGTCTTCCTGTTGCTGGGTGTTAGGCTGAACAGAGAGTGGGATGCTAAAGGTTTTTGTGTTTACCACCTCCTGGATTTTTCATGACAACTTTACATAGTCTTCCCCAGCTACTGAACTCATACAGATCAGAGCAAGGTCTCTTTGCTTCCAGTTTTCTCCTCCTTTACAACAGCAAACAGATTCTCCTGAGACTGGCAGCATTTGTTTTCTCAGCCCACTAACTCCAACTACAGTACATTTCCTCCTTATCATCACTATTTAGTCTGTAATTATTCCAGTCTACTAACTCCCATAGAGGTTAGGGAGAGCCGTGGCTAAATTGCATAAATCACTGATTTTGGGTCCTACATTGTCATTAATAAACTCAGGACATGGCAGTTACTAGAGGCCCAGTGCCTCAAATTCAGCGTACAGTACATTTATGCTTACAACCTGGGGAAGGAAAAAGAAGCTGCTGGCAAGGACCTGCAATGAAGGTCAGAGGTTGCATTTAACTCCATTGTGATTGCAGAGTCTATTTATTCTCTTGTCCAAACATGGTTAATAACAAGCTAATTTGGTTAAGTTATGAGAATGGCATCTAAAACAGTATATAAATGAAATTCTAATCAAGCCCAAACCCACCCTTTCCCAAAGCTTCAGACCACTATATCTCAAGCTACTCTGATGTTTAGCTCTACTGGGAATGGAAGGTAATCAACCTAAAATACAATTACTAAAAAATCCCATCCTGAAATATTTTCACTTAACCTCACATAGCAGAGGTATCTTCCGTTGAATGGCCAGTGAACATCAGCAAAGGGGGGTGGCATGGGTGATAGGGGAAGACCTTCGGAGTATGTCCTCAGTCTCAACTAGAAATCACACTGGCTTGCAAGCCTGCACTAATTTCTAGGGCTGGCTAAACTATGTCTAATTAGATGTGCACATGTAGGGGCACTGGAGGGAACAGTCATCTTCCTCACCAGCTAGTCAAGACCCCAAAATTACACCAAAGCTCTGGAAACACAGAGAACAAGAAGATCAAGAGCTGCATAACCCCGCTGGTGTTCTAGAATTATTTATCATTCAGAAAACTCTGCATTTCTCATTTCTCTTCTGTGTCTTAAGTGGACCCATGCATTAAAAATCTAGTTGTTGTAGATGGTAAGAAATGGTGTGTAGCAACTGAGGACAGGTCTGTGACTTGGCTTTGAGTGGGTAATCCACCTTAGGAAGAAGCTGGCCTATGGTGCCCCTGCAGGGCTCCGTGGAAGTCATTTACATATGCTCTTTAGAAGTGCCCCTCTTTTCCTAGCCCTTGGGGATGTCACAGATGGCAAACACGGAAGGCTCACTGAACCCCAACATCTGGTCAATAGTTTCCACCTGAAGAAGGAGAGTTAAATCTCTTATATGAGTGGTTACACACCAATCCTGGATCCTCCATCTCCTCTGCTTCAGGAACAATTATCTTGAAGTTTTAGACAGATTTTGAAAACATTTGAAACCCAGGAATAGCTGTCTCAGGATAACATACTTTTTAATACAGAGATTTACATATTGGAAGAAAGTCAATAAGAGAAGGGACTTTGGGGAAGGAGGAAAGGAAATTTAATGAAGAGAAAATGAGGTAGATGACTAAATAGTTCAAGTCAGACTAGCATTTTATTTCCTATCCTGTACTGTTTCTAAACTAATATTTTTATACTTTGGGTCTATCAATAAGAACTGGTTAAAAAAAATAAGTAGGGAGGGAACCTTAAAATAAATGGTAACACTAATAGAGACCCAGGGACGGAGCCTTCTCTGAAATGCACAGCTTGCTGCTCCACATACAGTATCTTGAAAAATCTTTACTGCCTTCAAAGATACAGCCCTTGGCACCCAGCACTATGCCTCCAAGTTTAGAATGTGGACCTCCATATTTATGTTCCCCAGATGGTGGAATTTATAAATGCACCATGGGGTGCTATTGAAATTAATAATTCAATTCATTTCAGTGATTGTGCCTTGATTGCTAGTCATTATGACAATAGCAGTTAGCAGAGTCTCTCGGTACTGGGATGTAGCTGAAGGGTAATATCAGGGAGAGCAATTCCTCTGTCATCCGATTTCAAATGCAGTCAATCCCTTCTGAATGGGGAATAGCCAAAAGTTTCTGGAATGAAAATGAAGGCAGCATCAACATAGATGAAGGTGGCTTCAATTTATGTGATTTCAAAAGTTTGAAATCAATCCTCTAAGGAACACTGGAATGATTTGTGATTGTTTTCGCTTGCAGAAGAAAAAGATAAGAGGAAACCCAATCACCACCTCCAAATACACAAATCTTTCACTCTGTGTCTGTGAAGAATCTGTAACCAAATAATTGAAAATTAACTGCACTTTTATTTTATATTCCCACTTGTCTGCTTATCAAGGGAATATACTGGCAGCTGGACTAAATGACTTTTAAGTCCCTTCCAGAGATTCTCAGAGATTCCCTGAGCCTATGACTGGGGGGACAGAGGGGAAGTAGTGACTCTGCATTTTCTCAAGGGAAGAATTTTCTTCTCTCAGCCTAATGATCTGGAAGCCCAAATGTGCAAGAGGGAAAATTATTGGGCACTGGCACACATAAGTGTGGCCAATGTGAAAGAACCTGCTGGAATTTTTCACTCAGGAGGCTGTAAGTGCCTTGGATTTACACAGTGCCTTTTCTTCTCTATGAAGCCTAAACCATTTTTCACATTTCCCTCATAATCCTCAAACTTTTTGTTTATCACAGAAGGCCTGATTTATAGATTCTCGATCAATAGCTAAAGAAACTAATATATGAATAGTAAAATGATCCAAAAGAAGTTAGAAGTAGATTCCTTTCCCCTGACTCCCAGGCCTTTGCTCCATCCACTAGCTTTCCCGTTTAGGATACACCATTTCAGTCAATCCCCACAGCCCAAATGAGCAAGAAAAGAATCAGAATGCTTTCCCACATCATTATGGACTGAATGTTTGTGACTACCCCCAACTCCCGCTTAAATTTATATGTTAAAGGCCTAACTCCTAGCATGGCTTTATTGAAGATGGGGCCTCTGAGAAAGTAATTAAGATTAAATAAGGTCATAAAGGCACAGCCCCAATCTGATAGATTTAGTATCTTTATTATAAGAAGAGACATGACATTTCTCTCTCTCTCTCTCTCCTTCTCTCTCTCTCCCTTTTTCTCTGCCATGTGAGGAAGAGCACTGTCACCAAAAAACAACCCTGCAAGACATTTAATCTTGGACTTCTAGCTTCTAGAACTATCAGTTGAGCCACCCAATTTATGGCATTTTTATTATGGCAGCCTGAGCAAATTAATACAGATTTTAACATCAGAAGTGGGGTGCCACCGTAACAAATACCTGAAAATATATGCAGAAGTGGCTTTGGACCTGGGTGATGGGGAAAGGCTAGAAGAGTTTTGAGGTACATGCTAGCTTCAACCTAGATTGCCTTGAAGGGACTTTTGGTAGAAATATGAAAGTTAAAGGCAATTCTGGTATGGGCTCAGAAAGAAAAGACAAGAGGTACAGAGAAAGCCTCTATCATCTTATGGGATATGTATATCATCATCAACAGACTATTAGAAACATGGATGTTAAAGGCCATTCTGGTAAGGTCTTAGATGAAAATGAAGAGCAGGTTATTGAAAACTAGAAGAAATGTGATCCTTGTTATAAGGTGGCGAAGAACTTGGCTGAATTGTATTCTAATGTTTTGTGGAAGACAAAACTTGCCAGCAACAAAATTAAATATTTAGCTGAGGACATTTCCAAGCAAAGTGTTGAAGGAGGAGCTTGGATTTTCCTTATCACTTATAGTAAAATGTGAGAGGAGAAAGAAAAATTGAAGGAATTGTTAAGCAAAAAATGAACCAGAATTTGAAGATTTGGAAAATTCTCAGCTTATCTATATTGAAAAAAAAAAAAAGGAGAAAGCTTGTTCTGAAGAGAACACTAGAAGTGTGACTAAACAATTGTTTAATAAGAGATTAGTATGGGTGTAAACCTTGAATTCAATCAGCCACCTCAGCAAACCCAGGAATAGAGATGGGATTATACCAGCAGAAACTCTGCCAGCTGGACTAAAAGATTAAAGAGGATGGAAAAAATGGTAGGAGATGAAAGAAACTGTCAGACTTCTGGGATTCTACAGGACTGGACAATAGAGCTATCTGGCCAAGAATATGCTTTATTCTTCAAGAAAAGGAAAGAATGACCCCAAAGGCAATTCAGAGATCATCAGGGCTGATACTTCCAGCATAGGCCCAGTGGGGCCTCTTCAGTTTTGGGGGACCAGGTTGCCACTGCCAAGAGCCTCAGAGGCAAGGCCATGGTCTGGTGCTATGAGGGTGAGGCTGCCCCCATGGAGCTAAAGGGTACCCTATAATTATGTTGGGTGATGCTGTTGCCCCAGTGGACCTGGAGGGCTGAGCATTGAATCAAAGGCTGTTCTTGAGCCTTAACATCTAATGAAATTTACCTTGCTAGGTTGTCGACTTACTTGGGAGTCATCACCCCTTTCTTCTTTCTGATTTCTTCCTTTTGGGGTCTCTTCCTTTGGGAAGAGAAAGCACCTCTTTCTTTCTGTGCCTGTTCCACCATTGTATTATGGAAGCACATAATTCATCTGGCTTCACAGGATCAGAACTGGATAGAAATTTTGACTCAGGATGAATCGTACCTTGAGTCTCACTCATATCTGATCTAGATGAAGTTTAGATGAGACTTTGGACTAGACTTTGGACTATTTCACAATCAATGGGTTAAGACTTTTAGGGCTGCTGGGATAGAATGAATGTATTTTGCATGTGAGAAGGACATGAATTTGGGTGGGGCCAGAGAGCAAATTTTGTGAACTGAATGCTTCCGTCCCTCCCAAATTCATATGTTGAAGCCATAACCCCCAGTGTGGCTGTATTTGGAGATGAGACCTTTAAGGAAGTAATCAAGGTTAAATGAAATCTTAAGGGTGGAGTCCTGATCCAATAGGATTAGGGTTCTTATAAGATATACCAGAGAGCAGCACCCTTGCACATGCACACACACAAACAAATCCACCCCAACGAAAGGCCAGGTGAGGACATAGTGAGACAGAAGCCATCTCCAGGCCAGGAAGAGAGCCCTGATCAGAAACTGAGTCAGCCACAACCTTAATCTTGCACTTCCAGCCTCCAGAACTGTAAGAACATAAATCTCTATTGTTTAGGCCTCCCAGTTTATGGTATTTTGTTATAGCAGCCGGAGCTGACTGAGACACACACCGTTCCCATCAGTACTAATCCTGCACAAGCCTCCACACTCAGACTCTGCTACCCCTGCAGAGAGGGAAAGGGACAGTTTAGAAACAGAGCTGGAGCTGAGACACACGTAGTCGCTCCCAAGCAGAGGGCTGGGACTCGGCAGCCAAATAAAGACCAGACCACTTCTCTCGTTTGCTTCACTTTCCAGTCTAGTGTGGGTCAAGGAGCTCTCAAGGTGGAACCAGGATAAAGAAGCGTAACTACCTTTTTGTTCCAATCTGGTTTCAAGGAAACCTTTAAAAAGACTGTGGATTTGGAAGAGTGGCAACAAAAATGTGCCCTATTCTTATGTTTTAGGGGCTTCACAGTAAATGTCCCTGATGAACTAAGTACATGGTAGTTACAAGAGAGATGCCTTCAGTCATTATGCTAAGTGATTAGGGTGAACATCACACGAGAGAAATGCCCAGGATTCCCTCTTAATCCCTCTAAGTACCTCACCTCTTGCTTTCCTGGCAGTTTGCACTTCTGGAGTAGTGCTTCTCACACTTGCCTCTCTGTGTAGTCTGCAGGCTCTGAGAAAGTGTGCCCTACTCACCTTCAGTGCTATCCCCCTGACACCAGCATGGGGGATTCACATGGGGGAGAGGCTCAGTAAATGTTACTAAATTATATTTGTCTGATTAGTGGAAATAAGAGATATCACTAGAGCAGGATAGAACTTGTTCATCAAAAGAAGAGGCAAGAAAAGCCAAATCTCCCTAAGAGTATTTCAGTGGTCCCAGACCCTTTCCTATGTGACAAGAAAGTGATGTTTAGGTGGCATTTTTCTCAAAAAATGCAGGGTCTCCTCTACTGTCAACATTGAGGGTCTTGTGGGATGGGTAGGGACTTTGAGCCATTGCTTTTTCCCTCTTCTTCATTGCTCTCATGCAGTTGTTATTGTTGCTGCTGGCATTTCAAAAATCATCACTTATTCTTGAAAATGCCTTCCTGTGGGACAGCAAAATATGTAGCAGAGAGAGCCTTGGACTAAAAGTTAAGTGGATTAGGTCTTAATCCCACTACTTTCCCAAACTCTCCGTGTGAACTTGGGCAGATCTTTAGGTGCCCTTTTTCCCAGCTTCCTCTTTAAGGGTGGCATGGTGTAAGGAGAGTGGATTTGGGGGTAGAACGAACATGAGTTTAAATGCCAGACTTTCCTGTTATAAGTTATGTGGCCCTGGGCAAGTGACTTCACTCTCTTAGCCTCAATTTCTTCATTTCTACATGAGGATAACACATGTCCTACTGTATAGTGTTGATAAGAGCTTTAAATATGTTCGTGTATGCCAAACACTTCACAGAACACCTGGCACAAAGCAGGCATCCAAATATGCTATTTGCTTCACTCTTCCATAAAATGGGGCTTAATCCTCTGCTCTTCATACAGTTGTTTAAAGGATCAAATGAGATTGTAGGTAATAAAGATCCCTGAAAACTGCAAAGTACTATACACTTGTAAAGTAGTCACATGGGATTAAGAGAAACAGAACATGAATGACTAGCTCCTCTTGGATTATGCTCCAATATCCAAAGAAAATTGCCCAATATTTTCAAAGTATTTTTAAAACAATGTTAAAGAAGGAAACCAACATGAATTGCTTTATGATAGAAGCCATGGTGGGGGTTGGGGAAAGGAGGAAATGAAACTTCAAGTGTGGTAGGATATGGGCTGATGATAGAAGTGGCTCTGATTCATACCTATGTCCTGGTCCATCAGCAAAGTTTCATTCAAGCCCAAACTAAAAGTATCAGAAGAAAAAGACTAGTCCAATTACCATTTTGGTCTGTTTTTGGTGTTTCATGCTCACTGGAAAATCTGAAGATGGGTAATGGCAAAGTGTCTTTGTCGTGCCTCGTGCTGAGTGTGCCTGGCATATCAGAACACCTTGGCCATCCTCTGTTCGTAGGACAGCACTTTCCAGAATGGTGCATGGAATGCTATTCCACACAATGTTACAGGGCTCTGCAGTCCAGGAAGTTCAGGAAAATCTTTATTCTATTCTCGGACAGTCACAGGTCATATTCATAAAGTAAAAGTCCTGAGAAGTCCTATAGACAGGTATATTTGTATAACCCAGACTTTCCCAAACTAATTAGACTGTAAGACTTTCCCCCTTCCTTCAATCTGCAAAGTCATATCAGTTAGAACAATATTCTCTAGAAACAAAAATACAAGAAAAGTTTTGTCTGCCCACCAGGGACCCTGTTCTGCTGTGCTGGGACCACGTCCTTACGCAGCAGAGCATGGTTGGAAGGAAACATCATCAGCTCCAGGACCTTTGCTAGATAATTGTGCTTATTCCTCCATCAGTGTGGTGAATGTGGGATGCCTCTTTGAGGAGCAGAGATCATAAATGCCCTTTCAGTGTAACAAATATTCACCACCATGAGCCCCTGCAGAGGGTCTTGGGCAAAGGAGCCCTATATAACCTCATGCAGTACCAGAGCACATTCCTTTCCTGGGTTTAGACACCATGATTCCCCATAACAATGGGAAGGTAAGGAGAGGGAGGAAACAAAGGTACTTCCCTCATTCCAGAATGAAACAACAAATGCATCAAAAATCAATTCAAAAAACTTGTTCTCCCTCCCCTTCTCAAAACCCTTGATTTCCGATCAAAACAGTTGGTAAGCTTGCCATTGAGAGAAATCTGGCATCTTCGAGGTTGTTACACAGTTTTCTGAATTCACTCTCTAAACATGGTTCTAGCTTAAAGAGCAAAAGCTTAAATTGAGCAGGAAAAAGTCACACAGGATAACCGGGCACATGTTTTACATCCTCTTTTCCCAGCACCCTGCAGGGGCATGCGCACACACACATGCACACACACACACACACACACACACACTTATTCTTCTATTTATTTTCCTCCACTATTCATATTCATTGGCATCATCCTTTCCTCCCAGTGATGATCTACTCCATTGTCTTTTTGCCGCATAATTCAGTTCAAGACAATTGTTTCTTATCCACTGTGTGCCAGGCACTGAGCTTAGAGTCATCCGTTCTCAGAGTCATCTTGGAGCAGAGTCATCTTGGATACCGCCCCCTTCTGCACAGTGTCTAACTGATCACAAACTCCTATCAATGCTGCTGCTCTGATCACAAACCCCTATCAATTCTGCCTCTGAAATTTCACCCAAATATTACCAGATCTCTTTCCTTACTGCCCTCTCCTTATTTCTCACCCAGAAAATTGCAGCAGCCGGTTGTGTCTCCTTGCCTTCAGCATTTATCCATTTCCAAACTATTTCAGACATAAATCTGATTATGAATTCATAATGCAAAGATCTTCGATGGCTCTGCATTTTCCACAGAAAATAATCCCAACTTTAGACAGTGGTCTAAGGGGTCCTTCAGAGTCTAGCCCCCAGTTACCTATAAAATTCCAAGTTTCCAGGACTCCTGCCTTCTTCTTTTCCCCTTTCATACCTCCCCTAATAGTAATGCCGGGTCTAATTCATCACTGTAACATCAGTACACAACCAGGACTGGTACATTCAGGTACTCACCAAATCTATGTCCAGTGATATGTGGCACAGATAGACGGATGGATAAATGGAAAAGATGTTTCCTATTTCAGCAGCAATAGGGAAGCAAGTGTATGCTTTCCTATTGCTGCTGAAAGAAATTACCACAAACTACGTGGTTTCAAACAATACAAAGTTATGATATTATAGTTCTGGAAGTCAGACATCCAAAATGAGGCAGCCGGGCTGTGTTGCTTCTGAAGGCTCCAGGGAAGAATCTGTTTGTCTTTTCCAGCTTCTAGAGGCTGCCTGCATTCGTTGGCTTATGGTGCCCTCCATCTTTAAATGCATCACTCCAATCTCTGCTTCCATAGTCTCATATCCTTCCTCTCTCTGCATCTCTGACTTTGACACTCCTGCATCTCTCTTATAAGGACTCTTGTGATTGCATCATTGGGCCTTCCAAGATAATCCAAGATGCTCTCCCTATCTCTTGATCATTCATCATATCTCCAAAGTCCCTCTTGCCATTATTCACAATTATGTGGAGCCATTTTTCAGCCTTCCACAGTGAACAAGTACATTTTTTAAGAGAGTTTATGATGGGTGTCGCATAAACTGCCAGGGGAAATCATAAACAGGTGAGCCTGAAGTCTGCCTAGAAAGGCAAAGAAAAGCATTACAGATGGAATGGTTCTTAAACTGTGTTTGAAGAACACACAGGTGTTCTAACTGGACAAAGGGAAGCAGCCTATCCAACTGGAGGACACAGCATAACCAAAAGTAAAGAGGCCTGGGGATGGGGGCAGCAGGTGGGCATGACTGAAGCACAAGGTTCAAATATTGGAGGTGGAGGGCAGGACCTTACATGCCAAGCTGATGAATTTAGAGTTTAATCTGGAGTCTGCATGGAATCATCAGCAAAGCAATCAGGGATATGACATACTATATTCTAGAACAGCATCATCCATTAGAAGTTCCTAGAATGAATGAAATATTCCCTGTCTGCACTATTCACTTAGCCACATGGGCTACTGAGGACTCAATATGTAGCTAGGGTAACTAAGAAACTGAATTTTAAATTTTATTTAATTTTAATAAATTTAAACTTAAATAGATGAAGGCAGCTAGTGGCTACTGTACTGGATAATGCTATTCCAGAAATATCATCTGGAGAGTGAATTGAAGGTAATTTGGAGGTGCGGGAGACTGAAGGCAGGATTCCAGAGAGCATGTACCCAGGTGAAAAGTGATCACAACCTGAACCGAAACAGGAGCAGTTGAAATCATGTTTGGTGGAGACATTAAAGGGAAATGTCAAATGTAGGATTAGGGGGATTTGGTTGATTGGATCTAGGCATAGTCAAGACATGGATGCATCTCTGTTTCTCATTTGGGTGGCCGAATGATGCTATTTACCAAGCAAAAGGGACAGAGTTAAAGGTAAGATGAATATCTTAATCTGTTAACAAACCTAATTTTTAGATACCTATTAGTAAAGACATTCCAAAATACCTATGTGTAGAGCCCACGAGAGGGAGATCTGGAATGACGAACTGGGTTTGGAAACTATCAGTGACAGGTGATGGCTAAATCCCAGGGCATAGCTCATTTTGCCCAGGAGGAGTAAAGAGCATAGAAAAGCCAAGGCCAAAAGACAGAACCACAAGAAGCACCCTCATTTAAAAAACAGCAAAGGCTGGGAAGCATAAATTAATGAGCTACAAGGAAAGATGGAAGAGAAGGGGTTGTGGGCTCCCAAAGAGGGAAGAGACTCCAAAGGAAATTGTCAATTTCCCTTAGGGAAGTCAAATGTGACAATGACTGACAAGCTGCCATGGGATGTGAAATGGCAGGATAGTTTCAATAGTGTTGGGGGTGTGGAGAGGGCAGTGGAAGCCAGAGGATTTATGGGTGATTGGAGGAAGAAAGTGGGGCACCATCACAGATCCTTTGTTTTAACTCTGGTCTCTGTGAGTTTGACGGTCAAGAGAGAAAGAGAAGCAGAGCAGGAAAGAAAGAGGAACGTGAGAGTAAAAGGACAGGTGAAACTTGCACCGATTTACAAGCTGCAGGAAAGAAGACCAAAGTGTCGGGGAAGCTACAAATGCAGGAGAAAGAGGGAAGGGACATAGAGGGGCTGACAGCTATCCAGACCAAGCAGTCTTGTCTTTAGCTTTCCATAAAATAAAAGAAAATAGAAAAACATATATCTAGATTCCATTTTTTAAATCCCCATTTAAAAAGTAATTGTATGTGCACAAATAGTACAGTCTGTTGTCAAATGTAAGCAATAGCACAGATATTTATCAGTATGCTTTCCCTACCAGGCCATTTTGGGAGTACACATTTAATTAAAGTATATCTTGTATTTCTATCAAAATCTCTGCCAGGGAATGACTGACGGAGCATTCAGAACCCCTGAGAATCAGCCCCTGGCCACTAGCTGAGCAGAGGCCAGAAGGGCCTTCTTTCCAGATGGCTTCAGAGGAGAGTTTATGCAGAGCAAAGCTACAAGAAGATAAGATAAGAACACTTTGCTCCCTCAGGTCCCCCATTGCTCCACCCCCTGCTCCCCCAAGACACATGCCAGTAAACCCTACTGTTGCATGAGAGTGGGACAGCACAGTTCCCACCTGGGCTCATCTTCCCTTTAACTCAGAGAAGGCCAGCTGGCTTAGAGTTGTCCCTTAGAAGAGGCCTCAGGGAAGGTCAGGGGAACCGAAAGGGAAAATGGGGGAGCAGGAGGGAGCAAGAAAGAGTAAGATGGAATTCCACAACCCAATGAGTTGTGGGAGGGAATGTCAAAGTAAACCAAAATTTATGTTACCCATTTTAGATTTTGGCCTTGGGAGTATCAAGGAAACATAGAGAGTTAGATAATGTACTATGGGAAGGGTGACTCTAGGCCAGCACCTTGCAAGCTCTTGGAGAAAGAGGAGGAGTAAGGGTGAAGGGGAGAAGAGGGGAGAGGGGAGAGAGAAGGTGGGAGGAGGTGGCATAGAAGTCCAATGCAACTGTGTTTTGCTATTCTCTCAATTTCTCACATCATCAGCCCACATTCCCAGTCAAGTGCCGGGGTTGAAAATCTGTTAAATGTTTATGTGACTCTCATGGAAGCTTTCCTTCTCTTTATTGGCACTCAAAATGGTGGCAGCCTGGCCCTGTTTATTCATTAATGCCTCTAAGTCAATACTGAAGAAGAAGTCAGAGGACTAGCAAATGGCAAAGCCAACAGCTCTTTCCTATGTCTCCAAGGAAGGGAGAATGTTCAAGACAGCCCATATTCCTTTCTGTCAGAAGCTAAAAATACAGAAGAAAAAAATAAACTTCCAACCAGTTGAGAAATTTTAAAGGTAACTTATCATTTTCAGATCAGGAAAGTATGGCCCAGAAATGCTAAATGAATTGTCCAAAGAAACAGGCTAGAGCCAAGATCCCCAGATCCATATTTAGTTCCCTTTCCACTGACTCAGAGGTTTTCAAACTGTTGCCTGGAGGTATTGTGGAGAAGCGGACAGCCAGGAGGAAGCCCAGTCAAATAGGCAGACTGCTTTCTTAACAGTCAACCATGGTAATTCCCTTTCATCTGACACACACATATACACACATACACACACACACTTACACACACATGCATGCACACAAACACACACATGGCTTTTGCATAATATTACATTTGAAGGAATTTTCTGTTACTAAAACTAAGTTTTAAAAAAACACCGTTGCCATACTTAACGTTTTATGTACAACAAGACCTCAGGCCTTACTCTATAAACTAATTGTCAAATACACAGCCTTGTTTTCAATATGAGTGTGATTTATGACTGATGAGGGACCTGAGTGAATAAAAAGAGTGAGAATTAATTCAGGAAGATACTATATGACAAGCGGACCATCACTAGGAAGTGTATGACAATAGTTGCATACACTTTTGCAAGCACTGAAATCACCCAAAGAGCTTGTTAAAACACAGATTGTTGGATCTCACACTAGAGTTTCTGTTTCAGAAAATGTGGGGTGGTGCCCCAAAATCTGCATTTCTAACAAGTCCCTAGAGGCTGCTGATGCTGCTGCTTCAGGGACCACCCTTTGAGAACCAATGGTACAGAGTGTAGACTGTTGAATAGGAGTTAGTTCTATCATGAGGTCTTCATGATGCTTCAAACTGAACTTTCAGTGTAAAACAAGAAGGACTCCTTTTAGAGGCAATATTATTCAACCAGTGAAAATAATACTTGGGAACTTCGTAAGACATGAAAAAGTATAAGATTGAATAAAAAATATGACTTCAGTGAGAAAATGTAATAGGAAGAAAAGTGAAATATGCTAATAATTTTCTCTGCTGTATAAAACAGACATTGACCTCTAGATTTTGTGCAGGTATGGTGGTTGGTGGTTGGGGCAGAAATAAATGTGTGTCCTAGTTACTCGTTCATATAAAAACCATTTATAAACATTGGAGTTTGGAGTAGAAATAAATCCCTATTTATATGTGCATGAGTATCATATGCACTCATTCTTTCCACAAATATTTACAAATTCCTGCTATATAACAGGCACTAGGGGGAAAGACACATGTTCATTGCCTTTAGTCTGGTGGAGGAAACAGGAAGTGAGATAAGAGCTAAGAGAAATGTATGGAAAATCCTACGAAGGGGGAACCATTTGGTTTGGTAGATATTGAGCTCTGTTTGGAATGGTGTATATTTGGGTTGTATGTGTCTGTAACTCATGAGGGAAACCTGGGCTGGAGATGTAGACTGGCCATCCCTATCTATTTATGGGTATAAATGATTTCTCCATGAAAACAGGTGTAGTGTGAGAAAAGGAATATTAGCATTTATGGGTCAGGTAGAAGAGGAGTAGCCAGCAGAGAAGAGTGGGAGGCTGACTGTGGACTAATAGAAATGTAAAGATAACGTATACAATTAAGGTCATATTAATATTTATGTTTTGAGCACCAATAACTTATTTACTTGAAATAATATGTCTTTAGTAATTTAGTCAATATGCCCTGTGAGAAAGAGCTAACATGCTAAATTACTCATAGCATGTCTTATACTTCCCGGTTAGAATCCAACCTCACTTGTATTTTCACATATCCTGGTGTCTTATGTAAGTAAACAAAAGATAATCCCTCACAGAAAGCTCTAAAACCCTAATTAATAATTTTCCTAATAGTTTTATTCTTAGGGCCATTAGCTTTCAGTCATTTAGTCTTGAAATGCCGTTGAAATTTACAAAGATAAAATGCTACTCTATAAGAGAAATGAACAAACCATCGATACTACAACATGGATTAATCTTAAATGCATTTGCTAAGTGAAAGAAGACAGACCTAAAAGGCAAATACCACATGATTTCATTTATGTGACATTGTGGAAAAGACAAAACTTATAGAAACAAAGAACAGATCAGTGACTTTCAGGGGTGAGGGGTGGAAATTTTAACTACAAAGCAACAGCACAAAGGACTGTTGAGAATGATAAAAGTGTTCTGTAGCTTAATAACAGTGATGCTTACATGATTCTATACATTTGTCAAAACTATAAAACTCTAAACCTCAAAGAGTAGATTTTACTATATGTAAATTTAAAAATAAATAAAAATCTTAAAATATCAATCTCTAATAGTTACTACTTCAAAGGATGCTATGGTTTGAATGTGTCCCCCAAAGTTCATGTGTTTGAAACACAATCCCAAATGCAACAGTGCTGAGAGGCGGGACCTTTAAGAGGTGATTAGGGTGTGAGGGCTCTACTCTCCTCTCTTGAATACATTAATGTTGTTATCTCCAGAGCAGGTTTTCTATAAGAGCAAATTCAGCTCTCTTTTTTTCCCTCTTGCACCGTCTTGTGCTCTTTCATCTTCTCCCATGGGATAACACAGCAAGGAGGCCCTTACCAGATGCAGCCCCTCAATGTTAAACTTCCCAGCCTCTAGAACCATGAGCCAAATAAACTTCTGTTGTGTATAAATTACCCAGTCTGTGGTATTCTGTTATAGCAATAGCAAAATGGACTAAGACAAAAGGATCTTATTTAAAATAAATCCAACTTGTCATTTTATGATCAAATCATCTACGCGCACACACACACTCATTCCTTCTTGTAGAAATTCCATACAAAGTTATTTATTTGCTAGTAATCTTACTCCAGGGGTGTTTAGTTGACTTTCCCGAGACAGAATAGAAGGTGGCTGTTCAACTCTTTTTCCTGAGGTGCCTCAAATTTCTACTTGTTCATTAAGAGAATTCTCCAGAGACAGATGTATTACAGCACTTTGAGAACTATATTCACACCCATTGCTGAAGAGTGAAAAGAGATAGCTCAAGGTTCCACTCTGTGAAACAATTTAGTGGCTAAATGTGTTACTTAGGAACTAAATCCAAGCAGGTACTTAAAAAGAAGCAATTGAACATAGTGACAAATACTTCCCAGAGTATATGGGTATTTAGACTTCTGCTTAAGTCTTCCATTCCTGCATCTGTGCACATATTACACTTCAAGTACACATCTCTTTATATACTCTATTACCTCATGGCCATTACTTGTGGGTGATGAATGCTAGTGTTCACAGAACAGCGTGCTGATGCATTTTTTCCTGCCATTGTATGTAACATGTTTTCTAATTCTTTTGCTCTATTCAGCATTTGACCCCAACGATGGGGGATTATGGTATTAACTCTCTACCCAGCACACATTCTTTACAGACTCTCACTAAATACTGTAAGCCTGCTGCAGAGAGGAATAAAAGTGAAAGCATACCGTCTGGTCTTAAGCTGAGCACACAGAGGGTCGTGATCCAATTGGAAGGGAAGCAGAATTTTTAAAAAGAAAGAGGTTTGACCAAATTTTAATCCATGTCATTTTCATTTCTCTTACCCTGTGGATTTGGGTGATTTTATTTACACTGTCAGCTTGAGCCTAGGGATTGGAAATCAGGCTTTTATGGAGATTATTAAAAGTACATACAGTACACTAAAGGTTGGGCTAACTCTGATATATGCTGCTAAAAATATGAATGTGAGTGCCCTGGTATTAGAAGCCACGGGCGTACATTTCATCCTCCTTAGAAGGTTATTCTTGGGAGCTGGCCCTGCTGCAATGGTAATGAGATGCAGGCTGTCAGGATATTTCTGATAGGTAGCAAATGACCAGAGATGGAGATGAATCAGCATTACTCAGATGAGAAGGTAGCTCTTTATACCATTAATTCCAATCCAAAGTAATTCCACCATCCTTCTCCCAAAAGAGAGGGCACTGTAAATGTGGGGGAGGGGAAGAGCAGAAAGCTAAAGCTCCAAGGATTTACTGATGGTTTGGACGGGCTGCAATGTCATCCAAGTTTCTAGGCTGAGTTTTGTTGAGTCTGAGCTTCTCAGATGCATCACCAGTAACTTTCAGTTAAGTAATGTCGTATAGGCTTAGTTAGGTTACAAAGATAACGCTCTACACCTCAGTCAGAATCTTTAAGATCTCAATAGATAAAAATGAAACGGTTTATCAGATCTCAAAATACTAGGAGCATTCACTCTTTAATGAGGTAGATTTAGGATCTCAAAGATGTGAAAGTACTATTTTACAAAGCAGTTGACTATGAGGGCCTTGTGTCCTTGCAAGGTTATATATTATGACCATCTAAATAGGCTTAAGCAGGTTTTAGGAGATGCATGGATAACAGCTCCATGATGGATCGCTGTGACAAAATGGGATATTTTAGGGACTTATTTCCAATTACTGGGGGCCAATGACATTCCCATGCCTACTTCATGGTCTCCTTAGGTGCCACTGATAGATCAAGAGTCACTGCTATGATGAAGCTTTGAAATGTGTCAAATACCTAGAAATGGAGAGGAAGGAAGATGGCAGGAAATTCCAAATCTTTATTTCACCTGGAGCTCTCAAGTCTCAAGACCAGGACAATAATGTTCAGTTTAAGGACTAAGGCTGGGTGCAGTGGCTTATACCTGTAATCCCAGCATTTTGGGAGGCCAAGGTGGTCAGATCACCTGAGGATAGGAGTTAGAGACCAGCCTGGCCAACACAGTGAAACCCCGACTCTACTAAAAATACAAAAATTAGCCAGGCATAGTGGCACATGCCTGTAATCCCAGCTACTAGGGAAGCTGAGGCATGAGAATCACTTGAGCCTGGGAGGTAGAGGTTACAGTGAGCCAAGATCACACCACCGCACTCCAGCTTAGGTGACAGAGTGAGACTTTGTCTCAAAAAAAAAAAAAAAAAAAAAAAGGACTGAGGTCTATATCTCTTTGTCACAGCCTAGACCACTCACATGTAAAAATGTGATACACCTGTCATACACCCAGGCCATGAAGAAGGGAACACAATGAAAGTTAGCCCTTCAGTGATTTGACTCTTCGAAGCCTTAGTTCTGAACCACTTGTCCTATCTTACTTATGTTTTATATCCTGACTTGTTTATCTTTTTGGCTTCAGAGCTAGGATTTATTTACCTTTTACAGCTTTACTCACTCACTCCCCCCTCAACCCTGCCAAAAACAAGCCACTCTCTGACGAGAATGTTTTCCTCTTAATCTCTGATCCTGACCCCTGCTCTGGCTATACCACCTTCAGGCACACTGAGTAAACATCCCACCTGGCCCAGCCTTCCCCATGGGCTTCACTACATCAGCATGCCCCTAGCCCCCGAGAATCGTTCGCTCACCAGGTGTACCCCAGCCCACAGGTATGATTTGTTTGAGGATACCAGTAAACTACCACCAGAAAGAAGTACAGCATGTCCTTTTCGTGTGATAGCACGCAAGTTTCTATGACTCTTGTCCTACTGCCCTAACCCTCCTTCATTACCATAACAGCATAAACATATACATTATGTTATTTTTTTTTCAAACCAGGTTTCACATGTTTTACTTACTGAATTTGTACAACAATTCTATGGATCAGAAATAATAAATATGAGTTATCTCTTCAGTACAACAGTACTAATGAAATAAAGACAAGTCAAGTGATTTGGCTTATATTACAGCCAGTAAATTATAGAGCTTAACTCACCTGGTCAGTGCTTAATCTACTATCCGTGTTCCCTTAGGCTGAGCACCTCTGAAGGATAGGGATCAAATCCATATGGCCACTCTGCATGGAAATTAATAAATAATGTTGATGGGATGATGAAGTTGATAATAATTATGAGAGTAATAAATATGTTTTTTATCTCCAATTGTAGAAATCAATTTCACTTTCCTGATTTTCATACCTATATGCCTTTGCACACACTTCTTCCTTTACTTAGGAAGCCTTCCATTTGCCCTGTTTGCCTAGAAAATCCCTCTTCATCCTTTAAAAGCTGATACATATGTTACCTCCTCTGCAAGGCCTTTACCTATCACTGCCCAGCCCCAGCTTCCAAACAGCTAGTTGTGTCATACGTTAATGGTGTCACACTTAGGAAATAATTATTTCATTACTTGTTTAGAAAAGTTTCTCTCCAGATTATGGACAAGGCCAGGAATAGTGTCTTATTCCTTTTTTCATTCTAAGATCTGCCATGGTGCATGACACATTATAGAAACTCAAAAAGTTTTTTTGAACCAAATGTGATGATGATGATGGTGATGGTGATGATGGGGTAGGGGGACAATTTCACTTCTTCCAAGAGAAAGAGCTTTCCCAGTTTTTAGAACCAGACTTTAGTTAGAACAGTATATTAGTCATGGAAATCAATGCAGGCCACTATCAAATACAACTTCCAAAGTATTATACTTCGATACAAGGCTATTTCTTACTCATGAAGATATGGTGTGGGTTAGATAAGACACCTTCACTGGGTGCCCCTCCTCCAAGTGACAGCTCTGAAATCCAGGATCCTTCCATTATGTGGCTTTCCCATCTTGGCATCCTTTGCCTCCAGCTGTTCAGATGGGAGAAAATACAGAGAAGACACACCAAGTTTAAAACGCTTGTTCTACAAGTGACAGTCATTGCTTCTTCTCACATTCCATTGGCCCATCTAACTGCAGGGTCACCTGGAAGATGTAACCTTCCTACGTGCCCAAGGAGAGACTCAAAAATGGTGAATACTGAAAGTCTCTTGCCATAGGTTGCCCTTCTGAACACCAAATGTTCATTTCACTCTTCCTCTCACAGAACACACTCACCCCATGCCAAGGGGTACACCCTAAGTCCCATTTAGTCACCACCTCCAGATCAATGTCCAGGATATCTGGGTGAGGCACCATCTTTCGTATTCATCAGTCTGACATGGCACCTCTCAGTGCAGTTACCTACATATGTAAAAGATTAGTTATCCATATTCCACATCTCCACCATCATAAACCATGTATAATGGTGGAAAAAATGACAGGAAAACTGCAATAAATAACCCTATTTGAAATGGGAAATAAGAGACGAGACACATCATGGTCCTTGGCAATGCTGAAACCTTTCTGTGCCAACATGGTGAAGCTCAGATATTCTGGGTGGGGTGGAGATGTGTGGACTTGACTCTGAGAAGGACTCCTGTATTTGCTCTTCTCCTTAGCCACATGTGAAGTAGGCTCAGGTGAACACATTTTCCTCCGGAGCAGTACAGTTCTAGAAGCCTGACATTTGCTTGGTCTGCAATGTGTTGGGAACTCAAAAGTTGTTTTAAGCCTGGACCAAGCAAAGGCCTTTTAAGTCCAGGCTCCTGGTTTCATCGTAATACAATTATCAAAATCTTAGATGATGTAGATCTATTTGCTTCTAGTCAGTCCCAAGTGCCAGTAATTATACCTAGAGTTACTTTCTAAACATTATTATCAAATTTACCTTTTTTTCTTTGTTTCTTCACCTCCATGCCTTTTTTTTCCCAACATAATTACCAAATTACATTGAGGCTATAAGAAACAATAGGTGAGAAGACCACTCGACTTATCTGATTTTCACCTCAAATGACCTCATTCAGATGAGAACTTTTGCTAGATATTTATCACTTAAAGTCATTTTTGGTGCCCTATTTTACTGTTTGAGTCTAAAAGAAATTTATTTTTTCCAACCCTATGAGTCCAAATTTCTTGATTCTGTATTCCACTCTATTTCTGCTTGCAAACTCAATAATTATTTCCTGAGTCATCTCTTTCTTGTAACTTTCTTGTAATACATGAAAGAGATATTCCAACATTAGCCAATACCACTATTAAAATTTTGTTTGCTAACCATTTCCCCTAAAGATATATACCAGGCACATGGACTAACTTCTAACTAATAGCAGGCAATAGTTGGATTTATCACTATATAACATTAATTACCATCTTTCCATTTTCTGGTATTAGTTTCCTTCCTGCCAGATTCTGTATTACTAAACCAATGATAAATACTTAGGATCATGTAAAGGTTAAGGAATATGGTTTGATTATGTCAATATCCCACTTCTGGTACCAATTTCTAGATTACAGCAATAAATACCAGTTGCTGTAACAGCAATCTCGGTGATTTCACACACAGTTTTATTTCTTCCTTAGGTAGCTATCCAATACAAGTCTAGAAGTTCTCCTTGGAGGCTCTCTTCCAAGCAGTGACTCAGGAACCCAAACTCCTTCCATATTCTAAGGCTAGAGTCTTAAACCAATGGCCTCTTAGCTGATTGTGGAAGAGGAAGCAAAAACTGAAATATTCTTTAAGATGCTTTTAAGGGACATGACTAGAAGTGGCTTATATCCCTCTGTCCTAATTTTTTTGACTGGAACCCTGTCACATGGCCTCAACAAAACTGCAAAAGGAGAAAACGAAGTCTTCCTGTGTGCTCTGGGATAGGAAATGGGATTGGTGATTTTTATGGCTATCTATGTTGTATTACAATATGTCATTCATTTACTTGACTCCTCATTGATGACTGAATAAACTGAGAAAAGATTATCTTTCTTATCTTTCTTTTCTCAGTCACCAACTAGATGCTTCAAAAATAACATTTTTATATTAAAAACACAGGTTCAACCTACTTTAAAATTACTTATGAGGGATTTAATGCAAGTAAAATATTTCCCATTTAACAAATGAGACAAGATGGAAACACTGACAGGTTTCAAGGGACCCACTGTGAATTATCCAACAATCAGTAATACGGTACTATGGCCAGGTAAGTTCACCTGGCTCAGGTAGTTGCCTAGGTGCCATGAAATAGAGTTTCTGGCTTCCCAAGGTCTGTCTGTACTTGGTACACATGGAACCAGAAGCTCGCAAATACTCCTGTGGCATGATACAATGGTACTGAGAGGCAGGAGGACATGTGGAAGCCTGGGATTAGAACAAGTTGGCTACAGAGTGTAAGGACTCTACCTCCAGATGCAAATGGCCAGGACCATGGGTAGGACTAAGGGCAAACTCTAAAAGACACAATAAAGGAGCCACTCCTCTGCGACGCCAGCCCAGGGACCCAGGCAACAGGCCAAACCCATCCTGCAGCAAGACTCAGAGACCTTGCAGAGACCAGTAAGGACTTGGAGGTAACAAGCAAACCCAAGGTCCCCTGCCCCCACCACCATGAGGGTACTTCCACCTCCTTCCCTGAAGGAGATTTCTTTTTCTCTCAGTCTGCGATATTTGCATTTTTTCCAATTAGTACATTCATTCATTGACAAAAAGTTCAAGTTGCTTTTCTAGTTCCTCAGCTTCTCAGGCTTCTGGTCTGAATGGTCATTGTCTGGACAAATCAGGAGCTGGGAGCCTGCTAGCTGGGCCATGTAGCCTGGCAGAGGTGCCTTCAGGTGCTTACGTGCTCCCTTTAGATACTGAGTGTTTCACCAGAGCCATGGACAGACCAGAAGGTAAGGTGTCATGGTCACTTGGAACTTAGCAGCTTGCAGGAGCACCTGGGGAGAGGATGCAAGTCTTTAAAAGATACTTTAAAAACAAATGCTTTCCAACATTCGGGCATCACATCCTATGGAGCATGAAGCATGTAGCAGGACAATTATGGTGGGCTTTCCGAAGTCATGGAAAAGACTAAAAATGGCCCCTTTCTTAGGACATAAGGAAAAATAGGCATTGAGCCAGTGGAAACCAAGAAGGAAGCCAGAAAGAAATGGAAGCTTTCCTGCTTTTCCTTACTAGTTCCTTTCTGCATTAAAAGCCAATTTTACTAGCATTTTGTCAGCCAGAGTCTTTTGTAAACAAGCACTTCCAATTTCTCAAGCCAGTGAAATGGAGATTCATAAAGATGTTTTAAGAATTGCAAGCCTGAAATGCCTTGGTGCGTCATTAATATAAATTAAATACGATCTGCATTTTTAAAAACCATTGCGTAATAATACTTATGAAAACTGGTAATTAATATTTAGAATGTTTAGAACATCTACTTAAATATTTGACTTATGGGCCAGTATTGCTATGGAATGTGCTAAGAATTGACTAACTAGCACCATGAAAATCCATGTACTTCAGAATTCAAAAGAGAAGATCGCATCCCAAACCTGATAATTTATTAATTGTGTGAACTTCACCAGGTCCTTTAAACTCTCTGTGCCTTATTTTTCTCATTTATAAATGAGGATAATGATATCTCCCATCCCTGGTTATTAAGCTTCAATGAGATGGGCATGTGCCCATGCTTAGCACATACTTGCACAAAGGAGGCACTCAACAAATACAGCTGCTATTGTTATGATGATGATGATGATTTTTTAATACTGCTACTACTAGCTGTGTGAGCTTATTTGAGTTCCTAACCCTTTCCTTGTTGTTCTAGCCAGCCTCTGCTCACCCCCGCATTCTGGCCTTGCATACCCACAGTAGAACACTAAACGTTTTCCCAAGTTCTGTTATCAGTCCCTCCTTTTCTCATAAAAAAATATAATAAAAAGAGTTACTTGAGAGTGTCTGAGACTCTTTCAGAGTAACTCCCCCTCCAAAGAGACACCTCCCTCTGCCCTTGTCTTGGTTCTTCCCATCATTTCCTCTTCCTCTGGGTCAGACCTGGATAAACTTGCGGTTTCCTTCCTTCGTGCTCTCTGGAGAGCTGAGTGCTGCACACTTGAAAGCCTAAAAACTTGTCATTTCCACCTTGAACTAGTGGCTGACCTCACCAGACAGCCTGAGAAATGAATTAGTGTCCTTAAGCGGAGGCAGAATATGAACAGTGACCCAGCTCTCCTAAGCAACCACAGCAACTGTCAAGCGGTAGTTAAAGTTCCCTTTTTCCCAACCCCTTTAATTATGTTGAAAACTATGTCATATTGTTTTTGAAAAAGTTAATGAAATAGTAGGTAAAGGTGAACCAAGGAACATAATTTACTTGGATTTCCTTGCAAGCTTTTGATAAGGTCCCTCATAAAAGGCTATTAAGGAAAATAAATGACCAGAAGGCTGTGAGCAAAAGTCTTTCTGGTGTATTAAAAACTGGTTAAGCTATTTTAGAAGGAAGAATCCCTGATGCTGGCTACTTCTTGGAGCAGAGAAAGGTTAATCACAAACTGTCCTTAGTATTAGTATTTGGACTTCAGATATTTGAATGATTTATAAAGGAAAAAAAGCAAAGTTGGCCAAAGACAAAAAATTATTATTTCTTTTTTACTTCCTTAGACTTTTATTTTTTAACAACATTCTTTTCATTTTATTTTTTAAGCTGACAAATAAGAATTGTACATGTTCATGGAGTACATAGTAATGTTTTGGTACATATAAACTATAAGTGATCAGATCAGGGTAATTAGCATATCCATGACCTCAAACATTTGTCATTTCTCTGTGTTGGGAACATTTGATACTATTCTAGCTATTTGAAACTGTATTATTGTTAACCATAATCATCCTACAGTGCTATAGCACACCAGAACTTATCCCTCCTGTCTTGCTATAATGTTTTATTCTTTAACAAATCTCTTCATCTACTCTTCTCTCTCCCCTTGGAATTAACCTTTTTTAAAATTTCAATGAGTTTTGGGGGAACAGGTGGTGCTTGGTTACATGGATAAATTATTTAGTGGTGATATCCAAGATTTTGGTGCACCCATCATCCAAGCAGTAAACACTGTACCCAATGAGACACAAAATTATTACCATGGTCAAACCTCCAAGTTTTTGGTATGAATGCAGGACCCTCGTCCATCAATAGAGAATGCATTCCTGGGAGAAAGATCTGGGCCCACCCAAAAGATACAACCTCCAAAGATGGGAACTAAGCTCTGAAAACCTTTCAGAGTAAGATAAAAACGCTTCTGACTTGCGTGGCCCCAGTGCAGCCAGGCCTGAGGCTGGAGGGCAGGACACAATGATCTTGTGAGTGTCCTTCCCACCCTTCTAGCAGATGGTAGTTTAAGGCCATGAAAAATTAGAAATGAGTGGCATGGGTGGAAAGCATTGAAGCAATATGAAGACACTATTTTGCATGCTTTTCATTCCAAAATTGTAAAAGAATAATTCTATTGGTAAAGGAGAGCCAAAGAAATGTCATGGGGACTCAGGCATTAAGTACATTTCCTGTGTAATTTGTGTATTTGACCTGATGCAGCAGAAAGTAAACAAGAGATACTGAGACCTGCTTACTGCCTATTTACTGTAGGGGCAATGGGAAGAGCTGCATTTTTATGAAAGAAGACAGACCTCTTAAAGTGCTGATAATCTAACAACACGTTTATTCTCATAGGTATCTTCACCACTGCTCTCCCGCTCCCAAATATTTTCACTGTAAAGTGAGCCAGAAGAAATCATACCAATATCTGGGTGCTGATGACGTAAATCCCAGGTCCTCTTCCAGCCATGGCCCTCATTAATCTTTATGACACTTTTTCTTGAGCCTCACCTGCATTTCTGCAGGATCAAAAAGTCCTAAACACAAAAGTCACACTGCAACATCAATGGCAAAAATAATTCTAATCTAGGTTTGCCAAAGCTGCTTCTCTTCTGCCTAGTCAAGTACTAAAGTACTCTAGTTCATACATAGGGTGCCATTTATCCAGTAGGAAAGCACTTATTTTGAAAGACAGAGACTATGTGAAATAAGATGTTAGACATAGAAATATCCCTCTCAAAGAATCCAGCAATAAACCCACACAAATATAATTGTTTATATTTTGGCAAAAGTGCAAAGGCAATTTAATAGAGAAGGGATAGGCTTTTTCAACAAATGGTAGTGGAACAATTGAATGTCAATATGCCAAAAGAAAAAAGAAACAAAGAAAAGAAAGAATTGTAACACATACTATCTACAAACATTTACTAACAATGGATCATATACTTAAATGTAAATGTAAATTACAAAATTTCTAGGAGAAAATCTTTGTAACATTAAGTTAGGCAAAAAGTCATTTGATACAACATCAAAAGTACTATCCACAAAAGGAAAAAAAATGGATACATGGAGCTTTATCTAATTTACTTTTTTATCTTTGTTCTGCAAAAGACACTATTAGGAGAATGGTGAAGCAAATCACGGATTGGAAGAAGACATTTGCAAATCTTGTATCTTAAAAAGGACTTGTATCTATCATATATATATATATGATACATATATATATATATAGATACATATATATATAGATAGATGATACATATATATATATATATATCACTTTTAGGCTAGGTGTGGTGGCTCATGCCTGTAATCCTAGCACTTTGGGAGGCTGAGGGGGGTGGATCACAAGGTCAGCAGTTTGAGACCAGCCTGGCCAACATAGTGAAACCCCGTCTCTACTAAAAATACAAAATTTAGCTGGGCATGGGTGGTGCACATCTGTAGTCCCAGCTACTCGGGAGGCTGAAGCAGGAGAATCGCTTGAACCCAGGAGGCAGAGGTTGTGGTGAGCTGAGATCACGCCACTGCACTCCAGCCTGGGCAACAGAGCAAGATGACATCTCAAAACAAAAAAACAAAAAACAAAAAATAAACAAATAAAAAACGCTTTTAAAAAGCAATAATTAGAAAACAAAGTCCCCAATTCAAAGAAATGGGCAAAAGATTTGAATAGACACTTTACAATAGAAGATGTATAGACAGTAAATAAGCACATAAAAAAGGTTCAAAATCATTAGTTCTTAAGAAATTACAAATTAAAACACAATGCAATGCCACTACAGACCTACTTGAATGGCTAATTTTTTATTTATTTATTAAACCATACCAAGTACCAGCATGAGGAGCAACTGGAATGCTCACATATTGCTGGCAGAAACACAAAATGGCACATTTTGGCAGATTCTCATAAAGTTAAAAACACATGTATTACATGACCCAGTAATCTCACTCCTAGATATTTACCTAAGAGAAATAAAAACTTGGTTTTATGTAAAAACCTACAAATGTTAATCTCAGTTTTTCTCATAACAGCCCCAAACCAAAAGTCCTTTGGTGAGTCCAAGAATGGATAAATAAACTGCACACACACCTACACCACCCAGCAATAAACAGGAGCAAACTCCTGATGCATACAACAGCAAAAGGATGAACCTCAACACACCTGCCAAGTGAAAGAAACCAGGTCTAAAAGGCTAGGTGTTGTATAATTCCATCTCCATAGCACTCTAGAAAAGATCCAAAGAACAGATCAGTACTTGCCAGGCCTTGGGAGTAAGGAAGGGGACTGAATATCAAAGTATGACCCAGGAAATGTGGAAGGCAGGAGCTGGGGCTGGGCAGGGGCCTGGGGATGGTGATGGAGCCGTGCTTTATCATGGCCGTGTAGTAGATCCACAGCTGTGCATTTGTCAAAACCCTCAGATCTGTACACTCCCCAAAAAAGTGAATTGTATTGTTTTAAAATTTGAAAAAAATTAAGACAACACAACCCAAAACCAAAACAAACCACAACAAAACAAAAACAGAGGCTGTTATGATAAAAGCTGGGATTATCATTTGTGTATAGGTTTTCACATAAGTGATCATAATAATACATTGTATTTACATTTCATATGGACAAACTTCATTTCCTTTGCAAGAAAACTAGCCCAAATTGGGGTGCAGTCTGCAGTCATGTTCTGCTATGTCACTAACTGCCTCAGATGACATTGGATTCCTGACCTCCTCATTAACTCACACACACAGAGTGGTCAAGCAACCTTTTCCAGACTACTCTGCTTGCCTCCAACTGTGAAAAGCATTATTTGATGTTCTTAAATATTACCCTTCGCCTTTAACTGTACATAATAATTATGTTACCAGGGGTGATGCTAATGACAACGAAGCATCTGCACTACTTCCTAAAGCTCCAGGACAGGACACCTGTGTTTCAAGATGTAGTACTATGACAAGAGTTACAGCCTGCATCCCCTGGGTACCAGCGACGTTGGGAAACTCAATTGGTCCTGCAAACCACCATAGCCACCCTGCATATGCTAAAAAATGCTGGGAGTAATTAAGTGGTGATATATTTTTTTTTCTTAGTATGATTTTCCAACTGAGGAAAGAGAAAGATACACAAAGATTATAGTCATTCCCCAGTGTCTGTGGAGTACTGGTTCCAGCATCCCCTACAAATATCAAAATTCAAGGATACTCAAGTCTCTGATATAAAATGGTGTGGTGTTTGCATACAACCTATGTACATCCTCTTGTGCCTACTTACAATGCCTAATACAATGATGTACAGTACAGACACCAATCGTATATTTTTTCCTGAATATTTTTGACCTGCAAAATGGTTGAATCCACAGATGTAGAACCCACTGATATGGAGGGCTCACTATATTTCGGAGCAAACATTAATTATCATTGAAGAAAGCAAACATATTTCACTAAAAGCCCCAATACTTATTTCAATACAAACAACCCAGCCAAAGACCATCATGTAAAAAAGTTATACAGCAAGACTCTTTTTGTTACAAATATTTACTGAGGTATCTGAGTTTAAAGCCACTCAGAAACTCAGAGCAGGCCCCATTCCCAGATGGCATAACTACCTACTCAAACTTCAGGACCTGGGTCATAAGCAAGAGCTGAAACAAAAGCAAACCTTTCATTATTTCCAACCAGACCTAGAAACATTAAACCTTTTCCTCAGAAGCATGAGAAGAAAGAATGAACAACTAAATTTTAAAAACGGCAGCTCCTCAGCTCCATTTCCCCAAAATGGGTCAGGTGGAAATTAATGGCTCTTTCTTCTGCATTATTAGTCATTTGTGTACTTTTACAGTGCTGTACTTAACACAATCTATTGTCATTAATTGTCATAGACTCATCCCAATGCGCAGATGTCCTCAATGGGTTGTGAGCTCCTCGGTGGCAGGGCCAAGCATTATGATATTTGTTCTCCCAGAACCTATTGAAGATCTGATACATAATGTGCAGCCATAAATGTTTGAAGAATAAAAGAAAGAAGGAGGAGGAAAGCAAAAATGTAGGGGAAAGACATCGTGAGAGGAGAGAAAGAAAAAAAAGTAGGAAAGGTAGGAAGAGAGGGAAAAAGGAAAGGTAGAAAGAAGGGAAAAATGAAAAGCAGGGAGGGAGGAAGGGAGAAAGGTAGGGAAGGGGAGAGGAAGGAATGACAAGGGAGGAAGGAAGGACAAGAAGGAAGGAAGGAGGAAGGAAGAAAGGAAGGAAGGGAGGGAGGGAGGGGAGAGGTGAGGGAGGGAAGAAGGAGGGAAATAAAATGCGCCTTGGATAGAGAAAATGAGGACACATAGGGTGACTTGAAAGGCAGAGAGGTGTCTGGCGTGGGAAGGTGGCAGCCATGGGCCAGCCTGATCATCTGGGGGCCCGTTCCCCAAATCTGCCTATGCTTGTGTGGCCAGCCCACTCTCCCTGAGATCCCCACTACCCTTTGTCCCTCCCGCTGCAGCCCCGGGGATGTCAGAAGCCATTGTGCAGTTGAGCACACGGCCAAGCCAGCAGCTGAGGCAGGAAGCAGGGCTGGAGCTGCTGGCTGGAGTTGCTGGGCCCGTGTGTCCTGCTCCCTGCTGCAGGCCTGGGTGCCAGAGCCAGAGCAGCCGGGTCAGGGTGGCGACGCACTGCTGGCATGGCCAGGCTCTCACACGCTCTCCTTTCCAATGGCCCGGCCGGCATTGCTGGGGAAACGGGAGGGGCCGGGCAGCCAGCAGCCGAGAGTGAGAACTTCCCCTTGCCAGAGCCAGCTGCTGGCTGCCATCTGGGCAGGGGCAGTGCCAGTTTCCCAAATCTGCCTTCCCTTTGGAAAAGGGGGAGAAAACTCTGTGCTGAGAAGATAGCTTCTCCTCCATCCTGAGGCTCTCAGTTAAAAACCCAACAAAACCAGCCTTTGAAAAAGGAAGGGATGAGAAATGCCACATGTTGGGCTGTTTCCAAAGGAATTTGCCTCTCCCGGGCCTTTACTTCCAAAAAAACTCTTTATTCATGCTCAAGATCCCTTGGTTCTTTCATTTCACTCCACAATAACCTTTCATTTTAGTTTAAAGTTAAATGTTTAAACAAATAACATGCGGGTATCTGTGTGTCCTTTACACTGGTCACATAGGGATTGTTCACCGTAAGCTGGGAATTCCCTGAGAGCTGTGACTTAGTCTTCCTCATTGATTCTGTAGGTTGAGTAACCCAGCACCTCATCTAAACTGGTGCTGCCTGGATGCTTTCTGATAAATGCAGTCATTCATTCACTGGATACTTACTGAGCACCTTCTGAGCATCAGCACAGGGTGGTCGCTGAAGAATTAAAGATCTGGTCATATTCTCAGAGTTTGGGGAATGAAAGCAAACCTTCCCGTCCTTCTGGATGTCAGGGGAATGGACACTGTAGCTACTGTGTGTTGGCGCGAGTGTGTCCTGCAGAGGATCCCAACCCCGAGACCACGTTATTTACTGTGCAACTACTATATTCCTAGGAGACAGGTGGGAAAAGAGTTGGCACCTGACAGAGCACAGAATCAGGGAGACCTTCCACAGGCCCAAAAAACAGCCAAGCTTTATCCAAGGTGAGTGTCAGTATTTTCAATAAGCCTCCCACATGGGCACTAACAAATCAGAACAGATACTGGCTGGGACCAACCAGTGCTGCTACCTTTGTGCATCCTATCTGAATATGAATCCTGGATTTATTGTTTATCAGCCCCTTACCTTTCAGATCCTTCTTTTCTGTCTTGATATCTTTCTTCTCAGCGAAGGACACAGCCAACCCAACTTCCCAACATCACAAATACTTGTTGAAAATTGCCCGAGTGGATGGGCGCAGGGATAGAAGTCCCTGTGCTCCATGAAGACCCCAACTTGGCAGAGATCCTCATGGTGGGGCTTCCGATGGATTCCTCCATCTTTGCTGACATCTTCATTCTGAAGCAGCTCTAAACATACCTGTTACTCATGTAATAGTTGGAAGAGGCAGGCTGAAAGCCAGGGAAGCCTCAAGAGTGAGGCTCACTCTCTGAAATACAGGGTTTGGTCTCCCAGCTCTGAGGCCTTAATATTTAGCTTGCCTAGGAGCAATCAGGCCCTAAGAAAGACTAGTTCACATTGCCAATCTCATAGGAAAAGTATCTGGCATTTTAAAGTGTTTCCTAAGTAGTTTTACAATGAAAGATACATGTAAACACAGCTTGCATAGTATTGAGTCTACAGTGAACACTCCTTTGATGAATTTAAATTGAATGATATCATTTGAGCCTCACCACATCGACTGAGATGGCCAGGGCAGGCATTAGTAGTTCCTGTTCCGTAGCCCCACAGAGGTAAGAGCTTGTCCAAGCTGGTGGGGTAAGTGTCAGCTAGACCAGAAGGTGGGTCTTCTGCCACCTCATTCAGTGCTCTTTCCAGAAGCTAAGTGACTAACTGATAATAGAAACTTCAGCATCCTAGTGAGGACACTCACTGGAGAAATGAAATCAAGATCAGAAGTTGCCCTGATGGATACATAGATGAAATCATAGAGGATCTGTTGATGAAGAGCGCAGGTTTTGACTCCTGGTGCTCTTCCTTGTTGACCCAACAGTGTTGGGCAAGTTAAGAGTCTCCGCAACTCTCCTCTCTGCGTTCTCATCCATAGGAAGAAAACAGCACCTTTCTTTTAAGATTGCTGTAAGGACTGAACTAGGTAACAAAGGATCCTTACTTCAGGGTCCAGCCTAGGGTAGATGTTCCATATATGATAATAATTTTTGCTATTTTTATCACTTATTTCTGAAAAGGTAAATTCCACCCTCAGGCTGGAAGGCTGTTCTTGACTGCTTTGTGCTACCCAGAGCTCCTGTTATTTGCTGTCTCCTGCATGAGGTGGGAGGAGACATTTATTCACATATTGGTATTTTCCTGTGTTAATCCTACCTATGCCCCTCCTGGGAACATTTGTTTGTTTGTTTATTCAGCACTGACTCTCTTCCAGTCATCTCCTAACACTTTAGAAATATTAATTCATTTCTGCTTGAACCTGGGAGGTGGAGGTTGCAGTGCACCACTGTACTCCAGCCTGGGCGACAGAGCAAGACTCCGTCTCAAAAAAAAAAAATATTAATTCATTTCATCCTCATAATAACCTTTTAGGTAGGAACTATTATTATCCCCATTTTACAGGCAGGAAAAATAAGGCACAGAGGTGAAGTCAATATGTAGCAAATGGCAGAGCCAAGATTAAAACCAGGCAGCCCAGCCACAGAGCCTATGTGTTTATCCACTAAACCCAATGGTCCCTACATTCAAACAAGAGATACGTCTTGAATAAAACAAGTTTGTGGCCTTGTAGAAAAGGTGCTTGTAGGTAGGGTTCCCTTTTAAGACTCTCAAATCTCACTTCGAAATCTATCTCCTACTCTCTACCAAAAACCTGGGTAGCACTGGGGTCTCTTCCTACAGGCTTCTTGAGTGCTGAGACTTGATAAGCCAGAGCCAGGGAAACTGACTGATTTGCCTAAAAGTCCTTAGCCATAAGTTCACAAAAATTCATTTTCTAAATGTCTTTCAAACCATAGCTTTGTGGCAGGCCCTGGGCTAAGACATTACCAAGAAGGTGTTTCCTGTCCTCTGAGAACCTACACTTATGGAATACAAGACAGTTGCTGATGCACATGTGGAAATGCCAAAGGTCTGACAGCGATTCAGATAGACTCTAAAATGATCATAGAGTTGGAAAGACTCTAAAATGATCATCATCCCTTGGAGGGACCTTTGTGTGTGCACAGCCTGAAGGACTAAAACCTACTCACAGTGCATACGCAAACCCTGATGGAAGATGAGGGAAACTTACGCAATCATGAAAAGTACAGACAGAGTGAAAACAGATCTGTTCACAAATCCCAAAGCCCTGAGCCCAGGGGACACCTCCTGATTTGTTTCCAAAGCCCTGAGCCCAGGGGACATCTCCTGATTTGAAGAAGTTTCAGTACAAATAAAAGGGAATCCTACTTCGATACACTGGCAGAGAGGCAGCAGGTGTGAAAGCACATGCACAGTAGCTTCAAGAAGGGTTTTCATAAAGGTGGGGATACTAGAGTTACTATAACTCTAGTTATAGGGAAGCTAGGGTGCTTGAGTTGCATCATAACCAAGTCCCCATCAACACTTTGCCTTTGAATAGAGCTGGGTGTTTCCCATCTACCCTTGCCTGGGAGCTCATCAGGTCCCTGGGAAATTCTCAAGTCAGACATTATTAGGCGCACTGTATGTAGCTGGAAATGGAAGCTCTGAGAGGGTATTTTCTCAGTATTTGTAGCACTGGGACCTTTTCCATCTCCAAACTGAGGGTGAACTTGGTTTCTCAGCCAAGTGGAGACATCCGGGGACAGCCCAGGTCTATAGACATATTAAGAGTTTGCCATTTTCGTCCAAGCCACCAGGATCCAAGATGATCCTGAATAGAAACTTTTGTAGACCAGAGCAAGCCCAGCCATTCAGAGGACAAAACACCATAGCCACAAGCCCTTAGGTCTCCCCCACTAAAACCAGGCTCCCATGCATAACAGGCTCACGTGAAGATCTCACAGGGGGATAGGCTGTTGATTTTTTAAAAAAATAAAACAACGTATGAGTTTTATCTCTTTATCTCCTCAGTCCAGAGGGAAAAAAAAGAGCACAATCTGTCCTCCCAGTGGGACATCCACCTGATTAGATGTCATAAAACAGAGTAGTCCTTTAGTTAATAATGGCTGGAATACCTCCGACCCACAGTTACTGGAAAGAAAAAGAAACCTAACTACAGATAAACTCCCTAGGGTTTCAGATCCGTTTTGCAATAAGCTGTTATGAAGGAAACCTGGCCCCAAAAGATAGTTTGAATGCAAAATAAAGATAGTTCACATGCTTTGAAGCAGGGACAGGGCTCCTGTGGAAGCACCAGAATCATATTTTTGGAGGATCATTATATTTCCTGCTTCAAACTTTATTTGGGTCCCACCGTTCTTTTATACAACTTCTATTTTTGGTCATCAGAGGCGCCATGTCCTGCCAGGCAGGGGCCTCAGCAGGGCAGGTCTGGGCAGAAGAGGTAAGGATTGGATGCCTGGAGAGGGAAGAGCACTGGATAGGCAAGAGGCAGGCAAGGCTTGGGAACAGGTATAACCCACAGAGCCAGACAGGCTGGAAGTAGGGCCTGGCACAGCCTCAGGGTGAGCACCACGGGTTTATGGAACAAGACCCTAGGGTCCAGAAGGCTAGCGAATTATCAGGAAGGGACTGGAATATGGACACAGCAGAAGCAGGCAAGGACTCTCTGAGTTCTTCCATACAGCCTGTCGCAAGACAGTGGGCAGGGGCATGAGTTTCAGCCCAGGAGGTGCAGGATGCATCTGATTAAGACACAGGCAGAGGTGTTATGCTTGCTGGATGGTTCCTACAATCAGGGGCCTTTAAAGGAGGAAATGAAAACACATGTGGTCTTAAAACATAGATGTATACTAAGGCTCCATCATTTGTTTGTCCACGGATTCATGGGTCTCCTAAGAACGAACTGCCATGCAAAAGTGATGGAAATAGACAGGAGAATCCTGACCGGCTGGCCAGTGTCTATTGAGAACCTGCTTTGTGCTCAGCCCGGGAGGAAGCAAGGGAAGAAAAGGCAGCTGAGATGAGACATAAAACAAATGCAAGTCAGGGTCCTTGTCATCAAACTGGTTGAAGGGACAAAACCAATCCTTGTGAAATAACTTGGCAGAACGACTTGGAGGAGACCTTCCTTCTCTTCGCAGTACCTTCCCCAATAGAAAGAAATTCACTTTTGTTGAAAAAGATGCTGGCTTTACTGGGCATTAGTATCAGCTGGTGCCTTTAACTGGAAAATTCAGAAGAGAACTGAATTTCTTTGTAACAGAAAGAAGGAGGTATTCAGTGAATATTTGGGGAAGAGTTCAGAGAGAAAGAGAAGCAGAAAGAGACCCAGAGGTCCATGGCTAAAGAGGACCTTGAGGAGAGAAGGTGAAAATCCTGGTCTTTGTGGTCTTGGTACATGTGGTCTCATGTAGCTTTCTCCTCCATCTCCCCATGAAATCATAGTCAGCTCTGCATCATTCGTTAATACTTTATGGGTTGAGTCTGTTTGAGGGGATGTGTTAAAGCCCCAAATCCAACTTAAAGAAGTTCATAGGCAAAGGAAGAAGAAATACGTTTCCTGTCTTGTGAGAAAAACTATATGCACAAGTTACATTGAGGACATGTTTAGCAATGCATTAGCAAATTTAGATGTGAAATACATGTGCTTAGGAAGTTCAGAGTTAGGAAAATAATCTAAGGATCGGGGGGCAACCAAGGTAGTCTTCCTCAAAGAAGCAAATTTTGAACTAACTGTCCCTTGGGAGATAGATTCAGCACTCTGAAATACAGAAGAACTTGTGTAATTTCACAGAGACTCAAAAATATATACACTGTTTCCTGACCTCAACTCAAGATATGGACATGTGCCCTCAGCTATGCCAACATCTACCATACAGGAAATACAGGCATGCAGCAAATCACATATCCATTACACATACTAGATAGCGTTTAACATCTTTCAACCTGTGCAAAAGTGGCCACTGCTCCCACTGGGATGTCGTACAAAAAGTTTTCATTAGTATTTTAACCGTGTCACTGCCGAAGTGCAGAAAAGTCAAATTTATAACATGTTAGACGTTTTTAGTGGAAAATGCAAATACATAGCAGAGAAGGTTGGGCACATGTCCCTTGAAACCATTATCTCACAAAGTTTAACCCAGGTCTAGGTCTTTCACAGAGAAAGGCTATTCAATCTCAAGCAATATCCAAGATCATCTTATCAAAGTCAGGACTGAAGCTTCAAAGGATATGAATAGTCAACTCAGAAAATAAGAAACACAAATAGCCAATGAAATGTATAGATATTTTAAATCCAGACTCACTGAAAGTTAAAGGAAAGCAAATAAAAAATGATATGATACCATTTTTGCCCTAATTTTAGAAAATTAGAAATAATGAAATAGTTGCTTATTGGTTCAGATGGGAGTTCAGATCTCTTACAAAGTGAGTGGGATTGCAGTTTGGTGCATAACCTTCACAGGAGACCATTTCTACCAAAAGCCCTAGCCGTGTGCATTTCCTCTAATCTGCAATTCCACTTCTAAAGTCATGTCTGGGTGGAATACCCAGGTAAATGGACAAAGATGTGTGTATAAGGATTTTCATCAGACTAGTCTTTAAAACACTGAAAAATTGGAGACTACCTAAATGTGTAGCAAAAGTAGGTTATTAAATAAAGTACAATACTCATTCAATGAAATACTATCTCACCATTTGTAGTAATAACGTAAGGTTTCATGACACAGAAAAAATGTCATAATACATAGCAAGATGTTGTAAATGAGTAAAGCAGGTTCCACACAATATATAATACAATGAGTTTTGTAGTAACAAAAATAGTTCATGTGTTTAGTTGTTAAACCAAAATAAAAGCTGCATGCCAGCAGTGGATCTTCTGGATGTTAAATGCTATCTTGAAAAGTGCCTGGCATAAAATAGGGAATCAAGAAATATTTGTTAATTAAATAAATTCTTGCTTACTATGCAGCAGGCACTGTTGTAAACGCATGGTATAGTATCTCATTTTCACAGCAGCGCCATGCTCTAAGTCTTTCTGTGAACTCTGCAGAGCTGTGAGGAAGCTGAGGCACAGAGAGGTTAAGCATTATGACCCAGGTCACCCAGCTAGTAAGTGGCGAAGCCAGAATTCAAACTCAGCAACCGGAATCCAGAGTCTTCATTCAAACACTTTGTTAATATATATATGTAGAGCAAATTCTGGAAGGATAGACACCATTACATCTTCAGCAGTGATTTGGGCAGCTCTAGGTAGTAAGATTACTCAAGGTTTTGTTTTTTCTTCTTGCTTGCCAGAGATTTCTAATCTCTCTCCAGTGCAGATGTAAAAATTACTTTCTTTAAAATGTATATAGATATTACTTTTAAATAGCATGCCGTTTTGTTTAGTGGATGCTTTCTCTGGCCAGAAGCAAAAGAAAAGAAAAGAAAAGCAGAGGAGAGGGTTTCTCAAGGAAGAGGGGAAAGATGAGGAACAAGTAGAGGGATCATGGTTCCCAATCCCCAGACCTGAATACCGTATTGAAAGCTAGATTTTCATGTTGTAAAACAAAGTAGAACATTTCTAGAACCTACAAGCCCCTTAATTCCTCATTATCTGTACTGCGCCCTTCAACCCAAGAGGATTCCAGGATGCTTCCTTGGGGTTGCCACTCACTTGGACAGACACGTGGTGGCCCAAAGTGGAGAGGTGGAGAGCCTCTTGCATGGACATCTCCACGTGGACACAATCATTCAAGTGCCATTGCGACAAGTGTTTTTTGACCTCCTACTCTGTGCTGGGCACTGGGTGGGCATGAAGGATACAAATTCATTTTTTGTTTGCTTTTGTTTTTAGAGAGAGGATCTCACTCTGTCACCCAGGCTGGAGTGCAGTGGTGTGATCCTGGTTCAGTGTAGCCTCGATCTCCTGGCCTCAAGTGATCATCCTGCCTCAGTCTCCTGAGTCACTGGGATTACAGGCATGAGCCACTGTGCCAAGCTCCTGAAGAAAACAAAAGATACGATACCTGCTTCAAGAAACTCAGAGACTGTTGGAAAGACAAACTGAAACACACAGCTAATGTATTAAGGAGCTAACAGAAAGAAGTTCAGGAGGCTGCAGGAGCACACGGGAGGGACTCTAATTCCTGCAACATCTTGTACTTAACTTTATCATAGAACTCGTTTCATTTTCAAATGTATTTGTGTGCTTTGTGATCCATCTGTCCAATGATCTATTAACTCCTTGAGGACTGGCACTGTCTCTTATTCATGTCTGCATCTCAGCGCCTGGAACACAGTAGGTTGTTTAACCAGCAGATTTGCTCAAATAATTGTCTCCATAGGGAGATGGCTTTGTAGGCAACTTCTACAGTTTGGCCCATTGAGGATAAGGTCAAGGTAGAAGAGAATACCTAGAAACCGCTGTAGCTCAGACAGAGCGAACCAGGTGAATAGACAAGGAGAGGAAGAAAAGAATTCTTGGACTGACCAAATGAACACAAAGGCAAGACCCAGTTAAGAAACGGTTATATTCCAGTCAAAACAGACGTGGCTGAATGAAAGATGAGGCTGGGGTGGTGAGCAGAGCTGAGTCATGAAGGTGCTTTAATTCACACTAAGAAGTACAAATTTTATCTTGCAAACTAGGAGGATTCCAAGAAAAGAGGAGACGTGGTAAGATTTGATTACAGGAAATCAGTCTGGGAGCACTATTGAAAGAAGAAAAGGGGTAAATCAGAGGCAAAGAGGCCAGTTAAAACAGATTACTGCAAGAAGGCAACCAGGAAACTAACCAGGGCCTGGAGGAAGGCAGGAGCTTCAGAGGTGGAGAGAAAAAGACACCCCAACATTATTTTCCTCCTAGACAGCTTGAAATGATTCTCAGGCAGGCAGAACAGTTAAAACCTGGTGTCGAGTGTGGAAAAGGCAAAGTTGATCTTAAGTACCTAGCCATCCTGCCTGCTCAGCAGCACCAGTCAATCCCCCGAGGTTTCACACCCCACTAGCACCTCGGAGCACACTCCCCCAACAGGCAGTAACGAAGACATCCAGGCAGCCAGAGAAACACTCAGAAGCAGTGGCAGAGGGGGAAAAAAGTGCATTACAGAGCCCAACATCTGTGTCTAGCAGCTGCCAAGCAACCTCCATGTGTTTCTGCAGCTGTCGGTGTGGAAGCAATGGAAGACGGAACAGAAGGATGAAAAGAGGGTTCAGCAACAGGCTCTGAGTACCAGGCAGATAGGCAGGCTCTGGGGCAGTTGAGGCTGATTCACTGGGTGCTCTGGGGAGCTGTTGCTTTCCGTAGAGATTTGCCACACAGAGCCCTTAAGTAGCCAGGCCACTCCTAAGGCTGCACAGAGGAGGAGACCTATCACCCCACCTGAGCCAGGCAGCCCAGGAAAGCTGAGACCGGACTGGCCACAGCAACCTCCTTGGTTTGATTGCAAGGCCCTGGTCTCCATCTCTCTGAAGGTGTAGTATGATACATCACTTAGTGTTCAGTCAAATATGTGAATCAAAGTTAAGTACGGTGGGAGAATTGTTTGATAAGTTCATGAACCTTTTCCCACCAAATAATCAAAGAGATGACCCAGGGTCTCATCATTCAACCAAAATAGGGAATTACTGGTTTTGACATTCACCTTGGGAGGTCGGAGAAATGGACCATGCTGATTATCCACTCACTCGTCCATTAATTCAGAGGTTTATTAAGTACCTACCAAGTACATAAGAATATGCTAGGCTTTGTGGCAGCTGAGACAGAAAGAGAAGGTAATAATGCCTAGAATGTTTGTTATGCTGTACAACTTACAAAGACTTTTCACATCAATTACTTTTTCACAACCAAAGTGAATATTCAGTTCATTTGCACAGGACAGGCATCCCAGGTATGTACGGCCATCGACTATTCTGATTGGCCAGTGTCCTTGTGAACCAGGTATTAAACACAGCATTTTTAAAGACCACCTGTACCCACAGCAATGTGGTGAGGTCACATTTACATTCTCAAAGTATCTAGCCTGTGACCACTTTCTCCTGAGTGGTACTGCCAGGATTAGAACACTCAAGGAGCTCACACTAGAGTTAGAAGAGGAAGATATAAAGAGATCTGAAATAACTTCAGGGTGACATGAAAATGAGGGCTTGAAAGTGTGAGCCAGAGGTAAAATAAAAAATAAGGAAAAGATTGATGGGTACTCAAGGCAAACTTGGTAAAGAATAGCATTTTTTGCTGGGAGTTTGACAGTTGACACAGCCTTGAAGGAAATTAGAGATTTGGACAGGGCTTCTGTCATGGTTGTTATGAGAAGAAGCTCTAGAGACAAAATTTCTGGGTTGAAAATACAGCTTTCCATGTATCAAATGTAGATGATGATAATCACAGTGTCTACTCAAGGGTTTCTGAAGATTAAGAGACAATCTAGGTAAAGCGACTTACACAGAATGTGCTCCACAAATGGTCAGCGTTATTATTTCATTTCCCTTTGTAAATGGCAAATGGTATAGAGCTTCAGCAGAGGCTCTTCAGTGCCACCGGAAACATCTAGGATTCTGAGCTGCAAGCAACAGAAGTCACCTCTGGCTGATGATGATCTGTGAATAGCTAAAAAGAGAAGACTTTTATTGAAAGGAAATTCACAGAATCACCAGAAAGGCCAAAGAACTAGACCACAAAAAGAACAGGAACTGGATGGGTGCGGTGGCTCACGCCTGTAATCCCAGCACTTTGGGAGGCCGAGGAGGGCGAATCACAAGGTCAGGAGATAGAGACCATCCAGGCTAACATGGTGAAACCCCATCTCTACTAAAAAAAATTCAAAAAATTAGCTGGGCATGGTGACAAGCACCTGTGGTCCCAGCTACTCGGGAGGCTGAGGCAGGAGAATGATGTGAACCCGGGAGGCAGAGCTTGCAGTGAGCCAAGATCACTCCACTGCACTCCACTCCAGCCTGGGCAACAGAGTGAGACTCCGTCTCAAAAAAAAAAAAAAAAAAAAAAGGACAGGAACCAGGGACCAGGTTAGGTAGGCTACCAAGATCACAAGCCAATCATGCTGAAGAGCCACCAGGCAACAGTGCTGCTGCTGGAGCTGGACAGTGCTCCACAGCAGCACGGACAGACAGCAGGCACTGCTCTCCCACCATCACAGGCACTGGCTTGTATATCCCCTACAATGTCTCTGTTATTTTGGGTTTTCTGTTACATGCAGCCAAACTCATACTCTATCAAACATTACTAAGAAAATTTGAAAACTTGAAATTCAGCCACTTTTCTCATCATCTTAGATTCCTGCCCCCTGGAAAGGTAGGAAATTGTATCTGTGTGGTGGGACTTTGGCAATGTCTATGTGGACCTTTCTCTCCTGCCTCAAACCCTCCTCCACCCACTGTCCCAAAGACTCCTGAAGGCCTCAGTTCCTGCTGAAATATCCATATCCCTCTGAGGGGTAGCACTTTATGTTGTTGTAAGTTTTTGAATTTGTGAAAGACAGAATTAAGAATGTTCTGTTAAAAAGACAAGAAAGAATTTAGAAATAAAATATGGCATCACAGCATATACATAAGCCTCACACATTTGCCTAAAATTGGCCTGCGTGAGGCTAGATCCAAATAGAATATTACCATCATGACCCCTTCCTTATTGTGAATACCAATGGAAATTTTAATACACTTATGATGTTTGGGGCAGGTCTAACCACCTTTGATCCCAGGCAGAACTCCGACTCTCTAGGAAAGAGAGTCACCTGCATTATCAAGTGAGCACCATGATGTTCTTGAGCCCCATGAAAGGAGCAGGGCAGGGGAAGTTTTCCCTGGGAGAAGGAAAGTAGTCCTACTCCTCCTCCTTCTGTTCCTCCTCCTCCTCCTCCTCCTCACTGTCCCATATATCAGACTCTAACAGATAACACTGAGTCTTTCCCTGCCTTGTCCTTGACTTAACAGACACTTTGATTTATCTAGCAGTTGCTTTTCTTTTCACTTTAGGATCTCATCAATTTTACAGTTTTCAGTTGGCTCAGCCTACCTGTAAGTGAAGGAATCTATACGTGCTTTCTGTCTTCATAGCTTTGGGGAAATGTTTTAAGTGGTATTTGGTGATTGAAAGCAAGACATAATCACCCCATGATATGATTAGTCTTTGTAGTCCCCACCCAAATCTCATCTTGAATTGCAATCCCCGTAATCCCCACAGGTCAAGGGAGAGACCAGGTGGAGGTTATTGAATGATGGGGGTGGTTTCCCCCATGCTGCTCTCACGATAGGGAATTCTCACAAGATCTAATGGTTTTATAAGGGGTTCTTGTCCCTTTTCTTGGCACTTCTCCTTCCTGCCACCTTGTGAAGAAGGTGCCTTGCTTCCACTTTGTCTTCAGCCATGACTGTAAGTTTCCTGAGGCCTCCCAAGCCATCCTGAACTATGAGTCAATTTAAACCCCTCTCCTTTACAAATTACCCAGTCTCAGTCTTGGGCAGTTCTTTATACCAGCGTGAAAATGGACTGATATACCCCATAATGAAGAAACTGATGAAGGCCCCTCTAACAGTTTTTATATCACTGTTAAACCACACAGTCTCACTCTATGTTTTAGAGAGAAATGGCCAACATCATAATTATCAACAGCATAACTCTCCACACCATACCACCACGATGCCATCATGTTCTTTAAACCTCCCACTTAGTGGAAGATGGGTGTGACTAAATTGTCAATCCTGTGGTGTCTCTGGAGAGGGCCAATAAGTGGCATCCCTCTTTGCCTGCAATTGACAAATAAAGTAAAACAGTGGCAGACGGAAGCCAAAATAAAATCTTTATTACAATAAAGACCAAGCAGAAGGATACTATTTAGTATTTGCTCAAAGGAGGTCCAAGTCACATAAAAGCAAACTGCCAGTCAACAGGTTTGTTTAAATACCAGGGTTTTTTAAAATTCCCTTTTAAATAAAGAGCAAATGAGGATAGAAAAGAAACAAGATGGTTCTTTTGTTATTTTAATAGTTTTTGGGTTTTGTCTTGTGTAATTTTTTTCTGTCCCCCTCAAACCCTCCTCCACCCAATGTACCAGGCCTGAAAGATCACAAGGCAAGTGTTAATTCATATCCATGATCTGTAGGTATATGGAGAAAAATTTTTAAATGTACTTTTTTGTTCTTGCTTTTCATTTGGATTCCTCCTGTCAAGGTGCCCAGAATAATGCTTCTGGAACAGATGGAGAAGGCATATGAAGCCATGCTGGGAAGTCATGCTTCCAGAAATGGTGTTCATGTCAGCCGTGTTCTCCAACAGCAAGAACCAGAAGCGCCTACCACACCATCCTCTGGGCCCCGCACATGTGACCACCAGGACCTTTAACATGTGGCTCTTCCTAATATGTATTAGAAATATTACATATTTGTTAATTTGGTGCCCACTTGTAGAGACCCCATATTTTTCACCTTAAGGCCAACATGAACTAAGAGCTGAAGGAAGTGTTGTGGTGACCCAGCAACAGGAGTGAAGGTACATTCTCTACTTTGGCATGATGCTTGTGTTGGAAAGGATCCTGAGAGCAGTTAGGAGGACAGTAGCCACAGCTGCAGCCAAGACGAACAGGGTCACCCCAGAGGAGCAAAACACTATAGATAGCCCAGAGGGACAGCTGCTCAAGAAGAGCACTTGGCAGGCATCTGTAGGACATAAGGATATGGCGGGAAGCACTGAGACTCCAAGGATGCTCTTGTGGTGTCAGAGATTACTGTCTTATTATGGATAGTGTGGTTGGTATTCCTCAATTTTACCTCCAGACTAACGGGACCTGGGGGGAAATGGTCAACATCATAATTACCAACAGCATAACTCTCCATGCCATACCACCACGATACCACCATCTTCTTTAAACCTCTCACTTAGTGGAAGATGGGTGTGACTAAATTGTTGATCCTGTTGGGGGTCTCTGGAGGGGGCTAATAAGTGGCATCCCTCTTTGCCTGCAATTGATAAATAAAGCAAAGGAGTGGCAGATGGAAGGTGAAATAAAATCTTTATTACAATAAAGACCAAGCAGAAGAATACTGTTTAGTATGAGAGCCGCAGAATTAGGAGAATTGCTCTTTTAGGTACTGGCCATGTTGAACTGGGGGAGGGAGTCTGCTCACTGTAGATAGGAAGAGAACTCCTGCTTCTTGCAGGCGGCTGTTTCCCCAGAAGGAAAAGAGAGGGTTGGGTCAAACATGTTCCATTTATTTTTCCTAACTGTGTCAATCAGGCAAGTCACTTTACCTCCTCTGGAGGAAGCGAGTAAAGAGATGAAGAGGGTCCCAAATGCCACACCTTCAACATGGTAAGAAACATCAGGAATGGAGAACAAGCACCTCTGTATCATTGCAAAGGTGAAGAAACCAACAGAGAGAAGTTAAGAGATTTCCCTCATGATACCCAATTAGTAAAAGTGATGCCAAGCCCAATGACACTGTGTCATCTACGTATATGGACTCATCTACATATATGGACTCTCAGGGCAGGAGGGCTCCATCATACCTGTGGTCCTCAGCCATTTCCTAACCTTCCCCATTTGCCATATCCTCACTTCACTTGGCTTCTCAATTTTCACTAGCCTGCGACACTCTCCTAAGTTGATATATAAAGCTAACTGATCACCATGACACAACGCCATCACTGAAGACCCATGTCAATGAAGTCAACTCCAAATTCTTCACAGCTCAACTTATTTGGAAAGGATGTTTGGGGGAACCTGGCAGGTGGTTTGAAATGCAATTTATCTTTCCACTAGATGTCTAGGTTTTATTCTTAAGTAAAGTCATCAAAGACCAATATGTGTATGCTCTTTTTGTCTTGGCCTCATACACAGTTGATGCTAAGACAAAATTACAGAATAAAATTATCTAATGTATTTATTGAAGGGATATTGTTGAGAATACTGTCCATGTTGATATTCAGTCCACTGAAATCAACATACATGTATACACGTACATACACAAACGCACGCACATACACCTTTTCACCCTAAGAATTTTGTTTGTTTGTTTTTTTGATTAGGATACGTTTTGCTTAAGGTCAGTATATTTAATTTTGTTGTAAACTTGTCAATAAATTCTGTTTCCCTTTTCGATTTGGGCATCAGAAAACTCAAAACCAAATTTGTGGTTCAATGTCAGTTAAACAGTAAAAGACGCTAAAGCCTGTGTATCTGCAAATTCTCCCTCTTTTGCAGTTCTCTCTCTTACCATGTCCTCACTCTGTAACAAACATTGTCTTTGCCCTCTGTCCTATTTTTACTCTGAAGACTACAATATTTGTATTCTATTTTATAGTAGGCTATATATTCTTGCAAGAAATCATAAATTCCATGAAAAGACAAAGAAACAAATCCTCTATTTTCTTTCATTGTCTTCAAAAAACTAATTTTAAAATTTTAGAAAAACACTCACTAAATACCTATTACCTGGGCTTTACATTTTAGAATCAATACATAAAATTTAATTTTATATAAATTTTCAAATATTTAACAAGTTTTCTCTTCCATCTCAAATCAAATGTATTACAACTAGAATAGATTTTCTTTTTAAGTTAAGGTTGTTGACTCATAAATTATTACATTCTATTTTTTAACACAGTAATTATTGAAACTTATTTTCTTTTATCACTAAGCTAATTCACAGTGTTAAGCATTCACAGAATGAAGCATTTGACCCAGGTTAGTTCTGTTTTATTTCTATAAACATATTCTAGATACAAAATCAAAATCATTAAATACTTTACTTTGCCACTTTATATGTCATGTAAAAATTATTGGCAGTTAGTAAATTTTGACAAAAGATTCTCACTAAACTCATCTTCCAGAGGCTTTGTCTGTTGGCATCTGCAGCTACATTTAATCTCTTTCATATCCCCTTGCCTCGAGAATGGAAAGGATTTTTTTGGTTCTTGTTTTGGTTAGTGTTTTCCCCCAGAAATATCAACTGTTGCTGTCATTCTTACCAAAGGAGGTTATCTCATTGTTGGTTCACATAAGCCAAGCTTATTTCTTGCAAAATATTTTTTAATAATCCAAAGTCCAACCGCTAGACCAGTTGTCACCAGTTTGGCCTTTAAGATTAAAAGTATAAAAGTGACAGAAAATGAGGCCATTAATTTTATTTCCTGTGTTTACTTATTCTACTCTTAGGTACAGAGTGAAGAGAAACTGTTGAAGGCTTTTTAAAATTTTGGATTTTTTTCAATGTCAAATCATGTAACATTTATTTTCTAAAAAGTAAAATTAGACACTTAGCCCTTATAGTCATGCAGATTAAGTCAAACACTTGACCTTTATTAATTCGTTTCTTCATTCATTCATTGAATAAATATTTACTTGGTACCCACTCTGTGCTGGACATCGTCCTCTGAGAAATTAGGGGAAGAGCAAAGCCATACTGTGGGGGAGGCCAGATAAGCAGAAGCCAAAAGTCGTCGCCCTTGGGGAGCCAACAGGCTGCTTTAGAAAACACAGAACATCAGGGTCTAGCATACAGCAGGTGCTACATAGATGCAAGTTGTATTTAACTGTACCTACCAAAATGATTTCAGGGCTCTAATTCAACAACGTATCAACTCCTGTCCACATGAGTCCAGATCAATCTAAGAGCTGTGTGCGTTTCTCAGAAAGCAAGCCATTAGACCCTGCTAATTTAAATACATCCATTTTATCTCAAATTTTCAGCAAGTAGTCACCTCCTGTTTTTCTCCCCTAAGAGTGTGAAGTACTTTAAGCATGCAGAATCTGGAGTTACACTATATAGATTCTTTTAAAAATTAAGTTATAACTGACATATAATAAAATGCATAGACCATAAGATCTTGAATGTTCACTTCAGTGCATTTTAGCAATTGTATATGCCCATATAACCACCACTTAAACAAGATGTAGACCATTTTTATCACCCCAGAAATATTCCTCATGACCCTTGCCAGGTAACTGCTTTCTGATTTTTATTACTATAGATTATTTTTGCGTGTTCTAGAAATTCATGTAAATGGAATCCTATAGCACATATTCTTCTTTTACACCTGTCTTCTTTCACTCAAGTGGTGTTTTTCAGACGATGTTGCATTTGTCAGTGGTTTCTTCCTTTCTATTACTGAATAGTGCTGCATTGTACAGATAGAACATCGTTTTGTTGATCCACTTCCTTGTTAGTGGAAATTTGGGTTGTTTTAAATTTGGGGCTATTATGACTAAGACTGTTATAAGCATTTGTGTACAAGTCATATTGTGTAGAGGTTTTCATTTTTCTTGGGTAAATACCTAAAATTTGCTATTGCTGGGTCATAGAGTAGACATATGTTCAAATTTTTTTTTAATTATTTTTTTTATTATACTTTAAGTTTTAGGGTACATGTGCACATTGTGCAGGTTAGTTACATATGTATACATGTGCCATGCTGGTGCACTGCACCCACTAACTCGTCATCTAGCATTAGGTATATCTCCCAATGCTATCCCTCCCCCCTCCCCCCACCCCACCACAAGTCAGTGTGGCGATTCCTCAGGGATCTAGAACTAGAAATACCATTTGACCCAGCCATCCCATTACTGGGTATATACCCAAATGACTATAAATCATGCCGCTATAAAGACACATGCACACGTATGTTTATTGCGGCATTATTCACAATAGCAAAGACTTGGAACCAACCCAAATGTCCAACAATGATAGACTGGATTAAGAAAATGTGGCACATATACACCATGGAATACTATGCAGCCATAAAAAATGATGAGTTCATGTCCTTTATAGGGACATGGATGAAATTGGAAACCATCATTCTTAGTAAACTATCGCAAGAACAAAAAACCAAACACCGCATATTCTCACTCATAGGTGGGAATTGAACAATGAGATCACATGGACACAGGAAGGGGAATATCAAATTTTTAAACTACTGAACAGTTTTTCTAAATGGTACCTATAATAGGTGCCATTTTACACTACCTACCAACAAACAATATACCAAAGTTCTTGTTGCTCCACATCCTCACATTTTGTATTGAGAGTCTTTTTTTTTTTTTTTTTTTTGATGGAGTCTTACTCTTGTTGCCCAGACTAGAGTGCAGTGGCATGATTTCTGCTCACTGCAACCTCCACCTCCTGGGTTCAAGTGATTCTCCTGCCTCAGCCTCCCAAGTAGCTGGGATTACAGGCGCCTGCCACCATGCCCAGCTAATTTTTGTATTTTTAGTAGAGACGAGGTTTCACCATGTTGGCCAGGCTGGTCTTGAACTTCTGACCTCAGGTGATCCACCTGCCTCGTCCTCCCAAAGTGCTGGGATTACAGACATGAGCCACCATGCACAGCCAAGAGTCCTTTTTATTTTAGCCGTTATCATGTATGTGAAATGGTAGCTGACTGCAGGGAAATTTGCATTTCCCTTATGACTAACAACTTTTCATCTGCTTCTTGCTATTTGTACATATTCTTTCATGAAATGTCTTTTCAAGATTTTTGCTCATATTTTGTCTTATTGTCATTGATTTGTAGGAGTTCTTTATATATTATGCTTATGAGCCCTTTGTCATATATACGTATTGCATTTTGTTTTCTCAGTCTGTGGTTTGACTATTCATTTTCTTAATGATAGAGCAATACTTACCGGTCCCTTCCCCTACTTAAATTTCTCTGGAGAAGGATGTAGAAGTGCAATCCTTTTAAAATCACTAATCATCAATCCTCTCCTTTCATCATACAAAGAAAGGCATTTCTCAAACTCTTCCTCTTTCCACTCTCTACTCCTTTGCCTATGCTCTTTGCTGAATTTAGTGTGCCCTTAAAACTCTTCTATATTGCCCTCATCTGAATTAATTGCCTCATTATCTAAACACACATAGCACATCTGTCTTCAATCAGACTTCTTCTTGAGCTTGGGTACAATCACATATCTAACCATGTGTACTTAGTGTGTTCAACTGGACATTCCCCTCAAATAATGAGCCTCCAAATGGAAATCTTGATTCCACCCCCTACAAAGATATTCTCTCTGTAGGCTTCCCATCATGATAAGCGGCACCACCATATAACAGCGTGATAAGTGGCACCACCATATACCAGAAACAGGTGCTACATAGATTTCTTAATCCAGAAACTTGAGTATTATTTGACTTTCATATTCAATTCCTCAGACAGGGCCACTGATCTTACTACCCTCCCTCCCTGCAACCCAGGACCTTGAGTGCATCCACTTGTCTCCATTCTACTGCCACACCTTAGTCCAATTACCATCACTTCTCATCTAGATTCCCATTTTGGCTTTGTCATCTTTCTCCCCACTACATTCCAGCTATGTAGTCCTTCATATAGTTTCTAGAACGTGCCAAGATTTCTCTTCTAGATCTTTGCATTTGAAATTCCCTTTGCTTATAATGCTCTTGCCTAGCTCTTCATATATCTGGCTTGAGGGCATCTCTTAAGAGAGGACTTCGACTTCACCAATCTGAAACAGCACCATGTCACCCCCCACCCACCCCACCAACCCTTAGACTTTCTAGCACACCAATTTCTTTATTACCTTCTTAGGATTTATCCCAAACTGTGATCTTATTTTCCTTGTTGCTCTCTCCCAGTAAATTGTAAGTTCTGAGAGGGTGGACTCACATCTTTCTTGTTCACCAGTATACCTCCAGGATCCAGCAAAGTGCCTTGCACATAATAGGTACTTACTGAGCATGAGCATGTGTAGAAGGAAGGAATGTTACCCTTACAAATTTAAATCTAGGGTCATGTCTTTTTCATTTTCTATTCATCCCAATACAGTTCTTTGCAAATACTAGTATAAATGTCTTCTCAGGTGAATTGCACTGACTTCCCTCAATGCTTTGCAATTTGCAAGCTGCCTTACCTTTCTCAAATCAGCTTTTCTGATCTCACTACATATATTCTCCAATCTTTTCCTCCCATAGCTCATCTATATCCTAGGCCCAATGCCAAATGTGTTGTTTCTCTTAGAGATTTGTACACTGCATATATAGAGCCGCATCTATAAGATACCAAATAATAGGGTAAGTAATTATAGGTGCATTCAGGCATTTTAGGGAAGAAAAGCCAGCAGCTTAACAGAGCTGGCTAGTCAGCTCCATCAGACAATAGATCAGGTAGACACGTCCAGACACAAACCCCTTGCTGCTTCCTGTACCTTCTTCTGCCTGGTATCACTCTCTCCTCTTTGAGAGTGTTTGAGTCGGATCCTCTCAGCCAAGTGGCAGATGGAGAAGTTGTTTGCAATAGAGATGAGAATATTTTATCAGACTTCCTACAAATGGGATCCGCTGAATTTTAATCTGCCAGCAAAGCACTAATGAAAAGAGGAGGAAAAGTCTCAACAGGACATCCTGTAAGGTCTCCTCAGGAATCAGTGTGTTTTTGGTCAACAGTCAGTTGATAGATGATAAACTTCCAAGGGCAACTCAGAGAGCCCTGAAACAGATACTTCCCTGGTCTCTCCAGGCGTCCTGTGAAGGCCACAGGGCAGAAGGGAACCTGGGTCAGGAGTCAGGAAGTCTGTATTCCAGACCTGGTTCTGGCCCTGACTCCCTAGGTCACCGCCTGTTGGTGATGTCACTTTCCAGTCTCTCGGTTACTCCATCTGTACAATGGAAAGAATATATCCTATTCTTAGCAACTGAGTGTGAAGATGCTTCAGAAATGAATATGCCATCCAGAGATGAAGCAAAAATTGTTTGTAAAACGAGTATCTTTTGTTCTTTTCTCACTCAGACAACTCCCCAACAAGCTCTAGATTATAATAGCCACTGATATTTATTGAGCAGTTACTATATGCCAGGTATGTGCAGAGCAAATATATGTACACAAAGTAAACTTTGTTGCACATTGCATGAATTGTCTCTTTTAACTGTTATTAAACCCCAGGCAGAGAGATAATAAAAAGGGTACTAAGATATCTGGAAATCAGCATGTCTTAGTAACAGATAGGCAAAAGTTTTCCTATTTAAGTGTTGCCTAGGGGCTGACCAGCAGATGCCTCTGGAAACCAAGGGTCATGGCAGGAAGGGTCATATGCCTCAGGAAATCTTCACAGGCAGATTGAAATAGGGAGCCACGCAGCCACGCTCAGAAGCACATTGCTGCCACCTCTGAAGCACTTCTCCCTCACTTCCTCCATCCCAAATACTAGACACATACACACACACACACACACACACACACACAAATACATACACAAACAATAAGTCCAAATTTCTTGAGTGCTGACTATGTGCCAGAGATTGTGCGAAGTGTTTTTACACATGTTATCTCAATTACTAATCACATCAACCCATGGAATAGATACTATTTTTAGCCCCCAGATGATGAATTGGAGACAGAGAGAATAACTTTCCCGGGATCAGATGTAAGTGGTAGAATTAGAATTTGAGCCCAACCTCACATATACACCATGGAATACTATGCATCCATAAAAAAGAATGAGTTCATGTCCTTTGCAGGGACATGGGTGAAGCTGGAAGCCATCATTCTTACCAAACTAACACAGGAACAGCAAACCAAACACTGCATGTTCTCACTCAGAAATAGGAGTTGAACAATGAGAACACATGGACACAAGGAGGAGAACATCACACCCGGGGCCTATCAGGGGGTAGGAGGCAAGGGGAGGGAGAGCATTAGGAAAACACCTAATGCATGCAGGGCTTAAAACCTAGATGACGGGTTGATAGGTGCAGCAAACCACCATGGCACATGTATCCCTATGTCACAAATCTGCACATTCTGCACATGTATCCCAGAACTTAAAGTAAAATAAAAAATGATGTGGCCTTAAAAAAGAAAAAGAATTTGAGCCCAATCTTTCCGAAATCCAGAACCCGCTTTTCTAGCCTCTACACTGCTTCTCGGTGCCTTTTCTTCCCATTTTAATATTTCTGAATTTTTGTGACTGGTGTGCACACTTAATATAGTAGCAGAGGTTTGGTTTTTTGTTTTTCTAATCCTCAGAAAACAAATGGCTGTAGTAAAGCGATGGTAACTAAGAATGGAGAAAATAGACCTGGGAATATATGCACCACAGAGTAGAAGGGGCACAGGACTGGGAGGCAGAAAATCTGGTTCTCATTTAGGCTCTGCCAGTAGCAGCCATGTGACCTGAGACAAGCCTCTTGGCCTCCCTGAGCCTGTATCTCCTGACTTAAAATAAAATGCAGAAATTGAGCTAGACGACATTACGATTTCATGCCCCTTCTAAATTGCCATATGGAATCAAATGCAAGTGAGCTCATATACATTTATTCTCCTACCAGGAGCTTGGTTTGTGCCTCAGTGGCTCAGGGGTTTAATCCTCATTCACCACATTGGAGACTAAAGGAGTTTCAATGTAAGATCTCTGCCCCAATTGTGCTGAACATTCCTCTCCATCCCAGGCCCTTTCTGTAGCTCTCTGAAAACACAGGCCGGATCCAAGGCGCCTGTTCCAGCATCACTTCTGTTTACCCCACCATCAGGATGGTGTCATTTAGCCAGAGCCATCATTCATAGTCACACCAAATGGCCCATGGAAGAAAAGTTGGTTACACTCGAAGAACAGATGACAAGTGACAGGCTCCGCTCCTGATTTTCCACAATAACAGAAGAGACCAGCAACTGCCATGGTGGTCCAACACCCGAACAAACTACTCTCTTCCAAGCAGCCACGGCCTGCCCATATCTACTTCTCTACAGGGATTAAAGAGCAGTCCCTTGTCCCTAGTGAAGCTCTGCATTTCTGTCTTTCCATATATATCAACTGGGGAGCCATATACAGGTAGCCCCACTAACCTGAGTTCTGCTGCCAAATGACTTTTATTTTGCAAATAAAAATAAATCCCTTCAATTTTTAAGAGATTGTAACTGTTCTCATTCCCCAAAAATGGCAAGAAAGTGAGGTAACGCCTACATTAATTGGCTTGATTTAGCCATTTCACAATATATGCATATATCAGAACCTTATATTGTATGTCATAAATATATACAATTTTAATTTGTCAATTAAAAATTTGAAATATTTTAAAAATTAAATATATTACTTAACTTCTCTGTGTACCCAATGCTGCCATGGTGAGCAGACGTGACACAGAGCGGTGGCGAGAAAGGGCTAGTGACCAAGAATGCAAGGGAGAAAAGGACTCTGGAAGACCTCAGTCAAAAGGAGCAATGGGAGACAGTTAAACGCACCTTGCCAGTCGCCAGGCAGGTCCGCGTCTGCGCCCCTTTATGTTGACGAAGGAAAGGCAAAAGGAGACTTTCCCAAAAAATAACTGGACGTTTGTCTGCTGCCTATGGGATCCACAGAAGTTCCAGGAGTTCCAGCAATCAATCGAAACAGAATTATGAAAATGTTTCCAACCTGCTCTGGGGCAGCTATTAGATTCTAATTTAAAAGCTACTAGAAAGGCCAGGTTCAGTATGTACTCATTTAAGTCTTTTATTTAGCATTTATTAAGTTGAACCATGTAAATGGCTGATATTTGCAGATTTGTGACTTACAAAAGTGGAAAAGCCACATGGTTCAACCAGATCCTTTGTGCAAGCCACTGTCCTGGGTATTGAAGATATAAAGATAAGAAACAGTCTGTCTTCCCAGGGCTATCAAGAGAGAATCCCATAAAGAATTAGTTGCAAATTGGGTGTTTTGGTGCTATGGAAAAGATGTACAGACAAAAGAAGGGGGTAAACATTCAGAAATTCAGTGTCCTGAAGTAGAAGTTTGCTTCTTTCATTAGGATAAGCCCAGATCTCCTAATCTGGAAATCTGGTGGAAAACGCACTAAGCCCCTCTTCTTGCCATCTCAGCATCTGTAGAACGACCAGTGAGCCCAGAATCTCAAAGCAAGCATAAGAGCAGGGTTAATTCCGAACCTGCCAACCTTGACTGAATCTCTTTAGCATTTGTTATTTTTATGAGTCCCTGAATTCTTCCCTTGAATATTAATTGTCTTCAATTCTTTAAGTATATATTAGTTATTACATATTTTTGATTAATATTTGATGGCCACTTAGGCTGCCAAGTGCTCTCATAAATTTCCCAAGTGGATATCTGACACTAGGTAAGTGTGGGAGACCCCTTGTGCAGAGCAAAGACATCAATCATTTTAAGCCTCTGACTCCACACCTTAATACCCAAAGATATATTGCTAAGAAGCCCATAACAAGTCATTAAAAATGAATGTCTTGTGGCAGTTTTCATGCCTGCAGAATTCAGTGAGAGAGGAAAGGGAACCTGAAATGTTGCAGAGGCCAGATAGCTCACTAATACTTGTTTGGACATTTTTTAAAAGATTCCCCCATTTCTCACTCCAGAACCAGCTACGTAATTTGTGGGGCCCCAGTGCAAAGTGAAAATGCAGGATACCTTGGTCAAAACTTATTAAGTATTTGGAGACAGCAACAGCAGAGCATTAAACCAAGCATGGAGCCCTCCTAAGCGTGGGGCCCATGCTTAGCATGTGTAACTGTATGGGTTGCACACCAATGAAGCCAAGACCCTGCCTCTCTCTGCCCTCCCAAGGACCCTCCTCTCCCTCTCATCTCCCTCTGCCTGAAACTTAGTCCCTATCTATAAATGTTAAAAAAAAAAAAAACACCAGCAACGATAATATAATATTTAATGAGATACTACGAGGGGCACTCTATTTTCATTAACTCGTGGAATCAAGAGAGGGTTCATATCACGAATCCTGTAAGTACTATTGTTACCCCCATTCTACAGAGAGTTAATTTCATGTGTCAATTTGACTTGGCCATGGGGAGCCCAAACAAGTCTCACAGCATCTGAGCAAGAAGCAGAGCTCAAAATCAAACCCAGAACTTTCCACTACATCACACATCCCATGAAATGACCCAGGGCCATAAATGGAAACAGAGCCTGGAGCTGATCTGATCTGTACTCTTTGAATGTGTCCTGAAGCCACCAGCTAACTTCATCGAATATACGTTAGTCTTTGTTCATTGTTTACTGATATTCCGATCAAGTCGAGAAATTTAAAGTGAATAAACCCACCTCCATAAAGGGAGTTGATAATGGCTGTGATTCCAGTTTCCCTCTTCTCCTAGATTCCCAGGTCCCATTAAGATTCTTAGGGCTGCACAGGGAACTTTTCTTCTTGTTTCCCTGTCTCTGGCCCCTCTGCCTTCTAATCAGCCCTACGGAACACCATCAATCTGTTTATTGAGCTCTCCAGCACAGAAAACTTTACCTGCACTGAAAATGTAGCCTAGAGTTTCACCAATCTTACAATTAATAAACTATAGTGTAACTTCAATCCTTCCTGCTGTGGTCTAAGGCTATTTCCCAGGGCTCTGGTCTAGTCACAAATACAACCTGAGAACCATGGAAATACATCCCAATGCAACAATGACAGTGACTGAGAATTTCTTCTCTGCCATGACAAATCCTTCTACACTTCCTACACAGCTTCACCCCCTTCCCAAAGCTGTGCATTCTTCCAGCTCCTCTGACTTTCTCATTTACTTCTCTATACTTAGTTCCGTGTTAATTATTTGACCACTAGTTTTAGAACAGGGGCGATTTTACTCCTTCCCTCCTCAGGGACATTTGGCAATGTCCAAAGACTGTTTGGATGGTCCCAGCTGCAGGGGTGCCACTGGCATCTAGTGGAGAGAGGTCAGGGATGCTGCTGAACCTCCTGCAATGCCCAGGACAGCCCCCAATGACAAAGAACGAGCCAGCCTAAATGCTAAGTGTCAGTCATGCCACAGTTGAGAAACTCTGATTTAGACCCAGGGTGGCAAGTTTCTGCCACAAGTGCTCTCCCTCCCTAGTCTCCCTGTGTCCTTTGCTGTCACATCTAGTTGATCAGGGCATTCATGCCCTCTGAGCCTGGTTCTGAAGTTAGAATCCTCCGAACACAGAGCTCCAGGCAGCCTTTAATGAGTGATGGGTGCTGAAATGCAAAATGAACTCGATTGGCCATCCTTGCATTAGACACTTCTTGTGTTGGCCTTGTTTACCAATTCACACAGTAAACCTTTTGAAGCAAAGATCATGTCTTCTATACTCTTTGTAGTCTCCAATAGTGCCAAGGCAAAGAAAGGAAGTGATGGAGAAAGGGAGTGGAAGAGAGGAAGGGAGGGAGGGAGGGAGGAAGCAAAGCAAATTAAAGAGAAAATCAGGGGGAGGAGGAAATAAAATTATAGAAGTAAAAAAGAGTGAAAAATAGAAGAAAGTTCAAACCAGGCACTACTGAGATTAACTGAAGCAGCCCCCCACTCTTTCAGGAGCCTATTTTGTGTATTCTTGAGGAGGCTTTACAAAGTAAAAGGAGTCAACACCATGAATTTCCCATCGTCAAGAGACTGACCATGAAAACCTAGTCACTTTGTTCTTTTAGACAATGCAACTGACTCAGGCTCGCAGTAAGAATTCCCCAGTTTCCCCCAGTCCCTCTCCACCCCAAGTACCAAGCTTTCCTGCCAAGTGGTGAGAACTAGCTGTCGTCAGGTTGTCATCTTTCCAAAGGCCACACGGGGCACCCCGAGGAAGCCGGATTCAGTTTTTCTCCAACATTTGTCAGCCCTCATCTTGGTGGGGATTGTCGATTAAGGCAAGGGCATCCATCCTAGTTAACACCGTAATAAATGGCCAACAATGCTGCCATTTGGTGACGATAAAATCCTAAATAGTGTGTCTTGTTGATAGTCTTGACAGATAAATTCTGAGTGTTTTTATAGCTTAGATCTTCAGAGGAGATTTGGCAGGCCCTTAGTATTTAAGGGCTTATGCCATTAAAATTACACGACCACATGTCTGTTTTGAACTTGTCTCTAATAAATGTGGAAATGTAAGCAAAAATTCTCATGTATACAAAGGGCACATCTCATAAAATAACAAGCCTTATTATTGAGTAATCAAAGTGATCAATTTGTTGGAAGAAAATACTCTTTGAAGGCACGTATAATTTTTGGCACTGTTCATCTTGGGATTTTTTTCCCTCATAGCATTGCCAACTAAAAACCCAAGCACAGTTTGTGCTTCAGATGCTTCCACCCATCTCTACCAGCTGAACTCACCCTACCTAAGGTACAAAGCATTTGCTCAGTGAAGCTTCCCATGCTCAGCTCCCACAGAGGCCAGACTTGCAACCCCCTTCCACTGATTTTTTTTTTAAATTTTCTTGAACATATTCCTATTCTCAGAGTCCATCTGTTAAGTTTTTTAATCGGTGGCATATCTGGGACCCCAGGCCATGCAAAATTCCACAAAGTACCCTTCTTTGTCCATTGTAGAATGAAGTGATCTCTATCTCCTCTCTGCAAAAGAGAGCTGTTTGGGGGAGCTCCTGATCCTTGGAAAGAGAAAATGCAGATGGCAGAAAGAGACCATCCTCCTTCTTTGGATCTTTGCTTGGTTTCTATAGTACTGCCTTTTCCATAGGGCAGACTAGAATGACACAAGTAATGTAACATCAATGAACAACTGAGCAACAGCGTGTGGATACTTCATGAAAGTTTAAAAGAGTTAGCTCAAGTGGGGACTACATGTAAATTCAGTGTTTGTAGAGTCATGGCATTTTCTAAGAAAATTCTAGGAAAGAAGTCATACGACCACACTCTTCACCTTTTCCTCAGCAACTTCAAGCAGCTTGCTTTGTGCCCCTTTCATTTCCAAGCAACTAGGTCTATCGGGGCCCGGTGGGGGCAGTGGCTCTGTTTTTGCTACTACTGCGAAAGCAAAGGCATCTTCCGTCACCTTTGCCTCCTATAGAGAAGAGCCTGGTTCTCATGTTTTCCCCCATCTCAATAGCTCAGGGCTTTGCTAATCTTGCTGAACACTTCAGTTTTTAGATGGTATATCAATGAGGCATTCAAACAGAGCAGTTTATACACAAAAATTCTGTCTGCTTTGTAAAAGATTATCCTTTTATAAACACTCTGCAGAAAACATAAAAGCAAATAAGGGGCAGCACATAGAACAGGAAAGATGTTAGCAGGGAGATTAATACTGAATGGGTCGAAATGAATGGCGCTTACTAAAACGAGGTCCAGATACTTTGGCTGCAGTGAAACATAAATAATGGGAATGACACATCGTTTATTCGGGATAATGAGTTGATCCAGAGTAGAGGCCTAGGACAAGAGATTAAAGATTAAATATCCATCTCCTGATGAATATCAGTAGCCAACTTTAACCTTTTCCTTCCAAAAGTACAATTTTACTTGAACCATTCTATGTGCTTATGCCACAGTACAGAAATAGGATCCTCAGAAAACAACAAATGCCACTTGAATCATTTTCTTACCCTGGTGGAAAATATTGTCTCACGTTTTATGATAGGAAGGGGAATTTTATTTCTAGGCTATAAACCTCTAGATAGTGATTTTTAAAAATAGATTCCTCCCCCCACCCCATATTCTGCATTTGAGAAATCTTGTTTAGGGACTCTTCTCGCATCTCCTCATTAACATCCATTCAACAATAAAGTTTTTCAAAAGAAAAACAAAAGTGAGACTGGCACAACCCAACACAGATTTCACATCACCAGTGAGCTCTATAGAATGATAAAACGAGACAAGCATTCAAAATCTTCTCATCCAAACTCGTCATCCCATCGGTGAGGAAACTGAGGCCCGTGGCCAGGATGTGTCCCAGCCAGAGTCCCACAGCTAGTTAGAAACGGAGCTGGGACTAGTACCCGAGGCCTTCTGGCTTCAGGCCCCGACTCTTCCCACTGCACCCTGCTGCCTCTTTATCCCCTCAAGTTGGAAATAATGACCAAAGCAGCTTGCTGGAAGAGCCAGCACCCCACATGCTAAATTAAAGCCCTGAATTCATGAAAAACTTAGACTATTGGAAGCACTGAATACATAAGAGCTGGAAACGGAAAAGGGGGATGGGAGAAGCTGGAGCAGCAGGGAAAAATAGAAGAAGAGGATGCAAAAGGAACAGACAGCAATCACAGATGCCCGCGATGCCAGACCACAGGCCCCGCCACCTGGGTGTGATTTTAGAGCAGTCTATTGGTGGCCCTTCCCTCTCAAGGGGCGAGAAGACCCATGGCAAGAAGGAATTTTGTCATTTGCCCATTTCTTGGAACTAAGTAGCTGCCCACTGTCAACAAGCCAAGACCAAGAGAGTGGTCTGTGGCTCGTAGATACCAGTGGAGTGGGAGAACAACAAGATTCAAATGTGGCGTTAAAAAATAAAAGAAAGAAAAAACAAACAGAAAAACCCAGGCTACCAACCAGGCAGGAGCAGGAAACCATCACAGGTTAATTCCACAGCCACTCACCTACAGAGAGCAAGGTCAGAATTTGGCTGGCATCCCGTGTGATATCAGTTTGGTGGTTTCAGTCTATGCTCCAGGGAACATTTGTCTCGGTGCCAAACCAACAAGCATGCATGGTTGGCAGGCTGTCCACTGGAGGCCAGGGATGAGGAGCTGTGGAAGTGTATCTATTTTCACTTTGCAAGTATTTGCATGCCAACACCTCGGCCATTGTGGCTCTTTGGAGAAAGAGGGGAATTTATGCTAGAGAGCGAGGCTGTGTTCAGACAACTTACTCCACATTGGGGTGCTGGAGCTAGCAGTTCCATTCCCTCTATCCTCTTGCTTTGGTGAGTATTCTGAAGTTTATCACTTTGTCAGAGGTGAAAATAATTGAGCTACTTCCTAGATAAGAAAGGTATTACTGGGACCACCTGCCAGACCTTCTTAGCAGGTGAGAATTCTTTTTGTGGTTGCCATGTGTATCACAGATTTCCACTTAGATGGGGTAATCAAGAGAAAAAAAGACAAGATATTCACAAGATGTGCAAGTGCCATTTAGGAAAAGGAAGGATGTGTTCAGTAGAAAGCATTTAAGAGGGGTTCTGAAAGGAGGCCAGCATTCATTCAGATCTTTATTTGAGCAGTGAGCATGCTCAACCATAAAGACCCAGAAAGAAACACCACCACCTAGCCTCCCTATATTAAAAGAGTTCCCAAAGGGAGTACCCACTAGTAAGCAGATACACTAATATTTTTTCCAAGAGAGATGAAAAAATTTGATGCAAGTAATTATGGAAACAAGAAGAGAGTAGCTATGGGTGGAAAAGAGAAGAAGGTGGTAGAAGGACTTCCCAAAAGAAGCATCATGCTTTCATTGAATCATTTCATGATGTCCAGCCCTAGTTGAGGTGATGGTTAGCAGCAAAGAGCAGCAAACAACATGGTGCTGTGCTAGGGATGATGTCAGGTTAGAGTCAGAAGGATGATGCTATGTAGACCTTGAACCTATCTGCAAAGAACTTCCAGTTCAACACTCTCGGTACTTAGAAACACAACCCACATTTCCCAGGTGTCACCAATATTCCCTTGTGGATGGGGTCTGTTAGTAGATCTGACCATGGAAAGACTGTAGTCTACAAAGAGAGGTAATTGCATCTTTACTTCTCCAGAGAAAATTTAGTGATTTGAAAAAGCAAAGATGGCTGCCCTCAAATTAATCCCTGATGGACCAATGGTAAGTTGAGCTTGGGAATTTCTCCCAACCTGACATTTAAAAATGTCTATCTACTAGCAAGTAGCTATTGAGGCTTTATAGAAACTCCCTAAATTGCCTCTTTTCCCTCCTATTATCAAATTCTCAGCAAATTACATGATCATTTTCATAGCTTCCAAATGACGTGTCTATATGGTTGTGAGACCAAATTTGTCCTTAAGACCAAAGCTACTGATAACCATTAGGGATCCTGATAGATATTGATAGGCCAAATCCCCATTTTGTTCCAAATATGTTCACTGAAAAAAAAAACCTCAATATTTTCATAGATAAGTGAGAAGAGTGGGAAAGAAGACATCCTCTTTTATGACTAAGACAAGTAGTGAATGCTGGAGGTCCTAGGTCTCAGGTATACTTTCCTAATTCTGGGCCTGCTTCTAGGTGGTTTTTGCTCAGACTGAAGCTATCTTTTTTTTTTTTTTTTAGCAAATTTACTAGTTTTCCTTACTGCATGCTCTACAGACCTTCACTTCCAATTCTAGAGCAGAATTGGAACATGCTTGTGTGAAGTCAGCTAAGTGTGTTCTCTATTGATTTGTTAGCATATTCTTCACAACAAGAATGGACTCACATTTCACACATTCTAGGGCCTCAGTGTCAGCTCGAAGGGAAGAAGAAGCAAGAACTGAAGGAGAAAGGGTCAAGAACTCCAAGAAAAGCAGGTTACAAAACAGTTCAAAGTAGTACATTACGTGACAGCTTCATGCAGACAGCATTGATACTTAAGGGTTCTTAATGGGACAGCAAAAATCTCCAGGGGTGATACCCTGCCTGCCATGACAACTTCCCATCCCTCATTATGCTCTAGCCCAGTAGTTCCCAGTCCTAGCTATATATTAGAGTCACCTGGGGAGCTATAAAAAAAATTCCCATGCCCAGGTCTTACCCAGAAATTCTGACTTAACGGATCAGGGATGGAGCCTGAGCATTGCATCTTAAAACATTCCCATGGGGATTGCATTGCAAGCCATTGTAGTGGGCTGAATAAAGGCCCCCCCAAATATTATATCAAGTCCTACTTCCAGGAACCTGTAAATGTTACCTTTTATGGCAAAATTGGGTTTTGCAGATGGGATTAAGTTAAGGATGTTGAGATGGGAAGACTGCCTTCATTTTTCAGATGTGCTCTAAATGCAGTCACAAGCATCCTAATAAAAGAGAGGCAGAGGGAGACGTGACACACACGGAGGGAAAGGTGATATGAAGATAGAACACAGAGAGATTTGAAGGTTCTGACCTTGAAAATTGGACTGATGTGGCCACAAGCCAGGTAATGCTGGCAGCCACTAGACACCAGAAAAGGCAAGAAAAAGATTCTCTCCTAGAGCCTTGGAGGGAGCACCGCCTTGCCAACGCCTTGATTTCAGCCCAGACATTCTGATGTCAGACTTCTGAACCTCCAGATCTATGAGAAAATATGTTCTGTTATTTTAAGGCACTAAATTTGTGGTAATTAGTTATGACAGCCAAAGGAAACTAATTCAGCAGGTTAGCAACAGCCACTGTAGTCCTACTGGCCTCTGCTAAAGTCTTCAAAAGGCCTCAGTGTTACCTCCAAGACTTTGCACTTGCTTTTTCTCTACCTGTAGCACTCTTTCCCCTTGTCTTCACTTGGCTGACTTCAGGAGGCTTTCCCTGACCCAATCTCAGATTTTGCTTTTTTTTTATTTTTTTTTTTTTTTTTAGGATTTTGTACTTGTCTTTCATAGTACTTACCAGTTTTTAATGAGCTATGTAGTTGTTTATTTATTCAATGCTTTTCTTTCCCACCAGAATAATAAACTACTCTCTGAGAACTATGCTTACATCATTTTATACATCACTGTATTTTCAGTACCTAACATGGTGCCACACACATAGTAAGTAATCAATAAAAACTCATTAAAAAAAATAATAAATGAACTAATAATCTTGTAACACATAGGACTGAACTCCAGATAACAGTCAGGGATGCCAGATCAGAGTCTATCTCCTGGGAGAGGGAATAACAAGGTCCAGGAAGAAAATCTGGGCCCCAAATAAAAAAAATATCTCAGTTCTGACTGTGCTCCAGACTCTGTGGGAGAACTCGAGTGGTGGGGGAGAGTTTTGCAGGGGTTTGTATATGAACACTTGACTCCTGATTTGAGCAGCCAACCACACTTCCAGACTGCATTTGGTATAGGTCATGAGGATCTTGATACAGTACCAGGTTTGACAAGTATTGGCTCAGGAACTGGAAAGGGAAAAGAAAAGAGGTGAAATAACCTTAAGACCTGCAGCAGAACATAACTGGAAACAAGTAGGCACTGACAAATATGTGGACCAGGCAAAACCAATCCATCCCTTTATGTGCATGAAAGACAGGACACTAACTGAAATCCATCAGTCTCTAGGTGCTTTAGTATGTTCCCACTATCCATCTGTCTCCAAGTTAAGAACAACACCTTTTGTGATATTTGTATATGCATCTATTTTTAAAAATCACTTGAGTAAATCTGGAACACGAAGTAAAATCCATTGTACTGTTCCTTACTGACTGCCTGCTTCTACTATAGTAAATAGATGCCAAAGGTAAAAGTGAATGGTGCTGGATGCTGATTTTCAGGGTCAAAAACCAAGCTGATTGTGTTATTAGAACCCCACAAGCTATTCCCTCCCTTCTCTGGCCATTTCTTGGTGAAAAAGCAATGGCAAGAGAGAGGCAACTTTGAAAATCTAGGAATTCCAGGATTGCAAATAGCAATTAAACAAAAGGGCAGAATTAAAAGCCCCATCTTCCGCCAAAAAGGTAGAATGATCAGGTAAGGGAAGAAGAGTCTTGGTAAGGTAGAAATGCTTGGAGGAAGATTTCAGTTAGGTTCTTTTCTCGCAAGGAACAAATTCAACCACTCATGTGAGGGAAAAAAAAAATGATGTTTTAACCATGGCTGTTGTTTTGGTTTGGTTTGTTTTAACTCCTCCAATTTGACCTCAAGAACATGTTGACTTTGTGTTAGTGAATGTAAACATTTCAATCAGAGTTAACAGCAACATGAAAAACTTTTCATCGAGAAACAATTTTCTGGAGCAAATTCTATTGTTTTTCAGCGTTTTCAGTGTTTCAATTTCATAGTGTTTTCAGCGCTCAGTCTGTGAGCACTGTATCTCTGGTTTTTAGCAGTTCCACTATGATGTACCTAAGTGTGATTTTCTTTATATTTACTTTGCTTGGAATTTGCTGAGCCTCTTGAATCGTAATGTCTTTCGTCAGTTTTTAGAAAGTATTCAACAGTTATCTCCAAATTTGTTGCTTCCTCATTGTCTCTCTCCTATCCTTTCGGGATTCCAATTACACATATGTTAGAACCATTTACTATGTCTCACATATTTATTTTGCTTGGCTCCATTCTTTCAACTTTATTTTTCTTTCTGTGATTTAATTTTGCTATTTTCTTTGGGCCTATCTTTGAGTGTACTAATCCTGTCTTCTGCCGTACGCAAGCCAAGCTCTTGCTAAACCTGTCCAACAAATTCTTAATGTCAGCTATAATATTTTTAGGTTATATAATATCTGATTGATCCTTTTACACAGATTCAAATTCTTAGTTGACCTTCATCTTTTCATCTCTTTTGTATGTATTTTTCTGCATTTTATTTAACATATGTATAATAGTTATTTTAAGGCCTTTGAGGTAACTCCAATATCTGGATCATCTATAGGTTTGCTCCTATTGCTTTTTTTTTTATTTTTAGTCATGTTTTTCTGCTTCTTCACATGCCTCATAGTATTTAATTGTATGGTGAACATCATGTGTAAAATAATCTTCGAGACGGCTGTCTTTGTTATTTCCCCCAGAGCATTTGTGCTTTCCTTTGAAAAACAGATAGGGAGAGGGACTATCTCTCAATCACCTCCATCCAATCAGAAATTGAACTGGCTTAGAGCTAGATTGCAGCTTCAGCTAGACTTAGTTCACCTCTGCTTTCAAAAATCTCAAGGACAGTTGTGTGTTTGTTGTAGCTATTCGTCTCAAGGATTTTCCAAGTGCTTTGAGGCAGTGAGAGAGTGAGACACTTGACTCGGCTTTCCAGCCCAGCCTCCTAGTCTCTTAGCATCCCTTCCCCCAGGCCCCAGCACTCAGCAAAGGTCCTTTGGGAAATTGGCTAAGACCTTTAAAATCCCCCAGATCCCAGCTTATCAGCATCCTCTGCAGGTTTGTCTTTTCCTGGTAGAGTCCCTTGGCCTAGCCAAGCCTGACCAATCCACAGTCTGTGAGCGCACTTGCAATAGTCCCTAGGGAAGAAAATGGTCAGTGACCTCAGCTCATCTGTGAAGGGGGCATCTCTCTGGAATTTTAACTTATCTGTAACTTTTTGCTTCCTACATCTCCTATGTCTTTAAAAATATAATTTTCTTAATTTATCCAATTTTTCTAGTTATTACAGCAGAAATCAACAACTTGCCTCAACCTTCTACTCAGAAACACACAAGCACCCATTATTATAAATTAATTCCACAAATAATTTTCTATATAGAATAGTCAGGCTTTTCCTGGTATTTTTGCATTTCATTCTTATTTTACTAACATGATTTTCATCTAGTTCAATTTTTCACCATGTATATTTACAACCAAGATGTGGTTTATTGATCAGTATCTTTGACCATATGAAATTCCATCATTCATAGCATCTGCCATTGTGAGTTTTCATGTGTGACCATAGAATTTTCATCTGTGACCAAGTTTAATTTTACACCTTCGAATTTTGCATATCTAAACTTAGTCAAGAAGATTACATTCTTCAGACAAGTTTTAGACTGTACTACATTTTACCAAGTACAGTTTGTACTTTCAGATATTGTAATTTTTATTTTGTATTGATCATTTTTACCAGTAACATCTATTAAAAACTTAATAAAAGATGATGTCTGTACTTAAGTCTTATTTAATCTCTAAGAAAATTGTGTGCAATTCTTCTCTGATATTCTAAAAATTTTGTAGTATCTAGTGGTCTATTCAGTGTGAATTAAGAATTGGTCTATTGCATTCTTAAAAAATTTCTGGCACAAGCCTGTCTTTATAGAGTAATAATGTCTAGTGTTGGCAGTGCAGAAAGCAAAATGATGAAACTGAAGGGGTAAGCTTGTAATGGCAAGATCAACATGCCTTGCATCATGACTGGAACACAAAGACCTTGGTTGCTGAAACAGCTCTAAGGACTTGGGGTTGACTCTATCTCAACTTGCCATGACCTTTCTTCTCTCTGTGTCTCTGCTCTTGCTTCCTCTCTCAAGAAAAGCCTTCCTTTGATTAGTCATGGTTGTTCTACTCACAACCTCAGATCTCTCAGAGTCCATTATGGCTGCCCTGGACACTCTGTATCATGGTTCATTCAGGTTTCATTTCTGCCATAAATCCTCTCCTCTCATTTGGTATTATGTCTGGGTTCAAATTCCTAAGAGAAGGAGTATGACTAGTCCAACATAGCCAGAAGCCTACAAGGGCCCTAGTTCAGGTATCTTGTTGAGAAATCTCTCTAATCCATTTTTTCTCAAGGTATAATCCACTGATCACCTTCAAATCGGAGGATCATCTTTCCATATTCCATGGCCCCAGGCCTTTCCCTTTCCCCCAAGCATAAGGGAAACCAGGCAAGAAGCTGCCAGGGATCCCTGCAGCCCTTCCCCCACCGTAACCATGAGAAAGCATCCTGGTGTAGCTCAAAAAGCTCTAGTATCAGATGATTTGGGGTTCAAATTCCAATCTCTTTGCCTCTAAACTGATTATGAGTGAGTTCCTAAATTCTCTGAGTCTTAGTTTCCTTGTCTGTAAAATAAGAAAATTAAACTGATAAAAACAGATACTACACTTGGTCTTCACCAAAAGGCCAAGAAGTGATAAAATAAGAAAATTATATCTACCCTCAGAAAGAAATGGCATATATAAAGAGGCTGGCACAGATAAATATTAGTTCCTTTCCTTCTGAGGGCAAGTCTGTAGCACCACCTTCATTTGCAGAGAGGAGAGCAGAATAATAGTGTGTGGCCAGAATCAAACAAAACACATGAGATGATCCCAGGAAATAAATGAATAGATTTGCCAGCAAGAGACATTGTTATTTTTTCTCCCTGCCAAGACGTACTTTCCCAGATATACTGCATTTCTTTGGATAACTCCACAACCACTCAATCCAGATATAGTCTCTCAGGCAGGCAACATGTTTACAGTCAAAATGCTCACTTCCACTTCAAGTTTCCAATCCCCTGCTGCTACTTTCTGCAAACTTAATTAATTTGTTGCAGCTAACATTTGTTCAACCTCACGCAGCAATGGGAAACTGAACGAAACAGGCTCTTGTAAATTAAAAACATTTCAAAATATTGTCTTCTCCCAAGAAAACATTTCTTTTTTTTTCTTAAATTAACACTCCATTTGGATAACTTTAAAGTTTCAAAAGAAAACAAACAAGGAAGTTCCAATTAATGTTGATTGTCTTTAACTATTTCACCGCCATCCATCCAGGCTACCACTCTTATTATCCTAAGCACTGTCATCTTCTTAATAGATATGCAATAGACCCTCTACCTATCTCCTTTGCAATGCTTAGGTGATTATATCACATATGGTCCTAGTGTGAAAATGCCTGCCACACACTCCATCAGTCCGCAGATTAAGATGTGCCTAAACCCTAAGTGATAATGTTGTCTTGGAAAATTAGAAGTGCAAGTGCCATATTGAAGGCAATGATGTGTAGCAAGGGGATATAGCAGATTTTTCTTTTTCTTATTGGTTTGGTTGTTTCACTACCAAGACACAATTACATTGGCTAAGACTAATGTAATAATAGGAAGACTAAATAATACGAAGAGTGGCTAGGAAATGGCCCTGCAAGCAAATGTCACCTTATCCCAACAGATTAATCCAAGGGATTCAGATTGGGGCATTCTGATCTGTTGGCCTGGTTAACAGGCCCAAGGATATGTGTAATCTATCAGGGGAAGCCCCTACAATGACCAATGAGTGTGAAAGAACATCCTAATAGCTGCTCTTCCACTACCTGCCATGAGTTTTGTATAATGTTTCCTTATCAAAAGGGCTCAATAATATTCATTCTGTCTCTAGTGCATGATCGGTGAGGCAGTCTGTGCGGTTCTGCACAGATGTAAAGTGCTGCTGTTGTTGTTGTCATGAATAATGTAGTAGGAAGAGCTTTGAGCCTGGAGTTAAGTGACCTGAGTCCTAATCATAGCTTTGCTCATAAACTGATCAACTCACTTCCTTGGGAGTACATAAGAGAGTATACAGTGACAAAGTAAAAGACCCAATATTGGGGGACTCTTCTAGGGGGACGCTTCTACCGGCTCTGTGAGACTGTGTTAAAAGGCTATCATTGTGTGGAGTTATCAAACAATACTCCGACGTCTTTTCTCTGGTTTTACTCTAAAGTCTTTTCATCTTTTCATATGTGCTGATAATAATGCTAAGATTCAAAAATGTGTCACAAACATAGTTTGAGGACACCTGGTTAAATCAAAGAGATAGAAGGGAGCAAAGGGGGAAACCTAAAATGCAGACATTAATCACTAATTCAGTACTTTTAACTTCTAAGAAATGTGAGGCATAAATGTTTTCAGAGATTCCTGCCAACAGTAATGCTGAGCCAGGGGCAGTGGCTCACTGCTGTAATCCCAGCACTTTGGGAGGCCAAGGCGATAGGGTGGCTTGAGCTCAGGGGTTTGAGACCAGCCTGGGTGACATGGCAAAACCTCATCTCTAAAAAAAAAAAGAAAAGAAAAAGAAAAATTAACCAGTCGTGGTGGTGTGTGCCTGTAGTCCTAGCTAGTCAGGAGGCTGAGGTGGGAGGATCACTGGAGCCTGAGACTTTGAAGCTATAGTGAATTGTGATCGCACCACTGCACTCCATCCTGGGTGACCAAGTGAGACCTTGTTTCAAAACAACAAACAAACAAACAAACAAAAAAACAGTAATGCCAAATATAGGAAACCAATCAAAGCTTCTATGACAATAAGGAAAAAATACTTGGTTTAATTCTGTAAAGAAAGCAATAGTTACTTATGAAAAAATATCTCCATTGTGTCTATGACAGGCATGGTAATCAGCATAGTATTTAAAATATCAGGTTATTTTTATTGTAATCTTTATTTGATTTGCTCAGATGAAGAGAGTAATATAGCATAATCTCTCTCCATATATATGTATATATAAATTATATATATTATTATTATTCAAATAGAGAGATACAGATACTGGGATAGAGATAAAGCATAATCTCTGTCCCTCTGTTTCTGTCTGTCTTTCTAAATATAAAAATATATGCATATATAACATATAATGTTATACATGTAGGTATCTGAATAAAAGTTTATATGTGTATACATCCATATGTATATATGCATGTTTGAAGAGATATACATAGAAGGACAGAGATCATAGACAACTAGTTGCCTTCTAGTTACCAATAGCCCTTCTCTTTACTAAAATAATGCAGACTTTGTTGAATAGCAATATGTCAAACTGAAAATATTTGGAGCGTTGTTTGCAAATAGGGGTGGCTCTATATCTAACTGCTGACCCATGAAAGGTGAGCAGAAATCATGGTATGGAGCTTCTAGGGCAGCACGTTAAAAAGCCAGGCTGATTCAGTCTGCAAGCCCCGTTTGCCCCTTGCCTTCCCACTTTTCTCTGTCTATTGCACAGATGCTGTGCTTGAAGAGGATCGGCCAGATTGTGATTTTGAAGTGACAAATCCATGCTAAGGAGGGCTAAATGAGAAGGTGGGGAGAGGCTGAGTGAGTCTCTGCTCTTACCAAGATTTGCCACATCAATCAGCTTGGGATTACCTGCCTCCATACATCTCACAATATGATAAAAATAAAACCCTTGATTTTTAAGCCTCTGATTAGGACCCTCTGTTCTTGACAGTCAAATATAATTCCTAACTGATGCAAGAGGAACATTGATCCTTACCCTCAAGGCATTTATAGTTTTCTGACAAAACAAGGTAGACATTTATGTTTGACCTAATTAAACAACATAGACTTGCATAGGAGTGAATGCTTATACAAACGCAACCTCTAAATGCCACAGATGTTCGAAACAGAGAGAGAAGACTGTGGACTAGAATTTTTGAGGAACATTTTCATGGTGTGAGAGGGACCTGTGCTGGTCCTAAAGCTTGGGGAGATATTAATAACTAGAGATCTAGGAAGAGAATTCCAGGCAAGAAAAACAGCAAGGATTTCGTCACAAGGTGAAGAAAAGCGTAATTGCTAACTAGCTGACCCAGAAGGAGGAAGACAGACTATGGGGTAGCTGAAGATGAGTTGAATAAGCAGTATGAGACTAGATGACAGCAGCCTTGAAAATCCAACTATGAAATTTGATTTATGGGCAATGAGTAACTGTTCATCATTAATTCTTTATGTCTTTTTCTGGCCCCTTAGCTACTCTCTAATCCCATGTTTTTAGTTACTTATAAGATAGCTCCACAAGATATCCCAATTGAACCTAGATTTAATTTGTCTACAAAAAAACTCACCATTTTCCTTCATCAAGTGGCCAGTGGCATTATTAACCATCCAGGCTTCTAGGGTAGAAATTTTGGAGTTATCTTTGACTTATTTTTCCTTCCCCAACCCCTATATCCAATGCCACCTAACCCCATCCTTCCTTCCTTCGAAATGTCTCTTGAATTCATTTATCTTTCTCTTTTTCTACCATCACCATCTATGGCTGTCTTTTCACTCTGTTTCCCACAAGAGTCTAACAAATCTCCCCACTACACCCTTTCCCTGTTGTAGTCAAACTGCCAGAAAAATCTTCCTAAATGACTACTTAAATCACACTACCCTACCCCTACCCTTCAAAAACCTGGAAGTTCCTCTGCTAAGCTTATGAGACCTTTCATATTATTGCCATCCAACCCATCTACCTTATTTCCTGCCATGCAGGAACCTGAAACCAATGCTGTAGTCATCTGGACCTCCCCAAGACCCTCCCTGACTCTACACTCATTCCCAGTTCCCACCCACTTAGAATATCCACTATTTCCCTTTTTGTTTGTCTAAATACTATTCATTCTCAAGATTCAGCTAACTAACCTCTTCCTCCAAGATTATTTTGATCAACACTGATCTCTTCTTTGCCCAAGTCCTAATCCCATTGACAGTTTAGTGTATACAATGTATTAATTCTAATTATTTATGTGTTTCAAGCTTGCCAGTCAGGTAGATAATAAACTATTCTAAGGTCTTTGAAAACTGGAACCACTTTGCCATCAACTCTTAAGATTGAGGAAATCCTATGCAATTCATCCTTGCTGTTCCCTGTGAAAGTCATCCAGTCTCTGCCAGATCAAATCCAGTGATATAGCCTTCAAGAGAGCAGTTATTCAACAAATATCTATTCAGTTAATAATTTATTAAATTTGTCTGATACTATGTTAGGCAAAAAAAATTCAATAAATATTCATGGATCATTTGATAGAAACAGTTCGCTGATTGAGGTTTACAGATGATGACACTATGAATGTATGTTTTAATAGACTAATCTTTTTATCCGTACCCATGACTGTTGACTCTGCCATGAGAGTTTTAGACACACTAAGTCTATATAGCTTATATTAATTACAAAAACTGAAGGAAGTTCCATTGTTCTGCAGAATTTATTATGGTTTAATGACCACTGCTTATAGTTCAATTAATCCTCATTTATGGACTGATCTACTTTGAATTGCTGGACTATTAACTATACCATTGTTCAAAAGGCAGTAACTATCTTTAGCTGAAAATTGAGAGGTATAGAACTAAACTAGGTGTTTCCAGCCAAAATTCCTAATGAATTCTGACGATCCATATCATCCCTTTTCATTTATTGAACCACTCAATATTATTGTAGTTATTTTGTTTTGATTCAAAGGAAACAGTTCCATTATCAGGCACAAAGAGAGTACCTATTGAAAAGTGAATTTAAGAAAGAAGGATTATATACTTAAAGAAATAACTCATAATCATCTTATAAATAATTGATACCTGTGCTAATTTTGCAAAAACAAGAACACTAAATAATCAATAAATATATATTGTTTTTATATATTTGAACATTTATTATCACCAAATCAACTACATTGCTTTGTTTTAACAGGTCATATGATACATCAGAAAAAACTCCAGATAATGTGTTTTTAAATTTTTCCTTTTATCTTGACATCACTAAATGATTGGGAGTATTCACCATTGAGTTCTTTAATGACAATATCCTTTTCTTTTACAAATGGCTTTGAAGTCTTCCACCGCCTGTTACAAGTATTTGGATACTTCCCCACCAAGGGTGGGCAGGAAGCCAACACAAGCCACCAGGTGCCAATATTACACCTGACAAATTAGCCACACGACTGGAAAAGGGTGGGTCCATCCTCCTGTTAGAGGTTCATTTCCTCTCATTTTCCCATGAACAGGAAGTCATTGGAATGGGGAAAAAAGCTTTCCTTAAAGACCCATCTGACCAAAGGTCTGAACTTGTTAACTCCCTGTTAACAAGCAACTTGAAAGCAAGTTCAAATGAATCACAAGACTGTATTTACATTGACTTGTTTAACCCTGCTGAGGGCCTGGATTCCGGGATGTCGGGATTCATATAACACTCAGGGTGAGGAGTGCGCCTGGATGTCATATGGAATAAGGACAGCTGACAGAGGAGGCGGATGCATGATAGCCCTTGCACAAACCTTGGGAACCTAAAAGACTGAAGATAAGATCTGACTGAAGCCACAGTTTAGGGACAGAACCCTATTTAATTCACCCAATTCGACAAGGTGATTTGAAGAATTTGATCAGAATTGACTGATAGTCCATAAAATGCTACACTGTATTCATACAATACTTGATTCAGCTAAATCCTCTGAACTAATGACTTGTAACTACCTCCTAAAGATCAATTATAAAGCTTGATGAGTGTAAAATAAAGCATAATAAGAGAATGTTTTCCAGCTGAAAAGTAATCCAAAGAATAGAGTTCTACTTATCCTAACAGCATCCCAAGAGATAACTGCTATATTATGTTTATAATGCATAAACACTTGTTAAAATATATTTTATATACTAGTTTTTAAAAAAGTATTCCAAAATGACATAACATAATGTGCAATGTTCTACAACTTGCCTTTTCACCTAACAACATGTTACTGACATCTGTCCTTGACAGTTTATACAGTATATTCATTCATTTTAATTGATATATCCAGTCAACTCCCTTAATTTTTTGCCAACCAGATAGGTACAAAATGGCAACATATACTCTTTTAAATTTTACATGTCTTTTACCATTGAGGTTGAGCATATTTTTCAAATGTTTGCTAGACATTTGGATTTCTTCTGAGAATGACATATTTTATACTTTTTGCCCATTTTTTAAGTGTTAGTTATATTTTTCTCATTAACTTGAAGGCATTCTTTGAATAATAGATAGTAACCCTTTTTTCTGTCATGTATAATTCAAATGTTTTGTCCCAATCTGTCACTTCTTCTTTAACTTTTTTTTTATGAAGTCAAATCTGTCAGGTTTTCCTTAATGGCCTCTGGATTTCTCACCTTGTTTACAAAGACCTCCTAACCTAGGGTTATTTTTTATTAATTTATATTTCATTCTGATACTGGTATAGATTTGATTTTTATGTTTAGAGCTTTATTCCATCTGGAATTTACTTTTGTGTATAGTATGAGTCCAGATGGAGAGCCAGTTGTCACAATACCATTTACTGAACAGTCTCCATTTAGCCACTCATTTGAAATGCCTCCATATTATCTGTTAAATTCCTCTATATTCTTAGTTCTGCTTCTGGACTCTAGCCCTTTTGATTAGTTGATTTTTCTAGCACAACACTTATGTATTAGATTTCTTAGGATGTGTAGTTTGTTTGATGACTACTAGGCGAGTCTTCTCTCAAACTGTTTTTTTTTTTATGACTACTGTCATTTGTTTCCCTTCCAAATGAATTTTCTTTTTTTTTTTTTTTTTGAAATGGAGTCTCACTGTGTTGCCCAGGATAGAATGCAGTGGCACAATCTTGGCTCACTGCAACCTCCGCCTCCCGGGTTCAAGCAATTTCGGATAATTTTTTTTTTTTTTTTTTTTTTTTAGTAGAGATGGGGTTTCACCTTGTTGGCCAGGTTGGTCTTGAACTCCTGACCTCAAGTGATCCACCCGCCTCAGCCTCCCAAAAGTGCTAGAATTACAGGCGTGAGCCACAGCCCGGCCCAAATGAACTTTAGAATAGGCTGCTTACGTTCTATTAAAAACCCCATTGCATTTCAGTTGATAAGAAACTGAGTGAAATGTTACATCTTAAATTCGTCTGATTTAAAGCACAATCAATGTTTCATAAAATAAAATCATACATTTTACAATGCTTTTACAAATTAAACTATTATAATAAATAGGGTATACTGTCATTATTTTTGTTATGTCAAAACTTTCAGGGGATACAAATGGAAACACTTCCTTTTGATTGACTGTTCAATCCACCAAACAGTAGCCTATTCTATGTTAGAAAACTCTAGTATCTGTTATGAGAATACAGAGATACATGTGGCATTATCTTTGTCCTCGAAAACTTACAACCTAGTTAAGAAAATAAGACATATATATATATATATATGATATATAAGGCATATTGATTAATGCATATTGATACAAGGCAGCTTATATGAGGAATCAAATGAGTTACTGTAGAAAATAAGAGCACTAAGAGTAAAAAGGCAGGAGAGTCAAGGCAGAGAAGTTAGAGTGTCTCTCTTATTTTACAAAAAAAGAACGTTTGAGACCCAGACATTTCAAGTCACTGAGCCAAGTAGACAGAAAACATCAGGTCTGCTGATTCTCATCCTTGTGACTTGTCTACTACATCAAATAAAACTCACACTTACAAGTGTCAATATCCATAAACTGGTTTTTCAAAATCAGTTTAAAAAAAAAAGATTGCATTCCGATAACTCCATTACAGGGATTTATTTTCATCTATATGACATCAGAAACCAGATATTAATGATGTTTCACTTTTCAACCAGTGGTTTTGACATAAGAACACATAGCCTATATCTAGGTAATAAAATGGGAGGGTTTTTTTTTTTGGCCCCTTTACACAATTCATCCCCTTGTCATATTTTAAAGCCCCCAGGTAACAAATCCTAAGACCCACAGGAATCTTTACACCAGCAGAGAAGAGATTTCTAAAAGTCAACATCAAATCTACTTTTGATTTTCCCTTGAGTTTGTTTCTGTCAATGTTAGGCAGGTAACACATTTCAGCTTTTAAGCCATGGAGTGATCTTTTTTTAGAAAAAAAAAAATGTGCACTCACAGCTTTAATCTTATATTTCTATGCATATTGAGTTAAATGTTGTAAAACTATCAATTCTGTCAAAACCTACCAAATAGAAAACAAGACACCATGCAATCTTAATGTCCAAACTGACTAGTGATTATCAGAAATTAAATGTGCAGGAATTCCAAATCTTTTTTGATTTGAGATGTCTAGATAACTTTTGTTTTTCCATAATTGTATGAGGTTTCTACATAGTATTTAAGACTCAATTATATTGCAATTGATGTAATTAACTCTAATAATCCATTAAAAGTCAGTAGGAGGGCTATTCAAGTCAATAGAAAAGAAGGAGTATATTATGAAGGTGTTATTAACCTATACAGAATTTTACCAGACATTTTCTTTTCTTACATAATAAATACACAGTGGTTAGGAAGGCTGTCATTATCATTTAATGTGAACAATAGTCCATCACTTCTTTTCCTATGCAACCCTTAACTAATTCCATGTACCATGCACAAGTAAAATGAAACCTTTTCTAATCAGGGTACAGTCATATCAATCATCCATTACTCCATGATTAAAGAAGAGGTCCTTTCTCAGCTAAGTGGAAGAGAATTGGGTACCAGCAGAAGTTTCAAGCCCACCTTCTCTTTCAGTTGACAAGTCTCAGTTTCTGATGGCTGTCTGTACTTTGCAATTAATAAAAGCATAAACAGCCATCCAGAAAGTCCTGTTTAGAATACTCTGGCAACCATTAAATTGCCACTGAAAGCATGGCTACATGTTCCCTTGAACATCAAGTGAACGTTTGAGCATTCTGATCTTTTGAATTAAGGGAGACTAGCCACCTTTACAGCATTCCACAGGTCTACGCTACTTCCTCAGGAGTCCTGTTTGGCTCTAGCTGTGAACCTCACAGACATCTAAAACAGTGAGCCTCAATAGAGCTAACCCTACTGGGACTACAGGTTGCAGAGCAAGTTCAAGGGTCTCAGCTCACTTCCCATTCTTTCTCCATTATTCCCAGTAAAACAAGATGGAAATAAAAGTCAGGGGAGCACAATTTAAATCACACATCACCAAACAGGCTGTCCTTCTCTGAAAGAACTTTCACCTAGCCCCAGTTCCCAGTTGTGCTTTTCCAATCCGATAACGAACAAAAATGTTGTACTCTAATATTTGCATGAAAGAACACTTCATTCATGGTCTTATCCACTTATCCTACTATAGACTTCATTAGGAATACAGACTGTGTTAGCTTCTGCTGGTTTCACATATATATCATGGTAACTAGCCCCAGCTATGTGGACAGCAAGCATTATCAGGAATAATAACACTTCCACACAAAGAACAGCTATGCCTGAAAGAGCTATAGAGCCACAGGGGTTGTAGGGGAAAGAACACCATCCCTGGACTCAGAAGGTGGGATGAGTACAGACTCTGCCACAAATTGGCAAATACTGCCACAAACAGGATCGAAAAAATATCATTCCTCTGCCTCAGCCTCTGTACAATGGGTGGAAAAAGAACTCACATCATAGGCCTGTTATTAAATTAGCCTCATTAAATCAGGATTAAATTAGACAAACATGTGAAATAAGCCTTACAAGAGTCATAAAACATTACACAAACCTGAGATTGTGTTTGTGCATTATTCAAAGTCACAATAAGTTCTTAAAGCCAAGGGAGAAAAGGATAAAACAGCAGTTCTCAAACTTCGGTGCACATGAGATTCATCTCGGGTTTCATTTCAAAGTACACATGGCTGTTTCCCAGGCCTGAGGCCTATTCGAACTACAGGCTGAGAGACACTGGGATAAGGGATTGGCTGAAAATTGATTCCTATTCATTCATCAGATAGTTTAAGTACTAGGAAGCCTTAGAGGATACAAATAATTACAAGATACTGCTCAAATGTCAAACAACTCCGGCTCTACATGTAGAGAGACGACAAATATCCAGAAATGATAAAATGTAAGGCTCTGTGTGTCAAAGCAGAAAAGCAGCCAATGAGTAACACCTCTTCTAGTTTCCCCCTTGAACCAGAACCTAGAAGAGGCTTCATATTCCCGAAAAGGAAATTCTGGTTCACTCTTATTCCTAAAGTACACACTGTCAGTGCTTTCTGGTCCCTTATGCATGAACCTCGCTCCTAGACCTCAAGAGCCAATGTGAGTCCTAGAAGTCTCAGCCAGGAATCAGAGAGAGAGTGTGGATCCCATCCTCTCTCATGAAAAACCAGGCCTCACCGTGAAGTGGCATCTCTCTCACTCAAAAGGTTCATCTCTGATATTGAACAAAGAACCCTTTTCATACCGGAGAACTACTGTTTTCTGAGGCCTAGGTGCAAACTGAGCAAACCAACCACAGACCTGGGCAGTCACAGCAACTAGAACATGAGACTCACCCTCTGAAGGGTCCACTTTGAATCTCCTCCCTACGGCTAGTCCCCGAGAGAGTATTTGGGCACAGCAAAGCTGTGGCTTCAAAGTCACAGTAACCTTCTACATGCCTGGGAGGAGATAGAGAATGTCACCTTCCTTTTTTCTGAAACTCCCACTGTCCCTTTGTACAGGTTCAAGAACACAGAGAAAGGAGACCTGGTCCAAGAAACAAGAGGCCTGGGTTGCCGTTCTGCCCTACCAATAACAGGCTAGGAAACCATCTCTCTTTCTTTAGCCACATCCTTTTCCAAAGAGGAAAATTCAGGAGATTAGCATCTACTCCAGCTACTTCACAAGATGAAAAACTCTTTTGAAAAAGTAAAACATGGCCATGTGCAGTGGCTCACGCCTGTAATCCTAACACTTTGGGAGGCCAAGGCAGGCGGATCACCTGAGGAATTGGAGACCAGCATGATCAATATGGAGAAACCCCGTCTCTACTAAAAACAAAAAAAAATTAGCTGGGTGCGGTGGCACATGCCTGTAATCCCAGCTACTCAGGAGGCTGAGGCCGGAGAATCACTTGAATCCAGGAGGCAGAGGTTGCGGTGAGCTGAGATTGCTCCAATGCACTCCAGCCTGAGCAACAAGAGTGAAACTCTGACTCAAAAAAAAAAAAAAAAAAAGTAAAACACGTCCCTGAAGTACAAGAAATTAATATCAAACCCAAAGTACATTAGTCAATCTTGGAAATATCCAGTTTGATTATGAACATTGTGCCTCAATTCTCTAGATAGTGTTTCATTGTGGCTTTGCTTTGAAAGTATAGGCTGGTCCTCTGATAAGTCACCACCACTGATTCCTTTACAGATAAAGACATGCAAGACTAGGTTACTGGAATTCCCTATGTCTCTCTCTCTCATGCTCTCTCTCTCATGCTCTCTCTCTCTGTCTCTGTCTCTCTCTCTGTCTCTCTCTCTCTCCAGGCCTACAGAAGCTTGAAGTACCCTCCCACCCCCAGCCTCCACCTGCCCACACAGATCTGGAGGCACCCAAGAACATATGACCCCAATCGCATTCATGTGACACCTTTGTTCACCGCCAAATTCACTTGAGAGGGGAAAAAAATACCTCAACCAGGAAATACATCTTTTACAGCTATTTCATCCTCCCCTCACGTGGCGCTGGAATATCGTTTTAAAGAACATTCTTGTGGTATTTCCAGATCTTTTCCTTTAGGACTGCAAACAGGAGTAGCCCATCCAAGGGGAAACTGCTCCCCAGCAGAGCCGTTCTTCAAAGGGGACTTCTTCAGGCAGGAAAAGGGAACGTCTGATACTGGAGCTGAATAAACAGACTCATCAAGCTGAGTGCCAGATTGGAAATCCAGGCGCTGGAGCATGAGGCCCGCCAGCCGCACACCTCATGCATGCTATGGCTCTGTCTCTCTCCTCTCTTTCCTTCTCTCTCTCTCTTTTTTCTTCCATTCTGTAATCTTCTTCACTCGAGTGACTTAGTGATCCTGGGTATACACCCATCGTTTTTCACAACTATTAACTGACTAATCTAATAGGCTCCAGAAGTTTCAAAACCCATTTTTGAATCACAGACTCTTCTACCATCTCCACTCATGCAGTTCACTCTGTCTCTCAACACTCACATCTCCCCACAGCCAATAACCTTCCTCAGAAAGTAGCTCCTTTTAGATCAGGGCAGATTATTCATACACACAATGTTTCAAACCCTGGATACCTGGCTAGTAGAATCCTAGAGCTTGATGGAAACTCCAAAGATTTTTTTTTTTTTCAGGAAAAACTACAAATTTGTAATCTCAGAAAGATCATAGTCTACCCTGGACCTTGAAAGAGTTCATCCCCATTTACAGGTTGGTTCAGTGGCTCACAGTCTATAGTAGAAGTGCTTCCAACTAATTAACCTAAGTTTTTACTACAATTAGTTATTCTACTTGAATAGCTGCTCACACATGAAATTCCAAGCCACAGGTCATAGCAGGCTTAAGCTTAGAAACTGGAATTTATCTTTTCCATACTGGAAAATTTCAGTTTTTTCTTTTAAATTTTAAACAATTATACCAGTAAATGTTGCAATTATTCAGATAATCTGGACATTTATTTTAGTTGTTATCTATACCAGCAATCCCCAACCTTTTTGGCACCAGGGACTGGTTTCGTGGAAGACTGTTTTTCCACAGACCGGGGTGGGGGGATGGTTTCAGGATGATTCAAGCACATTAGAGTTATTGTGCACTTTATTATTATTACATTGTAATATATAATGAAATAATTATACAACTCACCATAATGTAGAATCAGTGGGAGCCCTGAGCTTGTTTTCCTGCAACTAGACGGTCCCATCTGGAGATGATGGGAGACAGTGATAATCATCAGGCGTTAGCTTCTCATAAGGAGCATGCAACTTAGATTCCTCACATACACAGTTCATGAAAGGGTTTGAGCACCTATGAGAATCTAATGCCACCACTGATCTGACAGGAGGCAGAGCTTAGGTGGTAATGCCAGTGATGGGGAACGGCTGAAAATACAGATGAAGCTTTACTTGCTGGCCCGCCACTCACCACTTGCTGTGTGGCCCAGATCCTACCAGATCACAGACCAGGGGTTGGGGACCCCTGTTCTATATTATACATATATCCATACATACTCACATAGACAAACACAATTCCCTGTGGATTTCCCACCTCACAATTTCAGTCCCATTAGAATTTTTTTTCAAATATCCAAAAAAGGCCGAGGGTCTCACTTTTACCACTTTGTTCTTAATGTCTAAACCCTTTTCTAAATATTTCCTTGAGGAAAAATTGTTGGATGATAAATGTCTCGGGGAAAGTTTGTAAAACTCTATAGCAACTAATTTAAAAATGAGAAGTCAGCTGTGTAATTTACTTAGTTTCTATCCATAATTGGCTGCTGGCTCATTCATTATCATCCTTTTGACTATCCTATATAAAATGCCCCTTTAATGGGGCTTATAAACCTAAGTTCCTACAGAAACAACAATAACAAAGAGTCAAAATGAAAAGAATGGTTAAGTAAATATCTGGTCAGTAAGGATCACTGAGCTCCAAAGCATTTTAATTTTTTCCCCATAATAAATGCTTAACCTCAACAATTCAGTCGTATCCCACTCTCTTGTCAATATTTATACATAGAAATTTATCTTTTAAAACACAAGTTGAGCCCCACACTGTGATTCACATTTTCAGAATGCTTGTTTATTCAGAATATTTTTTAGTAATTGCTGTGGAGTAATCATAAGGACAATCCAGTTGTCCTTGTTGTCATTAACCAGCAACAACAAATGTCCCGAGTAACCATGAATTTATAAATTTATTTTAATACTTCCTTAGAGCTGTGTGTGTCTATCTTTGGAGAAAGAGGAAAAACTCTAACTCAGCCACCCAGAGGCTGTCTGACAAACAATACCTGGGTATTTGGCAATAATTCATCAACAAATATATTTTTCATTTTAAATGATTTTTATATAGGCATTATCATCAAATAATTGCCTGTCAAAGTAAGAAGAATAAAGGTCACTGACTCTTTTTAGTCATGAGGACTCTAAAATGCACCTCCTCTCCATTTGACGTGAATAGATTAGGTTCTCCATTGTGCAACCATCGGCACAAACATCACCTTAGACATGCAAAAGGGACAAGGTGGGAGACGTTCATTTAAGTTACCTTTGCCCAGGTTTTATTTGTTCTGCAGATAAAAAACTTTGGACTTCTTTACCCAACCAGTCATCTTGCACAAACAGTAAACTCCCTCAAAACTTTCTGTTCCCATGGGACCCTTGAGAAAACAAAATGAAAAAAAAAAAAAAAAGCATGATTGAAATCTACTTTCTTCGGTCAACATCCTAACATTGAGCAATTTCTTCACATCTTAAAAGGGACTGTCCTGGCGTCAGATTAAGAGTTAGTGAACTCCCTATTGATCAAATAACTGGAACTAGTAGTAACCAGAGTCAGAATTCCGAGATTACAAACACTTGTTCCGTAATCATTTCCCGTTCCTCCCCATAGCATCATGAAGCCCTTATTCATGTTCAATTCACCTTTGGAAAGCAATGGTTTCTAAATTTTTAGATCACATGTGGTAAAAATTTTTGAACATGTCCATCCTATGTATTCTCATTTATAAATTACATATGTATTACTCTATTCTATGCATCAAAAACACATGCACCAAAAAAATCTAAATTTAAGATGAAATAAAACATTGAAATAAATAGAAGGTTAAATATCTTCTTTCTGCACACCAATGGATCATTTTGAAATCTTCATGAGTTATAGATACCCTAAATCTGAGCCCCCTGCTTTAAGAAATGCAGTGAGCTGTCATTCTCCCAAATCCAATCACCACTTTGGCCTAATCAAAAACCTGTTTTCAAGAAAATATCTGCTAGTAGTCAATATCATCATCTGTGAATAAGGACCCATCATTATAATGAGGCTTCCAGGAGTATCTGCATTTTAAGTATATGTCTAATTATGAGAAGAAAGCTTTATTTTGTTTTCATGTGATGTCAGGGATGCCAAAATAATTCACGATATTTGGAGGATTGAAAATGTTTCCTGGTGGCCCTGATCTTGGACAAGTTGGGAAGCTCCTCATCAATGTACATACCTGCATATACAGTGGCAGCAGCAAAGTTAGTAAATACAAAGGTTTAAGCAAACTTAGTAAACAAAAAGGTTTTAAGAACAGCAAATTGGTTAGAAAAGGTAAGGTTAACATGTTGGGTAGGAAATTTTTCTGAGTTGATGAGTTAGATAAAGACTTTCATTAATTCAATTAAAAAATCATTTTTGTCCCAAATAATCAATCACAAGCACTTGCTTAGCTCAAGTACTTACATTTTTCATGAATTTATGAAAACAATTTTCCCAGGGGAAAAGATGAGCAATACTCTAGCTTATTTTCATCTTAGTGGATATGAAGTTGAAAATTTTTTTTTAAAGTCTGAATTATCCATCAGACATATGCGTTGATCCAATTCACCAGGTAACTGCAAAATAGCCTACTTGACTCTAACTTATGAAAACAAAAGGAAAGTGGAGTGGAAAGAGCTGATCAGCTGTTGAGAAGTGTTTCTTATGTATGTTTGGGTACATATACTACACATGCATCTATATATGTAAACACATACATGTAAATTTGTATGTATAGAGAAGCTCCTGCCATTCAGTTTACCATCTAGTTGGGCAAATCACATGCCCATGAAAAATTATGAAGTGATATATCAGCAAGCACAAAATAATATAGCATAAAACATATCGAACAAGTATGTGCTGGCAGAAAAAAGAGTGGGATATAATTAAAATCTGATTATTATAAATTTCCAGGGAAAAACGGGGGGCAAATATTTCAGAAAAATAAATTGGCGTGATGAATGAAAAGAAGTTTAATGTAGCAAATCACACCCTGGGGAAACGGGTTTCACTAATGTGAGAAAAGGACCCATACGGATGAAGTATGAGCTATGAAATTAAAGTTATGGATTGATAAAGGACAATTGGTATGGCAAGCCAAATTTTAGTTTTGCTTGAAACATCCAGGTAAGTAAGGCAACATTCATATTGTTGTTGTTGTTTTGCTTAAAATATCCCATAATTTCTTTTTATGCTGTGTAAGACAACATAAAGATACCAACATAAGAAGGCACAACATAATACTAACCTCATGTCGGGAACTTGACATGTGTGCACAAGAATTGTGCATGCTCTTGGACCTGTTCAAGCTTTGACCTTTGTTTCTGAAATGTCAAGGTATCTCTTGTGTCATCATGAGCCTCCTCCCCCAGCCCCTCATAGTTGTACCACTGAATGGACATAACCTATGCCAGAAACGATAAGACCTGAGATTTGCTGAACACCACCAATTCTTCTGTCAACATTCCTGTCCTGAAATCTCCTTTTACTTAACAAACCTAGATCACTTTCTGTTTATGGCACAAGAGAGAAGAAAGTGGAGGCAAATAATCAATTACTTCTCTCCAAAAGATAATTCTTAGGAAGGAAACTGATACCACCTGTCTAGTTTATCATGCACTGTCTGGGTTCACTTTTTCTTTGTCATTGTCACAAGCTGCTCCACCTGCATACCACCCAAACTGCTAACAAGAATGGAAGCTCATCCGGGGCAAAATCTGACTTTTCAATTTATTTTATATTCCCTGTTATGAGTCAACGAATTCAGTTTCAGCCCCCATGCACATCAGGAACTCAACATGCTTGTTAAGCAAGAGGTGAACACCCCAGTTTTGCTCAGACTGTGTTTTAAAGAATGCATTAAAAAAAGAATTCATGAATGAATCAGCTCATCAAGGTGATCATCAAGTTACAGATCACATACCCACAAATTTCATTCAGTTTGGTTATTGAAAAAGTCAAAATGACCAAACCACAAGTGACCAGAATAGATGTTTTGCACATTTCATAACTAAATAGACTTAATATTGAAATGTATTGCACAGAGTTGGTCGTGAAAACTGTCAAGTCAAAGCTAATTAAACTAGATTTTAACCTCCACAAACCAAGGGGATTGTGCCCATTTTGTCAACATGTTGTACCAGCACATAGCATAGTGTCTGCCACACAGTGGGTGCTTGTGGCAGCTTCTCATTAAGATGAACACATCAATTCTTTCCCTAGTTGAATACACAAATTATTCCCCTCTTGTGAGACCGAATCTATTTGTCCAACTACTGGATCCTGGGTTCCCCCATGATTGCTTTGGCATATACAAGAGGGAAGAAGTGATCTGTATGACTTGCAAGGTTAGGTTTAAGAATTTTTGCAACTTCCACCTGGATTTCTTAGAACACTTGCTTTGAGGAAATCTGTCACAAGAGAAAAGCCTGATTACCAAGAGACCAAAAAGCTTTGCTAACCATGTGGAGAGAGGGAGAGAGAGAGATTCCTGACTAGCCCAATGCCAGACATATGAGTGAAGAAACCTTTAGATGGCTCCAGTCTCAGCTACAATCTGACTACAACCAAACGAGAGACAAGAACTGCCCACCGGAGTCCATCAGTCCCAAGAACCATGAGTGATAGTAATAAATTGTTTCCTTAAGTCACTAGATTTAGGGTAGCTTATTACACAACAATAGATAACTGAAACAGTGTTCAATATTTATTGAATAAGTAAATGGATTGATAAAAGAAAGCCACTTAGAATAAAGGGTTCCCAAATGAACCCAGTGAAATCCATTAAATAAATTATTTAGGTGATGTCAACAACAGTAAAGACTATCAGAAAATTAGACAACTCTGTGGGTAATTAAGGCCAAGAGGAAATCTGCTACAGAATAGAGAAAGTAATTTTTTTGAGAGTGGAATTTTCCAAATTCACTAACCATCTTGACCGTATTCATTAGATGATTGCTCAGTGCCCTACTTCCCTTTCCACAAAGTAAACTCACGATTGCATTTCAGCCATGATCCTAGGGACAAAGGAGAAGAAAACATATTAACCAAGAAGGAACGTGGGGAACCAGAGAAAACAGACTTTGGGGAGCCTGATCTTTCTATGAAGACTCTCACTCTTCTCTCTCTTCCTTTAATTTTGTAGAATAGACTTTGAGCTAGATAACACTGTGTAAAGCAACTAAATATAGCCAGAGATCAGGGTGGGTGGGAATGGAAACAAGAGGCTAAATGTTGGACACTAGCAGCTCTTACCTCATCACATCCCCCATAATTGTGCCATTATGTGCACAGAGCTCTTTAGCTGGATATGGTCACCATTTCATAATGATAAGAAGATCAATTAATGACATGATCCACATCTTTCATTGTTTTGATGGTTGCCAATAAGTCTGAGTCACTCTACCATCATTCTTACCACAAGCACAATTGTTTTTCTTTCATTTTTCTTTTTTTTTTTTTTTTTTTTTGGTGAGGAAAATAAATATCAAGAGGATGTATTTAATCTTCCTTGGAGTTTTAACTTTGTGCCTTTTCAGATGAAACCACATCAGGGTCTGGTCCTCTCTTTTCTGAGTATCCATTTCTTATGGCAGAATAAGTCCTTCTTAGTGCACAAACCCACCCTACCTCCTTCTCAATTACAGAATACTCCCCACCCTGCCCCAACATGAATTCACAAACTCCCCATTCCCAAAGTGATTCCAATTTTGTCAGAGCCCAAAGGCTGTGTTCAAAAGAGGTGCTCTTGCAATCACTGGAAGATGGAAGGGGAAAAGACATTTTTCAGTAGCCACAGGCAGGTTTGTAGGCATTGGCAGAAGGCACATGGAATAAAATATAGAGGCTCTTTGACTAACTCTACGCAATCAACTTCACGATGCAGTTTAAAACAAAAAAGACATGACTGAAGGTCTCTATGGACCCAATAAACCAACCATCACCAAATCTTTTTTATTTGTCTGTACAAACAGGATCCAGAGTAAGCTCAAGGTCACCTGTTGGGCAAGCAGCCCTTCATGGTCACTCTGAGCAGGCTAGGGAGCAAAATAGCTTAAGCTGGGGCAGCATCTAGGGCAGTCATTAAGGAGAATTATCAGATTTGATGGACAAAGTTCTTGAAATCTAGCTTCAACACATGGGAAAGTCTTATTTTCTATTGAATCTATTATCATTTTATTCAAATCAATTCAAAATGATTTATTGTCTGGTATTGTCTGGCACTGGGGATGGAGAATTGTAAGATCTATTCTCAAGGAGCTTTCCAGAGTGATGGGTTATGGAAGTATGACACCTGAATTTCCCATAAGAAGGATAAGGACCATGTGTGCCAGGCATTGTTTTGTTGAGACTCAGTAAGTACCATCTCTGACCCTAAGGTCCTCCCATATTACAAGGACTGAAAGCCTGGAAACTACATTTCCTAAGCTCTCTTGCCCATGGAGTTCTTGGTATAATCTTCCATTGAGAGGTGCTCTTGCAATCACTGGAAAATGGAAGAGAAAAAGACATTTTTCAGTAGCTACAGGCGGGTTTGTGACACACTGGCAGATAGCAGACATGGGGCTATGTGTCAGCTTCTGAGCATCCTTCTGAGAATCATCCACTTCAGTGCTGTAGACAGCTAAGACCATTGGTGACAACTTGGCTTCCCAGGGATTCCAACACTTCATACTTCCTGGAAGTTGACCTTCACTCCCAGCCCTCCCAATGATTTCATAAAACCTCTAATTCCATATATTGTATTCCTTCCTAATGAACTAAAATACTTAGAGAATATTAGTCAGAATGGGATAGATGTATTTCAGTAATAAATACCCTCCCCCCAAACTCTGAATAGTATAACAAGATAAGGTTATTCTTTGTTCAGGACATAGGCTGATTGGCTTCATCTTGTACCTAAGATCTCTGTGGAAGAGGAAGACAGTACATAGAGAAAGCCCATAAACCCTCTTCACTGCTAGAATAAAGTTGATACAGTACTTCTCACATTCCATTAGAAACAAAACAAAACAAAACAAAACAAAAAAACTGGTCTCAAGGCCCCAATTAAATTGTAAGGAAGGGTGAGACTATGGTCTTCCTCTGTGCCCAGAGGGAGGAAATGGTATGATGAGCACATTGCATCTTATCAGACTTCTATTTCTTTAATTAAATCTGATGGTTATATTTGATACTAAATACTGTGTCCTGTAACAAAATTGTAAAATATGTGATATAGACTTCATAGTCAAGTAGTGTTTCTAGAAACAGATATAATAGACTGGATGGCTGGAGATCCATATCATGGAGTGGAAAAACACTTGGCAATATTATTGCCTTTGGTACCCTGAAAGACCACATGACTCTTGAGCTTGTAGGTGAAAAATAACATGTGTTGGTTGCTATTGACTGCTTTTAGGAACACAGTAAAACAATAAGAGGCTATCAGGAAATAATTAACTGGTTTTTGAGCAAAGATAAAAAGAACAAGCATCTACTTCTAGAGCTCCCTTTTGATATCAACTTCTGTATTAGTCAGGGTAAGTAATGCTCACTGCCATAACAAACAATCCCCAAAAGCTCAATGGCTTAACATCTAAAAGTTTATTTCTCACTCACAAAAAGTCTAATGTGGATATTCCTCTGAAAAGAGATTCAGGGATCCCGATTTCTTTCATGTTATGGTTCTACATCTTCTAGCATCAGGGTTATCCTGGCATTATCCAGCCAGAAGATGAAGAAAGGGAAAGGAGAGAGAGAGAGAGAGAGAGAGACTGAGAGAGAGAGAGAGAGAGATTGTCTCTCTGGCTGAGCAATTGCTTCCTAGAAGGAATTCTACACTGTGGAAGGAGAGGCGGATGAATCTTCATTGGTCAGCTAGCCATTTCTGCATTGGACTCCGAAGTTTTCTTTTTGTTTCTTTTTTGCTGCCATGTAATTTATTTTCCCCACTTTAATAGTACAGCTTCCTCCTGTTCTTTCCAACTTCTCTTCCTTTTTCTTTTGACATGCACTTTCCCTTTCATCTCTTATTTGAGCTTGCTTTTCTCTTTTATTTTACTGCTAATAATAATTAACCATAGCGTCCTACTCTCTACTCTGAGTAATTTCTAAGCATGAGGTTGAGAGAAAAAGATGGGGCTGTCATCTAGTGGGAGGAAGTTACTTTAGCACTTTTTCCTGCAACTCAAATAGCATCTGATTCTGACTGTTAGGAGTGATAGGCATTGGAAGGAAGACGTCAAAACAAATCTATATGGCAAATAAGATATTTGCAAGACTGTTGATTTTTTTATGCTTCCTTGATCCAAGTTCTTCAGTTTTTCAGGTTTCATGCTGGCTTTGGGGTAAAAGTTTCCAGTGTTTAGTTATTTTCTCTTTATTCAATTATTAATAGGGACCACTCATTACTGCTGGATGAGAATGGCAAATGTGACTGAAATCATTTTCAACTCTTTAATAACACAATTATAATATTTAGACAGTTTTCTTTCATTTACAGATGTAACTCCTATCCATTTTTAGTTTGGGGAAAGAAATATACATTTTTTTAAATGTGAGATTTGAGTATTTTATCATATGCAAATACCACATCCCCCATAAGAAGCAACCAGCACAAGTAACTATTTCTTCCCTACAAGCTACTTTGCTCTACACTTTACTTTTTGGTTTAGGACAGAAGAATAAGGCTTTAGTTCCTACCCTTTCAAACAATTCCCCGCGTCGAGTCCAGGATCAGTCTGCTCAGAAATTTGAGTTTTCCAAAATGGAGGTTCTTCAAATAATTAAAAATAGACCTTCAATATAATCCAGCAATTCCTCTACTGGTATATATCCAAGAAAATAAAATCAACATCTCAAAGAGGTATCTACACTCCCATGTTCATTACAACATTATTCACAATGACCAGGATATAGAAAAAAACTAATTGCCTGTTGACAGATAAATAAATTCTGTGATATTTACACATATATATACATACGTATATATGCATATATATACGTATGTGTATATATATATTGGAATACTATTTAGCCTTTAAGAGGAAGGAAATCCTGTCATTTATGACAACATAGATGAACTTGGAGGACATTATGTTAAATGAAATAAGCCAAGCACAGAAAGAATATTAGATGATCTCACTTACATGGGGAATCTAAAAGAGTTGAATTCATAGAGGCAGAGAGTAGAGTAGGGGCTCTCAGGGACAAAGGGGTAAGGGAAATGGAGAGATGTTGGTCAAAAGATACAAAGTTTCAGTTATGCAGGATGAACAAGTTCTAGAGACCTAATGTATAACACTGGGACTGTAGTTTATAATACTGTATTGTATACTTGAAATTTGCTAAGAGAGTAGGTCTTAAGTGTTCTCACCACACACAAATAAGGTAACTATGTGAAGACATGCATATATTAATTATCTTGATTTTTAAATCAACTCACTATGTATATGTATATCAAAACCTCACACTGTGCATCTTAAAAATATATGATTTCAATTTTTAAAAAGAAATTTGAGTTTTCTAACTTGAATTAAAATCTATGCTGAGCAAGACTCAACCCTTTCAATTCCACTTCATTATTTGGCAAAGGGTCCTAGTAAAGTCACAGCATCCAGCATCTTTCTATTTCTGTGGATTTTTTCCTCTTTTCTGGTGGAATATTGACATGACACTAGAGCCCTGGAAACTTGACAAGCTTCTAGAAGCACTTTTGAGTATAAGAGCACTGTTTTGTATATTCGGGGCAGCAAAAATCATACCAATACATAATATTCTTTATAATCTTTATATGCTTGCCAGACATTGTGCAAGTATTGTCCCATTTAATCCTCTTGAAGTGTTAAGAGGCAACTATTATTATCATCCTTTTTTAAAATTTTTTTTATTATACTTTAAGTTCTGGGATACATGTGCAGAACGTGTAGGTTTGTTACATAGGTATACACATGCCAGGTGGTTTGCTGCACCCATCAACCTGTCATCTACATTAGGTATTTGTCCTGATGCTCTCCCTCCCCTAGACCTCCACCCCCTGACAGGCCCCGGTGTGTGATATTCCCCTCCCTGTGTCCATGTGTTCTCTTTGTTCAACTCCCATTTATGAGTGAGAACATGCGGTGTTTCGTTTTCTGTTCTTGCCTTAGTTTGCTGAGAATGATGTTTTCCAGCTTCATCCATGTCCCTGCAAAGGACATGAATTCATCCTTATTTATGGCTGCATAGTATTCCATGCTGTGTATGTGCCACATTTTCTTTATCCAGGTGTTCATTGATGGGCATTTGGATTGGTTCCAAGTCTTTGCTATTGTGAACAGTGCTGCAAGGAACATACGTGTGCATGTGTTTTTATAGTAGGATGATTTATAATCCTTCTTATTTTATAGATTAAGAAACTGAGGCTTAGAGAAAGTAAGTCAAGAAGATACAGCTCTTAAATATTGCTTTAAGAACTTCAACTTGACTCTATTTGACTAGAAACCCTGTAACTTAACCACTCTTATTACCAGTCTATTTCCATAAAAATGACCCAAAGATGATGGGAGTTGGACAAAGTCAATTAGCAGAAAAGAAAAAAAATTGCAAATTCTTGTGGAAATGAATCATAGCAATAATAATTACCAACATTTCTTGAGCACTTACTGTATGCCAGGCACTGTTCTAAAGCCTTTGGCTGGACTAACTCATGGAATCCTCACAATGACCCTAAGAGATAAGTGCTATTATCTTTTTTTTTCTTTCAGATAAAACTGAGGCACAGAGAAATTAAGTTACAGGATCACACAACTAGCCATTAGCAGGATGTAAAGTAATTGAAATAACAGCATCATGAACCTATTTGCTACCCATGGAGATAAAAATGGACAAACTGGAAGTATAACTATTGTAAGTTCTTCAGCATGGCTTACCTTCTGTGATCTGCTTACATGGTCAGAACCATCCTTAGGTAACAAGCTTACAAAGCTCTGGCCCAACCTCTGTCCTCATCTGAATGTAGGAAGCTTTGGATGATGTCTGCGTATCCTCAGAACAGTCTCCTAACCATTCCTCTCTCAACCAGACCCGGAGGCATCCAGTGCCAAGGAGCTCTTCTGTCCTATTGAAAGCAGAGAATGGTTCTCTCTGAAATAAGTACAAAGAGCAAGCAAATTTAGTCAGTTTATGCAAAACACAAAATGGCATCTGCCATCTGGAAAAACACACTAAAGCCGTGAGCCGTCAAGCCCCTTTCAAGACTTTGGCATGTAAAATCAACATTTTTTTTTTAAGTCTGAAAGGTCCATGTGAACTTCCAGCTTCATTAAATGTAATTCACCCTCACCACCCCTCCGATTCCTGTTGTTGACATCCACTCACCCATCACACATAGTTCCCCATTTAAAAAAAGTAGATAGGTAAGTAGATAGATAGATAGACAGAGTTTTTTACTAAGTGGTGAAAAGGTCTCTGAGAGATGGGCTTACCAACAGAGGATTTTTAAAGAAGATAATAAAGAAATATCCTTCATAATTACCTTCTTTTTCACATTCAAAATGGTTTAAACAAATAAACTTGCCTTTGTGTTGCCTATATATACTTGGAACCTAGTTTGTCACTGACATTCCAGAGGCCCAAGATTGTGGGTTGATGCTGCTGGTGTCTCTGTGATCACGAACTCCTGATCTTGCCTCCATCTGCACTAACCTCAAGGAGTTCAAGACAGATGAGAACAGGAAGGGCTACTTAGGTTTTGCCTTAGTGCCAGGCTGGGTAAGCAGGGCATCCAGGCAGAAATATGTCCAGCAGACAGGAACAAAAATAAGGTAAGATGCTGTCAATGCTTCCTTAAGAGTTATGTTTAAATGGGTAGGAATTGAGACCTGAAAAGTCACTGATGCAGTGTCAGGGGAAGGCTGATCAAACCAAATGCACTGAGAAGGAACAGAATCACCACTGAGAATGAAGTTATCCATGGTCTTCAAATCAAGGAGGCTGGGGCACAGTCAGAATCAGCGAACAAGACAAGAACACTGGACCAAAACATAAGGAACAGTAGCTAATGTGCAATAAGGGATTCCCATGGCCTAGCTACTTTACATCCGTTAGATCATTGAGTGTCACAAAAATTATAAGAGGAAAGTACTGTGCATATGAGAAAACTGGAGGCCAGAGAGGTTAGGTCAGACTGCGAGAGGAGGTGTTTAGATTTAAATACAGATAGTCTGTTTTCAGAATCTATCCCTATAACCACCACATTTTACTGCCCAGCATATGTATGTACAGCCCAGACTAGAAAGATATAGACCATAGGCTGTTTTCTCCTGGTGATAGAATAACAGGTGACTTTTATTTTCTCCAATGTATTACTCTGTATTTCCACATTCTCTATTTTATAATCAGAACTTTTCAAAGGTTACTGGGATAAGAAACTAAAACTTGCTTAATGGAAAAAAGAACCTGAAACTTGATGAATGAAGACAACGTGGTTTTCTTAGGAGCAGAAAACCATATAAGGCCAGAGGTTGGTGTCAGGATCTGAATAGTACCTAGGATTGGTCCTGGTGCTGTTCAGATCGGAGTCTGCTGCTGTCTCTTTCCATGTCAATCCCATTCCAAGGCAGAGGATCTGTTCCCCAGGTCAGATCATTGGGAGTAGGGGAGGGATTGTGGGGGGCCAGGATGAGGAACGATTCATTTATCCAGGGCTGATCTGATCGGAGCATCAGATTCTCCACTTCTTTTATTAGTCAGCACAATCTATCTATGTGTATTTGACTGTGACTGGCTCATTCCATCATCCTCTGCTACAACATTTAGAAGTGCCTGGTGACACTTGCATCAAAACGACTAGTCCTTTGACCATTTCTTTCCCTTTCAGATTCAGGGAGATGTGCTGAAGTCTTCCAGAAGTCAGTATGCTGCTATAATAGAAACAGATATGAGTTTGGAATCCACCAGACCTCACTTAAAACCTTAGCTCTGTCGCTTATCAGCTGTGTGACTGTGGACAATTTATTTAATCTCTTTGGTCCTCAGTTTCCTCATCTGTAAAATGCAAGATGCTAGGAGGATTGGATTGGCACTATAAATTGTTGTTGCTATTATTATTATCAGCAACAGTAATAACATTAGATACTATCCCCCATGAGTTACAGCAGAAGACCCATTCCTGCCACTCCTGGATGGTTGCCAAGTTGCTGCAGAAAAGATGTGACAATGGACTCCAATATATTATTGAAGTGACATTCTCCAACTCCAGGGCCCGAGGAGCTTGCTGCTATCACAGAAGCTCCTTTAGGCCAGTCTTTTGAGTGTCACTTACACCAGTTTGGAAGTAATCTGCTTGCTCGCCCTTCCAGCAAAGGATGTCATGATCAGCTAATGGAAAGTGACAAGAAGGGATATAATGAATGAGAGGGAGTTAAAGTTTGGGATAAAAAAAGAGCCTTGTTCTTTTGGGGAATGCACAATGCTAAGCATACCATGTTAAATCGTGCGTGTCAAATAATGGACTAATTAAGAATCTTCATCCATTTTTTTCACATCTCATTTTTGTTGTCCTTTCAAAGATGTATTTTCAAATTAGCTCTTAGCTCTTTAAATAAGTACCAACAGGAAATAAAAAGACACCTTGTCTATCAGAGAAGCAAATGATAAACTGAAAAGAAAATACATGGGAAAGAAGATGGAGGTTTTGTGGGAAATGATGAGAAGTTTTTATCATCATAGCAGCAACTTCTTGAATAATGGAATTTAATAACATATAATAAACTATGATCCAGGAGAACTCTGATTCAATCCCACTAATTGTTTGAGCCAGTGAAAGGAAGGCAAAGTTTACCATGCCAACACGCTGCTAATGCCACTAAACACTGCAGGGAACAGACAATTGTTCCCAGCTGCCTACCTCCTCACACAGAGGGGGCACATGGTCCCTGCCCCAAACACCGAGCTGAATCTCCAACTTTCAATGACAATCCTAGTTCTAGGACTTTAAAGTCATAGAAATGTAATTTTTGCAATCAACAAACTATTGTATTAAGCAGAGAATGGAGGGGTAACTAGATACAAAGCCCCCAATTAGATTATAAAGAATAATAACCAATATGCTTTCATGCTAATGCCAAAAAGTACAAAAACCTATTATAAATTTAATTGAGCACATGATCATAAGCACTGTTTTTCTACTTACATAGTTTTGCTGTATTAAGGTAGACTACAAATAAAGAAACACTTTTTTTTTCATTGTTATTGAAAAGGGTGCTTTTTTTTCTTTTCACTTTGGATCATTTGACCAATGTCAAAAAATGGGAAGGTATAATTAAGAAAACAATTATTTTTTCCTGTCTTTACTTAGTTTATATTTAAGTACAAAAATCAAGAAAAAGAATTGAGTCAATTATTTGGATAATTCAGGTCTCTCCTAAAAGTTGAGGTTTCTAATGAAAATATATTATTTTTGCCTGAATTATTCAGATAATGCCCTTAGTTTTCTACTTTATTTTATAGGTGTGGGTCTGTCTATTGATAAAAAAAAAGTCCTTTGTAATAATCTTAAATGATTCTTTAGGTTTTTATAACAATTAAATATATAGGGGTTTTGGTACATAAATCTTATATACCTCAGGAATAAACCATCTAAAATTCTACAGAACATTTTGCAAAGCAGCTATTTAAATTACTAAACCAAAATAACAACAACAACAACAACAAAAAACAAGAGTAAGTATTAACTTTTCTCTCCCAAAAGAGTTCATGAAACCTTAATGATTACATTTGGCGGTAGAAGGAGGAGTGAAATACCTTTGTAAACTGATAGCCTAAAAACAGGAAAATTAGTATTGTGCCACGGCTATGAGCAGCTAATAAAGAGAACATGGTTAAAAGAGATTAAGGTTCAAATTAAGGTCAGAAAAGAGACTGATTGAGGAAAACTGCCATGTTCCATTGCATGGCAGTTTAAGCGAGACAGTTTCCCCCTGAATCAGCCTTAGGTTGAAAAATTACACTGTTGGGGTTAATAAAGAGGCTGGGCATTTGTTTGGACTGAGACTTCAATTAAAATGTTATTTGGGGTAGCCAGAGTTAATGTCTTGCTTAGAGGTAAACTGAACTGCCTTTTAAGAGGATGAAAAAAAAAAAGGAGATGAAGAAGAATAAAAAAGACCACCTAATCTGTCAAAGACCCTGAATAACTGGCAGAAAGAATTGTGTTTGCTGGACCTGTGCCCAACTCAGCAGTAAGCATTCTTAAAGGTTTTGTGACATCATCTGAGGCAGCTGAGGTTTTCTGAGTTTTTGATTGTTGCACTGGGTGAAGAATCTAGTGTTCAGCTGAGCCTTTTTGAGACAAAGAAAAAAATCTGGTTGGTATAATATGCCAAGTTTGGGCTATTTTTTTTAATGCCACAAAAGGGGTGGGACCAAGAATTCTGGGTCTTAGTCTCATGACTCCTCCCCAAAGACAAAAATTGATGGATACAGTTAATTGAATTTCTCAGTCCATACCAATTTGCCCACAGTTAGACAAAAGCCACCAAAGTTTGCTTTCATTTCACTTCTTTAGGGTGAAATAAGTTCCTCTTCCTCTACATTCACTCCTATATTCCATAGAGATTCATTCAGCATGTTTACTCTGGCCAGCATCAAGCATATTTTGGTCAACAAAACACACACATTTCCCAAATTGTATAGGGCTTATACTTTGAGGAAAGGAGGAGCTGCTGATAAGTTATATATATATTTACAAACTGCTAACATTAAAAAGAAACAACGTGGTGATGGAGATAGATTCCAATTCTTTTCAGTATTTTTCTTAACCAATCCCACGAGCAGCAACCTGAAGACCTCATTACAACGGCATGGGGTGGCTAAGGCAGCTGGTTAATGGCAGATACAAAATAGGTGATTTTCTGTTGGGGAGTTGAATTTGGGATCTGGTCATGGAGATAAAGAGAATCAACAGAAAGAGAGGTGGGACAGCCCCAAATAGTGTGGATAAGAATGAAAATTAACTTAAGAATATGGAGGTGATGGGCTTTTTTTTGCCCAAAGAGTGATACAACAGAGCAATGGACTGATAGCTATAGAAGTGCCAAACCAGAAAAGGTCTCTGGGCTAGGGAAAGAGACTATCTCATCGAAGAAGCAGGACCAGATAACAGCACACAGAGGGGTGCTAGGGTCCAGAGAAGAGGAAAAGAACCATTCTTGTCCCTTGTTTCCCTCATGCTGTTCAGTTTTCTAACAAAGTCTAGAAAACGAACACCGTTTGGCTTGATCTCCATTCCAATTGGCCCCAAGTCCAGTTTTTTATTCCACTAAAGAAGATGTTTATGAAAGCATAAGTCCCCTTCTCCCAATTTCACCAAAATTAAAAAAAAAATTTGCTAATCAAAGACATTTAATCTTCAGAATATTCTTGAAGAAGATAAACTTGGTTGAAAGAACAGTGGCAGGCAGTGCCTTAAGCTACTCTGGAGGCTGAGGCAGGAGAATCACTTGAACCCGGGAGACGGAGGTTGCAGTGAGCCAAGACCATGCCACTGCACTCCAGCCTGGGTGACAGAGCAAGACAAGACTCCATCTGAAAAAAAAAAAAAAAAAAAAAACACCACTCCACACAGAGCACACAGAGGCATAATGCAAAATGGGAACGATAACACTTTGAAAACAAAATGCCAATAATGAGATCATTGCAAAGGGAACAGGGAACCAGCAAGCTGAGAAGTAACACAACGTCCACGACTGCTACGTCTGTCCAAGTGGTGGCAAAATCTGCCAGGCCCAGATTGACTTCATTAGTCATTTAGAAGCACATAGATCACAGAAAAAATTCGCCTCCTCCTCACTGAGAAATAATTGATCATCAGTATAAATAGAAAGGAATTAGAACACCAATTCTTTAAAGCATAAATATTTCATTCACCAACCAGTTGTGATTTTGCCCATGGCAATTAAGAAAATATGCAATATTACCACTGGACAGGTGTGAATGCAATCAACTTTAGCAGAGAATCGAGGTGGATAATTCATATTAGATACAGAATTAATGCACAGACTACATTTTCCCAGATGTAATTAAGGAACTTGGGGAGAAAGAAGCACAATTATATAATCCAGTTAGCCCTATTCACATCTCTTTTACTCCTTCAGGTCTACTGGCACCAATGTGATTCTCACTCAGCAAATATTTGTCAGGCACTTTCCAGATACAGGGCACCGTGCTAGGTAATGGGAATTCTACACAGAACAACCTTCTCTCTGAACATCCTCAACTCATCTTCAGTCCTCTCTGTGCCCTTACCCAGCTTGGCTTTTCTCCAAAGTATTTATCACTACCTAACATCATATCATATCTGTATTTGTTTTTTATTCATTGCATCACTTACTAAAATACTAGTTCCATGAAGCAGGGACTTTGACTGTCTTCCTGTGTGGTGTACCCAACATTTAGGCCACATTAAGAGCTCGAAGAATGCTGTTGAATAAATAAGGCTTATGTCCAAAGAGACTATTCATTTCCATTAGAGAAAGTAGAATAAAATAAAACTATAGTTATGAGCATGTATAATTAGGGTTTCTAACCTAGGAAATGAGGGAGGTCTTTCCTGAACAAATGGCTTTTAAGTTGGACCCTGAATAATGAGGAAGAGCTTGTCTAGAGAGGGGGTTAGGAGGCCTTTCAAGGAGAGGCACCAGCATGTATAATGGTATTTGTGGGGTTGAAATAAAGGGGAAAAGACCAGTGATGTGGAATCATGGTGAGGAAAGGGGGAGTCAAGAGATGAGGCAGAAGCCATGGACAAGAGCCAGATTATCCAAAATCTTGTAGGACACGTTCAAAATTGTAGACTTACTCCAAGAGCAATATGGAGAGTTTTAAGCAGTGATATGACCAAAGTTCTTAATTCATGAATCTCTCTGCCAAGCACAAAAGGAAGCATTTTCATGTAAGCATTCTGAAATTGGGCATGAGAAGCTGCTGGAATATTTCAGAACATACAGAAGTAGAAAAACTTAACCATATTTATTGAGTATCAGCCAGAAGCACCTGATTATAATAGGCAATGTGGGGAGGGTGGTGACCACAAAAAGTTGGCAGCCTTTGTTCCTGAAGAGAATGTAGTCTAGCCAGCCCACTACCAAAAGGCAATACACACCCATGGAAAAGTTAGAGGAAACCAAGAAACCACAGATGAACTGACTCACTGTCTCTTTCCTGACTGCCTGAAGGCCATTACTGCCACAAAAGGCCCTTCCTAGTGTGGCAGGACACTTTGCTGCCTCTGCCTCCACCAGGCCTCTCCTGGTTTTCTGAATTCCAGCAGCAAGAGGCCACCCCAGGCCCCCCAAACATGGGACAGATATCCCCCATGCCATTGCACGAGCTGCCCGTCACTCTATCCCTCTTCACGCTCACGGTTGGTCTCCTGCCCAGGACCTAGGAGAACATGACACGTGCCAGGTGCCCAAAAAGTATTTGTTGAATAAATCTTAGGGATTGAGCTAAAATGTCACCCTTATTCCACCTTTCTAGTACACACTTCCTGAGTGCCTGCTTTGTGCTAGGCACAGTGTTGAGGCCTTTCCATGCATTCTCATTTCATCTTCACAACAATCTCATAAGGCAGATATTGTTACTATCCCCCATGTACAGACAAGACAAGCAAACTAAGGCTCAGAGAGGTACAGGGGCTTGCTTAAGAGTTCTCTTACCTTGCAACAGGGACATAAACCCACTTCTGCTCCTCTCCTAAGCCCCCAGTGTGACTAATTACTTGCTTATGTTCACCTCCTTCTTGAAGGCTTCACTGATACACCAAACTACCATGAAGACAAGCCTCCGGACTCCTAAAGTATTTTGTGCCAATGTGTGTCCATAGCCATCCTACCTAATTTCTTCCTGGCACTGTTAGTGTCTCTGGTGGGTCTTGGTATCATCAGTGTTGAGTACAGTATTTGGCCCTTGGTAGAAGTGTAAATTAATATTTTTCAAAGAATAAGTGAATAAAGAAATCAGCTCAAGGCAATCTAATATAAACTCTAAATGTGCCCTTTAAGAAAACTAATAAAGAAAACTTTTTTTTTAGACAGTCTCCCTCTGTGGCCCAGGCTGGAGTGCAGTGGCTGGAGTGCAGTGGCATGATCTCAGCTCACTGCAACCTCTGCCTCCCAAGTTCAAGCAATTCTTCTGCTTCAGCCTCCTGAGTAGCTGGGACTATAGGTGTGCACCACTACGCCAGGCTAATTTTTTTGTATTTTTAGTAGAGACAGGGTTTTACCATGTTGGCCAGGCTGGTCTCGAACTCCTGGCCTCAAGTGACCCACCCACCTCAGCCTCCCAAAGTGCTGGGATTACATATTATAGACGAAAACATTACAAGATTACATATACAAAGAAAATATACTATACATGAATCCAACAGATAGAGTATGATCATGCCCATTAACAAGAATTCTAGAGTCCTTATCCTTTCCCTTATCTCCACCCATTACAGTGTTCCTTTAAAGAATGGTTTATCTGGTAAATTGAATATTTGTTTTATTTTCAAAATTAAAGATGCCAAATTGTACCATTGCATAAAGGGAGAAAAGGGAATCATGAAGACATTTATAAGACTATTCATGAGTCATGGGTCTATGCACAAGCCTAGAGGACATGCAGTTGAGGAGCATGTAGGAAAGAAACTGTTCACTGCCAACTGTTCTCCTAAGAAGAATATGAGAGGTAATGCTTTTTAAACTTGAAATATACTTCTCGGGAATATGTAACACAGACATACAAAAGGTGAAATACTACAAACTAACCACTCTACAGAAATTGTCATCTCCCAGATGAGATTACTACACTAGACACAACATGTTTATTGGCTCACAAAAGACATGTCACCTAACAATTCATAGTAGGGAGTCTGAGGAAAATAACTCACCCATTGTGAAGTCAATGTTCAGATCAATATCCCTTGGGGAGAAAAATATTGCTCATTGATAGAGATTGATTTTTCTTTTCCTTAAGAAAACTCCTGAGGGGTAAACAATATTCTTTTTTTCATAGTGAATGTAACTAAACAAGGCAATGTCAAGGTCTACATTTTCCTAGCCTCATTAGCATGATACTCAAAAATCATGAGTGTAATTATACATGCCTTTTGACCTACTGAAAAATAGATACCAGTTCAATTTTTTTAAATTTCTTTTTAATATCCAAGCAATGGGACTTCAAAGACAACTTGATGTATGTTCTCTGCTTTACTAAACAGCACTATTATAAGTGAGATGCTTTTTGGTACTTTAAGACAATTTTAAAAATTATGTATAAACTAAAAAAAACTGGATCTTATATTTTTTAACCTATGAATTTTGAAAATGTTCTTCCTGCCTTCACCTTACTTTTCCACTCCCATTTGTGCCCCTAAACAATTAAAAAGCATACAGAAGCCTTGGATCTTACATTTTCCAAAGGCCTTCACAAAAGCAAGATGTTTTCATGGGCAGATGGAAAAGAAGGCTGAATGAATTCATTTTATATTTAGCATGTTGGTTCAGACTGGTGAATATTTAGATTTATTTACAAGTCTACAGTAGATTATAGTGTTCAATACATAGACTGTCTTCTTAGGCCACATGTGTGACCAAAAGAAATCTTGCCTTCTACCCTTTGAAACTCAAAAGTTGCATAAGAAAGGACAGATGGATGATTTGGGGAAAAAAGAAATGTCATTCAATTAATGTTTGTTGAAAAGGGTGTCACAGATCATTGGCAGAATTTCCACTCATTGGCAACTCCCCGAAGCAGCCAAAGATTAATTGAACACCCAGACTACTGGGTTCTATGAGGAGAGGAGAACAACAGTGTGTTGGTGATTACAGAGGCTGAGATGTGGAACCAACAGAAGTATAGCTGAATGAACCATCTTCCACATGCAGGAAGAGTGCCCCCACAGCCAAACGATCTTTGTTCTTTAGTCCTGGGATAGAGATGGATTCATATCATACCACACTCTTGTACTCTATTTCTCTTTCTAAAAGAATGTCTTTTTCAAGTGATTTAAACATAAGATTAGGAGCAAAGTTCATTGATTGTCATAGGGTCATGACCTACAACTTGACCTTAGGAAACACTTAAACCACACTGATTATACAGATTTTTCTCATCTAATGGTATAATATCTATAACTACATGCATCTGGTAACATACTAAATGCTGTCTAGAACAACAAAGCAAAGCAAACCAAAAGCCCACAATTTAAATTAAAAAAAAAAAAAGATCTAAGCCCACCTTCGTAAACATGTGCTTCTGTAAGAAGTTAAAAAAAAAAAAAAAGAAAGAAAAGGAAAAGAAAAAAGATCCACCAGAAGTACCAAAATCAAATATTTATTAGTCTTTTAATTTTCTACTTATTTGAAATTCAAAAATAATTTTCATGCTTTGATAGGAATGTGCGGTTGTTTATCATTTCAAAAGCACTTCTCCTTTTATCACGAATCGAAGAAGAACTAACATTGAGAAACAAGGAACCAGAATATTTAGAGATGCTGGGAATAAACTACAAACTAACATGGTCAAGGGAGAGAAAATATGATCCTCTCAGAAGAATAATGTAACAACAATCAGAGCACATCTGGGATTTGATTCAAACCAACCTGGAACCAGATTGGATCTCCAAGCTGTTCTGTGTATACACACACACACACACACACACACACACAGACACACACGCTGAGATTTCCAAAAGTGAAATTTCCAGAAGTTATCCTACAGAGTTAACCCCAGAAAGGACTTCACTGGCAGACACAGGCATAACTTTACTCCTTTTGTGATGACCCATGAGTGGGGTCTATGGCAGTCTGAATAGATGGGCCTTTCTGTTGAAAGATTCTGCCTAATCCTTCCCACCAAAGCAGGGTTCTAAAGGTGTCAGCAGGATTTGGCTGACTGGATCGTTAATGGAGCTATGGTTAATTATTGACTGATTAGGGATTTACCTTATCTTTCCGTCAGGAGCTGGCTCAAGACTTAACGGTAAGCAATTTAGAGCCAGGGTGAACCTACACACATGCCTTTTTCTTCTTTTCCTTTGGGTCACTTTAGCTTGCCCCTCCCCATAATTCACATTCAGGACAGAATGGCCAGTCCTTACAAGGCGTGGGAGTCCTCAAGAGCACCGAAAATGAGAGGGGCCAGGTCCACGTGACAAGTGTCCAGAGACAGAGGCTTAGAGAAATGTGCCTTTTGCAAAACAGTGTTTATGTGTAAAGGTTTTCCAGTTAAGTCCCTGGGAGAAAAAAAAAAAAAAGCACTTGCTTTTTGTCTCTAAAAGGTCTGGTGATGCCCGTGGGTGAGAATCCACCCCGCACTCCCCAAGGCCCCTTGGCAAAGCCAGGGAATGAGTACAGGCAGCTCAGGCCCAGCTGCCCCAGATAAGAGGTGGCCCGTGTTAATGCACAGGCTTCCTCTGCACCTCAGCAGGGCCTTCCTTTTCTAAACAGTCTCCCTTTAATGTTGGCGAATGTTGTTTTTCCATTGACTCAACATCTCGCCTGGTGGTAAGCCAGTGAGGAAAGTTGCAGCGGGGGAGGGGGAAAGTGGGAGAGAGTGATGCCAAAGCAAAAGAGCGGGACGGTCAGCCAGGTTTCCAAACAAGCTAGACACCTGCTTTGGAAAGACAGTGACCAAGCCTAGACTTCTGGCTTCCTCTTCACTTTGATCAGCCTTTTGTTCCCTGCGGGTCTGTGATGGGCTCCCTGCCCCTCCCCTCACCACTGCCCCCTTCACTGGGAGCTACTTCAACTTAGAAACCATCAAAAATTCATAGCTTTTCTCTATGAATGTAACTGTCTTATCTGAAGAAAAGGGAAAACAGTTATTGGAATGCATGAAAGAAGAGAAAGGAATTCTAAGGAAGAGAAGATGGAAGGAAAGTAAGTGAGAAGAGGAAAATTGGAGAGAAAAATAAAGAAAGGGGAAAAGAGAATAGAGGAATAGAAATTAAAGGCAAAAAGAAAAGAATAAAAGGATAGAACAAAAAATAAAGAAAAGGGAGGAGGGCAAAGGAGAAGGACGGCAGAAAAGTGAAATCCAAAAAGGGAGCTTTTCTCCCAGAAGCTCAGTTTCTCAAGCCACAGGACCGTTCCGGGGCTGAGTATGAAGAACAAGGGCTTCTCTGGGCTACCCCAGGTCAAGGGGCATTTTCAAAACCAAATCTTGATTAGAGCCAGCTAAATGTTTTGACTTGAAGGAGACACTGAGGATTATAAAGCAAAATAGAGCAGCATGAGTAAGAAAGAAACAGGAAAAGAAAGAAAATTTTTTTACAAAAACTCATGGGGACACAAAGGGAATGATAGAAAACACTTCTGAATCAGCTAGTCATCTACTAACAAGCTGTAAAGATCTCCAATGACAAGTTGTCACATTAGTTTAGTGAAACTGAAGCAGTACTTATCCCCTTTCCTGTGCTTAATCTCTCCCTGCGTGCCACAAAAACATGCTACCACGTTTAATAGGATTAGTTTCGTTCACTTTCTCCCCCCACCCCTTTTATTTTTTACAATTCTATTTTCAGCAATACAGGGATCCTTGAATTCATCGACTTCCTGTGGTGCACAGTAAACCTGGCATACATGATTTTTACCCTTTAAATACTTTATTTTGAATGTGAAAAATGTAATTTATTTCCTATCTTCCCCCCAATAGCCATAGCTTGGGGTGTGGGGGCAGGTGTTGATGGTAAAAGGGTCAAGACAAAAACAGGGTTATGGAAAAGGGCTGACACAGCCCAATCCCTGCAGAAGCTACTGCCCTAAGCGAAATTGCTCTAGCTCAGACTACAGGCAGACCCGGATTCCAATTCTGGCTGTGCCACTTACTGGCCTTGCGGCCTTGAGCAAGTGGTGAAGCCTTCCCCAGTCTCAGTTCCCTCATTCAAACATGGCGATAATTCATCTCTTGGCTGTTGGGAGAATTACGCATACTATACTTTATTTCCTCACTTCTAAGATTCACTTTTTCTCATATCTTATGTTCCTAAAATCAGTGTCTCACAATCCATTGTGCATTTAAGATCCTCGTATTTTCCTTTTCTCCTAAAGGCCATCTTTAAATGGTGTGTCTTATAATCTACGACATTTTGGAATCAAGAAACGGGAATTTTGGGGTGTAAAGCACCTGTCCCAGTCCTGAGGCGTAGCAGTGCTCAGCAAGTGCTGGGAGTATCCATCGCCGCCCATTTTCACTATGCCTGCTGACTCCTTGCCGCATTCCCACGGAAAGATCACTTTGGAATAGGAGAGAAGAAGGTGTTGACACTTTTGCCCCTCGTCCAGATCCTTCTAGACTAGAGTTTCTAATTGAGGTTTCCGAGATCTGCCTAAATCAAACACCGATCATAACTGCCCATATTGGGTCAGAACCAAAATCCTTCGGTCCACTCTGCTCCCTCAAAGGGTCACCAACTGTCGTGCTTAGCAGTGTCTTGCAAACAGTAATTATCCGATGAATTGAATTATTCTGTTTTCTTTGAGTCCACTTTGGGTTAAGCACCCCCTCCCGCTCTCCCCAGCACCGCCATCAGAAGATTAGCAATGGAGAGAGAAGGGGATGAACTCGCCTGATGGTGGTGGGAAAAGGACGGTGGGGCAGGGAACAGGGACCCAGAGGAGTGAAAGGAGCAGCAGGGCCTAGGGAGGGGACGGAGGAAGATGGAGCTGGGAGGAAGTAGGAAGCTAGCGTGAGGGGCGCTGTCGAGGCGCTGAAGGGGGGCACACACCGAGGCGCAGCCCGCACCCCCAGTAGGCTGAGAGGGCGCCGGGGACCCGCACTGAGAGTCAAGGCAGCCCCGCTTCCCTACCCATAGCGCCCCCCGGGAGATAGTCCGGGACGCAGGGCCCCCGAGGCTGCGGGTCCAAGTCTTTCAGCCAACCCGGGATTAGCGAGCCAGCCGCTTCAAAAGTCTAGGCGAGAGGAAGCCGAGACGCGTCGGCCTTCGCCGGGCTGGAGCCCCTGCCAGATTTAGCCTCCCGCCTGGCCTTTTCTCCGGCCTGCCCCTCCGCCCTTCAAACGACGCTTCCACACGCCCCCTCCCCGCCTGTTTCCCGGGCCTCCTCCGGGGAAACTGGCGCTCTTCGCCCACCCAACTCCCCTCCACCCACCTCCCCCGCGCCCCCAGTTCGAAGTTCCCCCGACAGAGCCCACCCACACTCGCTCCCCCAACTCCACTCCCTTGCCCCTCCCACACACACACAGCTACACACTACCCCTGTCCCGCCCATTCACACTCTGCAGACACACTTCCCCCAGCCCTCCCCATCCCGTTCTCCCCCAACTCACCCACCAACACCCTTTGCCTCTCGGCCTTTGCCCCCTGTCCACCTACAAGTGTAGGGAATAGAGCTCTTTCCACTAGGAGGGTGCTTGGGGAGGAGAAGCCAGAAGTTGCCATCCATTTTTGTACAGTTTGACCCCAAATATGTTTCTCTCTAGTTTTTGGGGGGCGCCCTTTGTTTTTGTCCCCTAAAGTTACGGACTTTTTCCACCTAGGAAACAGGGACAGAGAAAGTAGCCAGAGAGCAGGAACCTTCCACGCTTGCCCAAAGACCACGGACACCAGGAGGACAGGCATCTAGGGGTGATGCTTCCTCTTTCCCTCATTCAGAGAGTGCAGTGCCTTCACCCCGACCCCTGGGGTCCATTCACTAGGGGCTGGGCCCACCGACACCCCACGCTGGCAATCCCTTCTTTACTCCCCCCGCCCCCGGGAATCTACGATTACTTTATCTCAAGCCTTTTGAGGGTACCAGCAAAACACCTTTCTCGGGATGTTTAATAAGCTGCTCACAGGCCTCTGCAGTTGAAAAACTGTCAGCCCTCTTGAGCTGTTGTCTGCTGCTTCAGCCCGTTCCATTTCCTTGGCTTTCTTCCCCCCACTTCTGCAGTCACAGCCGAGCATGGCACCTTCCTGCCCAGCTTCCTTTCCCTTCTCACAGCTGTCCTTGGCTGTCTGTCCCCTAATCACCTTGGGGTATGCTTCTATTCATTGGTTTGAACATAACTTTATGAAAGTTTATATTTTAATTTACATGGATTTGGGGGAGGTTATTGAGTCAAACATGTAAAAACATATAACATATGATCTACATTTGCTTTTGTTTTACCTAGGAATGTTGTCTTTTTTTTTTTTCTCTCCTTCTTGTTGTTCCCTTTTGAAGAGAACTCTTTGTCCTGTGGTTTCATTGGTCTGACCAGCGGTTTCTTTAGGAGATGCTTGCCATCTATAAAACAGGGAGGGTGAACGGGCCAAAAAAAGGTGGGGGTGGGGTGGAGGAGGAAGTAGACTTCAGATTGGTAAATTCCCCCCTTTGCCAGTAGGCCTGATGGACAGTTCTAGGTCCAAAAGCACAGGGCCTAGCTTCCAAATGTGCCAATTCTGATTTATTTTATGGCCTAAAAGACGGGGGAGGGGAAAGCATGTAAAGGTGACAACTATGCATGAGCTAAAATGTGCATACACATACATATCCCATGACAGTCCAGCTGGCTTCACCAAAACGTTGGGGATAGGGACAGGTCCTTATAAGAATACATGTCAGCTCGAGTGTACACAGCACTCATTTGTGGGCAACATACCTTCCAAGTATTGAGCACTAGTCATGTGCTGAACAAGTTTAGTCGTGTAGAAGTCTCTCAATAAATCTATGATTTGGATATTATCCCCACTTCACAGATAAAAAGAACTGAGTCTCAAACAGATTAAGTAACACACTGAAGGTCACAGAGTCAGTAACAAACCAGCTGAGCAGTAATTAAAGACACAGGGTGACCCCCAGATTCCCAGGTCCTTCTTCTGATTACCTCACTGGGGTGGGCCCAGAAATCTTTATTTAAAACAACAACAACAACAACAACAACAACAACAAAACACCCCTTCGGTGATTCCGATGATTCGTCAGGTCTTCGGAAGCACCACTCCACATCAAACCATCCCGCTATTCCTGTCACCAGCCTTGCCTCCAAGCAGCCTACTCCACGTTGGACAAAACATTTAAAACATATTTAAATAGCAATTTCGAAAAACTATACAGCATATGGATTTTCCTTTTGATCTCAAAATGATGACAAACAGACACTTAGATACTTCATAAAAGAAATATTACCAGAAAAAATATAGAAATCTGGCTTTCAACTTCATCTTGCTCTAATTTAAACAAAATGCAACTTTCCAGTTACTCTCTCCAAATGCATCCAAACTGGGAGCGTCCTTCTCTTTTCGCTGCGTCAGGCAGGCACCTACTTATTTCTAGCCCACTCCTCACCCTGAATAAAAGCTTCTGGTAAGATGGACAATATGGAAAACTTCAGTCCTATCACCAAAGCCCCTGAAAATGGAGCACCCCCGAATTCACATCCTTGACGTGAAAGACCAAAGAGAGGGAAGCTGGGAGTAACGGCCAAACATCCTTAGAGTAATTGACAAAAGAAAGGGGGTGGGCAGAAAGGGAGATTTCCATCCCTTCAAACGTGCACGCCCCTCCCGCGGTCCCGGGAGGGAGTCCCCCCTCCCAGGTCGAGCGCGTCCACCGGCTGTCCCCACAGCAACAGGCGGGCGGCGGGGGAGGAGAGGCCGCGGGGGCAGCGCAGGCCTGGCGGCGGCCGAAATCCCCCGGCCACCACGACGTTCCCCGGCTCTGCGGCGCGCCGGGAGCAGGTGGTTGCCCTCTGCGTCCAGGGCGTGTACTGAGCCCAGGCTAGCTGAGCGAGGCTGCAGCCCCTGCGATGGCCCGGGAAGAGGCAAGTGCCGCGGGGCCAGAGCGAGGAGGGACCAGCAGGGCGGCCTGGACCCCCACTTGGCCGCGCAGGCAGGAGGGGCGCGCCCTCTGCGGAGCGCGGCGCCGCGGCAGCCGCAGCATCTGGCGCTCGCTCTCTCTGGCCGGAGAGGCCGCGACACCTAGCGCGGGGCCGAGGCTAGGAAGGGCGGGCCGGGGAGGGAGGAGGGCACTGGGAGGAAGCCGCGGGCGAGGAAGCCCCGCTCCTGCCGAGTGCCTGGAGAGGAGATTCCCAGCCTTCCTGCCCAACCCGAAACTTTTCCAACACACGCAGGCGTATTCCTCGCAGGATTCGGCGGTCCCGAGTCGCAGTCAGGGAGGAGGCTCGGGAAGCACACGTGCCCTGGCACACTGGAGGAGGTACACAGGCACACCAGGAGGGACAGGGCCTCTTGGGAGGCGGCTGAGGGCGTGAAGGCAGCAGGCGGCCACACATCCGAAAGGGACTCCCTGCGAGCGGGATCGAGCGCTTAAAACCCTGCCACAGCTTGGAAGTGTAGCGGTGCCCAGAGGCTTTGCGTAACTTTGCCCACTGCGCCCCCGCGTGCAAAGGTGTCCCCTTCACACTCACACCCTCACCCCATCTCACTCCCCTTGAGTTGCGGCCCGAGACTGCCTTTGTACTTAAGCGACAGCAAAAGATATGTGGATTTGAACCAAAGATGGTGGGCAAGAGTGTTGTAAATTGTGTAAATTCCACTCGCGGGAACCCCCAGATACGTAGGGAGAGCACCCCTTTCTCGCCGAAGGCATCCCCTCCGTTTCTCTCAGCCTTTGGGTTTCCAGCTTCTTCGCTACTATGGACTGAAGAAGACAAAGCACAGCCAAATCAATGTTTTGGGTGTTTTTGTTTTTGTTTGGTTTTTTTAAATCACGGCCTCTCCAAATGCTAACCCTCAAAACGATGGGTGGGGTTGGAGAAAGGCAAGTTATGTCAGGGAGCACCCCTCGGAAGGCGCGCGCGCGGCCTGGCCGGTTCCTCGCCGGGCTCTGGGCAGCCGGGCGGAGTGGCTAGATTATGTAAGTAGCAGCCCTCCATGTGCTCACCACCATCTGTTAATATCTTGGTATTGGAAAGTTCGGTGCCTGAGGCAAAGCCAGGGTTGGCGGCGAAGAGCTCCCAGCCTACACTTCACTACTCCAGGGCAGGGAATGTACTTCCCTTTGATTGTTTTCGCCCACTTCCATAAAATCAAGTAGTAGTGTGTCCCTTCAATCACTGACAACCTCCTCATCCCCGCGGGTGTGTCTTTGTGGGCGAAGAGTGATTTTCTTCGAGGTCAACTTATTGTAATTAGCCCTTTCGATGAAATTATATTTTCATGACAATTCTGCGCTCCTTAAAGCAATGTGGCAGACTCTTATTTGGGAGTGGGTTCTTTATCATTTTAAAAATTACTTTCTTTCTGCCAGCACCCCTGGATCCAAATTCTTGTAAGGGTTATATTTCAACTTCTTTGGAGTGATTGGCTTCTGTTTACTTTGAAAGCTGTTGGTTAAACAAACATCACTCAGGAGGCTTCTAAGCAGTGGGGTTCCCAGGAGAGAAAACGCTGCAGCTGCTACTTGCTACTGATCTTGTGGCATTTCACTTCCCCCCCATTCAGAACAAATCCAGGTTGGGCTTGGCGTCACACTGAGCACAGGAGATGAGAGTGAGAGGCCGTCAGTCAGTTTTGCCTCTAGAAAGCTTGCAGCAGGCAGGCCTGCACCCTGGGGTTGGTTTTCCTCTCTTCCCTTCTTCAGGGTGCTGATAGTGATGGTGGTAGTGGTGGCGGTGGTGGTGGTGGTAGCGGTGGGTGGCTGACCTGGAAGTCCTTAGGCACCCTTTTCCAAAATCCACGTCCACTTTTGCCTCTCAACTGAATCTGGTTGTAATTCTCAGAATTGGTTTGTTTAGGATCTGATAACAGTTGTTTGTAAGGTTTTAAATTACTTATACACACTGTCTTCCCTCCTGCCCCCACCTAACAGCTTTAAGAAAGAACAGGAGGCGTGAGCATACACCGAGCAAATGTCAAGGCGAAGTGTATTTAACCCAGAACCAGATGCATGGGTGATAACTGCGAGTTTGTCTAAGAACACACAGATCACCCTTCAGATAAATAAGTAAATGCAACCTGCACGGATAGAGTGTGTTACAAGACCGGTCAGAACTTGCGTTAACTTCTAAGTTACTGGGGTTGTGTTGGAAGTGGGGCGGAGGGAGGAGTTGTCTTAACCCTAGGCTTGGCGGCTGGTTTCAGAGATGGAGCCAATATCTAGGCGACTCCTTGTCTCCAGGCTTCTCCCCTATCAGAAAACAAAGCGGGAGTCGCCCGAGATAGGGGGCTCGGGCCTCAAGTCTTGTCCAGGGCAGCCCGAGACCCAGGAGAATGCCGCAGCTCTAGCAAGAGAGGTTGCCAGGAGCCTGGCCTGTACGCCTCCCCGACAGTAGAGGACAGGACACGGGACAGGGCTGCGCCGAGGCAGCTCACGGAGCTGGGCTGCGAACCGATCTCGCTCGCCTAGCGTGGCGCGCGCTCCTATTTCAAGTCGCCGCTCCTGCGCCCTAATGCGGGCTGCGAACCGCCGCGGCAGAGCGTCGCGAGCCGGGAGCCTCTGCCGCCGAGGCTGGGGGTGGGAGAGCTTCCTTGTTCGGCAAGCGGGTTACCCCGACTTCGACTCAGGCCTGCTTTTGCCCACGGCGTGACACAGGACTTACTGGGGTTCTCAGGGAACTTTTCCCGCCGCCAGTTCCCGGGCGTGGTGTGTGCAAAACGTGCATTCAAGCGCTATGTGCAATTGACACAAACTTGTGGGCTAAAGTGCAAGCCATTTTTTTCGCGTTTGAATCTTTTTCTCTGTCCCTGACTCCTTTCTTCCCCCTACTCCCCCCTCCTCCTTCTCTGCTCTCCGCCCTTTTAAATGTCAAACTGAGCAGATGGTTTTAAGGTGTGGAAAGGTATATAGCCCTTACTCCTACCAGTTTATTTGTGGGCTGGCGCTAACTTATATGTACAAACCAAGATTCTTAAAGAAAACTAGTAGGACGAAAAATAAGAAAGAAAGTAGCTTTGATCCATTCTCAGATCCCAAGTTTCCCCGCTCAATACACCCGCTTACCTCGAAGGGACCCAACCAATAGAAGCATTATTCCGTCCTGTATCTAATGGGCATGTTGATTATTTCTGCTCCCAGCCTCAACTGTCACATCCCGGTTAGAACACCTGATACAACAGTCAATAGTTGGAGGTGTGAGTGGTGCGTGTGCGCTCCTCTGTGTTGCTTCCGTGATAGACGCGTGGGGGGAGTGTGTGGGGGCGGCAAAAGGGGAAAGAAGAAGGCTGGGGATGCTCCCGCAATCTCTTTTCTTATCGCCGACACCTAACCTGACCGACCTAATTTTTTTTCTCCTTTTCACTGTTTGAAATTCGTGCCAAAAGTTTCCTGCCGGGATAGACTCGGACATACTAACATCGCTATTCTTATTCAAAGGGAGGGCTTAATATCCTCTTTACGGTTTGGTGAATTTGAGGCTGAAATTGTAAATTCCCTAGGAAGGAGTGTGTGTGTGTGTGTGTCGCAGAAGACATTGGTAGTGTTTGGCCAGTGTACTTGTAACACACCTCATAAATACCCTGTTGTCACGACACAGCATGATTCAACCTTTGATCTGATTAAATTTGAGGGACACACGAAGACTACTTGTCCTCCTCCTACTTACAAAAATGAGTGTCTAATAGACTATGTATGAATGTTTCTGCTTCGCAGCTCTTGCAAGTCCCAGCTTTTATAGGATCTTTAGGTCATAAACGCGGCTGCTTTATTAAAAGCCGTTTACTGTGCCCGGTGAAAGGGACGTTCTAGCTGCGGCTGAGGCTCGCTTGCATTTGTAACTTGCAAAGCCCAAGGAGATCTTTAAGAGCCACATTATCTAAAGAAATTTTGCTGGTTATTTTTCAAGCAAGAAATGTCAAACCAAAGTAAATTTTCTAGGGCTTTATTTTAGAGCCTGCGATTTATGCGTTTGAAATTTCTTGCCTAATAAACTTTAAAGTTTGTTGCCCAGGCGTCAAAACTGTGTAAATCCTGTATTGAACAGCTATCTTTGGTCTTTCTGGGGCGAGTGAATTAGTGAAGGGTAATCGCCAGATGTTTGCAACATATATATTTTTAAAGGCTGCTTTACCTACAATCCAACTAATGTCAGAGGTAACCAAGGGTAAATATTCCTCTTCCTGATAATTTGGACTGGAGATAAACTGGGACTCAGCCAATGTTGATCTTCGTCTAATAACAGATGCAGCGGACCCGATGTGAAACCTCTGGCACCTATTATTTTAATACCAAACCTACCTGTATTTTATTGTCCACCTCCCCTTTAAAAGGAACCAAGGGTGACACGTATCCTTGACACTACCTATGATCGTTTAAAAAGTGGAATGATTTGCAGATCCCCCCCTCCCTCCTCCTATGCCACCCCCACCCCTAAAACCCCCACTTTTTCTCCCGTATACTTTTCCGTGCCTTCCTCCACCCAAGTCGGAGGAGCGCTCACTCGCTCGGCCACTCGGCGAACTCGATCAGCTGTATCTGGGAAATGAAAAAAGAAAAAGAAAAAAAAAAAAAAAGACCTGCGTCCTGGAAGAGCTAGTGTGAGCCGGGCGCCGCTCGCGCCGTCTCCCGCTTTGCATAGTGCCCGCAGATGGCTCGCTCCGGCCCAGGCGCGGCGATCCAGTCGTCCCGAAGCTGTGGCAGGGTGGGGGTGGGGGTGGGGGCCGGGGATGGAGGCCGGGGAGGGGGAGCGCAGGGCCCCTCTCCCCTCCTCTCTTCCCAGCCCCTCACCCCCACCCCTTTTATATTTTTTTTTCCTCCCAAGTTCTCTTGCCTTGCTATCCCCCCTTGAATCCGAAGGCGCCTCGCGATTGGGTGCTGGGGCCGGGTACGTCAGATAGACTGTGACGTGCAGTCTTCCTGTTTCCTTCAGCTGTGTCTTAAAGTAAATCTTGTTGTGGAGCGGAGCCCTCAGCTGAGGGAGCGCTCTGAAATAATACACCATTGCAGCCGGGGAAAGCAGAGCGGCGCAAAAGAGCTCTCGCCGGGTCCGCCTGCTCCCTCTCCGCTTCGCTCCTCTTCTCTTCTTTACCCTTCTCCTCTCTCCTCCTCTGCTGCTCTCTCCTCTCCTCCCGCTCTTCTCTCTCCTCCTCTCCTGCTCTCTCCTCTTCCCTTAGCTCCTCTTCTTTTCTTCTCCTCTTCTTCCCTCTCCTCGCCTCTCCCCTGCTCCTCTTCTCTCGTCTCCCCTCCCCTCCCGCCTCTCTCTCCCCTCTCCCTCTCCCACTCGCCCCGCTCGCTCGCTCGCTGTCGCACAGACTCACCGTCCCTTGTCCAATTATCATATTCATCACCCGCAAGATATCACCGTGTGTGCACTCGCGTGTTTTCCTCTCTCTGCCGGGGGAAAAAAAAGAGAGAGAGAGAGATAGAGAGAGAGAGAGAGAGAGAGAGAGAGAGGCTCGGTCCCACTGCTCCCTGCACCGCGTAAGTATCTTCTTCTTCCCCTCGTGAGTCCCTCCCCTTTTCCAGAATCACTTGCACTGTCTTGTTCTTGAATGAGAAAGGAAGAAAAGAGCCTCCCATTACTCAGACCCGTGTAAACATTATTCCCCCCAGGAGAAAATGGTGTTATTCAAATGAATCATAATAAAATAGCCTCTAAACAGTTTCTAAGCGGGAGCCTCCGTGGAACTCAGCGCTCCGCTCCTCCCAGTTCCTAAGAGTAAGTGATCCTCTTGGCTTTTATTTCTTTCTCTTTCCTGCTGGTGGCTGGGGGTGGCGGTGGCGATGGGGGGGAGGCTGATGTTGCTGGACTTGTCGCTGATCTTGTCACCTTTTGTGTACTGTTTCTGGGGTGTGAGGAGGCGTTTGCTCCCTTTCCTTCTTTCTCCTGCTCTCTCTTCTCAGGAGAGAGGACCGCGAGAGGGACCGGGTCGCTTTTTTGTTCGTGGAGATCCCCGCTTTCCGCCAAACCCCATCCTTCCGATCTCCCCAGGCTAAAACTCCGGGGCCGGTCCCCTTGTCCTTTCTCTTTGTCTTGTTTATTATAGCTGCCTTTCTTCCCGGCTCTTCCAATTTGCTTGTCATTTGCATACCTTTCACTTCTCCTTTTTTAACCCCAGCAGAGGACCGGGAACTGGGAGGAGGAGAGAGGGAGGTGGGGGGGCGCTCTGTTACTTTCGTCTCAAAACGCTGTCGAAGCCGAATTGTGGAAATCCGGCTTGGAGGGGAGCGGTGATGGGTCCCGGGAAACGCGCGCGGCGCCCCTCTTCCGAGCTCCTGGACCCAGGGCTGGGTCAAGTTGAGTAGGGTAAGGCGGCACCGGGAGGCTCGGGGGGTCGCGTGGCGGTGGGATTGGGACACCAGCACGAGGAGGACCGGAGGATCGCGGGCCGGGTAAGAGTAGGGGGTTCTTGGGCAGCAGAAATGGGAGGCGATGAATCTCCCAGCCATCGCTGGCAGACTATGGTGTTGGGCAGCTTCGGTCTGGTCTCGTCTGGGTGGTACCTACCGTTTTGCCCCAGTTAGGAGGACTGGGGAGGGAGGACAGGAGAGGTGAGAGTAATTGTTACTGGGAAGACTAGTGAGGAGGGCGGGAAGAGGGAGGGAAGAGCTGCTATCTTGCCTGAGCAGATCAGGAGGGGGACGCAGTGGGCGGGGGGAGACATCACCCAAAGTCCAGTTTAGCAAGTTGTTGATTCTTCTGGTGTGCCAGCCCGTTACTCCCCCTGCTGAAGCTGAAGGTTGGTGGAGTGATGGAGCGTGGGGATGGTAAAGGAGGAGTAAGTAGCTTTCCACAGACTCCCAGGTCTCTGGCCCCTTCCCAGCTTCTTGGGAAATTGAGAGCCCTCCAGGCAGACAGAGAACAGAACTAGAAGGAGGGGTGGTGCTTAGTCTTAAATAGCTCAAGGAGGCAGGTTGGAGTGTGAAACTGCTGTTCTTGGCAACCCAGAAGGCTACTCTGCCTGGGGGAAGGCTGGAAACTCACCTGCTTGTTTTTATTTTTCCGAGAAGATCTGTGCTGTCTCCTTGAGCTTATAAAAACAGAGGAAGCACAGGGTGGCCTCCTCGCAAAGTCAAGGCTAGAAGACTCCCTTCTCCTGTTCTCTTTTCCACTCATGCCCTCCCTTATTTAAAAAAAAAAAAAAAAAGAAAGAAAAGAAAAAAAAAAGAACTCATTTCCTTTCCTAACCTAGGTAGGCAGAAATCTATTAGCAGAGTGCGCATGGGCAGGGCCTGACAGGTGTGTTGTGTCAAGAAAGACAGGTGCAAATTTCCTCTGTGTCTGTGTGTGTCTGTACAGCTCTAGACCACAATGCTTGCTCGAGGGTTGGAGAGGTTTATGAATTTATGGTTGTCCTGGTTAATAGGATTGTCTGGGCTAATGGGAATTGGGCTGTTGTTCTTTTGAGCCCTGCCATGTGAGTTCTTGGGGTGGGGGGTGGGGGCAAGTTGGTATGTGTTTGTTTATTTTTCTTAAGGATATTGGCAGTCTACTGCTGAGGCTGTGTCCCAGGCTTCTGTCTGCCAGTCAGCCCAAAGCACCCCCACTTTAGGCAGCAGGTGGAGGGAGACTGACTTTTCCTTTGCTTCCTACCAGTTTATGCCTATCTCCCAGGTCTGTGCTTGGCAGAGAGAGAGAGAGAGAGAGAGAACTGTCGTGTGTGTGTGTGTGTGTGTGTGTGTGTGTGTGTGTGTGTGTTTGTGTGTGTGTGGTGTATGCTTTGGATAGCAATGAGTGGTGTGTAACTGCCAAGAATTCCAAAGTCAGTTTGAAAGTGTTACTGTTGTTAAAGCTTATCTTTTTAAGCATGCTTTCTCCTTGCCCAGAAAGAATAGGTATGTACATAAACTCTTTCAAGTCATATGTTAAATAATCTCATAAAGTAGAATGAGCCTGTCATTGTCCCAGACATGTGCCAAATGTCCTAGATATGAATTTGATGGAGAAAGAAAATCTCAAGTACATGAGAAGGTAACTGTGCTTTTCTATTCTGATGCAAGATGTGAGAAGTCAGTTCTACAGGGAATTTCTTGCAAGAACTTCTGAGTATTTCCAAAATGAAATTTTTTGTGTGTGTTGAGGGAGGAAAACGAGAGTATTCACATTAACTTGTCCATGGGTTAAAACATGGACATGTATATGTAATAGTAAAATAGGTGAAGCTAAGGACTGTGGCTTGATGTGTGAGGAAAGTTGTTGGGAATTCAATGTAAGCACTATATCTGGCTTCTTAAAACTTGACCTTTTAAAATTATCTTTAAACAGACTACTTCTGTAGACTGAGTTGCACAGGAATAGGTTGGTTGGCAAATGGTTTTTGCTCATTGGCTTTGTGTTTGGGTAGTTATTGTTTCCATGAAAATGAGATCGTATGTGTCATTTATTCTGTAGACTTCAACATTAACGTCCCCCCACCTCCCAAACACACACACACACACCCAATACTTTCCTTGGATGCTTTTGAAGTTCTTTGGTAATTAAAATGTCATCTATGCCTATGTTCATTTGCTTTATTTTTAATAGGGGTTATCTGTGCTTGGCACTTATTGATATTTTATGTGTCCATTATGCAGAATTCTATTTAGTTTAATCACCACCTTGTGGGAAAAAAAAGTCATGCATACATAACATGCATCTTTGTTCTCACTTTATTCATTTCCTAGCATCATTCCTCTATAAGCAGCACATGCTATCTTAAAACCTAAGCTGGCTTATTCTGTAAGTTGCCAGACTTCCTCTTTATTTGTTTAAAACTCAAACAGGCCTCTTTTCATGAATGTCTTATATCATTTTAGGGATTGTCTTGAATTTGCAGTGTTAATATAAGAAGTTTTAGGTTTCAGATTAACAAAAGAAATTATAAAATGTGACTGATGTTATAATATGAAAATAGATTGTGCATGATGTATCATTATAGGATTTTAATTAAGTACCTGTGTAACTTGGAAAGGAACCATATACATAAGGAATTTCTCAGACTTATTGCCTGTGCATTCTCAAAGGACATTTAGAGAGTTCAATTTTCTGCAAAAAGAAAAAAGTGTATTTTCTTAAGATTATTTCACACTCTGTCTTATTTACCTATCTGATAAGTTGTTACTTTTTAAACAAGTAGAAATTAATATTTTAGGCATGTCTCAGAAAATGTTCTGTGTTCATTTTGCAGGTGAAAAGTGTGTGGAATTTTTGATGGGATGGGAGAATCTTAAATGAAATCTTAAATGATTTGAGAAGTATATTATGACAGGAAATTTAAAAACCTGATAACGCAATCTTAGTTAATTTAGGTATTAACTTATGTCAAGTGAGTTCTTCAAAATAAATATCAAAGGTTTTCTTAACCTGATAGGGAGCAGAAATATCTCCAATATCTCTGAAGAAAAAGTTGCTAATTAGCAGAAACAAATTCTTGAATGTAGTGAAGGGGACAATTTAATGATTCAGGGGCTACTTAAATCAGACCATCTGATTTTTCCCCTTTGAATCACTAATTTCCAGATTGATTTGAAATATTCTTTGTTAATGATATCCTATTTGAAATTTCATAACCAGGTTGACCCAAGTAGATTAGAGGCCCATACAAAGATGATTTTCTAAAAGAAGTCAAGTGTAGGCTTGCACAATTTCTTCAAATAATTTTATCAACAAAGACAGATCATCTAAATAATCCAAGCAGGAAACCATGCCAACCTTACACTCTCCCTGCCTCATAAAAGATTTGTCTGAACTATCTGGATAATTACCGTAATGAAACACTTCTTTGTCCAGAATCTGGACTCCAGATAGATGCAGTAAAAGTTGAATCCTCCTCCCCGAAATAACTTCTTTATTAAAGTAGAGCACTTAACCACTTTATACTTCACGCTGCAGTGTTCCTTTGAAATTCTTTACTGAAAATTCTTTCCTCCTAACCTTAAGTCATCAGTTTCCTTAGAATTTTGCATGTTAAAGAGAATGTCAGATAATTCAGATATTAAAGGAGACTCTTTTGGAGTAGTTAAAACCTGTTTTGATTATACCTGGATGTTTATTCTTCTAATATCTTTTTCTGGGAGGAATCTGCTATGTTAAGATATGCATTGTATAAGAATTACTAAAGCATTTGTGTAGGTTATATACGAAGTGATGCAACAAAATATTTAATGATGAAAAACTCTATATAGACTTTCACATTAATTAAAGAGGGGTTTACAGGAATAGAGTAAGTGTATCCGATCAATAATACATTTGGGTTCAAATTCTCATCAGTATTTTTCTGCATCCTTGCTGATTTGGACATCCACCAGTGTTGATCAAAAGCTTCATATTGCCTAGTGAAACTGAAAATTAATGTTAAAATGCAAATATGATATGCATCAATAATAATTGCAGGTGAAACATGATAGCTTAATACATATCTTGAGAAATAAAGGAGTTTAAAAAATATCAATGATAAAGTCATTCCATGGCTTCCTTTAAATTCTGAACTGGAATATCATGGAAGCACTTGGGAAATGTTTTTAAGAGATTTAATTTATATTATGGTAACGTAACAGTACATTTTCTTATGTGGTAAATATATTCATATAGATATCTTGTTTATGAAATGTGATGCTAATAAAGTGCTGTGTCAACCGGTTATTATTATTTAATCATGCCTATAGCTTCCATGGGTTATGGTTCCAGTGTGTGCTACCACTATACTTTTATTTCTAAATTAAATCTAAGCTATATGGAGAGATATATTTATTTGTGCCTATTAATATAATGCCTTGTCCTGGATTATATAATTTATCTTATTTTTCCCATTTGTTTTGTCTTATTTGTTATGTTCCAGCTGGACATTTTACAACAAGACCTAAAAGTATTTAAATTCTTTTAGCCCAAGACAGATACAAATCGTTATTTAATCTAAAAATGTTGACTGAAATAGAATTACAAAATTAGTTTAGTTTGGTGAATATCAAGGGAGTTATATCTTGTTCTTAACAGACTCCACAAGCATTTCTTTCCACCTTAGGAAGAGCACAGCCCTCCTCTTGGCTCCAGCATGGGGCAGGGATGCAGCTGTTGATACCTAGGCTAGATGAGAGGAAGTGCAGTTGACGCAGAGGTAAATGGCAGTTGGAAAAGGAAGGATGCCTGGGGATGACCTTGTGCTCATCAGCGACACCAGTCTGTCCTTTCCAAGCCTCTGTGGCAGAGCTGCTCTTCCCACAGCAAGGATGGCAGGAGGAAAGTCCAGTTTGGGTGTTAGGGTGAACAGGGAGAGAAAAAATACTGCAAAAAGTTTGTTTGACATTTTGATTGGAGATCCATGTGCTTTGCAGGTGATAGTCAAGAGAAAAGGATTTGCATACAAATAGAAAAGATGTAAAATTTAAAAATAAGGGCAATAAGCTCTATTTTGGGGAAGGTGATATACACACAGAAAAAAGTCTTCCTTGTAACCGCCCCCCATGCAAGTGTTTCTTTGATTAACAGAGCTTTGAAATGATTCATCCTTTTTCTTGTCTCAGCCTCTCCTTGTTCTTTCTGTCATCTGACAGCTAACCTGATTTATCAGATCTAATGTGTTTGTGTAGTATTTGTCACTGCATTTTTGTATTCCTGAAACCAATTTTATTATTAGTGTTTGAAAGGGTCTCAATCATTCTGAATTCAATTTTGAACCCAATGTTGTAGTTCTTGAGAACTCCATCTCCATTCTAAGTTCAGGAAATTTTATCCTGAAGCATGCAAAAAGTATTTCATTCTCAAGCATGCAAATATATATATATATATATATATATATATATATATATATATATATATATATATAAAGAGGTATCATTTTGCTTTCATGATACCCTAAAGCAGGCTCTTTTAAAATGTTTTATCTTTCTATAGAAACCAGGAGCAAAGATTTCATGAGGAAATCACTGTCACTTAAAAAAATATACATATTGTTGCCATCTAAGCATTGAGCATTTTCTTGATTTTTACAGGTTATTTCATGCTGAAATTATGCCTATTTGCATGGATAGTCATTCTTTAAAGCTAGCCACAGATGCAGTCCTAGGGAGCACGTAGATGTTTTTACAGGTGAACCGAAAGAGATGGGAGCCGTTCCAGACACTCTGCATGCTGCCTTTGGCAATGGACCCTGTTATTGTGAAGATGTGCTCTGTTAAGCAAACGTGAAGTTTAATATTAGATAAACCCAACGTGAAAAAAATTTTCATTTTCTTCATAAAATGTTAATTATAAACAAAAAGATGTGACATCTTATATGTCTACAAAATTTGGGATTAGCATCACTAGTTAATAAGTTACACAATGTCAAGTGCCTTTTATGAAATTCAAAGAAGGATGTTCTCTTTTTATACTGTGTTTCCAAGAAACAATGGAAGTTCATATACAAAGAAATATTTCCCTTTCTCACACATTTGATGGACATTATTTTCTTTCTTCTTTATATATCTTCTTTCAGTTTTTTCTGTTTTTTTTTTTCCTTTAATTTGGCACAGGAAATAAGGTTCACAAATCCTGTATGTTAAAGAGTTTCTTTGGGCATTGGACATATTATTTTGGCAGATTTAAACAGAAGGAAACTAGTCCTGAAGATATATTTATCTTTATCTCGGTCAATAACTTATTATTCCTCATATTGATTTCTAAAATGTGGTAACATCCTTGTTTTGCAGTGAATCCAACTTTGTAATAATTTGTCATTAAAAGGACATTATGAAAATGTATAAATATTCTTATAGTTACATTAAGATATATCAACAGATATCATCTTCACCTATGATTTTACAAGTAAAAAATGCATAGCTAAGCTAAATAAGCAGACTTATAAAATGACTATTGTGCATTTATTTCAATGCTAAACTGACCATTTATGTTTGAAAGATGCTGCTGCTAAGGGTGTTCTCCTTCCCATTTTACATATGACAAAAATATTGTAAAATTCAAGAATAAAAGCTCTCTATTATATATTTGCATTTATTTTAGAGTCCTTTTCCTTTAATAGCGTTAAAACCACACTAATTGTAATGCAGAAATGCAATTTTTCATGTGAATTTCTCATAGTCTCAAAATTTAACCTTATTTCTTAAGTATAGAGCAGTTTCATCTTCCTTATAATATGAATCTCAATGCCCAAAATTTAATCAATTGGTTGTCAGAGGCTGTGTTCTTATAATCTACTGTTTCTTCTGAAGATAAACAGTATCATTTTAGGCATTTGTGAGAGAGAATCATATTACTGGTGCTTAAGCAGTTTTTGCTTAATTTTTTTTTAATCTTAATCCATCTTAAACCAGTGGAGCAGAAATATTTAAAAATGTTTCATTTCAAGCAGAGTGCATAATAAATTGCAATAATTGTAATGTGCCATAAATCCCAGAGCCTATGCATTTTGCATTTGATTCAGGATTGAGGTCAGGAAATTTGGAGAAATTTAAAGAAAATGATTCATCAGTCCTTTTGTTCTGTTGGCCAGGGTCCCGGGATTCTTGAGCTGTGCCCAGCTGACGAGCTTTTGAAGATGGCACAATAACCGTCCAGTGATGCCTGACCATGACAGCACAGCCCTCTTAAGCCGGCAAACCAAGAGGAGAAGAGTTGACATTGGAGTGAAAAGGACGGTAGGGACAGCATCTGCATTTTTTGCTAAGGCAAGAGCAACGTTTTTTAGTGCCATGAATCCCCAAGGTTCTGAGCAGGATGTTGAGTATTCAGTGGTGCAGCATGCAGATGGGGAAAAGTCAAATGTACTCCGCAAGCTGCTGAAGAGGGCGAACTCGTATGAAGATGCCATGATGCCTTTTCCAGGAGCAACCATAATTTCCCAGCTGTTGAAAAATAACATGAACAAAAATGGTGGCACGGAGCCCAGTTTCCAAGCCAGCGGTCTCTCTAGTACAGGCTCCGAAGTACATCAGGAGGATATATGCAGCAACTCTTCAAGAGACAGCCCCCCAGAGTGTCTTTCCCCTTTTGGCAGGCCTACTATGAGCCAGTTTGATATGGATCGCTTATGTGATGAGCACCTGAGAGCAAAGCGCGCCCGGGTTGAGAATATAATTCGGGGTATGAGCCATTCCCCCAGTGTGGCATTAAGGGGCAATGAAAATGAAAGAGAGATGGCCCCGCAGTCTGTGAGTCCCCGAGAAAGTTACAGAGAAAACAAACGCAAGCAAAAGCTTCCCCAGCAGCAGCAACAGAGTTTCCAGCAGCTGGTTTCAGCCCGAAAAGAACAGAAGCGAGAGGAGCGCCGACAGCTGAAACAGCAGCTGGAGGACATGCAGAAACAGCTGCGCCAGCTGCAGGAAAAGTTCTACCAAATCTATGACAGCACTGATTCGGAAAATGATGAAGATGGTAACCTGTCTGAAGACAGCATGCGCTCGGAGATCCTGGATGCCAGGGCCCAGGACTCTGTCGGAAGGTCAGATAATGAGATGTGCGAGCTAGACCCAGGACAGTTTATTGACCGAGCTCGAGCCCTGATCAGAGAGCAGGAAATGGCTGAAAACAAGCCGAAGCGAGAAGGCAACAACAAAGAAAGAGACCATGGGCCAAACTCCTTACAACCGGAAGGCAAACATTTGGCTGAGACCTTGAAACAGGAACTGAACACTGCCATGTCGCAAGTTGTGGACACTGTGGTCAAAGTCTTTTCGGCCAAGCCCTCCCGCCAGGTTCCTCAGGTCTTCCCACCTCTCCAGATCCCCCAGGCCAGATTTGCAGTCAATGGGGAAAACCACAATTTCCACACCGCCAACCAGCGCCTGCAGTGCTTTGGCGACGTCATCATTCCGAACCCCCTGGACACCTTTGGCAATGTGCAGATGGCCAGTTCCACTGACCAGACAGAAGCACTGCCCCTGGTTGTCCGCAAAAACTCCTCTGACCAGTCTGCCTCCGGCCCTGCCGCTGGCGGCCACCACCAGCCCCTGCACCAGTCGCCTCTCTCTGCCACCACGGGCTTCACCACGTCCACCTTCCGCCACCCCTTCCCCCTTCCCTTGATGGCCTATCCATTTCAGAGCCCATTAGGTGCTCCCTCCGGCTCCTTCTCTGGAAAAGACAGAGCCTCTCCTGAATCCTTAGACTTAACTAGGGATACCACGAGTCTGAGGACCAAGATGTCATCTCACCACCTGAGCCACCACCCTTGTTCACCAGCACACCCGCCCAGCACCGCCGAAGGGCTCTCCTTGTCGCTCATAAAGTCCGAGTGCGGCGATCTTCAAGATATGTCTGAAATATCACCTTATTCGGGAAGTGCAATATCCTTTTATTTTCCCCTCGAGGAAAAAACAAACCAAAAAAGGTTTCCCAAAAGGTTGGGTTTACACAATATCTAGAGTAATGTAGATTAGTATCTTCTTAAGAAGGCAACCTTTCCCATTATTCAAAGGAATAGGCTTTTATCAGCATGCGTGTGCCATTCCTGATTGCAGAAAAGCTTAAAACTAAGCCAACATCTTTGCAGCTTCCACAAGTTGTTCACTGCCTTGAGGAGCTCCTATTTAATATGTGCTTTCTCAGCAGTGTTTTTTTTCTGCTGTTCTTCCTGCATTATCTTCTTATCCCTATCTCTTAAAAAAAATAAAGAAGTAGATTTAGAGATGAGAAAACAGTCTCATTGTAAATACTGATTGAATTCTCTCAGATATTTTTTAAAGATGGTAAGTTTAATAGAATAAGGAGAAAAGTCAGTTTTCAGATCCCTAAGATCCCATAAGAAGAATTCTCAGTGTAAACCATCTGCAAGGCTTCTGGTCCGTTTAAAGACAGCCCGATGAAATCTTAGGAAGAGCGCTTTACAAGTGGGAGGTTGAGGAGGAAGAAAAATGGATGTGGGTGGGGAGTTAGTCTCTCTTTCATCTTTAAGTGAGACTTTTTTTTTTAAGGAAATATACAGGTACTGATTTATTCAGACAGCATCGGTCTCTCTCCCGTTCACCCAAGGTCTGTTCTTTGGGTCTGGTGCAGCTGCCTCTATGCATGATTAACCTCTGTTCAGCCATACACAGAAATCTTTTGTCCCAACATACACAAAGCAAATTATTTTGGAAAGCGAGAGAGCACAATTAAATATAAAACTCAGCTGTATTCGACTTAAAAATGGCTCTTTTTATGATTCTTTTAAATTCTGAAACTGACGTTTATGTAGAGATAACAGTTATATTTTTTTATTAGGCCTATCCCGAACTCCAGCTATTTTTAACTGAAGATTTTTTTTTCTCTCTGTATATCGGTTCTTTCTGTAAATTTTTTAAAAATCTTGTGGTCGTTGGTCTTTTGGGAGTAGTAAAATAGTAGCATTTGGGGGCAGGTGGAGGCATGTTTCTTATATAATAAACAGATGGATATAAAATTTAGCAATTAAGTTGGCTGTGACTAAATTTAGGATTTTGAGCAATTGTCTTGATGACTAGAGATTGACATTTTCATATCTAAGCCCACTCCAGAGGCTGCCACGTAAGTGCAAAGTCCCAGCTATTGGTGGAAATATGTTTTCCTGGTTAGTGGAGGTCGTACTTCAAGCCACCTCTCAGGATAATAGTGTAGATTTCTGATAGGGTGAACTACTAGGGCCCTAATCATGAGTCCTGCTTGGGCAGTTAAACATGGAGTCTCTCTTATACTGAGCAAGAGAAGAACATTGTAACAGAAAGGGAAGAGAAAGATGTGGGAGATTTCTACATATACGTAGAAATGGAGTTTTAGCTTGGTTGTTGATTTCACTTGGACCTTTTGAAGATCTAAAATTCAATCCACCAGCCATGAATCAAAGCTGCACCAAGCACCATGCCTTACATATTATAAGCAGGCAGTAAATATTGATCAAATGATTGGAATATCGCTGTTGGTGATGAGAAAGGCAAAGTAAGAAGACACAATGGCTTGAATGGTTTTTGTGCCCTTTGCAAAAAGAGCATCTTCAGAGGTTCATGTAAGGCTAATGTCTAGGGCTAAGACCCCATTGCACCCCAGAGATCTCTTAACTTCATTTTGAACCAGGTAGTTGTGATAGTGGGTTCTTTCTGTCTCTCTCTCTCTCTTACACACACACACACACACACACAGACACACACACACAGAGTAAAGTGACATGCGTGCCAATTTTGGTGAATATTTAAAGATTTAATGCCAGGTTTCAAAACTCCTGTAAGTCCACACTAAGCTCTTTAGTTCAAGATGCCAGTTTATGGTTTTTCTTTAAATTAGACTTTTCATTATAACCAGATCATTATAATTATGGCTGTGCTTTTTGTTTTTAGTCTTCTAGGAAAAAAATCTTTTAGATTGCTTTAAGTGTTGGCTATGTTCATTGTCTCAACCTCTCCAAATCCCCGGAGGAATTTTGAGGATTTGAATTGAAATAAGTTCCTTTTATTTTGATACATATCAAAGGCTTTAAAGAAAATATAGTTGCTTCTTCTTCAGAGGCATGACTTCTCCTTTCTTCTATCAACATAACTTTCTGTCGAGCGGTGATTCTGTTGGGAAACACCCGTGTTCATGTGAAATGTTAGTTGCTCACACTCAGAATTGTTTCTTTCATATAGCTAAATAATGTCGGCCTCTCGTGGCAATTAGTGATTACATTTTCCACCTTTTGGCCTTCTATGCTCCTATTCTTTTCCCCCCTCTACTATTAATACATTGCACTTTTAACCATTTATCTCATTGGTATATTATTTCTCAGGAAGAGTAAGATAGGCAAACAACCTTTTCTATAGTTCCCACAATTCTGAAACCAGTGAGGATCTGTTGGTTTGTAGAGAGATTGGGCCCACTTTTCTCCTGTCTCTACCTCTGTATGGCAGTGTGTTCTTCCCTTGATTTAACTGTTAGTGTGTAGGCAAAATTCTCAAGCTTTTACTTTGAAGAAATATCTGGGAATCACAGTGAGTGATGTCTTACTTCAATTTTAGGGATACGGGGCCATATATGATCCGGTTGTACAGTTATTCCTCGAAAAGATCAATAGAAATGGGCAGAAATGTAATGAAATGGTACAACTGTGATTGCTATTATTATGTTTTAATTTTTCGTTCATGGCTTTCCAAACTGTTATATATAATTTAATTTTTCAGGAAAAATTATCTCCCACTCCAAAAGGTACCATCTGTTTTTTGAACAAAGTAGCTAAGATAAGAACTATTAAGAACACCAGCTTATCAGGTCAACCCATTCTACATTCACCACATTAAACATATATGTTCTGTAGGATAGAACACACTACCTCATTATCCCATCTAGTAGAAGGGAAATAGTGAATGTGTATGCAAGTTAAACTGAATTTCAGTGCACCTGCTCCAAGGGCTCATGTCTTGGATTTTAAAAATATGTTCAGTATCTTTGCAAATGAATCTGTTTAATCAAATATTAAGTTTTATTCAAATTCCAAAAGAAACAGTCAGCCAATTGCTTTTCTTCATGATGTTCCTTGTCATTCATCCTCTTTGCATCTCAAGAAAAATAGCCTAGTTTAGGCCCCAAACATTTGCATGCACCCAGTTAAAGCACAAGAGGAGTAGTATAAGCCGTTAAGACGTGCAGGTGAAGAAATTGAGCCTGTTCTCTGAAACAGCCGGCTTTTTCTACTCAACTTTTAGGGAGAATGTTAGAAAGACTTGAAGTTTAGAAAGGAAAATGGTTTAGTAATTTGAAATTAAAATCCAACCAGGAACCATAGATTAGAAATGAATTTCTGAAATTTGAAACCATCCACAGAAATTGATCTTATACATTTTTAGAAGTCTTGTGGAGGCTATAGTACTTATATTAGCTAGAGCAAAACATGTAGATTAAAGACTAAAAGACTTTGGGCTCCTACACTACCCCCCTCCCCTGAAAAAAATTATAAAGTAAGTAAATTAAAAAAAAAAAATCCCTACACTACACAGCCCTCCGATTATGGTGAACTTCCTAGTGGGAGTTACGACTTGCTCTATCACTGTCATTATGTGAGAGAGTTTAGATCTTTTCTCCCCATTTTAGTTTCTAGGGGGAAAACCTCTTAGAAACTTAGCAAATTAGGGAATAAGGCAGAACTAAAATTCTTTAGGTTTCAAATGTTTTGGAAAATGTAAGTAGTCTCAACCCATTTGCTGGGAACTGCAGCACGTACAATCTCTAGCTACAATCCAGAGTTTAGCTGGAAAAAAAGAATTTTCTTCCTCCGCTTTCACAGCTTATTATTCTCCCATTTGCCTTTTTGCTGCCTCCGCTGCTCCTCCCGTGGCTGCTGTTTAGGTAAGGTTATATTGTACTTGGTAAACAGACAACACTTAGGTTCTCAGGTTGTTTGAACACTGCTTTACGTTCAGCTGCAGTACCCTGCTTCTCTGATCTTTTATATTCCCGAGCAGATGTCTTTCATTAATTTATGGATTTATCATCTTTTCTTTTTTTTTTCTTTTTTCTTTTTTTTTTTTTTTTACACCTGGCAGCTGTCTCAAGTTTCAACAGTTATTGTCTATTTTGCATTACACATAGAATTGAATGTCATCTGTCTTCACAAAGCTATGGCTAAGAGAATTGAGGCACAGCCACATGAGCTGCTGGGACAGATCTTGTTTGCGTTCCATCCCCCCTCACCCCACTCCCCTTTACCTCCTTAATATTTATTTGTGCTCATTTTCTTTCCTGGCCTTGAATGGAGCTTAGCTCGTGTTCAGTACAGCTGTATGTTTACTGAATCTATTCCATCATGAGTCATTGTGCGTGTGTAAGTATCCTGGAAACAGCTAGTGCTTTCTTGGAAGAACAGTTGCTTTTCAGCACAAGCACTTAAAAGGGAAATTAACCAATTGGTCAGTTCAGATTTATTTTGAGGAGAAAAAAAGGATTATCTAACTGTTGCCTTTTAAATGTTTCATTAGTTATTTTTAATAGTTTATTAGAAACATATATTTTATGGGAATTTTATCTTAATTACACAATAAGCAAGAGATAAAGATTAATTCTGTGTTCCATTTCAACTGATCAGTTCCAAGTATTACCAACAGGAAACATTTTAAAGCAAAAATGAACTTGAGAAATCCAAATCAGAATAATTTTTTGTTAGATAAAAAGCCTCTAAATACTGATCAAAATAAAATGGATATTTTACTTTTTTTAGATAAAAAGAACAAAAACATCTTAGCATAAATTAGATGTATTAAAAGCTTCAGGAAGTTTTGGTAGCTCAGTGCCCATCTAAGAAACACAGAAAAACACTTTGTATTTTGTATGACACCAAATTTTAAAAGATTTGTGACTTCCAATTAAATGCATGACGTTGTCTTAATGTAGCCATCTGAAAGAAAAGATTAGAACCCAGATCTGAGAGTGTCTGTCAAAGTTTGGACTTGCCTAAAACTCTTATCACAAGGCAGTCGCAGACAGCTTGCAACTATTATTTCACTTATCCATTTGGACAGATGGTCCTGAAGTGTGCTGGGCTCCTTTAGTCTTCTGTATCAGTCTAATGGAGGTTACTGGAGGGCCTTTCAGCCCTCTCCTTGGCACAAGAAGTATGTCAGTCATAAATTATCGTCTTTGTAATCATTAAGGATCTCAAACAAAAACACAAGTTCAGTTAAGCTGCTTTGGCTTACAGATATAAAATCAAAATTTCTTTCTTTAGTGTTTATTTTCAGTTTAACAAAAAATAAAAAAATAAAAAACCTGCACTACTTAACTTTTCTATTTACAGACCAAGGTGATCTTTTTAAAATTGCATGGGATATTAAAGGGAATGTTAATTGAACAAATTCTCAGCAGAATATTTGGTTAAACACCCTGTTATAAGTAGTCAAGAGCTTATCCATATTAATTTGATTATGCTTCTCTAGTAACTTTCTGGTTTCCCTCCATTCTTAAGATTAGTCACGCTAGACTTGATGAAGGTCATTTGGAAAATTTTACCTTTCCTAAATATCTGTGTTTATTTGACATTTCTGCCTAAGGGGTGAAATTTTTGTTGGGTAGTTGTGTGAGTGTGTTTGTGTGTGTGTTTGCACACACAAGCACACTTTCTTTTCTTTTTTTTCTTATTTTTCTTAGACACTCTTCTAAAAGAAAATCCTTAGAGAAGCTTCTAGGAAGGGCCCTTAATTGACCTTGTGGGGGACCACATTGATTTTCTCCACGTGCATCTTCATTTCTGATAAATTATAAAGCCATTAATTTGCTGAGGAAATGGCAGGGCCAGGCTGCGGCACAGATGTGACCAGAGCCATCCCAGCTCTGAGTCTGCTGAGGAGTGCCAAGAATCTGGGGGAGAATCAGGAAGCCTGGATTGTTATGGTTAGCCTCACATTCTCTTGGGAACTGTTTTAGTTGCTGCTGTTTACAGATCTAAAAGGTAATGATGTTTCCAGATAAATAGGCCTTCTTATTTTGGGTAAGTGGCCATTTATTGATCTGCTAACCCACATGTATTGATTTGTTAGCCCCAACTACTGCGTCACTCTCAAAGGAGTTAACTATAAATCCAAGACAGGCAAATTGTATTTGGTTTTGGACCATTGCTTTCACAAAAGCAACAGCCCCCTCCCTGTCCTCTCCATGCCAAAACTACTCTTCCCAAGTTTTAGCTATTATTTAAAAGGAAAAACAATTAAAAGGATATAATAAGATAAAAAGCAAGTGAGTCAAGATGCTCCATTAGATTAACACTAAAAGGTAAAATGTGAAACTTGCATAGCAGTGTTCAAAATAATGCATTTTATATTTTCATGTACATTAGTAGAATAATTTGCTTTAAACTGCAGAGTGTGGAGAGAAGAACAAACAGAACTGTAATTGCAAGGAAGAAAAAAAAACCTCTTATGACAAGAGTTGTGTAGTACATGTTGGGTGCATTTGTCTCCTTAGCAACAAGTGAATGTATAGATAGCCTACCGACCTAAAGCAAGGAAAATATTTTGCCATCCTCACCCTAAAGTAGCCAAGATTCTGCAACTCAATTGTGCATCCTCACCATTGCATGTGGCAACCTCTGACAGGCGACGGTCACTGAGCAAATGGCAGCAAGTTAGCAATGGATGCCATAGCCAGTGTCATATACCTTCCAGCACTCCCACCGCAGCTTGATGGACCCCCAGACTCTATGGAGGTGGGGACTGGAGGGAGGGAGGTGGGAGTCCTTGTGCTTACAGAATTGCTTTTCCTTAACCAATTGCATCCTACATGCAGGAAGGATTGTCACCCAATCACTTGAAAAAAGCAAAGCTCATGTTTTTTTATACCCGTTATCCCAGCTCCAATATGCTGAAGACCTACTTCTCCGACGTAAAGGTAGGGACTTTTTTTATTCTTAATTTTTTCATTTTCTATGCATGTGGCAGTAATTTGAACTCCCGGAAGTTAATGGAGATGAATGTGGAATTGGTTTATTCCTACACCTGTGTTATAATTGATTTAATGCACTTGTCTTTTTGTCTAAAGGTGTGTTAAGCAAAGATGCCACTTGTGTATTAAGATTGGAAGACTGGTGTTAATAAGTTGCATGGGTTTCCAATGTAGTCTGAAAAACTTAGCCTCTGTCTTTATATGTTTGAGTAGCTTCTTTGAAGAAATTTCAGCTGGTAATGGATGGGTGTGCTTTAGAGAATGTTTTTTCCCTCCCCTCAGCAACAGTAAACTGTTTCTGTTTTTGTTTCTGTTGGTTTCCCCATATTTGTGCTTATGAAAGCAAACTCTAGCACCTCTTTTTCCCCCTGTCGAAAAGGAGCGTACATTGAAATTCTCTATGCAGTAGCTGCTTAAAAACAAAAGTGATGATTGTCTCTTATTTACAACTTAATTTGTTGTTGATGTAGAGTACACTGAGCATAAGGAGAATGAATAAAGTGACAGATTCAGGACACATTATTCAAATGAGGATATGAAAGCTGTCGGCCTACAGCTGCAGCCTCCCTCATTCTACAGAATATTGGGACCTCCTGGTTCTCTCTGTGTGTGTATGCGTGTGTGTGTGTGTGTGTGTATGTGTCTGTGTCTGTGTGTGGGTTTTAAGTAATTGTTTGCATCAACTTGATGTTGTGTTAATCATCTGTAACTTTTTAAAACATAGATTGGGTTTTGATGATGATAATGACACACATGGTATCATTATCCCAGGAACTTGATAAACACTACATTAGCTGAGATTAGTTTATTAGGGGTGGGTGTTTTTTCCCCACTCCTCCCCTGCCCACCCCCATATGTACAAGTTCTTCTTTCTGCCATGGAGAACTCACAAGCTGCCAAAACACACTCGCTCTTCCACTGCTCCCCGCACGCAGCTTGTTTTGTGCTTGATGCCCAAGTGGCTTCATTGGCCCCATTTTGCAGGCCAACTCATTTCAGTTTCCTTCACTGGTGTTTTATTTGGCCTTATAAGAAAAGTTCTGTTTTCCCTCCTGTTTGCTTTTGAATTGTGTATCAACTTCAGCCTTTTATCTTTCTCCTTCCCTGGCTGTGCTCCTTAAGTGGAAGGCTTGTTTTCTCCTTGTTCAGCACCAGCAAACTGGGCAAGATGGGGAGGCAGGGAAAGTCCATCACGTAAATGTCTGGATAAGACTAAGTGAGCACAAACAAGGCTGAGTGACACAGAGGCCAGGAAAAGGGTTTGGGCTTTGTAGAGGACAATCTAGAATACACAAATTGAAGGCAATTTGTCACCTGGTTGAGGACTGACCAGCTTCTAGAGTCTAGTAGAACCTGGTAAAGTTTGTCTTCCAGGGAATCCTCCCAACATTTTAGTTCTAGGAGGGGACATGGAGGACAGGGAGAAAAGGGTTATTGTGTGCACATATGTGTGTGTGTGTGTCTGTGTGTGCAGATGTCCATGTTACTCATTCCTTTTAGGGCAATGATCTTCAGTGTTGTGAAATAATAATGACAATAACTTATATTCTTTGCATAGCAATTTTCACCCAGAAGTAGGCCAAAGAGCTTTACCAACTGCACACATAGGTGTCACTCACCCACCACGGAAACACAGCCACCTGGAGGGTGGGAAACAGCAGCCATTCTGAGCCAACACTACCCAACAGTAGACGTCAATATTAGAAACAATCATTTTTTGTGAGAGTTCAAGCATGCGTGCATGTGTGTGGTGTGTGGTGGCAAGTGGGGAAGATTATTGATCTGTAGCTTTATAAATACCATGCAATACAAACCAACAAGAAACTGTTCCCATTCCTCTAGAATGCCCCTAGCAATTCAGCTTTGCAAATAACCACTGACTCTGTGTAGATAACAATGGAATACCTGGGTGAATATTTTATTTTCAAAAGCACTAATATTCAGATTGTTGATTCTATCCATACCTTACCCATACTGGAAGAGAAGGCTGTTAAAGTATATGTGAGTCTGGTTACTACCAATTATCCACTGTAATGGAGGGGAAACAGTAGAACATATCAGGCAAAGCAGAAAATCACTGAAGGTCACTTCTCTTTTATTTTTGGAAGGAATTATACATTTTTAACTTTCCTAATTATGTTTTTTCTTTGGTTAGTAATAAATGAATTTGTATTTCTTGAGCTTACACTGATGAGAGTAGAAAGCCATGCAAAGAAAGGGAAAGGTAGTCCAGGCAATGTGGTCCAGAGACTTTCCAGAAAACAATGGCAGAGCATTCTGGGATTTCTTCAATATTAAGGATAATCACAGATGTGAATATTGACAATGTATACACACACATATGTGCATGTGCATGGGTTCACAATACACATATACATATATACACATATCTATAGCTTGACATTGACATACAGATAGACAAGTGTGTCTATTTATTTGCAAGGCTGAAAGAAATAGATATTTCTTTATATATGAATATACAATCCAAACTTTTATTTTGGCCAGGATTCAAGAAATCACTAGAGAAATTGGGGAAGAGAACTTAGGGTCTTCTCAGAAATGAAACCTGCATCATTTATCTGGAACAAGATATATGCATGTATCTATGGACCATGTAATGCTTGTTATAATGACATGAGGCTCTACTTGGTCATGGCCACATTCATCTAGGAGAAAATTCCTAACTTTAGTAAAATGTACTCTTTCAAATAATAAAGTTATTTTATTCAATTTTTTTTTTTTGAGACGGAATTTCACTCTTGTCACCCAGGCTGGAGTGCAATGGTGCAATCTCAGCTCACTGCAACCTCCACCTCCTGGGTTCAAGAGATTCTCCTGCCTCAGCCTCCCAAGAAGCTGGGATTACAGGAATGTGCCACCACGCCTGGCTAATTTTTGTATTTTTTTTAGTAGAGACGGGGTTTCACCATGTTGGCGAAGCTTGTCTTGAACTCCTGACCTCAAATGATCTGCCTGCCTTGGCGTCCCAAAGTGCTGGGATTACAGGCATGAGCCACCGCGCTCAGCCCTCATATTTTATTTAGTGATCATAAGTTCATTTTGCAAGCAAAAACAAAAAACAAACAACAACAACAACAACAAAAAAAACCAGGAGAAAAAAATGTGAGCAGAAAATATCTTGTTTCCTGAATATGGTATAACGTAATGGTCCATCAAAGCCACACTTGGAGGATAGAGCTAGATGGGGTAAATCCTCTGACTTGCTCTAGAAGGTGAGTCATGCCAAAGTGGTGCCCACTCCTTTGTATTTCTCCTTAGGAATGGACACAGTGCTTAACTCTCCACAAATGACTTCCACCTGGGTAAGAGGTAAATGCTTTTCAATTACCTTGGAACGAAAGAGGTAGAGGGAAATCATACAATTCAGAGATGTTGGCATGGCGAGAGTTCTTCTTCTACAGGGGTGATGTATATGAAGGATGAAACCAGGGCCGACCTAGTTTAACTCCTAGAGCAAGAATCTAAACAAAGTTCTATGTTCTCACAGAGAGCCAACTTAATTCCCTCATAATGACATTTAGCCAAACAAAAAGCTCAGCTCATCGGGGCTACAAATCCTTTGAGAAGGACAAGTGGACAAATGTGAGAGAGCTGCCAGGGATCGATGGGCCGCACCAGCTCCCTGTTCACTACTGGGTGCTGATTTTAATGTACAAACTAATAACTCTTAGACCACTAAGTACAGCAGATTCAGTGTCATTTTAGCTTTGAAGAACAGACGCTCACAGCTTTTCAAGCCGGCAGTGTTAAATGATGTATCTCATTCCCTCCACCCCTTGAGTCAACTGCTGCCTAGCCAGATTAAGGTGTCAGATTGATTTGTTTTATACATCTTTTGACCATGCTCATTGAATATTTAGGAAGTTTCTTCAGCCCATATTGAGGCTGAGATGTCCCGTGGGAAGCATTAATCAAAGTCACAGAGACTCGTACACTGTGGAAACACAGCCTCTTTATTGTAGCGATTAGTTTTTGCAGTAACACATTAACACACTACAGAGCTTTCCTTTATAGAACAATTGATCCTTTTCTTGTAAGCCACTACAGAATGAGGGAAATTAACTCTTTAAAGTTTAATACTTTTTCTCCCCCAGTGTGAATATCTAGAAAAGCGGGGGCTTGCTTTTGCTTTTAGCCGGCGACTAAAACTGAACAAATTTTAGTTCACTTCTCCTGGAGGGAAACCCTGTTCCTTAGGCTGTTGGGCTGGTCATTTCGCTTGCCTCATGTTTGGGGAGTCTGTTGTTTTTGTCCATTCTTTCTCTCTGGTATTTCCATTCTCCAACAATAAGCTTTAAATCTCCCTTTATGTCCCATTCGTAAATAATGGCAAGTGCACTTACTTTTTTGTCCTCCCCATTAGGTCATTCGTGACCATTCTAGAAAAAAAATACCCTTCTATTTTTTTCCTCTACAGTACTCTTGTCCATATGAGACAATGTCTTGTAACAATGCAGAAGCCTAATCTCCATGTCAAAGCAATTTTCATTCCCCAGTGCACAGCCTGCTATCATTTTGTAATGTTTTGTTTCTTATTCTAAAAGAATTAAAAAGGAACAGTAAGCCGTCACGGGGGCCTGTAGTCCTTATCTCAGTGTCTGGAAATTTGGACAGTGTATTTTACTGCTGAGATAAAATGGAAAGAACTCCAAGTTCAGCAAATCGTAATGGGTTTAAGTTCTATTGAAATCGGCAACCAGAAGATCAGATAATGGGGGTCCTTCAGTTGTCTTTTTAATCGGGTTCCCCGCGAGGCTGAATAGAGACAGAGCAGACACACAGAGTGAAAATATAATTCTTGGATAGGTTAAGTACATGTTTGAACTCTTGCAAGCAGAAGCGATTTGCTGATGACTTAATCATTTTCTGGTCAATTATCTGTAAGGGCCCTTGCAACTCCATGGCAATTATGATGCAAGTTGGCCTTTTGGGAGAAACACCAGTCTCTCTGCTTCTGTTTCCTTGTGACTTCCATTCTCTGCCATAAATTTTCATTCATTTATTATCTTTGCTAGTATAGAAACAACTTTCTGTGTAGTAATTAGAGCCCCAATACACACTTTAGCTGTCATCTTGTTGGAGTCTGGATGTTCTCATGGCCTGTGTTTGATAAGTGCTCTTTGTTGATTTTTGATGAATGTACATCTTTTTCTGGGGGCCCAGGGAAGGGGATGCCTGTGATGACAAAAGGCAGGGGGTTGTCTGTCAGCCCGCCTGATATAGAGCTATGGATTTATTGGTTTTGACTTGGCAAGTTGAGACTCATCTGTCCTTTACGTGAGCAGAGGACTGTCAATAAGGATGGTATCATTTGCAGTGCATCCAGAAAGACATCTTCATTTCAAAGGTCATCAGGAAACCTTGGTAAACAAAGTTTTAAGGCCTAACCATGTTATAGTAACTTGGCATTTAAAAAAATGTAATAAAGCTCCTGTCTATGCCATCTGTGTACTGTGTCCTAACCATGCCTCCCAAATGGCAGAGATACCAAGGGAGGGGGACATGGGTCTTATCCAATGCTGGCTTCAGGAAGCAGGTGAACAGGCACCAGGAGCTGACCAGACCTCACCAGACATGAATGCCGTGGGCAAACATTAAGTGGAATCACAGTTGGATGGACATGGGAATCACTCATTGCCAAAAAAATAAGCAAATGCCAACTCCTCCCATTTTGTGGGAAGGCCATTTGTCTGCATTGAAGGGGGCTGTAATGCGGTGATACAAATCCTCACTTAAAAAAAAAAAGTATATCAAACTAGTGGTAGAGTCATGTGGCACATCACCTCTGGTACATGGGAGTAACAACACTTCCAGGATTCTATGGCTTCAATGAATGTCCATAAGAAGTATATAAATGCAAGTTGTTCTACTGAAAGATGAAGAACAATGGTTAAAAATAAAGATGTTCGGCTTAAGGAAAGTCTGATTTAGAATGTGACTTTTCCACTTGAAAGGTAGAGGGTTGTGATATGATTTCCATTACTGACAGGTTTTTATAATTTCTTGTAAGTATATTCTTCCTCTTGCCTCTCTTGCCACCATTTTGGTGGAGTTAAATACGTATCTTTCCAAGTAAAGAAGGGACGGGAACATTAAAAATGCTTCAGACACTTAAAAAAATAAATGAAGAAAATGGCAATGTTCTTATCCTTTTCAACATTTAAATTTAACAGTTCAACAGATGCATTACCTCTCAGCTCATCAAGTGGTTTAGCAATTTCCGTGAGTTTTACTACATTCAGATGGAGAAGTACGCACGTCAAGCCATCAACGATGGGGTCACCAGTACTGAAGAGCTGTCTATAACCAGAGACTGTGAGCTGTACAGGGCTCTGAACATGCACTACAATAAAGCAAATGACTTTGAGGTAGGAACTAATCTTTATTTTTTGGTCATCTCCCTTTTCCTTTTTTAAAAAATTTATTTTCTTTAGAAATGTACCCAAATCTGTTTTTGTGTTGGTTTCGCATACAAGCATCCCCCAATAGAGTAACAGGTAGAGCTGTGATGAGGAGCTTCCATAGTCCCCATTGGAATCATGAGGCTCTGACCCACTGCCATTTTTTCCCCATTCCCTGGCTTTTCAGCTTGTGTGGAAGACTCATTTGGCCACAGAAAAGGGAACTGTAGAATCCAAAGAAAAATGGCAGCAAGCAGCAAAGACAGAGTGATTCATTTTCCAAGGAAGAGGTCCCTACTCCAATAGACCTTTTTCATATTTAGGTTCTGAGAGGTCAATGAGCTGATACATGCTATGTGCAATGGTAGCTACCAATGTTATTTTCTTAAAAAGTCTAGAAACGTTGATGGGGGAGTGATCATGGTTTCTGACTTTGACATTTAGTCCCTTTGTGGAGGAAATGGTATGATAATTTACTAAGTACATAGCATAAGAGATCCATTGACATCTTTTTTTGGGATTTTGTTTCTGTTTTTGTTCTTTTTGGAGGAGAGACTCGTGTGTTTTGCCTAAGTGTACCTTCACAAGCATGCTGCTCTTTGTACAAACACTCTCATACACACTTATATATATCTGTGACGTGTATATTCTAGATCCACACAAAGCAGCATAGAGAATTCCCAGAAAGCAATATCCATGCAACAATGAAAGATGTGTGGCTATGAGTAAGGCATTTCTTTATGGGCTAATGTGGTGCCTCAGCAAACAGTTTTCATCACAACGTGATGACTCTCTGTGAGACAACACTAGCAAATCTCCCAGTACTCACAAAGGCATTTTGCTGAGCCCTGCTGGCTGAGGCAACAGTAGTTGGAGGTGGGAACATGGCAAGAATTCTGCAGGCTGAACTCCCTGATGATGAGATCAGACAGGCTGTGGCTTGACAAAGTTGGTCCATTTCTTGTATTATCTTGGCTAGATGCTGTGCCATCTTGAGGGTAGGAATTTTTTCTCCAACGTCTGTGTGCACTTGGACCTTATGTTAATATTCTTGCTTTCTTCTTGTAGATAGGTATCCAGGAATACCCAGGAAGTTCCAAATTTCAAAGGAAAGAGGACACCTTGGCCTCGCTCTGTCAATTAAGGGGTCTGACCCCTAGTACTCTTCCTGCTTGCCCCCCTCCTTTTTTTCGGCTCTTGTCCCTACAGTTCTTGGCAATGCAGACCAGTTATAGTGGCTTATAAAGAATTGAATATGGAAGCTCAGCAATGGGGAAGTCATAGTTTTTCTTTGAAAGTTTGAGTAGTTATAGTGTAAGCTACCTATTTGTCTTTGCTCTCTAAGACTAATATATTTTTTGCCAAATGTGTGATAAATGAAGTTTGGGTGGTGTGTGTGTGTGTGTGTGTGTGTGTGTGTTTGCTAAATACATTAAAAGTGAGAATTCTTCGTGTACTGCTCCACTATTTTAAAATCTGTTTTTAAAGTCTCAGTTGTAATAGAGCACTGGCTCACTATAATGACAGAGCACTAGCAGGCTTCTTCTAAAGCTGAAGAATATGATTATGGCTAACCATTTTAAAGAAATCTCATTAAGAGCATCTTTTCTCCCCTGCCTTTCTGCTAAGCCTGTTGCCCTAAACCTTAAGCTAAGAGACTTCTGTGTGCTAGTGAATTATTTACATTACATGATGACATAAGTATCTGTTTGGCAGCATACATCAAGCTTCATGAAAGAATTGCCCAAGATTCATGAGATGACTTCTGCATTTTTGCTATATAAAATACCCAAGAGGACAAGTCCTTAAAGTGCGCACGAGGGTTTTCGGGTTGCTTAAACCTTACCTGGTTGGAATTTAATCCGCTACCCACAGGCCAGGGGCCAAAATGACACAAACAGGGGATGGCTGGCATCAGGAGGTACCCGACAAGCTGCTCCATTTAGCATCATCTAAATCCTCTTTAATATGATTAACATCTAATATTTCTCTCTTTGTGAATCATATCCACTTCCAGCCAGGCCACCTCTCCTTTATCTGCAGTGTCTATTTTAAGACTGCTTCACTGCAAGGAGTATGGGGCCCGGGCAGGAATTTTGTCACTTCTCATGTGACTTCGGACAGTTATTGGACTATTCTGGATCTGATTCCTCCTTCAGTGAAAAGAAGGGAAGAAAGCAGGACCATGCAGTGTGTCCTGCCCCCTCTACTCACACACTTACACATCCATATGCACACACGCGTACCGACCACCACACATAATCCTAATATCACGAAATCGTTTTTCTTTTAGCCTCTCGGTCTGGCTCATTTACTGACAAAAGTTTCAGATAAGGTGAGCCCTTCTTTTCCGTGCCTTTGTGCATGGAGGTCACTGCTTAAGTGAGATGCTTAAAAAGCCACCGTTCTTATCGTGGTAGCTTTGCTAGTGTGGGCCGTGGCTGAGAGCCAAAAGTAGATCCGGCACCTTCAGCTGAATACCTCCACTGATACTGTGTGCACGGCTTTACTTTTGTATTTAAGTTTCTCCTCTTAAGGTCAAGTAAAATGAACCTATAGTTTAAGTATTAGCAAGTGAAGAGGATGGCAAAATGGAGAACTGTGCTACAAACAGAGCTAAACCATGGTAGAGGGACTTTGAAGCTACGTCTACACGGTGCCCCAAGATCCAGTCGATTCCAAGGAATCGTGTCACCCAGCTTAGTAGGAGCTGGTCAAACAATAAAATGTCTTATTGATTGTATTCCCAGACTTCTCAATCAATTGTTGGGAACAATAATAAAATAGCTAACATTTATTGACTGTTTACTAATGACCTAGGCACTCTTCTAAGTGTTTTACCAAAATAGGGCTTATTTAATGTGGGTAATAATAATGACAGTGATACCAATATAATAACAAGAAAAACTTCAGTTTGCCCAAAGCTTTACTATTCTTCAAGTTATTCTAACTGGGCAGAGGCAGATCGAGCCAGGGAGAGAGAAGGAGGTTTGACGTCTCTTCACTACTACTTTATTCCTTCTTTCTCTCCTCTACCCCTTGTCTTCTCTCAGCCTTCTACTCCCATCTCTGCCTCTGTCAGAAGCTTGCTAGTGGCACCTTTGTCACTGCTTAGCACCACCTCCGTCCAGCCCCTGCTGCTGATGGCTCTCAAGGCTGGAGAGGCTGCTGACCCCTGGCCTACAGGAAAATAAAGCAGATGGGGAAAGTTTATCAGCAGCGAAGAGGGAGTGGCTTGCCTGCTCTCCTCTCCTAGACCCTGCATTTCCTGGCCTTTATGAGTACAGGACCTTCTAAGTGGCAGTAGAGCTTGTTCTGCCTTTTGTATCAGTTTACACAATTGCCAGAATTCTTGGCACGGTGTGCAGACTTAGGGTGGTGAGCGTTTGAGAAGACCCAAGGGATGTGGAAGAAGACACCCAAGGGGAAAAATACGAAATACACTTTTAGTTTGTGCTAAAGGGCAGAAGCTTGGCCATATCACACCGGGTGGGGTGTCTTGCTTCTGTGCGTGAGTGTGTGAGGCACGCAGGAGAGGGGTGTGTAATTATGTGCTGTATCCTTCATTTCTGCTCCTCACATTTAATGAGATTGGCAACAATAAATTTGTCTTTCCAGGTGTGATGGTATATATTTCTATGCTTCATTCTCACTTCACTTTGAAGGGCTTCCAAAAAAAATTTTATGGGCAGAAAGAGCAAGTTTGGGATTCCTTCCCAGTTTTTAAATCATACTGATACTTGTGACTTTAGGGGCGTATGAGTTGGATTTTATCGCTTTTGTTGTTTTCCTCACAACTGTGGCAGGAAAAGAAGATGACGATCTCTGTCAGTTTCTGAGGCTGGTTTACCTGTTTTGCAAAGAGCTCCACCGAGACAACTAACTTGTGTAACTCACAAAGGTTAATTGCACAACGTAAGGAGCCAAAAGACATAGCAGCTATATGTGCAGCTGCGAAAGGCAGAATCATCCAAAGGTTGGAGGGTTTGTTACCGCCTGAGTGTAGGTTGAGAAAAGAATGTGCCAGATTCCTTCATCCAGTCACATTGAGCTCTCTTTCTCATTCCAGGGTACCGGGAGGTAGTGTTTCCCACGCCATGGTAAGCCACACATCCCTCCTGGGCCCCTCAGTGGCTAGTCATTCACCTGTAGGCAGGGTCTAAGTTTCCAGTAAGAATGACAGATCTCCCCTATCCTCGCTAAAGGCCCAGGTTTGGGGATGGAAGGCTTCAAAATAAATTGAATAGGGAACTTGATTCACTCATTAGTGGCCTTATGAATGCCATTTTCTAAGGTACTAATACCTCACTGGGCAGATGCTCCATCTTAGAGACTGTGGGTTTGACATTTTTCTGGGTGACACATGACAGGGAAGAAGGGTACTTCCGCACACCTTTGAATGTGTTTTCTTACTTTCCTCTTGGAAATAGAAAATAAAAAACAACACCCCACCCCACCCCCAACACACACACACACTAATACATACACACTTGCTGAATATGTTCTCTACCCCATACCTACCCTTTTCTTAACCTACTCCCACTTTCAATAGAACCCACATTTCAGAAGATTTAATATATTTGGAAGACTTTTATTCGCATTGTCATCTCTTTAAAGAAAAATGAGGACAGGTGGATTTAGGAAGCGCTTCCCTCTGCTCCAAATAGATCCTTAAATATGAGTGATCGTTTAGAAAACTGGCACATGAGTGAGAGCCTTTCACTGCTGTTGCAGTCTTTTGGCCTCAAAGCTGCTGAGCCGTTTAAATAATCGCATAACACACTCTTGGTGGGTGGCGAGGAGGAAAAGAAACCCTTACCATTTCTTCCCTTGCCAGTCCCACCGTTGACAAGCCAAATTGATCTTTTAAGAGATCAAATGAATGTTCTCTAAATATATGTACACACATGGCTGCCTGGAAACGTATTCCTTCCACAGAATGATTGCCTGAAATTTGAAGGAGAGCGCAGTAAAGACACCAGGTTGGAAGTGGGGTTGAAGGGCTAGGGGGTGGAGTGGAGGTAGAATTCTATGCGTGCATGAGGCTTCACTTTTGTACACTGTCCTTTTGGGATTCAAGGTGTTCATCAGTATAATGAAGCGGGCCCATTGATTTATCATCTATTTGGTAATGTCATTGCATTTTTAGCTCCCTGTGTCTTTTTTGTCATTGGGTTACATTCAAGCACAGTAAGATCAACTTTAAAACCTCCTTACTCAACAGCTTTATTAGTTATAGCATTCCATGACCTTTCTCAACATTCTTAAAGAAAAAGATACAGTGTAATGTCGCTTTACTTTGCTTATTGTCCTTTGTTGGGGTGAACAAAGCATTTTCTACAGTGGCTATATCACATAATTATACAGCTTTCAATAGCAGTGTCTTGGCACATATCAAAGTTCAGAGGAGCCTTTAGAAAAAAAAAAAGATGTTTTGTGGCAGCCTAGGGAGGGTCTCATCTTTCCTTCAGAAAATAGTTCAAGGCTCTTCTGTCAAGCTTCCCTACTTAGAGCTTTTTCTCCTCCTGCTTCATAAAGTTTAAAGGGGATTCAGTGGAGTTCTATGATCTATTTCCTTTGAAAGATTGTTCCTCGGCACAGAGAGGCCCTTTGACTTCAAGAGTTCACAGATTCATGTCTTTAGGTATCATATGTCTGACCTTATCAGTTACTCCATTTAATGTAGGAGAAAAAGTCTCAACTCTTTGTGTTTGTCTGTTTTGCCTCTGTGAAATGATTTGGTGAAAAGACCATCCTTTTTAACACACCACTGAGAGGCCGTTTCTGACTGTAACCTACCCTGTGGCTTTTCTCTCTTTAAAAAAAAAAAAAATCGTCCTTGTGTTTTGTGTATGGATGAGTTCACAGTGAGAATAGAATTATACAAGGGCAGGCGCACACACAAAAAAATCTTTGCTTTCCTCCCTCACCTCCCGCACCCCCCCACAAATGATCTATTGGCTCTCTCGGCGGCTGTACCCCAACAGGCGAAGCCATTTAGCAAACACAGAGGTAGCGGCTGTGGTGCTGGGACAGTGGTGGGTTTTCCCTTGCTTCGACCTACCCCTAAGGCCTTCATAATTAATTGTCCTTCAGCGATGAGGAAAGTTCAGAAACAGTGTGTGGAGTGATGCCTATTGTCTGATATTCAGTTCTCCTTGCCTTGGTTCTTTTTCTTCATCCCACAAAGGGTTATCAATGGGAGAAAGAGAGCAAGTTCTCTTCTGAGAGCTGCTGGTGGTGGCTGTAGCTTTCAGTGGGATGTTATCATTGTGTTCAGCCCATCCTGGATTAAATGTCTGAAGAAGTTCTAACAACCTTTTGAAAGACAGCCTGTTTATTTCGCCTAGATGAAACAAATTCATTTAGCAAACCAAAGCTTGTTCGAAGTTGGCCACCCCTTTTCACATGGCAGATAACATTATAGATCAAATTTCTTCATTTTTCCCCCCGCAGGATGTTATTTAACTTGAACTGTTTGGTTCTTTGTCAGTCACAGGGCAGAAATTTTAATGACTATTCACTCACTGCTCTTAAATACATCAATATTAATTTACAATAATACAGTTTTTGCTAACATCCTTTTTGATGAAGCGTAGACGTTTAATACTTGAAAGCAGATAATTAGTTTAAAAATATTGTTTCTCCTTCAATGACTGCCTTCAGCCAATCTTCAATTCTATCTTGTAAGATGATGTGAAACAAACGCATTTTGTCTTCCTGCACCCCCCAATTTTTGGCTGAGATACAAAATAAAGATGCAGTGTGGAGAGAGCTATTTGAGAAGGGTAGGAAAAAGAGAACCGTCTATTAATGATCATTATACTACTGTTCCTGTTAAATAGGGTGAAGCCAAGAAAAACAAATATAATCGTTCTTCCGAGGAGAGCAGTTGAACTAGTAAATCACAGAGGTTTAAAATAACTACATTGTAGTGTTCATGACAACTTCAAGGCTGAAGGGAACCATATTTAAAGGCAATCTCTGTGTCTCTTATAGCAGTTTCTTTTGGAGGAAGAGACCGACAGGATGGCCAGAATCAATTCTGCCCCCTTTGCTCTTTGAAAACAATTTCACAACAGACCTTTTGGTATTTAAAGAGAACCTGTATATGGAAGTTGACACAACTAATATAGTCATACCAAAAAGGGGGTCATAAAAAATTAAAGTTCTTCTTATGAATCTTTCATGAGAAGCAATGAAAAGGGACACTAGTGTAGCCAAGTTCTTTGTGCTACAAGCTCTTCTTCCGGGCTCTGAGCTATTGTTCTTTCAGCTCCTCAAACAGACTTTCACTTTCAAACTGACAAAAGTCACTTAAAAGCCAGACAGCTGTACTAACACACCCACCTTACTGAGCAAGAGCCACTGGCAGGTGACAAGGCCTGCTGAGAGACCTTGTTGAAAATGAGCAGGGGTGACTTTCTCGTGCCTTAACGTTGCTTTTGCACTCACTTTGAGATGGCCCATTGACTGCTCTTTTTGCCCCCCCACCCCAAAACAGGCTCCCCAAAATATGTTGTGCATTTTCTTTGCAGTGTGCAACATTGACATCCGTGATCATATTTCTGCCTTACACCTGTGTGGCTAGGCACGGGTTCTGGGAAATTTGTGCCCTTCTAGCAGAAGACAGGGAGTTTGACTCACAAAACTCCTGCTGCCTCTTTTCCTTTTGCCCCTCCATTCAGTTCAAATCTCACTTAAGGTTTTCAGATTTCTGTTGCCTCACTAGGGTTGGATAGAAAACACCCACCAAAGATGGGTGCAAACCTCACCTTCGGATTTAAGATCTAGGCAGAGATCGTTAGGTGGGTAGTCCTGCCTGCATCCCGACCCTCAGGGCAGCAGCCGTCGTGGGCCATGGGAGGCCTCCCTGTGTGCGCATTACAGGCCTCCCCTCCCCTGTCACCTTGTGTACAGTCTGGTCTGTGACACTGATGGTGATTATGTCATTATTTTGCTCTGGGGGCCCTGGCACATCTGCAGAGCCCAAGCACATCTTCTTTGTTGCGTTGGCAAATGTCCCACGCCGCAAATGCTTCATTAGCCCTGCTGCCGGCCTCCTTGCCAGACGCCTGTGCCCAAATCCCGGCTTCTTTTTGCTCCGTTCTTTTGTGTAGCTGATGATCATGTATTCATCTTCCTGGTTCTTCCCCATTTTCCTCGACTTCTGAACTCCAGATGTCCCAGTTTTCTTGCCCAAATCACTCCGAAGTCTACAATGCGAAATGAAGTGACTCTTTACCCTTGAATCCTTCCCCACTCCTGACCACCTTTCCTACTTTTTTTCCCCCAAATGAATAGTGACTTTGAATAGCTCGCCACCATGAAGACTAACGTTTTCAAACTTGCAATCTGAAAAGACACCAAGTGATTGCTTCCAGTTTATGATGAGAGACAGGGTTAGAATGAGTTTGGCATTATTAGATATTGCTTATTATCTGTGTGCCTTCCTCCTCCGTCCCCACTCTGCCCCCCTCACTATTTCCTTGGATCCTTTATTTGCACCTGTGCATTGCCACATTTTACCAATTTTCTGAAAGCACTTTGAAATGTGAGTACAGAAAATACTCTTCATGCCTCGCTGTGCACGTTACAGTCTTCTGAAGGTTCCTTTCTCTAAGTGAATCTTCATCTCCACTCTACCCTCTCCCAAAACCACTGCCCCCTCCTTCTGCCCCAGCCCTCAACAATGACCTACTATTAGATACTTACAGTGATTAACACTTGGCTGTTTTGGAAACAGCTAAAACATTTCTCTCTCTAAAGTTTTATTCTATATATCTAACAGAGCCACAGCTTTTGTGAAGGTGTACTGGTTTCTACATTAGCTGCAGTAAATTTTAGAGCTTAATATCTTGGGCTGTGATGGATACTACATAATTGGTATGTTTAATTTTCCCTTAAATTTGAATTAATTGATCTGTGTTAGCATATTATGAGCAGCTTTTCCAATAGAGTTTAACTAGTTTTTAAATTCTCTAACTACTGCAACATAAAATGATTTAAATGTCTCCATCTTTGAGCAAACCATAAGATTTTAGTTTTCAGGTGTAGTTAAAGGAGTTAAGTGTATATTTTATGGAAATCATGGTTAGATCACTGCCATGAATTGTAATTTGAAATTCAAGACAAAGACTCTGTTAAGGGTTAAAGAAAACTTCCTCAGAGGAATGAGTTGCCACATTGTACCGGGTTGCTGAGATTTTCAAATACCTATCAAAGAGGGGCACAAGAATATGCATGTTGCAAATATTAGGACCAATGTAGCCAACAAGGTGAGAAGAGAGGTGGTCAGATCAGGCGGGTGGGCTCCCCAACCCATTGTCAGCCCTGTGCAGGGAGCATATTGGGAGAGGCTGGTACCTGTCATTGAATCATTTTTCAAAAGGCTCGAGATATATCCAAAATATTCCTAACCTCCCAGTTGCCCACCATTATGGTTTTATCACCCATGAGTTTTACTTAAACCTTTTTTAAACTTAATCTCATTGTCAGAATATACCACTCCTTAAGATAATAATTCTCTAAGTGTATTACCTGCTGGGAAAATACTATCTTCTTTTTACGGCTCTAAACGTGATTCCCCTAGAACTCCACAGGGATAGCCCTTGTTATAATATCCTGGGATTGTGAAGAGGGTTGTGTCCATATTCTCCATTTCCTTTCTGATTTTACAGACTTTGATCATTACTCCCTCTTAATCTTCATCTCTCCAGATTAAGGAGCTCTAATCCTTTTTAAAAGCCTAATCTCATACAGTAAGTGGGCTGCCCTGGATCATTTTAGCTGCCCTGCTGTAATGCGCTTCCAGCCTGACTGTGTTTTTCTGAGGGACAGTTACAGTTACTAACTCACACAGCAGAACTCCAGGTGTGGGCAGTCATGCCACGGTTTGGTGATGGTGCCTTGTGCACACCCAATGGGACTTTTTTGATTACCCCAAAAGTTTATCCTCAGAAGCTGGAATTCTTGAGTTGGATCTCAGTAGTGCTTATTGGTTAAAATGATCCTATGAGACCAGCTGATCAGACTCTTGGCAAATACTCTGGCAAATATGATTGTGTCTATAGGACATACCCAGCCAAATAGAAAATAGGCAGATCCACCCTGCCCTCCAGATGTTTTCAGTGTTCTTGTAGATCAAGCACTGGGGTATTTGACATCATGAGGAGATAGCCTTAGTCTTGAACTTGAGTCTATAATAATGACAGCTCTGGGGGAAAGCTCCAGTTTCTGCTTTATTTGATGTTATTCTCAGGCAGGCAATGAAATGTTCACCTGCAAGTAGTCAATATTTTATATAAAACATCCCCTTGAAATCTTACAAAGAAAATGCTTTGGGGAGTCTTTCCACTGTCAGTGGTCCTGGATCAATACCGTTGTAGGACTTACAGCATGGACTCTCCAGCCAGGCCCTGGGATCAAATCCCAGCTCTGCTGCTTTCTAGCAGTGAAACCCTGGCAAGTGTCTTACCCTGCCTGTACTTCAGTTTCCTTATCTGTAAAATAGGGGATGTAATAGTGACTACTTCACAGAGTGTTGTGAGAATTAAATGAATCTACACAATTGTATTAGCACAAAGTAAGTGCTGTATAAGCATTCACATTTATTCATTTGCAGAGCCAAGTAAATGTTACCTTGTTGCTGTGACATCTGTGGTCCAATTATTGCACCATTTCCTGCTGACCCTAAATAGGAAAGTAAACAAACGGGCAATGAGGGAGCTCTCATCAGAATTGGAACATATATTCAACGTAAAACTGGTTTTCACAAGAGCAAGTGTTCCTGCTCTGAATGTGGCTGAAAAGGCGACACTAGCCTGGAACAGCTCCAGGACTCTGGGGTCATCCGTTCCAGATGAGAAGGACACGATGAGATGCTGGGGGTGGTGGAAGGAGCACTGGCCTGGAGGGTCTGGCTCTGGCCATACCTGCCTCATTGTGGTCTACTGTGCTCACCTTTTGGAAAGTGATAAGATTAAATTCAAGAGTTTCATTCTAGCTCTGAAATTTTGTGACTCTAGAGTAGAGGGGCAGTTTCATTCTAGCTCTGAAATTTTGTGACTCTAGAATAGAGGGGTATTCTGCATTCTCTAAATAAAGTCTCTTTTGAGTCTTGGTCATGTTGCAAAGCTTTAAGCAGTGAGTATAGAGGCCCTGGGAATCCAGATGGCTTCCATGTGAGGCCCCTTCTACCCTGGTGACTCTGCTGCAGCTTAATTATCTCAGTCAAAATCTCCAGGGTGCCCATTTTCGTTTTCTCCCAAGGCCCTATTTGCAGATCTGAATCTCAACAGTGCCCTTGGAGACATGGCAATTCCCTTACTGGGATTATAGAGACTAATTTTTCAAATTCATACACAATTTATTGACTGAATTGGCACTATCATTAGACTTGCTGCTCACTTTATTTGTTGCCTTGGCCAGGGTGGCCAAACAATGAGGAAATTTGTCAGTGAAGCCCTCATGCCATTGGGTTTTCTCACACATTCCATGCAGGCCTCAACACAGACTATCAGCATTTATAATATGCATTAACTTCTATATAATGTACGTCTCCTCTCTTTCAGAGCAGAATTGGCTATGTTTTTTTTTTTATTCTTTTATTTTTTTATTTTTTTGAGACACAGAGTGTTGCACTGTTGCCTAAGCTGGAGTACAGTGGCATGATTTCAGCTCACCACAACCTCCACCTCTCGGGCTCCAGCGATTCTCCTGCCTCAGCCTCCCAAGTAGCTGGGATTACAGGTGTGCATCACTATGCCCAGCCAGAATTGGCAGTTTTAGATGATATAACTACCTTCCCTACTAAGCCTACTTGGTAGTGTTTGCAAAAGCAACACCACCCTTTTCTTTAAATATTCCCCAAATGATAGTAATATAGATCATGAAAGTCTTTTCCCTTGAGATTGTTTTGTATGTGTGAGAGTTTGTGGTTGGGAGGTATTGAGTCCTCATACAAGCCATTTGGATATGTATTCTTCATATTTCTTATGGCTATTGCACCTAAGTTCTGTTTTCTTAAGGCTACATTAACATTTTAAATTAGAATATGGTGCTAAAAGTGACTTTCAGTAAAAGGTAATGTATTCCCTGAGAACAAGTAAATACTTGGGCAGGGAGGGATGGTTTGAGTAGAGGTGAAAACAGAGAAATGATGGGAAGCTGACCATATGTAGAAGAAGCTGAAAGGTCATGGTTTCAAGGCCACTGTGTTTCCTTTCATTTAGAGCATCCACTTTTAAAGATTTATCATTTTCAGTGACCTGAAGGCGTACAAGATAATCTGTGTAGATACCTGAAACTGCCTTTCAACAAGGCCAGTCCTAGGTATTGACAGCATCCTAGGTTGTCCCACCCTAAACATTACCTCAAGTCCCATTGGGTAGGAGTCTAGTGGACTTCCAAAAGCCCCCGAGTTCATTCTGCAATCTGCCTGTCTTTGCAATCTATTTACCTGTCTTGAAAAAGGGATTCCAAAGCCCTTCACAAGCTCTTAAGTAGCATTTGAAATACAGCCCATCCTTAGTTTTGCAAAGGGTGATTGCAGAGAAAGACAAATAGAATTCCCTGGAAATACAGAATAGAATTTCTCTGACAGAACAAAGATCTTGCAGTCAAAACCAAGGGATGGGATTGAGGCCAATAATCCCCATCCTTTCCTAAAGCAACTCGGATATTATTTGGGGTGTCATAAGCTATTGCCAGCAGAGTGCCAGCATCCCCCATGAACTTGTGTTCTCTGAAGCTCTGTCTGATTTCCTACCATCTGTATCACAAGCGCTTTCTTTGGTGTTTACTATGAGCAATCCCTTTCTCATCACAACCTGCCTGAACCCCACTTCCTAACAGCTTCTCCCTAGGCTCCTTACTCACATTGCTCCATCAATAGCAATACAGGGCACACAGACTAGTTTTAATATTAGCCTAGGCAAAGCTTAATTATGAAGGTAAAGCTGTGGCAGAAAACAATCACGTAATACATTCTCGAACGAAACAGGAGTAACTGTGGATTATCTGTGCCCCAGCTTCCCTTCATGCAATATTGGAGTGTTTGTGCTATGTTGTTTTTGGATAATGTCCCATCCAAGAATGGCACCAAGCTTGGCCCTGCTTCTTTTACCACCTCACCCAGTAATTGTAGCAAAAGTTAAACTTCAAGGGCTGTCAGCTTGTCTTGAACTCAGACACCAATGGCACCAAATTTACGGGGCTGACTTAAAGGGGAATTTGTTAACACTACAAAGTGACTGGTATATGATTGCAGGGCTTATTTTTCCACCTAAGTATTGAGCTGATTTGTCAGATGTGTCATGAAGCAGGGATACATTCCTCTGTTTAGCACATTTAAATATGTACTGGCAGGAAAGCTCCCAATTAAACGTTCCTAATCAGAGCAGGGTAAGACTGAAGTCTTCCTGGTCCTTGACCACCACGTGTGTGGTTTATTAACTCTGTTCCCGTAGACATAGGCAGCCTTAACTCCATCGGGGGAATGGTCTGGCCTTACAGGTCGAATTCAAGTGAATCAATCGAACTATCCTCCAAGATAGAGCAGAATGAAAGACCCAGGATCAGTGCAGAATGAAAGACCATTAGGCCTCTAGAAAAGCTGTTAGCCCTCAAGTTTGGCTAAAAGCAGGGGCTGGCAAAGTATGGCCTATGGGCAGAGCTGCCCCTCAATCTGTTTTTATGGCTTCAAGCTAAGAATGACTTAAATTTTTAAACAGTTGTAAAAAATAAGGAGAATATCCAACCTAGACCAAATATGGCCCACAGAGCCTATGTATTTATTACCTGGCCCTTTACTGGCAAATTTTGCTGACCACCGGCTGAAGGTTTTTTCTCTTCTGTGGGACATGAACTCTCTGAGATTCCTTCTAGTTCTGAAGTTCCAAAATTCTGTGATTCCTTTTTTTTTTTTTTTTTGAGATGGAGTCTCACTCTGTCACCCAGGCTGGAGTGCAGTGGCATGATCTCAGCTCACTGCAACCTCCGCCTCTTGGGTTCAAGCAATTCTCTGCCTCAGCCTCCTGAATAGCTGGGATTGCGGGCGCCAGCCACCACGCCCGGCTAATTTTTTTGTATTTCTAGTAGAGACGGGGTTTCACCATCTTGGCCAGGTTGGTATTGAACTCCTGACCTCATGATTCACCCGCCTCAGCCTCCCAAAGTGCTGGGATTACAGGCGTGAGCCACCGCACCCGGCCAATTCCATGAGTCTTTGATGGAATAGTCTTGGTCCAGCTCTTACCTGAACAGCCTACCAGATGAGCAATTTCTGCACAGTGCTTCCAGTTGTTTTTAAGATCTTAACAGTATCTGTGTAGTATCTCAGGGGGAGAGAATGAGGTATTAGGTTTTAGTTTTTGATGCTTTTTCCTTGATTTTGCTTGCATATTTGTTTGTTTGTTTAAACTTGGAATCACTTTTTAAGACCTATGCAGAGTTTGGGAGAGAAGGAAAATTTGCTTCATCGCGACCAATAATGTGACAATTATGTTTCCTAACACGTATAATACCAAGACCTCCATGTGTGAGCAAATAAACTAGCCACTTAAAGCACGTTCACTGACCAAATTTCAGCCCCACGAAATAATTTTGACAGTCTCTCATAGACATTTGTCATTCTGCTCCTAGCAAGCTAGTACTATCTTCTACTGGGGCTATGGAAGAGATGGTTTTACTTACCTTGATCTCTACATGCAGAATTGCCAATGGAATACTTACATAATTTAAAATGTATGCACAATTTATTAAACGTAGAATAGAAGATGTTAAGACATCCTTTTCTATTACCTGAAAGTCACAATTATTCGAAATGCTCAAATCTAGAACATTGTTGATAATTATATAATATTTTAACAACACATATGTTATCAACATCATAATGCTGTAGAAATTTTATTGTGAATTTTGTATTTTCTAAATACTCTTAAAAGACAAAGACTCAAATTCAGGTAGAAAAACAAAGAAGATACTCAGGGTGTATCTCTGCCCTTCATTCATTGCTGTGGTCAGAGAAGTCTGTGTGAGGGGTTTGGCCGGTAGCAGCCCCCCAGATCCGTACACTGCAGACCAAAATTCAGCTCCTGTGATGCTTTTCCATGGAGTTTCCCTGTCAATTCAAGGTAGATCCTCAACCTCCCTCCTTGGCAGTTTGCATGTGACTGTTCATTCTTTTTATTACATTTCCTCCAGGGGGCCATTTTCACCATGTCATATCTGTTTGCTATCAGCATTTATAAGGGCTGGTGTGGCATTGGAGGATGTCAAGTGGTCTGACTTGGAAGTGTACTGCCACAAACTCCATGTAGGTGACAGGAGGAGAGACCTGCTTTCCCGTTGCCACTTTTTGGATTATCCCTGCAACTCTTTCCGTCTGGCTGACAAAAACCTTGGGGCTATTGGGTGGCTCATCACTTCTGCTCCTTCTCTAGCCTTTCCCTGGGTTTGCTTCCCCCAACCCCCACACCCCCTCGCACATTAACATGACATTGCCTGGTGAGCACAGAAGAGAGCAGCTTCCACCAGCTGAAACCTCTGATCTCAAACTCACTAGAGAGTTTGGCTTCGGGATTTTGGCAAGAAGGCCGATTGCCCATCAGGTCAGCATGAATAAAGATTTCTTTCTTCCCTTCTTTTTTAAAGTCAAGCATCAACCGAAACTGCTCCCAAAGCTCTGTCTCTCAAGACAATTTAACCCCTTTCACCTAAGTACATTTTCTATTTTGAATGCATGGTACTTTGTTTTATTCTTTTCCTGTGAGATGACCAAGAAATCTACTATATGTAAAATTTGAAAGCCAAGTCAATTCTAAACCAGGCTTATCATTTTTAAAGTATGTTTATCCAGCTTTGTAGTAGGAACAAGCAGACTGTTTGAAGGCCACATACTTTTCAAACCCTGGTTGCAACACGTCTGCCCCGTTTTGAAACTGTCTTTATCTAGCCGAGAAAACGAAAATCTATTTGACAAAGTGGCACTCTGGCCAGTTTATCTTGCAATATGGCTTTAGCTCACTGAGTCTATTGATTTCCTTAAATTAATGTTTACAGAATGCTACTGAATTTTGCTCAACAGAACATTGTTCTTTCGAAGCTTTATATATATATATATATAAAAGAGATACAGACTGTTATTGCCATGTGTTCCTTTGTTTAGACCAAGGAAACATAGTTTTTAGGTTTTTTTTTTTCTTAAGACAGCCTTGAACTATAGCCACTTCCTACAAGCATTTACTTTTCACATATTTAAACAGCAAAACATGTAACTAGAAAGTGGGCCCAAACTGCATGGGTATTAGACGAATCTAATCCTCAGTGTTCCTGAAAGCTGAATGCCACCTGGAGCATCAGAGGGAGAAAGCCTTTAGTCCTAAGCCCAGATGTTGCTGGAGAACCTTCCTCTGCCTCATTTGGGGTAACTCGGCAGGCACCCGAAAGCAACTTCACAGCCAGTGCTCCTGGATCCTGCTAGTTTTTCCAAACACAAGCATCCTAATAAAATTCAAACACCATTTAGCTGTTTGGGAACTCTAAATATAACATCTTGCCCTTTGACCACGGTGCTCAGTGTTCAATACACAAAACCTAATCTCTAAAGATGATTTTAAAACTGACCTTCCCAGAGAAGTACACGTATCCATTCAGCTACGAACAGTGCAGAAAACAGGATTTTGACTCATAATTATGAAATGGCCAAAATAAAACTTAGGGAACACAAAGCAACTTTTCTCAACCGGTTGACTCAGCCAACAAACTCACCCAAGCGAACCTCCTCAGAGCACCTCTCAAAACGATGCTTTGCAGACATTTATTAATCACAGTGAATGCTTCCCAGGAATTAGGGCTCCTCTTTAAAATCTCAAACTTGTAAACCACCTTATATTTGGATGATATTTTATGCTTCCCAAAGTGCATTCATGTTTTCTTTTCCATTTGATCCTCCCCTGGAATGAGAGGGCACTGGAATAGAATCTCAGGATTCACTGTGTATAGCATCCTGCACCATTCCTTCTCTTCTGGAGGGCCTGTTAGTCCCCGGCTGTACACACAGGATAAATGCATGCATGACTGCAAAGGGAGACCCTTAGTAACCACATCTTGTGACCATATTTTACAGCTCCATGATTCCTCTTTTCAGCCTCTGGCAGGAGAGTTTAGTGTGAGTGAGACAGTGAAGAGGAGCAGCAATAACGTATCTGTTCTTGGCTTTTCATCTGATAATCTCTATGAGGAGTTACTAAAGCATCTGAGTTTATCCATTTAAGTCCACTCTGTCTGCAGTGTAAGTCCCCAGCTTGTGCCACTGCTGTCAGGAGATGAGTCTCTCCTTGATCGATATTTACTTAACAAACAGCAGGGATGGGAGAGTTTGTTTAGAGGAATCATGTGCACTCTAGGGTGAATGAATGCTCGGGAAAGTACTTCAACTATTTGTCTCCTTCCCTAAGATTTTTGTGTACGTGTGTGTGCACACACGTGTGCAGATGCCCATTCTCTTTTTAACTTCTCCAAAGACACTTCGAAGTCATCTAGAAAAATACCTCGCTATGTATGATTGGTACATCATTATACCGTTAAGGAGCTAATGATGCAGATGCAGTTTTTCTAACCCAGCAAAGTTTGGTTCTTCTTTTGTGCTCTTATATAGAGCACAAAAGAGACTCTTAGGATAAACTAAATGCACAAGCATCTACCTTTGACCCCTTTCAGATGAGTGGAAGGGAAGAAAATACGGATGGAAACAATAAAAGCAGTTTGACAAGGCAGCTCTTCACTATGTATTTTTGATGGCATTACCTATATATTTTTAAAGGCCCACAGGGACAAAAAGTAACTTTCTCCAATTTTTCAGAGCTGCTTCAGCATTAGATATATTTAACTCTACTACTGTATATGAATTCCACGGTGTGAAAATTGAGAGAGCACTGTTCTTTCGAGTTCCCTGAAACAATTGCTTGAAGGCTCAAGTCAGCCTCTTGAATGCAGTTGACTTGGAGGCATCTGGGGCTAGATCGAGGGGTTTTGTTTCTGGGTGTGGGGAGAGGCTGGGGGGTGGCTGGGGAGTTATTTATTTATTTGATTTTGTGAATCGGAGTTGTAAAAGCCATCTGAAATATTCATGCAGAATAGTCTGAGAAGCCCGTTTCTGTTTTATTTACCGCACAGTAGAACAGCCACAGCGGATTAGTTCTACAATACCCGTAACAAAAGCCCAACAGCTGATGCATGTGATGTTAGGAGGTGACAAAACAGTTAAAGTATGCTGCTGGCTACAGGCAAGCAGTCAGCAGATGCAGACAAAAGGGTTTGTGACAAGAATAACTCTCTCTCCAAGGCGAGCAGTGAAGAGTATCCAAAATACCAGTACCCTTTTCTCCTTGACATTGTCTTCTTACAGTCAGCATTTTATTGCCCTTTTATAGTATAAAAAAAAATGGAGGAGGAAGAAGAAGGAAAACCCACACACAAACTAATTCACCAAAATACTAGGCAGGATTGTACTTTCCCATTCGCTAGCCATGCCTGCCAGTACACGTGTCCTTTTCCATTTCTCCATCGAAGCAAGTTTGAAAAAAAAAATTAGCTTAAAAGATCAGCTATAAAGATGATTTCCCTTGAAAAGTTTGTAATCTATTGATAGGCTTGATAGGCCATTGGAGCCTTTGGTTACGGGTTGGGGGGTGGGTGGCCAGGGAAAGAAGTCGATGCCTGGTTTGTTTTCTGTCCATTTCAGTGAAGATCATTTCAGTGATGAAATGAGGCCAGAGGGCCAATTTTTAAAGGGGATTGAGGAGGGAGGAGTGTCCATGGAGAACTGAGCAAGGGGCAAGGTTTAGGTCCCCCGCAAGAGGCTGATGAATGAGCTTACGGACGGTTCAGAGGTGTGAAAAATGAGCTTCTCTGTCTCCAGAAAATAGGAGAGGCTGTCTTCTTTTTAACCTTTGTAATTCCCCTTCTATTCTCTGTGACATTCATTCAGCTGCCAAGAGCGTTTGGCAAGGTTTGGGCCAGCGAGCACACTTCCAGTGACCGCTAACCTTGGTATGTCCTGACACTTATGATGAGTATCTGCAGGACACAGAAGGCAGGCAGCCTGCTATGTCAGGCTTTTATTATGTACTGCAGAGGCTAGGGACAGTCAGTTTAATAAAACAAATCATCCTTGAAGGTAAAGCAACTGGGAAGAGGAGGAAGACAGGAGAAAAATGTGTCTTTGCCACTCATTCCGATGGAAAAAAAAAAGAACAGCAAAACAACCACCCACCCAACACACCGTGTGTGTGTGTGTGTGTGTGTGTGTGTGTGTGCGCGCGCGCGCATTCGCGCACGCACACACACGCGCAACCCAGCTGTGGACTGGGCAGACTTGAAAACCTCCTCTCATTTTCTGCATTTCATGGAAGCCCAGAAGGCTCTTGTTTGCTCTGAGGAGACTCAAGTCTGTGATGAAATTGGTAGAAGCTGATAGCCAACCCCCTTCAAATTTATGCATATCTTCAAGTACCTCATTACTTTATATTCTTCTCCAAATATCAAGGCAAGACCATCTGGGGTGACGTTCCTATATTGGGATGCCTTTTTATCAAAACAAAGTTTCCACTCTCCTCTCCTGAGGAACGCTGGGCAAAGCAGCTCCCACAATAGCCTCAGAGTTCCAGCCAAAGACTTTGGAAGCCTTTTGTTTTTTCCCTGTGGCATGTCCAAAGGCAGGGCCTTCTCCCCTCCTCCGCCCGCCCTCCCCAGCCGCCTGCATTGTCTTGCATTCCAGTGACTTGATTGACTGTTACCACCTGATGCTGAGGAGATACTCTAGGGTTCATTCTGCAGATTGTTGGGTTCTATTAAAAGAAACCTAGATAAGGGATTACTTGTCACTAAGGGATTTTCTGCAGATGTTTATTGGTGATGGGAAAGCCATTAGGTGTGAAGAGGTGCAGAAAAATATGGACAACATCATTCTGATAAGACTGGTTTCTAAGATGCTCCCACAAAACATCAGAAAGTACCCCCTATTATTCTGTTAAATGGAGCTGGGTGTTTTCAAGCAGAGGTAAAGGTCTCTTTTTCCATGGGTGATGTTTCTATGTGTGGATGAAATTCACTGGAACCCTCTCAGAAGATCAGTTGCTACCCAAAAGTGTACCTCTGGGAGCCACCAAACACATGAGTTGCTCCAGTAGTTCAGTATCTCATTACAACTTTCTTTTGTCCAGTCCAGTCCATTGCATGAGTATCACCTCAAAGTAAGCACTATATTAACTAATCATTTTATTTGTTCACAAAGAATTCATTTCTTCCCAAATATAAACCAATAACCAAAGTCTCCTCCAGGGCATCTTTTATACCATTTCCATTTATTTTGAAGTTACTAGATTCTCTGTGGTTTTTCAAGATTACAGAGGCACAGCTTTTCAAGGTTTTGGTGCCTCATATAAATAGTAGAAATTGCTGAAAAAGCATTAAAAGGGAGCCAGCATCGTTTAATGCAAAGACACCTTACCTCACAGTAATCTCTTCATCTCATCATTTCTTCATCTCATACAATCTCATGCTTTCTTCATCTATAAAGTGATGATTTCTGAGATCTATTCGAACTCTTTGAATTCTACCTTACTTTACCATTATTTTAAACTTCTTTTTTTTTTTTTATTTTTGAGATGGGGTCTCACTGTCACCCAGGCTGTAGTGCAATGGTGCAACCTCAGCTCACTGCAACCTCCGCCACCTGGGCTCAAGCCATCCTCTCACCTCCACCTCCCAGTAGCTGGGACCACAGGCATGTGCCACCACACCCAGCTAATTTTTTTGCATTTTTGGTAGAGACGGGGTTTCATCATGTTGCTCAGGCTGAAGCTTCCCTTTATTAAGTATTGTTAAAGTATTAAGTAACTGCCACTCTAGAGCAATATGGAGTAAAGCAGAAGGCAAGATCTCACTATGAGCTATTTACCAAATAACTTTGCAAAAGATACTCTGCTGAGGCTCCTTATCTAGAGACACCTTATGATGAGGTAATTGAAAGTACATAAAAGTAGATAAAAAGTTAAACAGCATCAAGACACAAATGCAAAAGGTGATAAAGGATAACCTATGATTGCCACCACAAGAAAGGAATATTTAAAACAGATTAAAACCCACTAAAAACCATTAACAAGCATGACGAACTATAAAAATGATGAAGAGGAGACTGCATACAACCCCCAAAGAAGTTGCCTTGTTCTCATGCAAATCCTACAACTACACTTCCCTCCCTCCCCTGCTGCTGATGTTCTAGATGTACCTCTTCTCTCTCCTCTGACAGTCTTGAACAATGCCTGCCCTTCCCCTGTCCCTGGTTCCCCAGACCTCCTGTGCAGTTCTTGGTGTGGGCAGGGCTTCCGGCCTTCTCTGGCTTCTCTGGGGCAGCTGCCCACACCTTCACCCCTCAAAGCTCTCTGCCATGTCATGCTGCATCCCTGAGTGCTCAAGGAACATAGAATTTCACTGAGGCTGTATTGCCGTTGGCTGATGAAACCACCCTTCTTGAAACGTTTATTTTAATAAATGCCTATAATTGGCCAGGTGCAGTGGCTCACACCTGTAATCTCAGCACTTTGGGAGGCCAAGACGGGCAGATCACCTGAGGTTGGGAGTTGGAGACCAGCCTGGCCAACATGGTGAAACCCCATCTCTACTGAAAATACAAAAGTTAGCCAGGCGTGATGGCACTTGCCTGTAATCTCAGCTACTCAGGAGGCTAAGGCAGGAGAGTCTCATGAACCCAGGAGGCAGAGGTTGCAGTGAGCCAGGATCATGCCACTGCACTCCAGCCTGGGTGACAGAGCAAAACTCCATCTCAAATAAATAAATTAATAAATGCCTATGATTATGTTTCTGTAGCATTTGGCTAACAGCTCCCAATCCAAGGAGTGAGAGTGGGCAGTTGCTCCGCTTCACTGTTCTCCAGCCACATTCCCTCCCTCAGTGATGCTCATTTGATAGAATGTGGAGGATTATCTTTGGGGGTGGAGGTGACTGTGCTAGAAAAGATTGCTTCACGAATTTTTATTTGTATAATGTGAGTGGGAGGGCTAAGCTCTCCTCCAACAAATACTCATGTATACAAGACATTTGGGAGGAAATCACCCAAAGGCCTGTAGAAAATCCACATGAATTCTCAGCAGAGAATGGCCCTTGAGGTGTATGGGTTTGCACATTCATGGCGGACAAGGCGGCACTTTGAAGGATTTTCCAGGCAACACTGGGAATTATGTCCTAAGAAATGGGCCAGTGTGAAAGTCTTTAGGAGGGTCTGATAAAAATGTAAGCTTAAGACTGATTGGCCCCAAAAGGAGTCCCTTTCATTTTTTTCTGCAGAGTTATTACATTTCTTTATAAACAACAATTAACTTGCCATAGGGAACAATGAACTTCTTTGTCCAATTTTAAACGTGAAAAACAGTGATGTCGGGTGATGATTCTGGTTTTCTTTACCAGTTACTACTATTGTTAAAAAGTACATTGCACCCAAGGTGGGAAGAAAGAGATGAAACATGTTCAACATTACACTACTTCCTTTTTACTTTGGTACGTGGCATGTCTGAACTTAGATGAAATGTCTTTCATCTCTTGTATATGCGTAGATAAATATGGCTACATGTACACCTATGATACGTTTATGTCCTCATACGTCTGCACTTAATGTAAAAATGAAACTTTACTGGTGTATAAGTACCCCACTAAAAGAAATCTACTAAGTGTCAATGTGTACTTGGAAAATCATGAGTTCATGGATTATTCTGTGATTCCATTATGTTGGTGTGGGGATAGATAGACCATGCTGTACTATAAGTAACTTCCAAAGAACACTAAATAAGTACATCAGTAGCTACTGCTTTCCTTAGTCAAGAGATCAGATTAATAAGTAATTAAGAGAACACACACACACACACAACACACATACATATTAATTGCTGTGGAAGAAAAGCCTTAAGAAATTGGGGTTCTAAAATGAATATTTGGGGAATGTTTATTTTGGATGATAAGGACCTTGAGGAATTTCCTTACCCTCTCTGAGCCTCAGTTTTCTATTGTGTAACTGGGATAATAACACCCCTTAGAGAGATTGGGAGAACTGAATGACATAATTCACATTCAGTACATAAAACATAGCCTGGCAAGTAGTAAATACTCGAAAAAAGTTAGTTTGTATTATTATTATTATCAGCTGAATAAATCACTCTCTTATGGAGCAATTCTAATCTCAAGGTTAAGTAGTTTCTGATGTAATATTTTAGGATCAGTTTTGTGACTTCATGTTAATATTATTATTTTACTCCTTTATGTATATAGAATACTTTATATTGCAGATTAATATACAACTTAGCATCTGAGTCAACAATCCTCTGAGACAAACAGATAACTGAGATTTTAGAAGATTTTCTTCATTTAAAGCTTGGGTTTAATTTATAAAGAAGCCCAACTATTTGTTATTCTATTTTGAGAACGTATTTTGTTTTCATCATGGCAATCAAAAAGAAATAGGATTCAAATTCTGAAAAAATAATTGGAGACTTTCTTCTGGATAGCACTTATTTAATAAAGTGAGGAATCCCAAAAGTCACATCCCATATTCCTATCCTAATATCCACAATGAAATCCCAGTTTTTCAATAGGTCTGCGTTGGATCTTTCATACACTCTTCTTAAAACAAAGCTGTCAACCCCACATCACAATGCTTCTATATATAATGACTTTACATTAAAAGAATAGAAGCCAGCTATTTTTAGAAAATGCAGGTGCCATGTAAGCCCCTTTCTGCAAGAATGATCTTAGCTCAGTTTCCTTGGAATAACTGTAGACTTGAAACTGAAAACTTTATTAATGCCATTGTCTCCTTGTATCAGCAGGTTCCAGAGAGATTCCTGGAAGTTGCTCAGATCACATTACGGGAGTTTTTCAATGCCATTATCGCAGGCAAAGATGTTGATCCTTCCTGGAAGAAGGCCATATACAAGGTCATCTGCAAGCTGGATAGTGAAGTCCCTGAGATTTTCAAATCCCCGAACTGCCTACAAGAGCTGCTTCATGAGTAGAAATTTCAACAACTCTTTTTGAATGTATGAAGAGTAGCAGTCCCCTTTGGATGTCCAAGTTATATGTGTCTAGATTTTGATTTCATATATATGTGTATGGGAGGCATGGATATGTTATGAAATCAGCTGGTAATTCCTCCTCATCACGTTTCTCTCATTTTCTTTTGTTTTCCATTGCAAGGGGATGGTTGTTTTCTTTCTGCCTTTAGTTTGCTTTTGCCCAAGGCCCTTAACATTTGGACACTTAAAATAGGGTTAATTTTCAGGGAAAAAGAATGTTGGCGTGTGTAAAGTCTCTATTAGCAATGAAGGGAATTTGTTAACGATGCATCCACTTGATTGATGACTTATTGCAAATGGCGGTTGGCTGAGGAAAACCCATGACACAGCACAACTCTACAGACAGTGATGTGTCTCTTGTTTCTACTGCTAAGAAGGTCTGAAAATTTAATGAAACCACTTCATACATTTAAGTATTTTGTTTGGTTTGAACTCAATCAGTAGCTTTTCCTTACATGTTTAAAAATAATTCCAATGACAGATGAGCAGCTCACTTTTCCAAAGTACCCCAAAAGGCCAAATTAAAAAAGAAAAATAATCACTCTCAAGCCTTGTCTAAGAAAAGAGGCAAACTCTGAAAGTCGTACCAGTTTCTTCTGGAGGCAAAGCAATTTTGCACAAAACCAGCTCTCTCAAGATGAGACTAGAAATTCATACCTGGTCTTGTAGCCACCTCTCTAAACTTGAAAATAGGTTCTTCTTCATAAGTGAGCTTACATCATTCTTCATAAAGAAAAATCCTATAACTTGTTATCATTTTTGCTTCAGATACTAAAAGGCACTAAGTTTCCAATTTACGCTGCTCAACTTTGTTTATATGCTTAAAAGGATTCTGTTTACTTAACAATTTTTTCCCCTAAAATACTATTTTCTGAATACTTCCTTCCAGTAAGGAATAAAGGAAAGCCCAACTTGGCCATAAAATTCTTGCCTACACTAGAAGTTTGTTGACAGCCATTAGCTGACTTGATCGTCATCTCCTAAGAGGAACACATATATTTTCACAAGCAATTCCACACTATCCTGATGGGTATGCAAAGTGGTGACAGTCTAACTCAGTGTTTCTTCATTTTAGGTATAACATTTTAAAGCAATTGATAATGCCTCTTCCAATTCAGAAGCTAGTATTGACCAAAATGTGAGAAGAGTGTATAGCATAGGAAAATTTGGGGTTAACCCAAAAGACACAATTCCAGCACACATAAGAAAGCTAGCTGCTATTTTATGCTTTCTTCCATGGTTCTCCTCTTTTTTCCCTTTTATTTTTCCCTGTTTTTCAATGATGTACAGTGTTCCCTACTTGCATTGAAAAAACTCGTATGGCATTCACACTTTTTTTCTTAGGTGGGTTTTTGTGTCCAGATGCAGTAAGAATTCATTGTTCATCCTAAAACTGTTTTCCAGACCCTTCCTTCCCCTTAGGTAATTTGATATACACCTCCTAAAATGACACAGTAACAAATCTGGTATTTAGAACATATAGAACATAAATGCCATTTTTTAATTCAACTTTAATAAGAATTACATTTGACTTTGGAGAATACAGGTCTTGACCCATGTGACTGACTAGCTGACCCGATCGCTGTAATTTAACGTCATTTATAAATTCTGCTGATGGACAGGAATGTATGAACTCAATTATTGTCAGCACAAAGCCTTAAAACCTGCTGACTTTAAATTAAATGGTGCAGTCCTATGATGCCCTGCACCATCCAGGGGACTAACAGGGCCTCGCAGTGTAGACAGAGGGTGCAGCCACACGGGCGGGGGCACCAGCCACCTCACTCTGCACCCGCGGCCTCACACATCTCCCAGCTCACACTCTACTAATGCACAGAGTCATTAGATCCAATTTGTTATTTTTCTCACTTGCTTTAAAAAAAAGCAGTTTGGATAATCATGACATTGGAATAAAGTGGGAAGGAAAAATTCCATCAGCACAAAATAGGGAAGTAATCCCAACTTGTAGTCACAGTTTTCTGACTGGCTTTGTTTTAAAAGAGGATGGCAGTCCTTGTTCGTGTCAGTGTGCCACTGGGTTTTTGCTGTTCCGTGTAATTCATATCAACTTTGTGTTGCCATTTGCAAGGTAAAAGGCAAAGCTGTAGTGTATTCACCTATGTAGACAGATTGCTAGATATCTTTTTGATCTGGGGCGAGTTCAATATTGATTCCAGACTTATTTGGATTTTTTTAGTATTATTTTCCCCTCCCTTTCTAATTTAAATAGACAAATTAAGCAAAAGTGTGTGTTCACAACCAAATGTTGATGCCCTTATCTACTGATAATATCCTCTCAATGTTCACTGAGGCATAGAAATTATTTCAGAGTAGAAATTGCAGCATGAGGATAAACTCACCTCTTTGTTCTGAAAATAGAACTTTATCACTATGCTTTCCGGTGGTTTTCCCTTTTACAATCGAAATCTTGTGCCTCCCAAGTGCATTGGAAAATGACAAAAGCCTGTCTCTCCAAATTCCTATTTAACAGTTTGATTTTTTTTTTTTAATCACCATCTTTCAAATCTTAGCTCAACTCTCACCAAGTGAAAATTGGCTACTTGGGAGAAAGTTAACTTTCTATGGTGGGATGGTGAAGGATGAGGGACAGTTTACATAGGAAAAGAAAAAAAAAAGTCTAAAGTCCATGTTGAAAAACCACACTACCACTTATTTTCTGCTAACCCTAAATTATTTTTGCGTATACGCTTGAGGTTATAGTCTGTGCCTAGACCTAAAATGCACCAGCGGGGGGGATTTTAAAAAATCCTTCAAAATACCAGTTTTTTCCCAACAAGTACAATTGTTCTTGTGCCTTCTGTGGCTTTCGATTTCATCTTTTTGACTTTATTTCCAATTACTACAGCTGCAATAAACACTAGATTTTTTTTCTGGCTGTTTGACATAACGTTGATAGCTATGCATATTTTGTGTCTTTTTAAAACAAAGCGGGAGAATACGTTTTTGAAGAAGAGAATTTTTAGAACAGTTTGATACCGCAAATTATTTTTTCCTCAATTGTTTGAGCAGCATTCGAGTTTTGAAAATTCTTGTAGAAGCCAATTTTTTGTAACTGTGGTGCAAATCTTGTGTTTTCTTAGCCTAATGAAAAGTAGTATAGAAGCAATATTTCATACCATGTGCTATATATGTGTGCGCAGATGTGTGAACATAAAATCACATACACACATATACACACATGTAAAAATATACATATATATATATGCGTGTGAAGTGGAAAGCTTACCTTTTCCTATCTAGATTTAAGAACCTATTTTAGACATTTGTTATGTTTTGTGAAAAGAATGTTCTATTTGCAACAAAACATTTAATTCTTACTGTATCTCTGGCTGTTTAATGAGGACGTTTCACATTAAATGGTAAAACACATGGAAGATGTTAGAATGTAGTAATTATTTAAGTAAACGTTCACCCACATATTCCTGAAGTTTGCTTTGTGCCTCCGAGTATTATTTAATTAAAGAAGTGTTTTATGTTTGCAGAATCTTTGTCACTGTACTAGGGATGTGGGTGAATATCATTTAAAAAAATTTAAAACAACAAAAAAAAAGCAAAACAGAAACACTAAAGCAAGAGGGGAACTTTTATAAAGCAATGTAAATATTTAACCTCATGGCTGTCATTATGTAAGACATGAGATTTTAATAAATAACTACATTCTCACGACATCTGTTGAATTTACTAGGAACACTACAGTGACTGTATAGACAGTTGAAAGCATTCTTGAAAATCCTGCTCTCTCCTTTTAAAAGTTAACAATCTCTTTTATCAGATGTCAAGGGCAAGGGTAATGCAGTTTCTGTAAATTTATGAAATTTCTTTTTCTATGTACATGAAGACATTTAGTAAGTAACACCCCCCCTTCCCATGCGCACATGTGCGCATACACACACACACACACACACACACACACACAAACACACACACTGTCATAAAGCTAATGATTTGGGGACTTTAAAAAATAGGATGTCCTCCAGGAACAATCATAAATTTATGAAAGAAAGAGTAGTTTACAGACTCCCCTGAAAGAAGCAGTGTATATGTGAAGACAGTGCAAAAATCTCTTTGCCATGTATATTATAGCGTATTCATTGGTGTGAATAGTACAAATGTTTCCTTCTGGTACAAACTCTGTGTTTGCAAATTTACAAGAAGCATTGTTTTCAAAAAGCTCCCCTTAAAAAATGTAACTGGTTTATATGAGTAAGCAGTTACCGTATTGCACTTAAATGTTATGTTGAAGGAAATGCAGTTTTGTTTTCTGTAGATCTGTTGGTTGTAAACCATCTATAAAACTAAAGCTAAAATGCTCATATTCAGAGCTGGGATCAAAACTGGTATTTAACCTTTGCATCTTCTTATAATTATCCTTCTAAGAATATAACAGAATGTGGAAGTGTCTGGACTTTGAGTCTTTTCAACTGAGCCTTCTCTCAAATCTGACACCCCCTCAGAATGCACAAACATAAGCAGAAAAGGCAAACAAGCTTACCTTCTTTTGTGAAAACGTATTCATTCTGTATTTTTTTAAATATTCAATTCCCCTAAAAATGGGGAGAAAATATTTTAAAATTGTATATTACGACTTCAAATTTAGAACTAAGAAAAAAATGTATTTGGGATTGGTCTCAGCGCTACCTAGAAGAATCAAAGGTCATGGCTTCCCTCAATATTGTCCCAGCCATTTCTCATATGTATATAGTATAAACCGTGACAAAACACTGCCTTTATATTATTTAGCAATATGTTGTAAATAGCATTATTAAGCTCTTTTTTGTAATAAAGACCCTTTGATTTGAATATAGTACAATAACTGAACTGATAAAGTCAATTTTTGATTTTTGTTTGTTTTTTTTAGCTAGAGGCAATTTCAATTGTGAATTTTTGTTGTTGTCTATTGTTCTGAAGACTTTGCATAATTTATTGGTTTAATTTATCCTAATTTATTTGATGAAGGTGTACAATTTTGTATTACCAAGGATGTACTGTAATATTAATTGATATGATAAACACAATGAGACTCCCTGTCCATATTAAAAAGAAAATAAAAAGGTGCAGTAGACAATTGATTTTAAAGGAAAAGTTAAAAAAATTAGTTTGGCAGCTACTAAATTTTAAAACAGGAAAAAAAAAAGTTGTTGTGGGGAGGGTGGGAAAGGGGTTTTACTTTGTGTGTTTTAAGCTTTTGTATACTCTCCAAACTTTTACCTTTTGCTTTGTACCACTTAAAGGATACAGTAGTCCAATTGCCTTGTGTGCCTTCCATCTCCTCTTAAACTGAATGTATGTGCAGTATATATGCAAGCTTGTGCAAAATAAAATATACATTACAAGCTCAGTGCCGTTTGATTTTCTTAAAGAAAGAGTGACTTTTAATTTTTGGACCTGTATCCAATTGTAGGACAGTAGGCTAGTTGTGCCAGTAATGTCAAGTATGGAGATTTTCTTTCACTACAATTCTTCATTCTGTTAGCCTAACGTGCAGCTCCTAGAAACAACCTCTTTTACTTTAGATGCTTGGAATAATTGCTTGGATTTCTCTCTCTGAAACATCTTTCAGGCTTAACTTTATTTAGCCCTGAAACTTAAAAAAAAAAAAAAAAGCTTTAGCTCAAAGTAATATTTTACTCTTAATTCAACAATTGTTAATGTTGAATGATTCTAAGAACAAGGAAAGATGTTCCCAAAAGTCACAGAATGGCAAATATATTACTTAAAATATGGGGATTTGGGGCTTGCACTGTTCTTACTTCTGGATGAACTCAGAACTAAGAAGTACTATTGTAAATTTTCAAAACCTTTCTAAAATGTTTCTCTTGACATGGCTGGCAGCATGTTCCATACTAAGAGCATTAGTTTTATGGCTATTGAAAATTTCTTTTTATCTATTTCACTTTGTTTTAAAATGATATCTCCTTTATTCTTAAATTAAGAACAAGAGAAACTAGCAGAAATCACCTGCTATTTGAGATTGACTCTATTATCCACCATTCACTGCAGCTGTACCTCACTTGTGTCTGTACATGCTGTTGCAGACTGAGTCTTCATCATCTCTGATTTCTTCTTTTGCTTTCCCCTTAATGATGAAAACTTTATATTTTGACCCTGTTGACACAAGGGTGCCTGGAGTCAATGCAATATTAAAACTTTGTTAAAGGATGATAGCATTTTTCCACTTTCAGCTCTTTTTTCTATCAATGCCACATATTTAAATTCTAGTCTTCCTAACTAAATTGTGCAAAAGTGCATACTTAAATCCCTCTATGCCAAAATAGTTATTCCCTGATCGGAAAAAAAAAAATTCCCTCCTTCCACTGTCTCTTCTTGGAAGAGAAAAGACATTTGCAGGAATGTAGTGACTCCTCCATCTTCTTGTACTTAACAGTTATCTGCTTTATGCCAGATTGGATAATTTCCATAGCCACCAAATCACTAACAGGTTACAGCAGGTAGGAGGTTTATTAAAAACATACCTTCAAGCCCTACTTTTGTGACTCTAAATCATCTGGCGTCATTAGTCTAGAATAAAATGCACCACCTTCAACACTGATCTGAGCCGTCATCATAAACCCTGTTCCACATGCATCTCAGTGTGACCAGTGCCCACTTTAGAGTTGAATGTATAAGCTTCTCAACCTCATAATAAAGAAAAGATTGGTTTTATTCATTTTTATCTCCATTAATTTTTAAAAATTAACGTTTTTCTTCAAAAGCAAGGCTAAAAATCAGTACATATTTACAATTAATTTAATACATGCAGAGGTGAGACACAGATGCCCCTGAATAAAAGTCATAGAAATACATCAAATGTTTGTCATGTACTGCCAAATGCTGGGGTCTATGGACATTCCTGAATTTTAAAAGGCATAAAATATAAGAAAAGGGTGTACAAAGGAAAATGGCAGATACAATTTTAGAAAATAACAGATATAATAACTAAGTAAATTTATTAAAGATTACTGAAGAAATAAATTGTGCTGTACTCCCTTACCAAAGATATAACCATGTAGTAGAGGGAGGCTTTACATTGGGATAAAAAGCTAAATAGTAGCTTTTGAAACTAAAGAAGTCATCAAGAGAGTATTGCTTTGGGTATTAGGAGACCTGTCTCCAATCCATTCAATTCTAAAACTTTTTACACAGCCTACCCGGAGAAAACTAAGCAAGTCACTTAATGCTTCAGTGTCCCAGGAGAATTGAAATAATTATGAGAGCTAAAGGATTGCTAGATTCAGTGTGGTCACCATGTTGACTTTCACCTGCCAAGGATTCCTACCTGCCAAGAAAATGGTGTGTTAGGATGTTTTTGCTTCTCGTGAGAAGGCAATTTAAGTGACAAGGGCAAAATTCTGAAGATAGCCAAGTGTGACTCTAGATCCTTCTCTCTCTGTTTATGACTGGTTCTCTCTTGGGTAAGTGTCTCTGCTTCTTGTCAAGCATCTGGTGCTCCTGGGTTGCCCCAGCCCTCCCTCTGTTCACAGCAACAAGCCGTCTACGAAAGTTAACATTAAGATATCACTGACTTGATATGTTTCTCTTACCAATGGTACATTCATAAAAAGATATGCAGTGTACAAGAATACATTTTTACTGCTTCTGTATTAGGTCTGATGTCACCTGAATGCAAGTAATTATGGACTGGAGGCCTTCCCCACCAAACATCAGGCTAGGCTTTTTGAATGGTATCACTCCTGGCTGCATCTTGCAAAAAGGCTGTATGGTCTGTCAAGCCATTTCTGTCTCCCAGGCCTCCTTCCCCTCCGTCCCCAGGACTGGCTTCCTGCCCATGATCATAGAGTCCTTCTACATCTCCCCAAAAATCATTCATAAGAACTCACAGGAGGAGGCACACTTCTCCACTAAAGCCTGGTTTGTTTTTCTGGTTCCAAAGAAAAATTATTATCACTGAAGATATTTCAGAGATAACCTAACTCAGTGGCTTTTATTCCCCAGATCGCTAGAGAAATGTGGTTATTATCTCAGGGGCCACCAGATTAGGACCTCAACAAAAGGAGCTTCATCTTTATATTGAGGTATAATAAAATATTCATTTAATATAAAGAGTTCTCTGCTTAAAACAGTGATCTTTTTGAGTAAGATAAAACAGATTTCTATGTATGAATGGGAGTATTAATTAACAAGTAATTCTACCAAACCTTCATTTAAAGAAAGGAGTTCTCTGCTCAACAACACAACTCAATACTCTCATTGGGTAGGGTAAGAGATTTTTAAGGATGAACAGGAAAATTAAAATAGATAATAACACATAAAATGATAATAAACCTTTAAAAAAGAGACTATTTTTGCACCATGGAAACAGCACAGAGCCTGGCACCTGGTTTGTACTGAATCTCTGTTCTCTTTCTTCTCTTCCAGTCAGTGGTTTTAGTTACTTTGCCATGTTGTTTTAAGTTGTGATCTAAGGGCTTAAACACCCACACCCATTCCAACTTCCCAGGACATTCAAATTTTGAAGAACACAGAAGTGCAGCAGGAACTAAAAACTTCTGCCCCACTCTTGCCATTTCCCCAGGCCCCTGTGTTCAGCCTCAGGCCTATAGCTGCTGTGGCCACACCTTCCGCCAGCCATGCTTGCCTAGGCTCCAGAATAAGAGTGGGACAGCTCAGAAAGATTAAGGTGCCATAACACACTGAAACAGAATCACTTAGGCTGCCTCAATCCTGGCAAAGGGGAGGGTATTATTTGCAAAGCCCCCTGCTGAGTCTCCCAGGTGCTAGCTAGACAGGCTCAGGAGATAGTTTGGCAGCCACCCTGGAAAAAATGCCTGTGTCTCTGCAAATAAATCTGCCAGTGTAGAAAGCACTGGGTTTTCCCCAGTGCTTGTGCAAATAGTACTCTGTGCTTTGCTGGTATTGGAAATTCCTTGGTATAAGTAGCTCTAGACCATGAAAATTGAAGTTATGGATTTCTTGTCATTGTTGTTACCCTTGACCTGTTGGGAAATAATTCCCCAAATCAATGGTCATACTTCCGATTATTCACAACTGAAAAATCTTTAGTAACCAGAAAACAAAAAAAAGTGTTCCCTGAATTCCCCTTCACGGCTCAGCAACTGACGGTAAGACTGAGCAAGTCTTGAAGTCTGGCACAAAGGAAGGTAGATGTGCAGGTGTCCAAGCATAATATGAGCCTGGGCATCTGAGTGTAGGTATCTCCTGCTAGAAAAATTCATGAACAACTAGAAAAATTCATGAACAACTAGAAAAATTCATGAACAACACATAGGTTACCAATGGAGCATTATTGATGTCTTTTCTTCACTTAACATCTAGGAATTTGTAGAATCAACAGTGTGGTTACGTATGTGAAAAATCTCAGTAAAGTGGATACATTTCTAAGCAAAATACAGGTATCAACATTTACTCCAGAAGCAAAAACCTTCAAGACAATCAAGGCCACAGAAGAAAATTTTAAAGTTGTTCTAAAAACAGAACAAACATCAGATCAAAACTCCTCTCCTCTCCCCAAAGGCACCTGGCCTTCAGAGTTTTATGGGTGAATTCTATCAACTATTCAAAAATAAGTTATATTGTATAAATAGTATACATATTACACATATATACAGTATTTATACACATATGTACAGTGTTTATATATAACTCAATTTCTTTATAAAGTCCATATGTATTAATGTAAGTACAAAACATAATCAAATCCAGTCCAGCAGTACATATAGTAAAAATAATATTATACTACAAATAGGGCTCATTACTTGTACCAAGCTGATTTGAAGAAGAATCTGGACTTGCTTCTAAGTGAAATGCAGGAGAAAGTTTCTTGATAGATTGATTTGCTTTTTCTAACTTCTAATAATGGTGAAAGCAAATATTTCTTTTCTGGGCTGTCAGCTATCTGCTACTGGGCAATCACTATGGGCTACTGTCTTCTAATTTTTTATTTTACTAGGGCAAAATAGCCTTTGCTCTTTCAGCCATTTTCGTGTGCAAGGTTGCCTGACTCAGAGGCCCTGACTTACTTGAACAAATCTTTTTTGGAACTCTGAGTTTTTGGAAAAAGCCAGATTCATCTTGTGCAATTTTAAGGACTTCCCTCAGTTAACTTAAATAAAGAAGAATAAAAAAAACAAATCCAGCAAAGTAATGCCAATAAAGATAGGCCATTCATTCTACATAAAGGGAATCATGATATTTTTACTTTGTGAAATATTGAATTAAAATTAAAACCTATTTGTTTACATTCTAAAAGGAAAGGATAAGTAGGGTAAGTTTTGAGTTGGGCAGTGCTGACCCCAATCAATTTGATAAAGCTTGTAAGAGTTGCCATTATATGCAACAGGAGGACTCTTTGACAGAAATAATATATGAAATGTGTCTCTTTATTTTTAATATTTTAATTTTTTTCAGCTCATTAGCTATCATAAGTATTAGTGTGTTTTATGTGTGTCCCAGGACAATTTTTTTTCTTCCAATGTGGCCCAGGGAAGCCAAAATATTGGACACCCCTGGCTTAAGCTTTATGCCTTGATTCTTTGGTGCTAAAACTTTTGAAACTAAAAACACTCTTTTTATTATGCACACAAAAAAGCCATGCTCTAGCAAATTAAAAGCCTTGATTTTCAAGACTATTTTCTCAACACTGAGTTTTAAGACCTTATTTAGACATTTAAGTGGTCAAAACCTTGATTCTTTGTTCCCTGCATTTCCTTTATGCATCCCTTCTAGAAGCAGGGCTTGCCCATGACTGAATGGGGAAGAGTCACAGGTAACTGGAATTTGAAGCGGGTGGGCCTCCATTAATACATCTAAATTTTATGTTGCATGTTCAGCAATAGTCATTGCAGGATTATATGTAGTAATGGAAAATTGTAGACAAACCAAATGTCATCAGCAGGTGAATTGTTGAAATAAATTGTGTGACTTTATGCCTCTTTAAGGTGAACTCAAATTGGGTAGAACTAACCCTAAGAATAATTGTTTCCCTGTTATGTCACCACAACCACACAAAAATTATACCTGCTTTAAATAAAAAAAAGCTTTATTTGTGCTTTCAGGTGTAAATTTGTATTTTGATTCCATGGTTTGTGGAATATTATACATCTACTAAAAGTTTGAGATTGAGCTGTAGCTATGCAGTGAAGTGAAAAGTTATTCATAATATATTATGGAGTTTGAAAAGTAAATACAGAAATATTTTTAGATAACATAACTCCACGTTTGTGCTTTTTAAGTTGATATATCAGCTGGGCATGGTGGCTCATGCCTGTAATCCCAGCACTTTGGGGAGGCCAAGGCAGGTGGATGACCAGAGTTCAGGAGTTCAAGGCCAGCCTGGCCAACATTGTGAAACCCCATCTCTGCTAAAAATACAACAATTAGCCAGGTGTGGTGGTGCACGCCTGTAATCCCAGCTACTCAGGAGGCTGAGGAACAACAATCACTTGAACCTGGGAGACAGAGGTTGCAGTGAGCTGAGATCATGCCACTGCACTCCAGCCTGGGTGACAGAGTGAGACTCCATCTCAAAAAAAAAAAGTGATATATCTTCATGTATATATACAAAGCACACACACGCACACACCCACACACACACACACACACGCACACAATATGTGAGAACACACCACATCATAATAAATGTCATTTCTACATGATCCTATAACTAGAAAACCCCATTGTCTCAGCCCAAAAGCTTCTTAAGCTGATAAGCAACTTTGGCAAAGTCTCAGGATGCAGAATCAATGTGCAAAACTCACAAGCATTCCTATACACCAACAATCGACAAGCAGAGAACTAAATCATGAATGAACTCCCATTCACAACTGCTACAAAGAGAATAAGATACCTAGGAATACAGTTAACAAGGGAAGTGACGAACATTTTCAAGGAGAACTACAAACCACTGCTCAAGGAAATCAGAGAGGACACAAACAAATGGAAAAACATTCCATGCTCATGGATAGGAAGAATCAATATTGTGAAAATGGCAATGGCCATACTGCCCAAAGTAATTTATAGAGTCAATGCTATTCTCATTAAACTACCATTGATATTTTTCACAGAATTAGAAAAAACTACTTTAAAATTTATATGGAACAAAAAAAGAGCCCATATAGCTAAGACAATCATAAGCAAAAAGACCAAAGCTGGAGGCATCACACTACCTGACTTCAAACTATACTACAAGGCTACAGTAACTAAAACAGCATGGCACTGGTACAAAAAACAGACACACAGACCAATGGAACAGAATAGAGAATTTAGAAATAAGACTGTACATCTACAATCATCTGATCTTTGACAAATCTGACAAAAACAAGCAAGGGGGAAAGGATTTCCTGTTTAATAAATGGTGCTGGGAGAACTGGCTAGCCATATGCAGAAGATTGAAACTGGACCCCTTCCTTACACCTTATACAAAAATTAACTCAAGATGGATTAAAGACTTAAATGTAAAACCTAAGACTATAAACACCCTAGAAGAAAATCTAGGCAATACCATTCAGGACATAGGCATGGGAAAAGATTTCATGACAAAAACATTGAAAGTAATTGCAACAAAAGCAAAAATTGACAAATAGGATCTAATTTAAAGAGCTTCTGTACAGCAAAAGAAACTGTCATCACAGTAAACAAATGACCTATAGAATGGGAGAAAATTTTTGCAATCTATCCATCTGAAAAAGGTCTAATATCCAGAATCTACAAAGAACTTAAACAAATTTACAAGAAAAAAACAATCAACCCCATTATAAAGTGGGCAAACGACATGAACAGGCACTTCTCAAAAGAGGACATTTATGCGGCCAACAAACATATAAAAAAATGCTCCACATCACCAATCATTAGGGATATGCAAATCAAAACCACAATGAGATACCATCTCATGCCAGTCAGAATGGAGATTTTTAAATTTCAAGAAACAACAGATGCTGATGAGGCTGTGGAGAAATAAGAACACTTTTACACTGTTGATGGGAACGTAAATTAGTTCAACCATTGTGGAAGACAGTGTGGCAATCCCTCAAGGACCCAGAAATACCATTTGACCCAGCAATCCCATTACTAGGTATAGTCCCAAAGGAATGTAAATCATTCTATTATGAAGATACTTGCACATGTATGTTCATTGCAGCACTATTCACAATAGCAAAGACGTGGAATCAACCCAAATGCCCATCAATGACAGACTGGATAAAGACAATGTGGTACATATACACCATGGAATACTATGCGGCCATAAAAAGGACTGAGAACATGCCCTTTGTATGGACATGGATGGAGCTGGAAGCCATTATCCTCAGCAAACTAATGTGGGAACAGAAAACCAAACACTGCATGTTCTCACTTATAAGTTCTCACTTATGAGAGTTCAACAATGAGAACACATGGGCACAGAGAGGGAAACACACACACTGGGGCCTGTCAGAGATGTGTTGGGGAAGGAAGAGTATCAGGATAAATAGCTAATGCATGCTGGACTTTATACCTAGGTGATGGGTTGGTAGGTCCAGCAAACCACCATGGCACACGTTTACCTATGTAACTGCACAAGTATCTCAGAACTTAAAATGAAAGAAAATAATTTAGAAATAAATAAATAAATGTCATTTCTGAGTAGTGGAGATAGGCAAGGAAGCATTTAGGTAAGGGGTTAATTTTTATGTTTACTTTATGCATTTCCAAAGTGTTTGAAATTTTTTAGCAAGCAAGCACAACTTTTGTTTGCAGGAAGCATATTAAGAGACAAGAGCAGAGAAGCAGTGGGGCAGGGTTTGGGGCTGAATGTACCCTTCACTGTCAGAGAGGAAACAAGATTCTGGCCTGGATGCATGCATCCCCTTGTCTGGTTTGTGCTAGCCCATGGGCACTCTGCACTGACCAGCTTGCCTCGGCTGTTGGAGACTCCACCTGAAGAAGGCAGGAGGGAGCAGTGGCACAGTTACTGGCTTGGGCTATGGAGTCAGACAGACCTGCGTCTGAAGCCTAGTCCATGACTTGCTCACTTGTCAGTCTTCTTGAGTCATAGTTTGTTCTTTTATGAAATAACACCTACCCCTCAAACTGAGTAATAAATGAGATGTGCTGTGGGAGGTACCTGGTATAATAGCATGTGCTTAGTAGAGGGTAGAGGAAGAAGAAGTCGGATAGGACAAATTACTGTTAACCTTGAGGAGTGCACCTACGGGGTGGTCACTGGCATTTTAAATGCCACCATTGGTGCCTTATTCCTTTTTTCTTGTTTTTCTTCAATTTAGTAGCCCAAATCAACCCACACTGTGCACCTGGTAAAGGAGGCAAGCAGAACACACGAACAGGAGTGAGCTATGTGCCCTGTTCTCAAAAGGTGGAAGCTCCCAATGGGTGTACAAGTATGTGTGTTACAGATGGGAGGGAGGGCATCAAATACACACAAGTCGTAATGCTGCATTGTGCTGTTCTCAGTGTGGTCGTGGGTTTGCAGTTCTTACCATGGTTAAGGGAAAAGTGGAGTAGAGTGGGGAAAGAGGCAGAACTTTATTTAGGAAGATGGGGGTTCATGGTAAGTAATCAGAAAAGAAATTAACTTGCAAAACAGATGGCACAAAAATCCCGCTCTGAGTTTGAGTAGAGGGCAAAATGGGAGAATGGAAGGAGATGGTGAAGAAGGCACGCTGCTGCTGAAACGTGCTTTGGGCTTAGTGAGAATGAACACTCCCACTTCTGGGAATTGAGCCTTGGGCAGAGCATGCACAGAAGCAAAGCTGGAAGGCAGAGGAAATCTGGGCCACCCACGCCCACACCTGCCCTGACCTCTCACCCTGAAGCCTCAGGAAAGGGAAAATCGATGTGCTCCCGAAGTGCAGGAGCCCTGGGTTTGGGACTGGAATTTGACCCATGCGGAGTGTTTACTGATCTGGAGACGGATAGGCTCAAATGAGCTCATCTTTATCTTGAGAGGAAATTAGGCAGCCCAGACCCAGACAAAGCCATGTTTTATTCAATGAAAATTTACCACCACCCCACCCTCCCAATGCACACAATATTACATGAAACATCTGCCTAAGTAACCTAGTCTCCAAAGGTTGGTTCTGAAAGATCAACAAATAGAGACTTAGGAGCTTAGAGAAAAACGAAAAAAAAAAAAGTTATTTCAGAATATCTTACATTTACCCCTCATGCTGATCTGTATCCTCTTTTTTTCACAGTTTGCAAATATTGACTAAGTTCAAGGGCAGTGGTTTAAGGTCTAACTTCAGAGTTAGCATGAGGTGACATACTTAAGATGGTGCAATCCTGTCCTAATGAAGAACATGTTAGATCCCAAGGTTGGTTTATGGGCAGTTCTTGTTCTTGTCCCAGTTGATATTTGTTTTATCAAGTCAGGAACTATTTTTGTCATCATTGTTAATCTTCCTCTTGCCAGATCTGTTTTGGCCGAGGGCATGCACTTGAGGTATGTTAGAAGAATGGAGTGCAGTATTGTGGGAAAGAATTATCACTAATTCTGTCTGCCTACAGCTTCCTCGGCCCTGTTCATCTGATCTCAATTCCCTAAACAAAATTGTAGATGGAAAGTCCTGCAAGTCCATGACCTGGTTCCAGAAAGTAGATTTTTGAGCTGAAAGAGCAAGATCGCAGCATTCCCATGATGACAATAGGTCTTTGTTATGTTGGAAAGAATTTTGACTTGTCCATCAGGGGAGATCTTGACAGAATATTTTGCCAATAAAGAAGTCTACCACTAAATGGGTAGGTCCAACTCCATTAGGCTCATCTTTGGCCTCAATGTTATGCAGATTTTTGCCTCAAGGATTCCTGAGACCTGGCCTAAGATGTCTGGTAGTTCTAGCTGGAACCAGAATCAGCTGGCATTTCTGACCCATGGGCTTTGGAAGAACACAGATCCTGGCTCAAATCTTAATGTCTCCGAGCCTCAGTTTCTTCATGTATGAATACAGTCGTGACAATGTTCTCCTTGCAAGCTTGTTATGAGGATTAAATGTGGTATTGTATCTGAAATCACTTAACACAGTGCCTGTTGCTTAAAATGGGATTAATATGTTCTAGTGTCCTTCCTTCCGCTCAGCCACTCCAGCTGCTGGTGTATCCCCTTTCTCTGCTGCATACATTTGACATAGTGGAACAAGGCCAGTAATGCTTGAGGGGATACCATCCTAGTTACAATGAATAGAGAAAAGGAAAGGTTCAACAATGTTCAGAACACCAATATTCACTTTAAACTTGTCTAAGCATAAATTATAGGCGCTCTGCTGACATTTGAAAGAATGGAAATATATAAATAAATGTATAGTTGTGTGACTGCTTCCTAGACCTGGACACAGCTTCACCCCTAAAAGAAAATCTCCATGTGGAGACCTTTGGGGAGAATTTTAATCTAAAAATCCTAGAGATTATCACAATATTCTTTTGAGTATTAATAAAAGGACTTAGTTACCCAATGAACTGATGAGTCCCCGGATAATTTGTTCAAAGGAGAGGTGATATTCTTTTAGCCTCATAGCAGCTTCAGCTGCTATCTCCCACCTAGAGTTCTACCCATTAATATCTCTTGTTCAAGGTATCACATCTAAAATTTCTAGTAGTTTATGCAACATTTAGCGATTTCCTCTCTTAGCAATGGTTGGAATCCACCACGCTATATCCTCCTTTTGGGTATCCTGAACTCTCCAAATTGTCTCAAAACAAACTTCCTTTTTAACATTTAGATAATATGGCTATTTACAAAGTAGATGGTCAAACGCAGTAATATACACATTTAGTATAAGCCAGTATTCAAAGATTCTAATAGCAATAATTATTTCCATATTCAATGCAGTCAATTCTTCAGTGTATCCAAACTGGCCATACAGAAGTTTAGTATGAACAATACAGCACTGAAAATGTACTGTATTTATATTTGACTTTGGCGATCAAACATATCAACCTTGAGAGGAAATAACATATTTCTGATTCTAGCCTTTGTTTCTTCACCTTGGTACTTCCCAATATCACCAGAGCTAGACTGGAGGAAGAAATGGGAAAAAAAACCCTGAAGGATATTATTTGTTTTGTTTTGTTTTCTCGAGACGGAGTCTTGCTCTGTCGCCCAGGCTGGAGTGCAATGGCATGATCTCGACTCACTGCAACCTCCGCCTCCCAGGTTCCAGTGATTCTCTTGCCTCAGCCTCACCAGTAGCTGGGATTACATGGTGGCACACGCCACCATGCCTGGCTAACTTTTTGTATTTTTAGTAGAGACAGGGTTTCACCATGTTGGCCAGGCTGGTCTCGAACTCCTGAGCTCGTGATCTGCCTGCCTTGGCCTCCCAAAGTGCTGGGATTACAGGTGTGAGCCACCGCGCCAGGCCCTGGAGGATACTTAATAAATATTTGGAGAATTAATGTGTATTTCAATCTACTTTTTCTATGTGTTAGCAATAAAGAACTAGAATATCCAATGGAAATAAAATAGTAACTAAACCTATAAAATATTAGGAACAAAGCTATAAATAAACAACTAGAACATATAATGGAAATAATATAGTAACCAACCCTAAAAAACATTAGGAATAAAGCTATAAAACTGTAAAGCCATAAAGAAGACCTAAAAAATAGAGACAGACAATAATTTTAATAATAATAGTAACTAACATTTATTATGTTCTTTTAATGTGCCAAGAATTCTCTCAGATTTTTACATAGGTGATTTCTTTAATTTTCTCGGAAATTTCATGAGGCAGTTAACACTACTATCATCATCTTTTTTTCCTTCCTTCCTTCCTTCCTTTCTTCCTTTTTTTTTTTTTTTTTTTTTTTTTTGAGACGGAGTTTTGCTCTTGTTGCCCAGGCTGGAGTGCTATGGCACCATCTTGGCTCACCACAACCTCTACCTCCTGGGTTCAAGCGATTCTTCTGCCTCAGCCTCCCAAGTAGCTGGGATTACAGGCATGCGCCACCATGCCAACCAATTTTGTATCTTTAGTAGAGACAAGGTTTCTCCATGTTGGTCAGGCTGGTCTCGAATTCCCAACCTCAGGTCATCCGCCCTCCTCAGTCTTCCAAAGTGCTGAGATTACAGGTGTGAGCCACTGCACCTGGGCTATCGTCCATTTTTCAAAACAAGGAAACTAGGATATATCGAGATAAGGTAACTTTTTTAATGGAAACATGCAAAATGATAAATATGCTTATTTTTCCTAATTTACTCAATAACTTTACCCTGCAAATTAATGCAATGAATTTATAAATTAAAGTAATCACAGTCAAATTTTAGAGGACTGTTCACAGATCTTAGCACAACTATTCTAATGTTCAAGAAAAGAGAAAATGCTTTAAACAAAACCCAAGAAAACACTGGTAAAAAAGAAAATCAATTTAAAAAGTATTAAAATTATATTAAAGTTCAATAAAGTTGTCAGAGATGCTCAATTACTTACAACAGAACCTGACACATAGAAGACACTCAATAAATATTTGGAGAATTAATGTATATTTTTATCTATTGTTTCTATGATTTGCCCCAATAGATATAAAAACAAAATGTATAATCACAGTAATTAAATATGTATTATTAATTCAAGAATTGACAAAAACAGTTCAAGGAAGCAGATTAGAAAATCCAGAAACAGGTTGGGCACAGAAACAGGTTGGGCACAGTGGCTCACACCTGTAATCGCAGCCTTTTGGGAGGCCGAGGTGGAAGGGTTGTTTATGGCCAGGAGTTCAAGACCAGCCTGGGAAACATAGCAAGGAGGCTCCATCTCCATAAATAAATAAATAGCCAGGTATGGTGGTGCACATGCATGCCTGTAGTCCCAGCTACCTGGGAGGCTAAAGCAGGAGGATCACTTAAGTCCAGGAGTTTGAGATTGAAGTGAGCCATGATCATGCCACTGCACTTTGGCCTGGGTGACAGAGAAAGGCATTATCTCTAAAAAGATAAAAAATCTAGAAACAATACAAGCAAACATAGAAATTTAGTCTATTATAAAGATTATTTTCCATTCAGGAGGGAAAAATAAACCATTCAACAAATACCATAGGAATAATTTGCTAATGATATCAAAGAAATAAAGTTAGATTCGCATCTCATGACATGCAAAAATGAATTATTGACAGACAAAAGGTTGAAAACGTATATTCAAACACACAAGCACACACACATATAACACATACATGAACCTTCTGGAAAACTAATTTTATTATCTTGCAGTTTAGAAGACATTTTAAGCAAAATAAAACCCAGAGGCCATAAAGAAGTAAAATAAAAGATATGGCTACATAAAAGTTACATCTCAGCAACAATAACAACAAAAAGCATGAGAAAAGTTAGAGAAAATAAGCAGAGATAAAATATATATTAAGTATATATAGACTATCAAGTCTTAATACATTACTTATAAGTGTATAAGTAATGTATTGTACATTATAAGTATTATGTATTATAAGTGTACTTATATGTCAATTTAAAAACTATACCAGCTGGGGGCGGTGGCTCACGCCTGTAATCCCAGCACTTTGGGAGGCCAAGGCAGGTGGATCACGAGGTCAGGAGATCAAGACCATCCTGGCTAACATGGTGAAACTCCGTCTCTACTAAAAATACAAAAAAAAAAAAAAAAAAATTATCCAGGCGTGGTGGCAGGTGCCTGTAGTCCCAGCTACTCGGGAGGCTGAGGCAGGAGAATGCGTGAACCTGGGAGGCGGAGCTTTCAGTGAGCCCAGATCGTGCCACTACACTCCAGCCTGGGTGACAGAGCGAGACTCCTGTTTAAAAAAAAAAAAAAATACCATTCAGTGGTAAAATGGGCAATGGGCATAAATAGTCAATAGGGAAGAAATAAAAATGGCCAATGAACATTTGAAAATATGGGCCAGGCACAGTGGCTCACATCTGTAATCCCAGCACTCTGGTAGGCCAAGGTGGACAGATCACTTAAGGTCAGGAGTTCGAGACCAGCCTGGCCAACATAGTGAAGTACCGTCTCTACCAAAAATACAAAAATTAGCCAGGCGTGGTGGTGCATGCCTGTAGTCCCAGCTACTCAGAAGGCTGAGGCAGGAGAATTGCTGGGACCCGGGAGGCAGAGGTTGCAGTGAGCCAAGATTGCACCACTGCACTCCAGCCTGAGCAACAGAGCGAGACTCCATCTCAAAAAAAAAAAAAAAAGAAGAAAGAAGAAAAGAAAATACGCTTAACTTTATTGACAATCAGACAAGTGCAAAATATAACATAATACCTTTTTTGCCAATTAGATTTGAAAAATAGAAAATATTGATACTGATATTATCCAGTTTTGACAAGGGCATGAAGAAAACAACAGCCTCACACACTATCACAAGATTATAAGTAGGTAGGCTTTTTTAATGGGACAAATTGACTGTAATTCTGGTAGAATTACGAGATCATATTACATTTTGACAAATGCTTACAAAATGCACAAAAATATATGTCTTCATTAAAACATTGTTTTCAAATGCAAAAATAAGATCTACCAGTAGATAAATGATTAATACCATAAAATGATTTATACAATAAGTAGATCCTTATAAATCAACACAAAAAGACATCCAAGGCAAATTATTAACTAAAAAAGGCTAGGAGCTGAATAATGCAGTATTACATTTTGTTGATTCCAATTTTTTTTTTTTTTTTTGTGACAGAGTCTCGCTCTGTTGCCCAGGCTGGAGTGCAGTGGCACAATCTCGGCTCACTGCAGCCTCTACCCCCAGGTTCAAGCGATTCTCCTGCCTCAGCCTCCTGAGTAGCTGGGATTACAGGTGCATACCACCATGCCCGGCTAATTTTTGTATTTTTAGTAGAGACAGGGTTTCACCATGTTGGTCAGGCTGGTCTCAAACTCCTGACCTCGTGATCCTCCCACCTCGGCCTCTCAAAGTGCTGGGATTACAGGCATGAGCCACCGAGCCCAGCCCTAAAGATCATTTTTTAAAATACCATCACTTTTGAAATTGTGATGCATCATGCAATCAACAGTGTTTAATACTTATCATAGTAGCATCTTTTTCTTCTTAGAAGAACATAAAATGATGATGTGTCTTACAATTGCATCTTAGATTTCATGAAATACAGTAAATCACATGATCCCATAAAATATACTTATTTATATATCTAACAGACTGAGTAATTGAGAATTTACCTGATGCCTTTCTTGTGTACTAGTCTTAAGAAGAAATGAAGAAGGGGGAGGAGGAAAATTTTCTTCCTTTCCCTTTAAGGACAGCCTGGTCTTTGCATTCTTGAATTTGGCCCATTTATTCCAGGGGACTTTACAAACCTTTAATCATCAGATCTGTGGGTTAATAGCACTGTCCCTGAGAAGGAACGGATGGAGGCTTTTGTGTCTAAAGAGGAAGGGAGGGATGTAGACCAGCCCCAGGTCCTTGTGCCTAGGAGGAGATGGGAATTCAGGGTTTGGGTTAGGAGTAGGAAGAAAACTGCTTCCCTGAAGCAAGAGGGTGGGAGAACTGCTGCATGGGTGACTGTGAAGCAGATTGATAAGTATGTTCATTGAAGGCAGAGGAAAAGAGGTCTGCCATCAAATCATCAGGATAGCAGAGGTGTCCTAATAGAGTCACCTTCCATTACTAGCCTTTAGTGTTATAGGCAGGAAGCAAGCGGACAAGAAACACAATTAACTAGAGACCCAAGGTCCATCCTCAATCTTCCTGGGTCCCATAAACCCTGGGGTTCTAGATCAACCTCAAGGGAGAAAGAGAGTCCCCTTAAATAACTGAGACTAGATGTCTAGTCAGCAATGGTTGATAGGGGGCTGCAGCATGTTATAAAAGAAAATGTCCTCTTGTTTGCTTCTGGAGGTTCTGGACCAATTTGTACCAGAGATAGATGATAGATAGATAGATAGATAGATAGATAGATAGATAGATAGATAGATATAGATAGATAGATAGAGATAGATGATAGATAGATAGATAGATAGATAGATAGATAGATATAGATGATAGACAGATAGATAGATAGTAGATCAGTAGCACCATCTTAATGTATTTGCTTGTTTAACACATTTAATGAGCTCATCTTATGTGCCCAGAACTCAGCTGGGCCCAGGGGGATACCAGGGACAGGATGAAGTCTGCAGTCAAGGAGCTCATGGTCTACAAGGTGGCAAACCTTCCAGAAGTGGAGCATCTTGGTTGCATGTGCCCCCTTTTCCTCCCAGGTAAATTTGCCACTCCCTACTTGTTGTTGCCCCCGAGGGACTTGGCAGCGGGTGTGGCTTCTCCAACTCAGAACTTGAAGCAGTGTGTTTTAGGAACCTTGAAGTTACAGTTTTGCTTGAACTGTGTGCAGTGGCCCCAGCATGGCCTGTGATAAATTGCTGTCTGGGAATCAGCCACACCACTTCTCAGACAGCTGCTGAGAGTTGTCTGAGAAGAGTCATTTCACTCCGGGGGCAAAGGGCCTCTGTAGTCACAGTTACAGCGAAGCTGCGAGACAGTCTTCTCATTCATTCCTTCAAAAAACATTTGTTCTAGCCTTCACAGCAACAGTGACATACAATAAATATAGTTCTTACCCTCATGGAGGCAATACTCTAGTGGAGGAGATAGTTGTTCACAAACACAAAGGAACTGCATCGACTAAAAGGTGTTTCATTGGCAAAGGAGCTGAGTAGTATGAAGAAAAGGAACTTGGGGAGTGAAGCAGAAGTTCCTGGAGCTGAGGGAGGAGTAAGCTGACTCCCCTGAAAAACTGACTTGGCACTGAACTCTAAAGGTTGAGTGGTGTCATGTGATCAAAGAGGAAGGAAAATGGTACTAGGTCCAGGGGACAGCAAGTGCAAAGGCCCTGTGTTTGGAGGAAATGGAGAGGATTTGAGGACCTGAAAGAAGGCTTGCTTTGTAGCCAGGGATCGAAAAAGAGGATGTTTCCAAGACAGGATGGAGTGATTGGGGGTATTGATTGAAGGAGGAAAAACAGAAAATTATTTTCTTTGCTTTACCAGACAAAGTTGGCTTACATTTGAAGAGAAAAGGAAAGAGATGTACAAGTGACTAACCTGCTTCATCTAAAAAGAATTTTTCCAAAACAAAAATCTTCTTCTAAGTGAGCAGCATCCATTCACTTGGCGCAAATCAAGATCCTACAGTCATTCTGTCATTCTTCTCTCAATCTCCAGATCTTATCAACAATTATTTTGTTGTCAGTTCATCTCCCTTACATCATTGAAATCCATTCACTTCTCTCCAGCTGCTATGTCAGTACCTTGGTTCACGGCACCATCGACTCTTATCTTAGCATCTACAATGGCAACAAATTTACAATATTGTGATTGGCTTTCCTACCTCTAGCCTTTCCACACCACATCCATTCATTTGCCTCCATTGTAACCAGAAGTGATTTTTCTAAAGCATTAATCTCTCCCTCTTTTCAAAATCTAGTGTGTTTTACTTTTACCATTGTTCCAGAATAAAGCCCAAACTCCTTACCATAGCTCTTAATATCCCTTCTAATCTGTCTCTAGTAACTTCACTGCCATTCTCTACTCCTGCCATAGTAAGTTACTTATCTTGTGCTGGTCCCTTTTTGTTTTGTCTCATGGCCATCCTCCACACTACTGCTGTAATCAATCCATCTTTTGATATCACATCTGTGACCATGGTATTTCCCCAATTAAGACTACTCTGGGGTTCCTTTTCACTTGAGTATTACATTTGATCCCCTTAACATAGCAGACAAGACTCCTTAAGATATGACCCCTACCATTTTCTTCAGCTTTATTTTCTACCACTTTCTTGCTTTCCTCTAATTATTGTTCTTCATGTCCCTAAGATATTAAATTGCTTGTGATTCCCAAGACATACACTATCATTTCATGCCTCAATACATTTGCATAGATTCCCTCTGCCTGATTGTTTTTCTCATTGATGCTTGAACTTTTTATTACTCCTTAAAACACTATTCAGATTTTGAATATGTGAACCCAGAATATAATATCAATATAACTATCAATCAAGTATGAGAGTAATGACTTCAATTTTTACCGATTCAAAAGATTATTTTCCATATACTCTTTTTGAAAAACTCACTTGAGATGTATTCCAACAGGATGAAGGTAAAAACCAAGAAAGAGGAGGATGTGGAATAAAGAAAGAGTAAAACAAACTAAAAAGTTATAAAAAGGACAGGTGGACAGCTGTGCAGCTGGCTGAGATGAAATTATTAATAGTTCAAATTAGAACAGGAACCCAATGGTTCCAAGAAAAATGTCTTCAGAAAAATTTTTTAATGCTGCAGAATAAGCAAGAAGCTGGAAACTATTTGTGAAATGAAAACAAAACAAAGTGCTCCTTTTCATAATAAGGAAAACAAATAGAAACTCTAGGAGAATTTTTAAAACAGAAGGCAAAAACAAGAAAGTGAAATTAAAGAAATATAAAATGTTGCATGAGTTCAAGCAATCAATCATTTATAAGAGAAGATAATCCATTTCAGGAAACTATACCATGCAAACACCAAAAGAAAGCTGATACAGTGATACTAATATCAGACAAACACAATGGTAAAAGAGATTAGAAAGACGTTTTAAAAAGAATCATTTTAATATTAACTCTAGAAATATTCTCCCTCAAGTGATGTGGAGTCCATGCAAGAAAGTAAATGATATGAGGACAGGCAATTTGCTCTGTGTAATGCTAACACCTAAAACGGTGCCTGAGATATATCAGGGAATCGATAACTATTTATTTAATGAATGACTATGAACCAGTAAAGAAGAAAATATAGTTCTGGCACTGCCTGGCTTAGGAGGGCCCAAAATTTATAAATTGTAATAATACAAATGCTGTTTGCTGGTTTTTTTGTGTGTTTGTTTGTTTGTTTACCATTGAGAAGCAACATATGGACCTAACGGAGAGGACTAAAAGAATGGTTAGAGAATAATGTAAATGTTATCAACCCTGACAATGAAAAAGCAAAGGTATGACTGACCAAAGTTAAGAGGTAGAGAGAAAGTGGAGCTACGAATACATTCACCTTGAAAGTCAGAAGAAACAGTCTAAAGATGATAAAACTACAACTAGAGATTTATTTAGTGATATTTGAAGTTACAAAGGAAACCAGGACTAGGAACACCCTAGAATAATGACTATGAAACTTCTCTCTGTTATGTACCACGCCTAAGTGATCCTAACCAGTCTCAAGGATTGAAATATTATCTATGCACTGACAACTCCCAAATGTGGAGCTCCTGCTGGACTATATATATTATATATATATATATATATATATTTTTTTTTTTTTTTTTTTTTTTTTTTTTGAGATGGAGTCTCGCTCTGTCACCCAGGCTGGAGTGCAGTGGCGCGATCTCAGCTCACTGCAAGCTCTGCCTCCCAGGTTCACACCATTCTCCTGCCTCAGACTCCCGCGTGGCTGGGACTACAGGTGCCCCCAACCAAGCCCGGCTAATTTTTTTTTTTTGTATTTTTTTAGTAGAGACCAGTTTCACCGTGTTAGCCAGGATGGTCTCGATCTCCTGACCTCATGATCCGCCCACCTCAGCCTCCCAAAGTGCTGGGATTACAGGTGTGAGCCACCGCACCTGGCCCCAGACTCTTATATCCAACTGTCTATTCAACATTTCCACGTGGATGTCTACTAAACATTTCGAGTTTAACATACCCAAAATGGACTCCTAATTTCTCTACATAGCCAAGCCTATTCTCTCCACAGTCTTCCCTGGCTGGGTAAATTCAACTCTATCCTTCTAATTGCTGAGACCAAAACCTTTGGACAGGTCTTTGATTTTATTTTTCTCTCACATGTCATATCTGACTCATCAACAAACCTTGTAAGCTCTAACATTCAGAACTGTATCAAGACACCAGCACTTCCCACCTCACTATACAATGCTGCTCTAAGCCATATTATTCTCACCTGATCTCTCGGCTTCTGCCTTTGCCCCATTCTACAACATATTCTCAACACAGCAGCTACAGTGATCCCTTTAAAATGTGAGATCATGTCATTTCAAAACCTTTATTTCAAAAGCTAGTCTCACTCAGAGTAAAAGTCAAAGTCTTTCCCATGGCCTCAAGGCTCTATATAAGTGGACCCCATGATCTCTCTGACTCCATCTCCCAATCATTCTCTTCATCCTGCTGTTTCAGTCATCCAGGCCTCCTTACTGTTGCTGAAACACACGGAGAACATCCCAGCCTCAGACCCTTTGAACTTGCTATTCCTGTTATCTGGGATGTTCAACCCTCAGATAGCCACACGGTTCCGTTGCCTACTTCCTTCTGGTCTCTGATTAAATGTCACCTTATTTTGGAGACATTCCTTGACAATCCCATCTGAAGTAGAAACTCCCACCCTAGAATTTGACCCTAGTCTGTCTGGCTCCAGAGTTTGTGCTCTCAACTACTACATTACCTGGTCTATGAAGCTTTCAGATTTCTTTCATATTCTCTATCATATGCCCATCACCTAGGTTTTCCACAACAAAGGAGAACCTGACAGCTGTCCCTACAAGCAATAATCATTCCCTGTTAGAAACCAAGAGGAAGAAGGAACATTGCAAGCACTGATAATAAATTTTTTTCCTGGAAAAAAGACATAATTTTCCCCTAGTGTAAGAGAAACAAAGTGCATGGGAGGAAAATGTGTTACTAACTGTAGGAAGGGGCAAACTGGAAGGCAATTCTAAACATCTCCAGATGAGGGGACTCCAAGCCATCAGCATTACAGTCTACGTTGGAAGACCATGATATGCAACTGCTGTCATCTACGTGGAATTTCCCTCAATCATCTTTTAGAATTACAGCAGCTACGTGCTAATGTCTCAGAGACCTCTTGTCTTCAGAGATAGCTACACTCTCTTCAATTCTGCATGGCAGGCAGTATTTGGACAGCTCTCAAGGTACCCATTAGCTGGTGTGCATGTCTTGTATAGTCCTCATACTTGGAACATGGGCAGAACCTCTGAAGGTGATGAGAGGTAACTTCCATGACTAGGTTACATTACATGGCAAAGGTGAAAATATTTTGCAGGTATAATTAAGGTTCCTAAGCAATTGACTTTGAGTTCATCAACAGGGAGATTACCTGAGTGTGCCTGGTCTAATTAGCTAACCTCTTAAAAGAGAATCTCCTGCTGGCCTTGAGAAAGCAAACAACCATGTGCGAATTGTCTATGAAGGAGGCCGTGGCAAGGACTTGACGGCAGCCTCTAAGTACTAAAAGTGGTCCCTACTCACCAGCCAGGAAGAAAACAGGGACTTTAGTCCTACAACCACAATAACTGAATCTTGCCAACAACTGGAGAACTAGGAAGAGAATCCCATGACTTACCTCGAATCACGGTCGTGGCTGACACCTTGACTTCGGCCTGGTGAGACCCTGAGCCAAGGACCCAACTCACTGATACCAAGACTCCTGCCCCTTGGAAATGCTGAGATAATAAATTTCTGATGCTTTAAGCCACTAAATTTGTGATAATTTGCTACAAAACTATAGAAAACAAATGCATACTACGATGTCAATGGCAGTGTCTGTTTGGGTGGTGTTGCCCTTGTAAGAAGTCACTGGAGCCTAAAGGGTTACACCCCCAGGAACCCCATCCCAGGAGGGAGAAAAGATGCCAGATCAGGGCAATCCTATTTGAGGGAAAGGGATGCTATGAGTCTGTGAAGGAAGGTTTGGTGCTCAGCGACTTGGACAGGATATGAGCTAGGTTTACCAACACTTTGCAGAAATGACAATGGAAACAAGCAAATTCAAGTGCAGAGCAGAGTCTTGATATGTTACCAAACCAGTAATGCAATAGATTGAATGAAGGCTGGGAAAGAAGGGAAGAAATCACAATAAAAGTAATTGTCCTTATGCTTAGTTGACATGAGATCTAGCATAAGACAGAGCTGGGTTTAAATCCTCCACCCAATCTCTTAGCTCTTAAACAAGTGACTTGACTCACAGTTTCATCTTCCCTAAAACAAGCTTCAAAATACCTCCATCACCAGGTTGCTGTGACAATTAAGAGAACAGGTATAAACCCTCTAATACAAAGCCAGGTACACAATAGATACCCAATAAGTGGTAGCTATTACTATATGATCATAAAATATTGCCACATATATGCATTTTCTATGACTTTGTAACAAATTGCCACAAATTTGGTGGTTTAAAGTAATGCAAATTCATTATCTTGCAGTTTCTGTGAGGCAGGGATGTGGGCATGGGCTAGCTGGGCACTCTCACTTTAATAGGGGCAATTTCCCCCAAAAGCAGGACACAGAAATCAGGCTCACTGGGGAAGAGTGGTCCCAGCCACAGTGATGGTAATGCTTCCCTTAGAGATTCCTGCCCTCCATGCAGAAGTGACAGAGGGAGGGTCGGGATGGGGATGGTCGGGGTACAGAAATGAAAAGGGATAGGGGGAAGGCCTGATCTGTCCCCATCAAACACAGCTGTCAGAAAAATGGCCAGAAAGAGGATGGAGCCTGAGTCAGGGCCAAACACCTCTCCCACCTCTCTTCTCTGCATCTGAAGCTGTGCATCTTGCTATTTAATGGAACTCTCTAATCGAACAGTACTTACTCCTCAGCAAACAGACATTATTTCTGTACATCATTAAGTTCACTGTTATTTGTAATTCTGTAATTCTGAAAGGTTAACCCAGGCTCTTCCAGGGCTGGTTTCCCTGCCCCAGTGAACATTCATGGGTGGTCCATGTGCCTCTAAGGACTTGCCTACCTTCACTTAAATATTCTCCCTGAGTCGGGGGCATGGGGAATACTCAGAGAAGGGAGACATCAGCCTGGTTCCAAACAACCAGTGTCTGCATCATTATCACTGCAGTAACTCTGACATCCCCCACAGTATAGAGCATGAGGGCCGCCTCATAAATCCTGACTGGCTGGTTCATCAACTCACCTACCCCACCCTGCAGTGTACATCATCTGAACCAAGAGCACCCACTTGCCAGTTCTCTGTGCCCCATGCTCTGACACCCACCTCATCATCCCCGGGCTCCCATCAGTGGTGGAAGACTCATGGAGCAAGAAGGCCCAATTATCCCGCTCTCATGGGTAAGTTTACAAATCAGATTAGTGATAGGATTTGAGAGTAAAGCCAGGACTTCTGAATCCTTGTCCAGCCTGTTTTTACTCCATCCCACTTTCTATGCAGGATCTGTGGTCAGTGCCATCTATTTCCTTCTTCATCCTGGGTCATCTGTTTGTGTCTTCCCTTTCAATACATTGATACTCAAACCACGGAAGTTTCCCAAGTGCTACAGAGAAAGGGAGCGGGGCAGAGAAGTTTGCTTTGCATCCTCCTCTTGCAATCAGGGCCAATGCTATGAGCATGCAGCTGGTGCAATCGCACAGGGCCCTGTGCTTGAGAGGGTCTCACATTTACTTTACTGCTCTGCTGTTGTCCTCTTGAAACTCTTAGTAATTTTTGAACAAGGTGTCACACATTTTTATTTTGAATTGAGCCCCACAAAATTATGTCACTGGTCCTGTCTGCAATAAAGATGCAATGAACTTCAACATACCTTTGCAAATTGGAGGGAGACTAGAAATCCCTTTTCTTATTGGCCAAACATCAGGCATTTATTGTAATTCAGTGTCATATCAGCACTACCTTCAGTTAAACTAGGTTGATTTCATTGGCCTGCAGACCAATGAAGTAAACAAAAGAGAAGAAAGGATGTGTAGGAACAGCATGTAAAACATCGCAGGATGGCATCCCACAACGGGAGGATTCCTGAAAACTGCTCTCGGCTCCTTCCATCCACCTCCATCCTGGACTCCTCTCTACTCCCTACACACCCCCCTTCTCCACTGGAGCTGTGTCATTGACAACATTCCCTCGAAATCTCCTCCAATATATCTTGGCATGCCAGTTCTTTCCCTCATCTCCTATTGCTCATCTGTGTTTGTTAAATATTATTTGGCACATAGGAAGCTCTTCAGAAAAAGAGACTTGGATTGCAGGGGATGGGCGGTGGGCTTGTGATTTGCGCAGGAATGAGGCTGTGCTGGCTCTTCCCCGCTTCCTCATCCCTCCCCCACCCACATCAACACCATAACACAGACAGGCACACAAATGTGTTGAGAAAGAAATGCACCAGGGCCATAAAAACCTTTAGGAAACAAGGCCTGGTAGCTTACCTAGACTTAAAAGCTTGGATTGTGAAAGCAGCTAGAACCGAGGCTGTCGAATCCCCCTTCTTGTTTTCTAAACTTGTCTCTCTTCTTGGCACTACAACCAGTACCTTCACCAAGAAACTCTACCATTGGCCAGGGTCTGGCGGCACATGCTCTCTAAATGACTGATCCCCAAAAGTCTCTGTTGTGAAAAAGTAAAGCAATCATGCGGAGGAGCCTAGCTCTCCAGCCAGGGGCTCTGCTGCTCTCACCGTGTTTAATGAGCAGAACTTCTGATACCGCAGCACTTTTCTAGGACCTACGTGGAAGAAGGAAGTGGATTTCTGATTGAGAACTCCCAAGGTACAGGGCAACTTCTCCTTTCAACGTCGGACACCCACACTCCCCCACTCTCAGAATCCTGTTTCTGATCTTGACAATGACAATCCCAAGCATATTGATGACACTTCCTATTTCTCAAGACACTTACTAAGGCAGCATCCTATATGATCTTTCTGGCACCCTGGAGAGATAAGCAGGGCAACCCTTATTCCCATTTTACAGAAAAAGCAGCTGAGTCTAAATGATGCTTATGCTCTGCCGGCAGGAAACTCAGCCTCACACCTGTGGCAGCACATTTGAAGCCGTCATGCTGGCTTCTGTTTAAAGACTGAGTTCTCATGGCAAAATGTAATTGACGAGAAATTTGTTTCCTTCGGCTATTGAAGCACTGGCAATCATTTCCCATTTCCCTCTAACTTTAGGCGCAGGCCTGCCTCAGTGAGGCCATGCATTTCTCTAACTCGACATTGTTGTAAAAGACGCAATGGCTAGGTAAGACAACTCACTGAAAGGAGAAAGGAGTTTTTAAGGCTGGAGAAACAGAGACTGGAAAAAGAGGAGGGGCCTGAAAGAGCAGAGAGTGGTTCTGATTGAGAAGGAAAGGGGAAAATTATCCCAATTCTAGCACTGCTGGAAAATGGGAAAGTTATTGCTGCACAAAGACCCTCTCGAACTGCCTGCCTTCCAAAATTTCTACTGCACTCTGCAGTTACTTGTGTATGGCAGAAGCAGCATCTTTGTATTATATGAACAGTCTGCTTCATAATCAAATACCATCTGTCGCTACATCTGAACTTGTTTTCAACATCTGTGCGTTCTGGTCTTAACAAAGCTTTAAAAACTAATTCAAAAACTTTCATGGATCACTGACTAAATATGTACATTGACCATCTTTCCACACTGGTTTGCAATGTTTCTTCTATAGGTGCCTCCCTCTGCCTGGGAAGAGTGAAGACATATACACTTGGAGGCTTTATTAAGCTTATTTTGTAATGGCCTTGGGTAGCCAAGTGCAAGAGAGGGACACTTGCTTATGCACTGAGAGGACCCATCATATTCTTTCTTGGTGCCAATACGGTCCCTTTCTGCCAATGAGAAACCTGTAAGTTGATCAGCTACCATACCCCAATTACTCAAAATGACACTACAGATAAAACGGCAACCAAGGGGAGAATCAACTGTATGCTCATATGCAGCGAAAGTGTGTTTGAACAAATGGTGAAGTAAAACCATGAGAGCTCTCGGGAGGATAAGGACGCTGTTACTTTGCACATGCTTCAGAAATGTGAAGTACGTCTTTACAGAACTTTTGGCCAACCCCCTGGCAGATGTTGACCAGTTTTGCTTATGTATACGTCAGTTGCAGAACACTAAAACAGAGATTGGAAATTTTAATTTAGTCAAGGCAGTTGGGCTAAAATGATGGCTTTTGTTGAAACCATTAAATAGAGCTGCCTAATGAAGTACAGTACAGAGCTGGCAAACAGAGCCCTGATGGGGAGCGGCCGCTTCCAAGCAGGAGAGAGGGAAGGCAGCGGCCATGAGGGTCTCAGAATGCAGGCAGCATGGCATCCTTGGACCGAGAGCCAGAGCTTGAGGTGGTGGGGGCAGAAAGGATGAGGGGGCTAGGAAAGTGAGCAGATGACAAGGCACTGGTGGAATCTCTGTGTGTGTGTGTGTGTGTGTGTGTGTGTGTGCGCATGCACGTGTGTGTGTGTGTGTGTGTGTGTGCTGGGGCCAATGAGGGTTTTGTTTTGGAAATAGTCTCTTGTAAGTTTCAGCTGCACATTTGCATGGACTTGTGGGCCAGGAGGGAAGTGTGGTATAGTGAGCATGTGCACGGCCCCTTGAAGGTGAGTTGAGTGAGTTGGGAGCACAGAGAAGGGAGGGTGGTGGGAAGTTGTGAGGCTGGGAGCCTGTGGGAGGGTGGGAGGCTGCCAGGTTAATGAGTCCAGTGATTGATTCTGCTGCTTCAATACACTTGCCCTTCGTATGCTGCCTGACGGCAAGTAGCCATTAGGTGTGCCCGGGCTATTCCTCCTTTCCCACTCGGGGTCAACCAAGGCAAAGCAAAGCTAACCTCAATATTGATAGAAACCCACTTTAGCATGATGAGGCTGACTGATAATTATTTAGAGGACTGGACATTGACTTCTTGCACAATGTTGAATCTATTAAAGAACACAAGACTGTGTGTATCTTTCTATTGTTTTCCTGTTTTAGTGGGAATTTTTATCATGTGACCATTTAATACTCTCTAGAAGTCCTGTATGTTTAAAAAGACAAAAACAATACTATATTTTAGTGAAAATGATTATTATTATTAAGGTATAATTATTTGCAGTATATAAATAAGTGAATTGTATTCAGTAAACACCTCTTTTCGGCCAGGTATTACCAAAAACAGAGGGAGATTCAGCCCTTGTTTACCTTGTAGGAAATAGGATGAAACAGCAGTTGATTTTTGCCAAACAACTGCTTATTTTGAACACCATCAAAGGAATTGGTTAATAATTGTTTGAAATTATTGTGTGAGACTAAGTGGATATTGGTATATTTTTTTCTAAGCTGGCTTATATGTATAGACATGACCCGAGGCATCAGACAAACAAAAATACATACACACAAGCATGTTATTGCTATTTAGTATTGGGGATGTGCATATGTCATGGTGTTGTTTGTTTTCTGTCAGGGAGAGGATCAGATTCTTAACTCTTCCAGGGAACTTGACAAAAGCCCTGGATTAAACCCAGAAAGTTGTTTGTCCTAGAAAAGACTTCCAGCCTCTTTGGGGACAAGCACCCTGTTATAACCCCTGGCATCCTGTGACATTCATTCTGTACACAAATGATGCTTATGGACAGAGGGGGTCACTGACCCCTTGAAATCACTCTGTAAACTCAGCATGTCTGGACCCCAAAGCTGGCAGCCACTGCTGCACGATAGTGAAAGTTCTAACATCCACTTTTAACTCCAATTCACTCTAGAGCCTTCATAACTTCAGAGATATATTAATCCCACACAGTGATGTATGTGAAAGTCAGTTCTCTTTGGTTAAGAACTGTTCATGATCCACTCAGGTAAGTATTGAAATAGGGTTGAATTTCCTTAAAACTTACTCACTGACAACCTGGGGCAGATGACCAGGAGAGTTCTAGGTGGGGCAGGGAAACAGGTGTGGAATCAAATATTTGCTAAAATATTTATATTCTAGCTTTTAAAAATTGATTATTTTACCCACCTATGTGATTGAGATTCATCTATATTTTTCCCTCTGCTCCTGATAAATATCCAGATTTATCTTAAAATGAAGAAATTTCTAGGAGGCAGAAGTAAAGAGAAACAAGGAGAATTCCAACTAGATGTTGTATAATTTTTGTATCTACTAAAGAGAGAACAGCAGATGCAATTTTGAAAGCCAAATTATTGGAAGAGGGGGTGAGAAGACAAATCAAGACTCAGTTGACATTGATGATTACCCTGATGTACAGTTTCCAGTTCATTTCTTTTTCCGAGGACATCGTGGCAGTAAGTGCCATTGCTCTTAAGGGGTTTGCCAGTATTTCTGTGAGAAATCTCCATCTTTTCTGCTGGAGGTTTGCTATAACTTGGCAATTTGTAAGCACGTTGGGCTGAAGTGTGGCATACACATTGTCAGTCCAGATGCAATTTTCTGTTGCAATTACCAAAAATGAAATCAAAGAAGCTGCTTGGGATTTTAGTTTACAGGGATGTTGGTGAAAGAGGAATATTTGTATCTCTTGCAAATTTTTACTCCTTGATTTTGTTCATCTTTATCTCAGACCAACCTCATGTTAGAAAAGCTCAAGTTGAAACACACTTCAAAAAATCAAAGTAGGTTTCATTTTAGAACGCATTTTTGTTATGACACAAATGGGGTTTAAGTATGGTTTTTACTGGTAAAAGTTGAGAGCAGAATGTACGCTCTCATCCTAGGTATAAGGTCTTTGGATTTTCCCCAAGTGCTGCGGAACTCTCCTCATTCCTGTGGTTTTCCCCATGATTCTTCAGGTTCTCTGAGTGCCCTGCATTTTGATCTGCATTGGTTAATTGGTGAACAGAGACACTGTCCGTGGAAGCCATTCTGTACCAGGCCCCACATAATGTTACCCACGCTCATCCTACCAACATGCAGACCCAGCAACCACTCTTGACTAAAGAGGCAAGTTTCTTTAACAATTGGCTACACAGATATTTCAAGTGAATCGACTAAATCAACTGATTCCTAGGATTTTGTAGACTTGAAGACACATTATTTCAGTCATGCTGAATGAATATTTATGAAATGAAATAGGAAGGAAGGGATCACTTGAGCCATCACTGGCTTGATAAAGACTCTTGGATTTCATGACAGAACATTTTTCATTGACTTCCACGGGGTAGACTGTGTCACAGAAATGGAGTTGCTTTTTAAAGATAAAGCTCTAACTTTTTCATATACTCAGTTTTTCTCAAACCAAGGATGAAAATCCCCAGGAAAAAGGATAGCAGTTGACTTCTGCGGGAGCCTGGCACATAGGTGTACAGTAAATATTGACTGGAGAGAAAAAGGAGCCCCAAGAAATGGACTGTGAAATTAGGAGGAGCTCTAAATCATTGTGCAACTTGGAGATGTATCACCACCCCTTTGGCTGTAAGACAGTGCTGAATACTTTTTCTTAGGGAATCCCAGGCAACAGGGAATTCCTCAGAATCCTTTCTCATCTTGATATTGGAATCCAAGGGGTACTTTAGTAAGATCGAACAACTTCAAGGGAAGAAAGAAAAGGAGGGCATCAAAATACCTTGGCTTCTCCCAAGGCAAGAGCTGTCCTTTCTCAGCTGTGTGGTCTGACTAGGTCCCAATATTGAAATGCTTATGAGAAAGGATAATGGTCCCGCTTGAATCCCTGGAAACTGCTAGTGGTCTGGCCTCAAGGGGATTCTTCCATCAGAGATTTATCCCATCCTGCATTGATTCACTATTCTATACTTTCTCCATTCCATTCTTCAAAAAAAAAAAAAAAAAGAGAAGAAGAAGGGGAAAAAAACAGAAGAATGAAGAGCTATAGAGAGAGACGGAAAAATTAGCAACTCTTGCACATATTCATGGGCTTCCATTTTCTTCCTGATCTCATAGATGTCTCCTCCAATCACCTTGTTCTCTGACATGCTGAGCTGAAAGGCATTTGAGGAGTAGCAGAAAGAGAAAAACTTTGTCATTGCTGACAAGACACACTGCAGCATCTGGGGTGCTCCTCGGAGACCTGTGGCCAGGCTAACCTGGCCTCATATTGCTGAGCTTGCAAAACCTGGAGGATGAGGTCACATTTGGCTATGACTATAAATAGACATCAGTGACAACTAAAACCAAGAGGGATCTTTAGCCTCTGATTCACAGGCTGACATCTCTGAACAAAGGAGTGGGTCATGCATCATTATCTAGAATTCTCAAGAGGAGCAAAACACTCTGGAAGGTATTTGGGTACCCTCTTTTTCTTGCTTCCCTTGAAGTCCTTTGATCTTATTAAAGTAGCCCTTGGATTCCAATATCAAGATGAGAAGAGATTCTGAGGAATTCCCTATTGCCTGGGATTCCCTAAGAAAAAGTATTCAGCACTGCCTTACAGCCAAAGGGATGGTGATACATCTCCAAGTTGCACAATGACTTTATACAACTTTATATAATACATTATCTATTCACAGTGAGACCTAACATGGTAACCTACCACCCCTACTGTCCCTCAGAGTTACTTATACTGCACATCATTCATTATCTTCCAAGAGCCCACCCTTACCTAACCACTTAGGAGGGCTGAACGAGAGTGAAATCACTTCCCTCACTTCCAGCACAGCCTGTAAGAACCAGGGTCCAACCATCTGCAGTACCTGTTCATAGACAACTCAGCAGAGGTATTTGTCTTCCAAATCACAAAGAGAATTCACACGGGGAGCCAAGGTTCTTCCATTTTACGGAGTGGCAGGATCGGCTGCCTGGGAGTCATCCTTCCATTTTCCCAGAAGCACAAGCTGCTGCTGCTCTCTGAGACTCTGAACTCTCCTTCACCTGAACAGCAGTGTCAACCTGCATTGGTGAGAAAACCGGAGCCCAAGCCCCGATTTCTAACATTAATAACAGTAGCCAAGCAAAGGCTGTTCAATCAGAAAATGCAAGTTAAAACTCTTTAAAAAAATGCCATCTGGACTAGGAAAACATGTCATCTTTCAGACTACGCACGGCATCAGTGTTTTTCTTTTCACAAATTTAGCACTCTTCCTCCTCCCCCCTGCTGCCTCCCTCTGCCTCCCCCTTCACCCTCTCTGCAGCTCTGTCATTTGAGAAGCCCTGTCTTCACTTTTCTTCGTATTTAATTTTTCATATCATTCGCAGGACAGATCACATATTTGTTGTGATTTATTCAATACCCATCGCTCCTCTGACTTGGGAGAAGGCTATCACCTTCCCCTCCTGTTCTGGGAGAATCTGCTAAGTCCACAGTTTGTGATTTTTTTCATCATCCATGTGCTTAAACAGTCGGGGGAGACTGTCTCGAGATTCTGCAGGTCCCCAAAGCTGCCTCCCACCCATCCCATCCATGATCTGCCCACTCAGCATTAATTCTAAGGAGGAGGCAGAGTGAGCCTGGACTGAAGACCCTGTGATGTGACTTCATTGAAAACGGGAAACTCATTTATTTCTTTTTGTTTATTCCTTAAGAATGAAGGTAATTGTATTTGCTAAAATGTGTATAGCTGTGTTTAACCCATTTATGCCAGAATTTACAATTTTTGTGTGTGAAAACTCAGACCTTAGCGATGACCTTGAGCAGTAGGATATAAATAATTCCTATAAGCTTAGAGTTCCAATAATGGAACACTAGGCATAAATGAGTTAAGGTTTGCCCTAACATGCTGGGGACACTTAAGTAGTAGAAAATTAAACTTCTCTGCCATTGCATTTAATCATAATGGCTCACTTAGTAGTAGGTAGTGGCTCCATCTCCAAAATGACAGAGTATTCATATTCAGAGAGGCAGACAGACAGAAACAGAGACAGAGAGAAAAAAGGAATATACGCAAACACCCAAACTACTGATGTAGGTCAGTTGTCTCTTAAGATTTATTTTAGTAAGAGATCTCAAGAGACCAAAAGGGGGAAAAAATCCATGATCTGGATGTAAGCAAATATTTATGAGACTCAGTCATGTGCAGAGTCCTGCTGGGGAAACCAAAAAGAATAAGCCTCAATCCAGATGATGCCCATCACAAGCTAGCACAGCAAACAAGGGACCAAGACACACCATTTTTTGTTACACATATTACCTTCCACCTTGCTCATTGTTAGTCAGGCACGTGTTTTAATTCTCTCAATGGAAGGCAAATTGTATAATGGCAAAATCCATAACCCTAACCACAATGACAGGCACCAACAGGAAGAGGATTCCCAATGAATTACATAGATGGATGGTCACCTAGACCAGAAATCTCACCAGGAAGGCCAGGTAACTCTCTGTGATCCTACGGAGGAGAGGCCATGGGAAGAGCATTCAGAAATTCCATCCACTATTGTTCCTGTCCTTTCAGGGCACCGCCATCTCCATTGGCATCTCTCAAATGACTGCCATGCCACCACAGTCCCTTCATGCCTACGCACATATAATAGGATTGTTTGGCCAAGGCTGTACCATGATATGCAAACTCCAGGCTTCTGTGTACCCCTAACACTTTGTTTGCAATCCATTTTAAGCCTTTGACTTGTGACTATTCCCCAGTTTGGCTTCTCTGTGGCTTGTATTCTTCAGCCATGTTCCTTTCTGCAAAGTCATTAGAAGCAGAATCTCAGTATCTTGAGGTTTCCTTTTGTCTTCATGCTTAGAGTCCTCCACATCATTTTTTGAGAACCCTTGTCAATCCACATGAAGTGTAGAAAAATCAACCCCGCTACTGACTATATGGTCTTGGGCAAGTTGCCCAACCAGCCAATGCCTCTGCTTTTCCTTTCTCTAAAATGGAGGTAATACTTGCCTCTTTCCTACCTACACCATAGAATTTTGTGACACTGAAATGAGATGAAATTATTTGAATGTGTAGGAAAACGGTAGAGTGTTTTACAAAGGCAAGGCGTGACTCATATCCTGAGTTGCCCAGGGATTTATTTTGTGACATTGAGAGTCTCCTTTGACATTTGTGGGTCTTTGTTTTGCCCACCTATCAAGGCAGAAATTTGCTTTGAGATCTTGAGCAAAAGACATTGTCGTACTACAAATTACCATGATCTAATTAGGCCTCCCTCCATAAATCTGTCATTTGAAAGCCATTCAGGCCTGCTCAGCCCAGCCTTTGATTTAAACTGCTCCAGGAGTCTAGCTGAAGATATGTCCAGGACAGAATCCAACACAATATTCTGGTCTCCTCCCACTGCTCCCTTGAGGATGGGCTGTTCACCAATTTTGGCCACAATAACAGTTATGTAGAAGAGAGATGCATTATAGTTTGGGCATAGATCTTAACCAGTGCCCATGCAACCTCGTGACAACATTATTTAGCATTCACATTGGATGTGCGCTCTTATTGGGAAAAGAATATTGCTAAAGATTAGCATTGCTGGGCCCTTGAAGCAAAAAGAGTCAGATAGGAAAGATGCGTATTTTCTCCTTTGAACTGACAGATGTATCCAGCATCCCCTAAGTATGATGAATACTTTGCAATGACGTATAAGACAAAACTAAGGCTTTTAAAAAAATGCTGGTGCTGGCCAAATCAAATAATAACCATTCCTGGTTGTTCTGGTTGAAGAAGATAAAAAAGAGGCTTGGAAAATCCAAAGCAGTGGGTAATTTAAAACTCATTTATATGGGGCTTCAGAATGTGTGTTTATATCCGTCTTTGACGATGCATGTCTCTGAGGTTCTGGGAGTCTGTACTTAACAATGTAGCAGGATCACCATGTCTTCCCTCAGGAAAATCTGGGAAGCAGGAAAACCTCCCCACCTTTCCTCTGCTCATCCCCTTCTCCACCACTGCCCTGTCTGCTGTCTCACTTTTGCCCCACCATCCTAAAACACACACCTGACACTTTCACCTGAATATCTTTTTGCCTTCATTCCAGGTTGTTTGAGTATCAAAGAAATGTTCTGTGTGCAAAGCAAACACAAAGAGGTGGAATATCAACAAAGCATTATTAAATAGCTAATGGACTTATATTCTCTGGAGGAACAGATTCTGGACTAGGAGAACCTGACTCTGCACACACAAAATCTACCAAAATATGCCTCCCATAACTTTCTTTTACAAGTCAGAGCAGGGTAAGGTATAGAATAATCGTGTGACAGATGATAGTATATGATTGACGATGGGGTGAGGTAGGACTTGTGAAAATCCCAGGAAACGATTGGGTAATTTTATCAGGGATTGAGGAAGGAATCAGCACTTTGTACAGCTGTGAATGGGAAAGGGGGAAAAGGATGATATCAGAACCCCTGGAAATCCCTAGGGACCTCAGTGGAGTTTGCCCCCTACCCTGGGTGGAGGTTTTGCTAGGCAGCCTTTGGTTCTAATCAGCTCACACCAACGTGAAGATTCCAGTATTTGTCTAGCGCTGAGGGATGAGGTGATTAGGGAGGAGGAGGGCAGAGAGAAATGAAAATAGAAGGATCAGAGGAAAGAACGAGGAAAGAAGGGGGAGAGGAATTAACCAATAAAGGGCCATTTCAGCTTCCCCTTTCACGCGGGTTCAGATTAATGGGGGAGGCGCGCGCCCACACACATCAAGGAGAGCACAGAACCAAGCTTTTCAAGCAAAGCCTCACAGGAAGGAAAGTCTGAGGAAACCTGAGCAGGGGCTTGAAACCGTACTAAGGAAAGGGGTCAAATTAATGTTTTCAAAATAAAAAAAGGCTGAGAAGAGAACAGTGAACAGGGTGGCCCAGGAGGTCAAACAGCACATTCAAGTGTTTTATTGTTGCTATCAAAAAGATGCTGGGAAAGGAAGAGGAAGAAGGAAAAACGCTTTCAAGTTTTAAGTTCCTTTTTTCTTTCCTCAAAAAGAGGCATTTGAGAGACCGAGCTGAGGATTATTTTCGTCTATTTTGGGAGACGATGCTGGTGTCATTGGACTCCAACCAGCCAGGGAGTGAAGAGGGAGGCAGCCGAGTGTGAGCCTGAATTTCTGAGGCTGAAGGTGGTGGCGAAGTGAGCATGGGAGCCTGGTACAACTGGGGCAGGCATGTGTGCAGAGGGGAGCAGCGGCCCTGATACCCCCAGGCGAACTGACCAAGATGCAGGCAGAGCTGTCGGGTTTTGGCTGTTTCCTCCAGCTCTCTCCAATCTCAAGAGGAAAAAAAAAAAAAAAAAAAAAAAAAACAAAAAAAAAAAACCTTTCCCGAAGAACACTCCGGACTCAATGCCAACCTGAGACAGCTGCTGATGTGGAACAACAACATCAAGGACTTACTGTCCCTTCCTGCCCCTCCTCCTCCACCACCACCACAGAAAGGACTGTGAAAAGACCAAGAGTTGGTGGGCGGCCAACAAGAACTAAAGAACTTGCAGCTGGTAAAACCACCTGTGCCTTGTCAAATTCCAGCCAAAACAATCCCTTCCCCAGAGTCTCCCGTGAAGGCGAAAGGGAGAAAATCTGATAATAAGATGGGAATCAGGGGAGTGGAAAGTGAGTGTGGCAGCATCCGGCCATGCACCGAGCCAGTTGGGAAAGAGAATATTGGGAAACTATGCCAGTTTGGAGCAATATGGAGGTCAAAAATCCAGCCCTGTGTTCCTGAGAGAGAAAGGGAGCAACAACTGTATGCAACCAAGGCAGACAGTCCAAGCGCAGAATTCAGCTTTCCTGATGGGCAGCGCTTTGCAGCACCAGGGCTGATGTCTGGATCATAGTAGCATGAGTTCAAATGCTCGGTGCCCATGGGAACATTCCAGAAAGGAGCCCCTTGCCCTTCCAACTGCAAAACCCAAAGCCGTGCAGTGGTTAAACAGTCCCTGGTTGCATTGCTTATCTGTAATTTATAGTCTACCTGGCCAGTGTCTGTTCAGAAGGCTAAGGTCCCATGGCCAGACCTCATAAAATACGCATGAACAACCATGATCAAGAAGATATTAAAGGATCACACAGAAACCACACATCTTTGAATGCAATGCATGCTTAGATGCAGTCTCTAATGTGATTTCCTCCTCTTTCAACCCCATTTCTTTTCTTTCATCTCCTCACCAGAAATGAAGCTACCATAAGTTTAGTTACTATTCTTCTAGCTACAGTGTTTAAAAGTAATCACCCATTCATCTGAAGTGCTAATAATGCTGGGCCTAAAATTAGAAAGTTCTCCTTGTCCTTTGAAGATTGGCTGAATCGCTAATATTATCATTGGCCAGGTAATGTTGGCATGAACGAGAGTTGAATTTTTGCTGACATCCCTAGCTGAATTCCACAATCACAGTTGATAACTATTAAAGATTAGTAAGTCATTCCCTGTGTTAAAACTTCATTTTCAAAGTATTTATTTATTCAACTGATGACTGCCATGCCCTGTCGCTTTTTATTTAAAGCATCCAAGAAAGTGCTGTGATCAGAGGATGGCGAGAATGAATGAACCTCGTGGTCAGTATCCACTATAAACATCAAAAGCAATAACCTGTCATTTATCATGGGAAAGAGTGGTGCAATTGGTCATCACAGAAAAAGAGGGTTTTTTTTCCCTAGGATTAAAATATTCAGTTTTAATTACAAAGGTGAATCTTTATTCCAACAGATTCTAATAAAATACATGTTTACTAAAAGTACCCCTCCTCAATAGAACTTTTTTTTTTTTTTTTTTTGAGATGGAGTCTTGCTCTGTCCCCCAGGCTGGAGTGTAGTGGCGCGATCTAGGCTCACTGCAAACTCCGCCTCCCGGATTCACGCCATTCTCCTGCCTCAGCCTACAGGGGCCGGCCACCACGCCTGGCTAATTTTTTTGTATTTTTACTAGAGACGGATTTCACTGTGTTAGCCAGGATGGTCTCGATCTCCTGACCTAGTGATCCACCTGCCTCGGCCTCCCAAAGTGCTGGGATTACAGGCGTGAGCCACCGTGCCTGTACAGTACTTTTATGGTATTCCTGCCCAAAATGGATAACTTACATCTAACGATGAAGAAACACCAAACAAACCTAAACTGGGGAATATTCTAGAAAATGACTGGCTGGTACTCTTCAAAAAATGTCAAAATCAAGAAAGATACAGAAAGGCCGAGGAACTGTTCCAGATTAAATGAGTCTAAAGAGCCATGACAACTAAATAAAATGCGTGATCTGGGATCATATCCTGAACCAAGGGGAAAAAAGATATAAAGGAATTCCTGAGAAACTTGGTGAAATTTGAATATGGATTCTGTGATAGCATAATATTAATGTTTAATTTCCTGATTTTGGTATTTCATTGTGGTTATGTAAGAGAATGTCTTTGTTCTTAGAAAATAAACAACGGAGATATTAAGAGGTAAAGGGACACAAAATCACCAACTTACCCTCAAATGGTTCAGAAAGAAAGAATAATATGCATGCATCTCCGAACTTACGTATAGACAGAAAGAATGACAAAGTAAATGGGGCAAAATGGAAACAGTTAATCTGGGAACACTGGTATATAGGAGGTCCTTGTACTATTCTTACAACTTTTTAAGTTTGAAAGGATATTTAAGAAAAAAACCTCCTTCAATTCTCTGTCTCAGAGACAGCTATTTACATATTTGCAGTTCAATGCATATCCTCTGTGGTAGGTGCTTCTAAGCCGGTTCCAAATGCCTCCAACCTTCTGGTATTCACGCCACTGAGTGATCCCCTCCCCTTGTGTGTGGCATGAAGCTGGTAACTTGTTTCTAACAAATAGAATACAGCAGGTAATTGAATAATGCCCTTTTCTTCAACATCATTGTATTATAATGTTAATGAGGAAAAAAAAATCAATTCCTGGCCATCGCCACTGTCTGTGTGGAGTTTGCTGTGCCTGTTAGGTGCACTGATGTGTCTATATAGTCTTAGTGTGAGTGAGTGTGTGTGAGAGTGTGCCCTGCGATGGCATGGTGGCCTGTCCAAGGCTAGATCCCCCCTTGATCCTTGAGCTGCCCAGACAGTCTCTGGTCACCCCCGATCCTGAAGTGGAATAAGCAGGTTGGAAAATGAATGAACGAATACAAATTATTGTAAAATAAAATTCATAGTCTCAGATAATCATACAAATGCACGACCATAAATGATGTGGCATGAAAGTGCTCTGCCCACCTTCCCCTATTTGTAATTTTGTAATTGCTGAGGTTTTTAAATGTTTTATTTTAGGTTCAAGGATACATGTTGATAGGGTTTGGCCATGTCCCCACTCAAATCTCATCTTGAATTGTAACTCCCACAGTTCCCACCTGTCGTGAGAGGAACCCAGTGGGAGGTGATTGAATTATGGGCCAAGTCTATCCTGCACTGTTCTCATGATAGTGAATGAGTCTCACAAGATCTGATGGTTTTAAAAATGGAAGTTTCCTTATACAAGCTCTCTTCTCTTGCCTGCTGCCATGTGAGTCGTGCCTTTCACCTTCCACCATGATAGTGAGCCCCCCCACCCCTCCAGCTATGTGGAACTGTAAGTCCAATAAATCTCTTTCTTTTGTAAGTTGCCCAGTCTAGGGTATGTCTTTATCAGCAGCATGAAAACAGGCTAATACACATGTGTAGGTTTGCTATATAGGTAAATGTGTGTCATAAGGGTTTGATGTACCGATCATCACCCAGGTACCAAGCCCAGTACCTAATAATTATTTTTTCTGCACCTCTCCATCCTGCCACCCTCTACCCTCTGGTGGGCCCCAGTGTCTGTTGTTCCTCTCTTTGTGTCCATGTGTTCTCATTATTTAGCTCCCACTTATAAGTGAGAACATGTGGTATTTGATTTTCTGTTAATTTGATAAGAATCATGTCCTCTAGCCCCATCCATATTTCTGTAAAGCACACAATCACCTTCTTTTTAATGGCAGCATAGTATTCCATGGTGTATATGCACCACATTTTCTTTACCCATGCTTCCACTGATAGGCATTTCAGTGGATTCCAGGTCTTTGCCATTGTGGATAGTGTTGCAATGAACATACACATGCTTGTATCTTTATGGTAGAATCATTCGTATTCCTTTGGGTGTATACCCAGTAATGGGATTGCTAAGTCGAATGGTAGTTCTGTTTTTAGTTCTTTGAGGAATCACTACAGTACTTTCCACAATGGTTGAACTAATTTACACTTCCACTAACAGTATATAAGCATTCCTTTTTCTCTGCAGCCTTGCCAGCATCTGTTATTTTTTTACTTTTTAATAATAGCCATTCTAACTGGTGTGAGATGGGATCTCATTGTGGTTTTGACTTGCATTTCTCTAATAATCAGTGATATTGAACTTTTAAAATATGCTTGTTGGCCGCAGGTATGTTTTCTTTTGAAAAGTGTCCATTCATGTCCTTTGACCATTTTTCAAGCAATTGCAACAAAAACAAAAATCGGCAAATGGGATCTAATTAAACGAAAGAGCTTCTGCACAGCAAAAGAAACTATCGACAGAGCAAACAGAAAAATTAGAGAAAATATTAGCAAACTATGAATCTGACAAAGTCTAATATGTAGCATCTATAAGGAACTTAAATTTACAAGAATAATTGCTGGGTTTTGAACTGCATGGTGATGGGAGCTTACAATTTTACTTGGCAAACACTTATTCCTTGGTGTAACTCACTACAATGACTGCCATAACTCACAGTCTCACCAAAACTTGGGTAAATCATTATTTCCCCCCTCCCTTTTTTTTTTTTTTTTTTTTGAGATAGAGTCTCACCCTGTCACCCAGGCTGGAGTGCAGTGGCACAATCTCGGCTCACTGCAACCTCTGCCTCCCAGGTTCAAGCAATTCTCCTACCTCAGCCTCCCATGTAGCTGGGACTACAGGCATGCACCACCACACCTGGCTAATTTTTAAAATTTTTAGTAGACACGGGGTTTCACCATATTGACCAGGCTGGTCTTGAACGCCTGACCTCATGATCCACCCACCTCGGCCTCCCAAATTCCTGGGATTACAGGCGTGAGCCACTGCACCGGCCCTTATTTTACTTTTTAATAATCTTTCTTAAATAAATGTATAGCCCACATTTATTTCAATGTTTAAAAGTAGAAAGGTTTTGGTCTTTGTTTAGAAGCTTGGTGATGTTTTTGTGAGCAGAAATATGCCTTAGGAACTTAATTCTTGTTTATATCAATTAGCCTATGGTAAAATTGGTCTAATTATACATCGTTTTGCTTAAAGTTGCAGTTTCCAAGAACCTATGGACAACGTTAAGTGAGGACTTACTGCACTGCAAAAGTGATGGATGTTACTTTCAAGATTAGGTTATGAAAGACTGTGACTTCCATCTGCTTGCCCTCTCTCTGGGCTCTTCTCACTTGTTCACTCGGAGGGAAGCTGGCTGTCATGTTGCTGGCTGCCTTACAGAGAAGCCAAGGAAGTGAGGGCAGCCTCCAATGAACAGCCTTTGAGAAATGTGGGACCTCAGTACAGCAGCAGACGAGAAACTAAATCTTGCCATCAACCACGTGAATGAGATAGGAAACTGATCCTTGAGATGCTGTAGCCCCAGCCAACACCTTGACGGCTTTGTGACAGACCCTGAGCCAGATGATCTGGTTAAACTGTACCAGGAATCCTGACCCACAGAAACTGTGAGATCATAACTATTTGTTGTTTTAAGATGCTAAGTTTAGGAATTTTATTTATTTATTTATTTATTTATCTCACTCTGTTGCCCAAGCTGGAGTGCAGTGGCATGATCATGGCTGACTGCAGCCCCAAATCCTTGGGCTCAAAGGATCCTCCCACCTCAGCCTCCCTAGTAGCTGGGACCACAGGCATGTGTCACCACACTCAGCTAACTTTTTATTTTTTTGTACAGATGGGGTCTCGTCATGTTGCCCAGGCCAAGACATTTTTATACAGTAATAGATAACTAATACATTCTCCAACTTTCTTTACTAGTTTTTTATTTTTTTCTTTTCTTGGGGGGAAGGTATTAATATTAACAGTATCATGGATAGCCTTCCATGTCATTATATTTAGTGTTATTGCATTTTTTTAAGAGGTGGATTGCTAAATACTGTTCAGATTGTGAATTGCAAAGGAGCACCTGGCAAAGGAAGGTAACGAGGATTAAAATCCAGCCCACACTCCACTCACCAAATGGTGCATCCTAGCATGTGCCTGGTTCACCCAGAGGAGGGGATCTTTTTTAAAAATTTACACAAACGTGGCCTCTGGGCTAGTGGCAGCCCTGTTAACAGTCATATAATATTCCATGATATGAATGTACTATAATTTAGTTAACCAATCATCTTTTTGGCCATTGAGATTGCTTCCTGTGCTGTTACTGCAAACAACCCTGTAATTAGTAGCCTCCTTGTACAAAGATATTTATATTCCTGTACAAACATTTCTGTAGTAAAGATTCCAAAATAGGATTCCTGGACCATAAATTATGTCCATCTTTAATATTGATAGATTCTGACAAATTAACCTTACTACAAGTTTTACCTGTTTATACTCCCAGCAAGTATAAAGATGTTGCTTTTTTCCTTACCCCTCACTGACACTGGATGAGATCAATCTTTTAAATATTTGCCGATCTGATACATGAAAAATTTTATCTCACGGTTTTATAGATCATTCATAGCAAATCAAATATTGTTAACTTTCTTTTCTCTGGGTCAGGACAATTTCATTGTTATCTGAGTCGATCGGTCTTTTTCCTCAAATATGTAGGCAATGTTGAATAAATCTGTTAGAGATCAGAGAATCAAATCCTACCCAACCAACGTCCATTCACTTCGTCCTATCTCTTATGTGAAATGTTAGTAGGAGAGAGAAATACAACACCTAGTGAGTGTAGTTAAGGGTAAGGTTTCAGCAAAGGTCTTCTAGCACTTGACTTTCTGATCATAAGTCTCAGTAAAAATCTTGTTGACTCTTCACCAGATTTGCTTGTTTAGCCACCACCACCCCCTTTGCAAATAAGATCACTTTCATTCAACTATTTTGACGTAGGTAGTATGAAGAGAACCAAACGCTAGTGAGAATACCAAGGCATTGTAAGTCTTGCTTTTTTACTAGATGTATGTGTTAGTCCATGTTGTCAGACAAGCAGACACCAAGATGAGAATTACAGATGTAAAGAATTTTATTAGGGAAAAAAGCCTGTGGTAAAAAATGGTGATGGAACCAGGGAAAGCCAGACAGTGTTGCAAGGCTGGCCCAAGGGAAGGGAGAGAGAGTAGTTTGGGTACAAATATCCTAGACTGCCATGCAGCCTAAAAATGTTTCAGCAAGACTCAGAGAGTCCTCAAAGCAAAGTCAGTCATAAGAGGGGTCTGTTGTCTCCCAGGGTCCAGCCTATCTTAGTATCCCTGCCACACTCAGTCACTGGCTGGGAGAAGCCAGTGGAAAGAGCAGCCTCGGTGTGATAAATTTCAGAGAACAGCAGCCAGGGTCCTTGATCAATTACCCTCTGTAGGGTTGGAGACCTACCAGGCTCATTGTCAAGGATGCCATCGCATATTATCAATAAGCTAATCTGCAGACAGAACCTCAGTAGAATCATAACAATAGGAAATAGAATACTTGTGCTTCATTTCTAGTTTGTTGTTTTCATAATGCAACTGCTTGCCTTATTCCCAAATAATAAAAGAAAGCATTTCTATTTGGTTGATGTGATGCTTAATACTGAGTGTCAACTTGATTGAAGAATGCAAAGTATTGTTCCTGGGTGTGTCTGTGAGGGTGTTGCCAAAGGAGATTAACATTTGAGTCAGTGGACTGGGAAAGGCAGACCTATCCTTAATCTGGGTGGGCACAGTCTAATCAGCTGCCAACATGGCCAGAATAAAAAGCCAGCAGAAGAACGTGAAAAGACTAGACTGGTTTAGCCTCCCAGCCTACATCTTCCTCCTGTGCTGGATGTTTCCTGCCCTCAAGTATCAGACTCCAAGTTCTTCAGCTTTGGGACTCAGACTGGCTTCCTTGCTCCTCAGCTTTCAGACAGCCTGTTGTGGGACCTTGTGATCATGTGAGTTATACTCCTCAACACACACACACACACACACACACACACACACACACACACACACACATATGTGTATATATATATAAAATAGGATATATATATACATGTATATGTGTGTATATATATATATATATATATCCTATTAGTTCTGTCCCTCTAGAGAACCCTGACTAATACAGTTGATGATTGCATAACTTTCCTAACTCCCACGGAATAAAGATGAAGATTGTAAAACAGAAATAGCTGGAATTCTATGTGTAAGAAACAATAAATGAACAGGAATTTGGGGATGGAGAACAGCAAAGAAGAAAGAAAGCTGGAGAGAAAGAAGGTAGAAGAACACAGTAGCAACCAAGAAATCCTCAGAGGCAGGTGGCCAGGGAGAAAATCCCCATGGAAGGCCAGATGAAGGATATTGAAAAATAAAAATGTCTAGCAATCAGAATAAGGGCTTTTTTTCTGCAAAGCATCAGCAATCAGATATACAAATTTTCAATTTCCTACTAGATTTTTAAGTGCTAGATTTTGGAAGTGGGGGCAGGGAGTTAAATACTAGTGCCTCTCTAAATGTATGTCTTAGACATTATATTTGAATTATTTCTCTTAGTCTTCAGGGACTTTTTTATGTTGAACTCTAAGGAATAATCCAAATATTTTGGCTAAATTCAAATTTGTTTTTATCAATTCTTCTTTTAGAGGCTCATAAGCTGAAACTTAGAAATGTCTCATGGCATGCAAATACTGTCATAATTATTCAATCTCTTTATGTGTTTGTGCTGGTCAAATCTTAGCCTTACCTATTAGATTGTAAACCCTTTAGGAATATCTTAAAGCATATAAATATTTTCTATAGCCCCTGCATTTCTCATGGCAGAATCATTATGTGATTGTGATCATAATGTTTGAATCCCATAGGTCTGCATACAAATGTAAAATATTTTATACACACATTAATACAAATCCAGTAGGTTTCCGCTGATCTATTTCCTCCATCACTTCTTGGCTGCATTTAATACTGTTGATCAATCACGTATCAAAGGTCCCTTCTTCCTGGACTTCCATTGTATTAACTTCTTGGCTGTCCTCCTAGCTCCCTGCCTCCTCTTGTTCCATATCTTTGGCTTTCCATCATCTCTTAATTTTTAATATCACACATCAATCTTTCTGAAAGCTTTCATTTCATGGTTCCATTATCACCCCTAACCTAATGCTCCCATTTACATCCCCAAATCTTACTGAGCTTTGGTCCTGTATTTCCAACTTCCTCTAGGATAGCTTCTCTAAAATATTTTGCTATCATTTGCCAGATCTGTTTGGTCCAAAGCTTTCTCTTGCTATCACTTATCACTTTCTCATTCATCAGTAGCATTTCATTGTCTTCCATTCACTCAAAGGAAACTTTAATGACAGCTTTGAATTCTTCTTGTTTATTCCTCTCCCCACATCTAACTGCTTTACCAAATTGTATTTCTCTTTTATTTGTGAAACAATATATCAGCTGCCTGTCTGACTTCAGGTTCTTCAGCTTACTGTGGTTGCCCAGTCCTTTAGGATTTAAATAAAAATGGTCTCAAATCCCCTTTCACCATTTCAGAGGAAACTCAAGGACTCTCTCAATGTTCCCAGAGTTTTCTGGGGATCTCATATTTCAGCTAGTCATTTTGGTACTTATTTGCTTCTTCTGATGAATTTTCAGTCTCCTTCCTAGTTCACTTCATGTGGCTGTTCACATTTTATACCCTGTTTGGACCCTCAAATGAAAAATGTTCCTTTTTCCTTATTTTACCTCAATACCTCTCACCTGACAAAGTTCTGTAGAGCAAACTTTACTGAAGATTTCAATAGTAATGACAAGGGGCTTGTGTGATTGTCTGCAGAGCAGACAGCAAAACTAAATATTCAAACTTCTCCATTTTTAAGAGTTATATATTTATTCATGTCACTGTGGAATATTCACTTCTTCCTTTTACTAGGGCTCTAGTCCCCATAGTTTCTGAGTTCTCTCTTTAATCGCCTATCTTCTTCTCAGCCTTCTCATCCTCCACCACAACCTCAAGTCAGTTCCTAGTCATTTTTCATGCAGGTAAAGTGGAGACAACTGTGACTCTCAAAACAGTGTGGCTATCACTTTATCTCACAACATTGAGAGCTTCTTACAAGTGAGCATCACTTTTGAGTCCTTTTTGTAAGGCCTATCATGCCTGATCCAATGACTACCATAGAGTAGGCTCTCAATAAATGGTTAATGAATTCAGTTTGGGTGGGGTAATTCCCTTTGAAAATGCAAATTGGTTTTTTTTTCACTTTGTAGTTTGCCTTTCAATGCAAATAACTAAACTGAAAACTCATTCCCATAGGTAGGCCAAACTTGGAAGGGTTAAAAAATCTATACCATGTATGATACCAAATAATCTGTTGGATTGATTTTTGACATTTGATATGGTTAGGCTTCATGTCCCCACCCAAATCTCATCTTGAATTGTAATCCCCAGGTGTTGAAAGAGAGACCTGGTGGGAGGTGACTGGATCATGGGGGTGGTTTTCACCATGCTGTTCTCATGATAATGAATAAGTCTCATGAGATCTGATGGTTTTATGAAAGGCAGTTCCCCTGCACTCGCTCACACACTCCCTCTGCTGCCTTGTGGAGAAGATGCCTGCTTTGCCTTCCGCCATGATTGTAAGTTTCCCGAGGCCTCCCCAGACATGAGGAACTGTGAGTCAATTAAACCTCTTTCCTTCATAAATTACCCAGTCTTAGGTATTTCGTTATAGCAGTGCGAAAATGGACTAATACAACATTAAAATACTCAATTCCTTGGAAACTATTTAATAGAAATTTGTATTTACTAGTTCAATAAATACTCATTAAACATCATCTGTGTATATTCTGTGTATATGCCAGGAGCTTGGTAGACTCCAAAGCTAATTACACATGGTCCTGACTCAGGATACCTGCAATCTATAGTGGTGACAAAGATTCATATAGTTATGATATGAAGTTAATGTACAGTCCACAGAGGGTTGCATTCTCTCAGTTGGTATAAGAATGGTCTGATTAAAACCTTCAGAGGGACAAAAGTTGTTGAGGCATGGGAATAGTAGAGGTGACCAACCCTTCAACTGGAATCTTGTGTTGACCTTGACATGTCATCAGAGGCTTATATCAAGTTCATGATTTGACTTTATTTATATATTTTATCTTGAAAAGCTTGCAATTTTAAATATCTCTAGAAAGCAAATAGAATTTTGTTCTGGATTTCACATTTCCATGCTTTTCTGAAAGCTACCATTCTTTTTCCATTACCACAACTGACACTCTACTTTCACTCACTGAAGGGATCAGAGATGGCTCTGAAATTCAGTCAGATGCATCATGGTCCCTCACACGCTACTAGCTTCATGGCCACAACCAATCAGACCTGACCACCTCCAAGTGAGAAGGGGCCATTTGGTCAAACACCAGCCACTGAAATCCAGTCTGTAATGCCCTTGCCTAATGACATTGTACCTGTGATTAGATACCACTGATAAAAAAGACCTCACTTCTTCTTAAAGCAGCCCATTTTAATGTTCCACATCTCCCTTAGAAATGTCTTCCCTTGGCCGGGTGCAGTGGCTCATGCCTGTAATCCCAGCACTTTAGGAGGCTGAGGCGGGTGGATTATGAGGCCAGGAGTTCAAGACCAGCCTGGCCAACACAGTGGAACCTGAAAAATTACTAAAAATACAAAAATTAGCTAGGCGTAGTGGCAGATGTCTGCAATCCCAGCTACTTGGGAGGCTGAGGCAGGAGAATCGCTTGAACCTGGGAGGCGGAGGTTGCAGTGAGCCGAGATCAGGCCACTGCACTCTCCAGCCTGGGTGACAGAGCTAGACTCCATCTCAAAAAAAAAAGAAAAAGAAAATAAAAGAAAGAAAGAAAAGAAATGTCTTCCCTTGTAGTGTGTGAAAATCTGTCTCTAAGCACCTTTATCTACTAGTTCTGGTTCTGGTTCTAATCCTTGTGGTCATCCAGAAGAAATCTAAAAACTTTTCCTTATGACAAATACTGTATCTGAAGATAACTACTACATTGATGTCTTCTCTTCCCCAGACTAAAAGTCTTCTGTGCCTTCAGCAACACTTATTTGGACTTGGTTTTGAGTCTTTCTTTTAGCCTGCTCACCTTCTTTGGAACATAACATTTTTCATTTTTTTTTTTAAGTATAGCATCCAGACAACATATCCCAAGTATGTATTAACTACAATAGAATAAAACAAGACGACCACCTCCATAATTTTCAACATGAACTACTATTAATACTTCTTAAAAGCACATTTTTGTGGCCATTCACAATATTTTTTTTACGTACTGAGGTTTTTTAAATTTTTATTTTAGGTTCAGGGGTACATATGAAGGTTTGTTATATAGGTAAATTTGTGTCATGGGGGTTTATTGTACAGATTATTTCGTCACCCAGGTATTAAGCCCAGTATCCAGTAGTTATCTTTTTTGCTCCTCTCTCTCCTCCCACCCTCCACCCTCAAGCAGATCCCAGTGTCTATTTTTTCTTTCTTTGTGTTCATAAGTTCTTATCATTTAACTCCCACTTACAAATGAGAACATTCGGTATTTGGTTTTCTGTTCCTACATTAGTTTGCTAAGGATAATAGCCTCCAGCTCCATTCATGTTCCCACAAAAGACATGATCTCATTCCTTTTCATGGCTGCATAGTATTCCATGGTGTATATGTACCACATTTTCTTTATCCAATCTGTCATTTATGGACATTTAGGTTGATTCCATGTCTTTGCTATTGTGAATAGTGCAATTAACACTCATGTGCATGTGTCTTTATGACAGAATGATTTATATTCCTTTGGTTATATACCCAGTAATGGGATTGATGGGTCGAATGGTATTTCTGCTTTTAGCTCTTTGAGGAACTGCCATACTGCTTTCCATAATGATAGAACTAATTTACACCCCTGCCAACAGGGTATAAGCATTCCCTTTCCTCCACAACCTTGCCAGCATCTATCATCCTTTGACTTTTTAATAATAGTCATTCTGACTGGTGTGAGATGCTATCTCGTCGTGGTTTTGATTTGCATTTCTCTAATAATCAGTGATACTGAGATTATTTTTCATATGCTTATTGGCTACATGTATGTCTTCTGAGAAGTGTCTGCTCATGTCCTTTGCCCACTTCTTAATGGAGTTGTTTTTCTCTTGTAAATTTAGTTCCTTATAGATGTTGGATATTAGACCTTTGTCAGATGCAAAGTTTGCAAATATTTTCTCCCCTTCTGTAGGTTGTCTGTTTACTCTGTTGTGATTTTCTTTTTGCTGTGCAGAAGCTCTTAAGTTTAATTAGATCCTGTTTGTCAATATTTGCTTTTGTTGTGATTGCTTTTGGTATTTTTGTCGTGAAATCTTTGCCCATTCCTATGCCCAGGATGATATTGCCTAGGTTGTCTTCCAGGGTTTTTATAGTTTTGGGTTTTACATTCAAGTCTTTAATCCACATTGAGGTGGTTTTTGTCTAAGGAAGGGGTCCAGCTTCAATCTTCTGCATATGGCTAGCCAGTTATCCCAGTACCATTTATTGAATAGGGAGTCTTTTCCCCATGGCTTGTTTTTTCAGTTTTGTCAAAGATCAGATGGTCATAGATGTGTGACCTTATTTCTGGGCTCTCTATTCTATTCCATTGGTCTATATGCCTGTTTTTGCACCAGTACCATGATGTTTTGGGTACTGTAGCCCTGTAGTATAGTTGAAGTCAGTTAACATGATGCCTCCAGCTTTGCTCTTTTTGCTTAGGAATGCCATGGCTATTCAGGTTCTTCTTTGATTCCATATGAATTTTAAAGTACCCTTTCCTAGTTCTGTGAAGAATGTCATTGGTGGTTTGACAGGAATCATATTGAACCTATAAATTGCTTTCAGTGGTATGGCCATTTTAATGATATTGATTCTCACTATACATGAACGTGAGATGTTTTTCCATTTGTTTGTGTCATCTCTGATTTCTTTGAGCAGTGTTTTGTAATTCTCATTATAGAGATATTTTACCTCCCTAGTTAGCTGTATTCCTAGGTATTTTATTCTTTTTGTGGCAATTGTGAATGGGATTGCCTTTTTGATTTGGCTCTTGTCTTGGCTGTTGTTGGTGTATAGGAATACTAGTGATTTTTGTAGATTGATTTTGTATATTAAAACTTTGTTGAAGTTGTTTATCAGCTGAAGGAGCTTTTGGGCCGAGAATATAGGGTTTTCTAGATATAGAATCATGTCATCTGCAAACAAAGATAGTTTGACTTTCTCACTTCCTATTTGGATGCCCTTTATTTCTTTCTCTTGCCTGACTGCTCTGGCTAGGACTTCTAATAATATGTTGAATAAAAGTGGTGAGAGGGAGCGTCTTTGTCTTGTGCTGGTTTTCAAGGGGAATGCTTCCAGCTTTTGCCCATTCAGTATAATGTTGGCTGTGGGTTTGTCATAGAGGGCTCTTACTATTTTGAGGTTACACACTGAATTTTATGTTAGCTAAAATTTCTAACTCCTTTTCACATATGCTATGGCTAAGCCATATATACCTGCCATATAGTAAGGGCTTGACAAATGTTAGCTATCATTATTAGCAGTTACTGTTTTTGTGAAAATAATTTTGATAAGTATGCTCTCCACAAGTTTGTCTAAACAATTAATTTAAACTTTTAAAAAATAAGACAAAGTATGGTTGAAGATGAAGTACACAGCATCCTTCTAACAACCCTCTCTCCTGAGTAACATCAATCCTGTACTTAAACTGCATTGGGCATGGACATTAAACCAGTTGCTAATCTACCCTGTTGTCTTTAGGAGACCAAGGTTTCCTTAGTATCACTTAGATCTGGATATGATGAGGTCCCATAGAACACAAATATCATTCACTAGGTTTGCCTCCCCCTGCTTCTGCAGATCCTCCCAGCCCAACAGAAAAACACACATCCCGGCTTGCTCCCTCCACTTCTACCTTGTAATCTGTGTACAATTCTCCTGGATGTTCCTGATGGTGTCTCCTACTTGCTAGTGTATATTTCTTTTTAGTTACTTTGTGCCATCTACCAGACACCATTGTTAATTCCACTGGGTACTATTACTTTTGGTGACCACAGCTACCATCCCTACTTGGTATAACACCAGTTGCTACTGCCAGGAACCATTGCTGTCTTCCAGTGCTTTCCCATATAGCACTGTTTTTGCTTTTGCCAACTCTGGTCCAACATGTAATTGCTTATACTAGACTCTCCAGTTCACCAAAGTGGGCTGTGATTTGTGGCAGATTTGGTGAGACTTTCTCATGCTTTTGAGCTACTGTTTGTTGGAAGGGCCCAGTTCAGTGTTGCTTAGGCCTTGATATCTTAATAAATTTTGGCATATGCTATGGTTTGAATGTGTACACTCCAAAATTCAGTTGTTGAAACTTAATGGCCAATGTGATAGTATGAAGAGGTGAGACCTTTAGGAAGTGAGTAGACCATAAGTGCTCCTCCCTCATGAATGGGATTAAGGCCCTTATAAATGAGGCTTCACACAGCATTTGGATCTTTTGCCCTTCTGTCTTCAACCACGTGAGGACACAGCATTCCTCCCCTCTGGAAGATCAGCAGCAAGCACCATCTTAAAAGCAGAGAGCAGCCCTCAGCAGACAATCAGATCTGCTGGTGTCTTGATCTTGGACTTCCCAGCCTCCAAAACTTAAGAAATAAATTTCTGTTCTTTATAAATTACCCAGTCTTAAGTATTTTGTTATAAAACCACAAACAGACTAACAAAGTACATTTTTTCATTTTTCTTTTCTTATTTTTTGGAGGGAGGAGTTTACATGTATAACCTCTTTTCCAGGGCTGAAACACTGGCTCCTGTGGCTGAGCCAGGAAGCGGGTCAGATTTGCTCTTCCTCTCCAACCATGATGCTTTGTTTTCTTGTCAAGTTTTTAACTGGTTTCCTCTTCCTTTTGGGTAAATTATCTCTCAGAAGCTGCCTCTGTCTATCTCCAGCATCAATCATGCAGCAAAAGCTTGAACCTCAAACGTGTGAACTCTACTACAAACACCCCCCCCCACACACACACATACACACACACACACACAACTACCACCTATGGACTCCTTTCCATGTGTGTGTCCCATGAAAAACTTTACCTATATTACCTCATTTCAATCATCACAGTAATCCTTACATGGGGCAAATATTATAATATCTATGAAGACACTAAGATTCCAAGAGTTCACATGGAAGAAGAGGCAAGATGTCCAACTAGATGCAGTCCCACCAAGAGACTTGACCATCAAGAAGACTAACACACTCCAAGCAGATATTCAGAAGGAAGGCATTGAGAGTGGGTAGAGGAAAGACACAGACCCTGAGCTGAAGGAGGAGGAAGCTGGATACCCTGCATGTGGCTGCCGAGCACGAGGACTCATTCCTGGCCCCCAGTAGCTCCTGGGGAAGGGGTGAGTTCAATAAGTGAGTAGTGCCCTCTCTCACCATAGGCCTCCAGAGTCCTAGCTGCAGGAGACCCCAGAACCTCTATGGACATTTGAATTGACATGGATAGCTGCTTAGAGAGATGGCAAGGACTGAAGCTTGTGTGAAGCCCAGAGGGTTTGTCATGGGAATGGCTGCAGTACAACACGACCAGGGATGCCCATCCCCCAAGGAACACCTTGGCCCCTCCAGTACAGCAGGTGCATAACCTTGAGGGGCTACAGAACAAAGCTGTGGACCTAGTAGCAGCCTCACAGGGTTAGATCATGCAGCCAAGGAGGGCTGAGTTGAGCTTTGGCCCCCTGAAATCATCCAGAAACAAAGCCAATTGACTAAAGTACTTATACAATAGTCAAACCTTTAAGGGGATCAAAAAACATAAAAGCAAAAAACCCCATCCAAAGGACATCAACTTCAAAGATCAAAGGAATATCAACCCACATAGATGAGAAAGAACTAGCACAAGAACTGTGGTACATCTAAAAGCCGGAGTGTCTTCTTACCTCCAAACAACCACACTAGCTCCCCAGCAATAATTCTTAGCAGGCTGAAATGGCTGAAATGACAGACAGAGAATTCAGAATCTGGATAGCAACAAAGATCATCGAGACTTAGGAGAAAGTCAAACCCAATCCAAGGAATCTAAAGAATCTAAAAAATGATACAAGAGCTGAAAGACAAAATAGCCATTTTAAGAAAAAACTAAACCGATCCCATAGAGCTGAAAAGCTCACTACAATAATTTTATAATACAATTGAAAATATTAACAGCAGAAAAACCAAGCTCAGAAAAGAAAAGAATCTCAGAAGTCAAAGACTTTGACTCAAAGATTTGAATCAACTAATTCAAACAAAAATAAAGAAAAAGAATAATAAAGAATGACTAAAACTTCCAAGAAATATGGGCTAATAATATAAAGAGACTAAACCTATGACTTATTGGCACCCCTGAAAGAGAGGGAGAGAGAGTAAGCAACTTGGAAAACATTTGACGATATTGTCCATGAAAATTTCCCCAACCTTGCCAGAGAAATTGACGTTCAAATTCAGGAAATTCAAAGAACCACTATGAGATACTATCCAAGACAACTGTCCCCAAGAAACATAATCATCAGTTTCTCCAAGGTCAACATGAAAGAAAAAATATTAAAGGCAGCTGGAGGAAGAGGCAGGTCACCTACAAAGGGAACCCCCATCAGGCTAACAGCAGACTTTTCAGCAGAAATCCTCCAAGCCAGAAGAGATTCAGGGCCCATATTCACCATTTTTAAAGAAAAGAAATTTTGACCAAGAATTTTATATTCAACCAAACTAAGCTTCATAAACAAAGGGAAAATAAAATCTTTTTTAGACAAGCAAATGCTAAGGGAATTCATTGCCACCAGACCTGTCTTATAAGAGATCCTTAAGGGGGTACTATACATGGAAACAAAGACTGTTACTGCCCACCACAGAAACACATAGACCATTGATACTATAAAGCAACTACACAATCGACTCTGCATAACAACCAGTTAATGATGACAGGATCAAATCTGCACATATCAGTCTTAACCTTGAACATAAATAGGCTAAAAGGCACAGAGTGGCAAGATGAATAAAGAAGGAAGGCTCACCTATATGCTATCTTCAAGAGATTCATCAAACATACAGTGACACCCATGGGCTCAAAGTAAAGATATGGAGAAAAATATATCAAACAAATGGGAAACAAAAAAGTGTAGGGGTTGGTATTCTAATTTAAGACAAAACAGATTTAAGCCAACAATGATCAAAAAAGACAAAGAAGGTCATTACGTAATAATAAAGGTTTCAATTCAATGAGAAGACTTAACTATACTAAATATATATGCACCCAACACTGGAGAACCCATATTCATAAAACAAGTTCTTAGAGACCTATGAAGATACTTTGATAACCACACAATAACAGTGAGAGACTTCAACACCCCACTGACAGTATTAGACAGATCATCAGGGCAGAAAATTAACAAAGATATTCAGAACCTAAACTCAATACTTGACCAAATGGACCTAGCACACATCTACAGAACGATCCACTCAACAGAAGAATATACATTCTTATTTGCACATGGCACGTACTATGAAATTGACCACATGCTTAGCCATAAAACAATTCTCAACAAATTCAACAAAGCCAAAATCACACTCTCAGACCACAGCACAATAAAAACAGAAATCAATATTGAGATTTCTGAAAACCATACAATTGCATGAAAATTAGCAACCTGTTCTTGAATGACTTTTGGGTAAACAATAAAATTAAGACAGAAATCAAGAAATTATTTGAAATTAATGAAAACAAAGAACAACATACCAGAATCTCTGGGAAGCAGCTAAAGCCGTGTTAAAAGGAAAGTTTATAGTGCTAAACACCCACTTCAAAAACTCAGAAAGATCTCAAATTTACAACCTAACATTGCAACTAGAGGAATTAGAAAAACAAGAGCAAACCAACCCAAAACCTAGCAGAAGAAAAGAAATAATGAAAATCAGAGCTGAAGTGAATGAAATTGAGATGCGAAAAACCATACAAAAGATCAGTGAAACCAAAAGTTGGTATTTGAAAGAATACATAAGATTAATAGACTGCTGTTTCAACTAATAAAGAAAAAGAGAAGATCCAAAGAAACACAGTCAGAAATCACTAAGGGGTCATTACCACTGATCCCACAAAAATACAAAAAATCCTCAGAGACTATTATTAACACCTCTATGTACACAAACTACAAAGCCTAGAAGTAATGGATGAGTTCCTGGAAACATACAATCTCCCAAGATTGAACCAGGAAGAAATTGAAACCCTGAACAGACAAATAATGAGTTCTGAAATTGAATAAGCAATAAAAAGCCTACCAACCAAAAAAAGCCCTGTACCTGATGGATTCACAGCCAAATTCTACCAGATGTATAAAGAAGGTTGGTACCAATCCTACTAAAACTATTCCAAAAATTTGAGAAGGAAAGATTCCTCCATAACTCATTCTATGAGGCAAGCATCATTCTGACACCAAAAACCTCACAGTGACACAATAAAATAAAATAAAATAAAATAAATAAAATAAAATAAAATAAAATAAAATAAAATAAAATAAAATTCAGGCCAATATCCCTGATGAACATAGACATAAAAATCCTGAACAAAACACTAGCAAATCAAATCCAGCAGTACATCAAAAAGCTAATTCACCATGATCAAGTAGGCTTTATTCCTAGGATGCAAGGTTGGTTCAACATACACAAATCAAAAAATGTGATTCATCACATAATCAGAACTAAAAACAAAAAACACATGATCATCTCAATAGATGCAGAAAAGGCTTTTGATTAAATTCAACATCACTTTATGTTAAAAACTCCCAACAAACTGGACATTGAAGGAACATACCTCAAAATAATAAGAGCCATCTATGATAAACCCACAGTCAAAATTATACTGAACAGGCAAAAGCTGGAAGCATTCCCCTTGAGAACCAGAACAAGACAACCATGCCCATTCTCAGCACTCCTATTCAACATAGTACTGGAAGTCCTAGCCAGAGAGATTAGGCAAGAGAAAGAAATAAAAGGCATCCAAATAGGAAGAGAGGAAGTCAAGCTATCTCTCTTCACAGACGATAAGGTTTTATACCTGGAAAACCCCATAGTCTCTGCCCAAAAGTTCCTAGTTCTGATAAACAACTTCAGCAAAGTTTCAGGATTCAAAATCAGTGTACAAAAACCAGTAGCATTTCTATACACCAACAACATCCAAATCAAGAACATAATCCCTTTTGCAATAGCTACCAAAAAAAAAAAAAAATACTTAGGAATACAACTAACCAGGGAGGTGAAAGATCTCTAAAATGAGAATTACAAAACACTGCTGAAAGAAATCACAGATGGCAAAAACAAATGGAAAAACATTTAAAGCTCACGGATAGGAAGAATAAATATTGTTAAAATGGCCATACTATCCAAAGCAATTTACAGATTCAATGCTACTCTTATCAAACTACCAATGACATTTTTCACAGAATTAGAAAAAATTGCTCCAAAATTCATATAGAAACAAAAAACAGTCTGAATAGCCAAACCAATCCTAGGCAAAAAGAACAAGACCAGAGGCATCACACTACCTAACTTCAAACTGTATTACAAGATTACAGTAACCAAAACAGCATTGTACTGGTACAAAAATAGACACAAAGACCCATGGAATAGGTTAGAGAACACATAAATAAAGCTACACCTACAACCACCTGATCTTTGAAAAAGCTGAAAAAACAAGCAATGGAGAAAGGGCTCCCTATTCAATAAATAGCGCTGAAATATCTGGCTAGTCATATGCAGAAAATTGAAACTGGACTCTTTCATCATATACAAACATCAACTCACAATGGATTAAAGACTTAAATATACAACCTAAAACTATAAAAACCCTAGAAGAAAAACCTAGAAAACATCATTCTGGATGTAGGCCCTGGCAAATATTTTAAGAGAAAGACTGCAAAAGCAATTGTAGCAAAAACAAAAATTGACACCCGGGACATAATTAAACTAAAGTGCTTTTGCACAACAAAAGAAATTATCAATAGAGCAAACAGACAACCTAGAGAATGGAAGAAAATATTCACAAACTATGCATCCAACAAAGGTCTAATATCCAGAATCTATAAGGAACTTGAGCAAATTAACAAGCAAAAAACAAACAACCCCATTTTAAAAAAGGGGCAAAGGAGATGAAAATAGACTTCTCAAAAGAAGACATACACATGGCCAACAAGCATATGAAAAAATGTTCAACATCACTAATTATCAGAGAAATGCAAACCAAAACCACAATGAGATACCATCTCACACCAGCCAGAATGGCTATTATTAAAAAGTCAAAAAATAACACGCTGGAGAAGTTGCAGAAAAAAGGAACACTTATACATTGCTGGTGGGAATGTAAATTAGTTCAGCCACTGTGGAAAGCAGTTTGGCAATTTCTCAAAGCAGTTAAAACTGAGCTACCGTTAGACCCAGCAATCCCATTACTGGGTACATACCCAAAGGAATATAAATCATTCTGCCCTAAAGACATGTGCACACATATGTTCATCACAGCACTATTCACAACAGCAAAGATATGGAATCAACCTAAATGTCCATCAGTGGTGAACTGGATAAAGAAAATGTGGTACATATAGACTGTGGAATACTCTGCAGCCATAAAAAAAGAATATCATGTCAGATCATGTCCTTTGTAGCAACATGGATGGAGCTGAAGGTCATTATCCTAAGCAAATTAACATGGAAATGGAAAACCAAATACATGTTCTCACTTACAAGTGCACATGGACACAAAGAAGGGAACAATAGACACCAGGGTCTATTTGAGGGTGAAGGGTGGGAGGGAAGAGGGTAAGGATTGAAAAACTACCTGTCAAGTACTATGCTTATTACCTGTGTGATGAAATAATCTGTACACCAAAGCTCCATGACATGCAATTTACCCATGTAGTAACAAACCTGCACATGTACCCTCTCAACCTAAAATAAAAGTTGAAAAGAAAAGAAAAATCAATACAAAAAGGTGTTTTGGAAAAAAAAAAGACTTTACATAGCTTGCTCAAGGTCACACAATAAGATGCTGACAGAACTGTGATTTAATCTGTGCTTATAAATGCCATGTTATTCTCCCCCCCTTCATTCAGACCTTCTTTCTCCATCTTATGCCCAAGTATCAAGTAATGAAGTACCATATCCAATACCTCAGTTGCCATACCCACACCCACTAATGTCATTTCCCTGTCAAAGACAGACATAGATTATTCCAGAATGACTTGTTCTTTGTGAATGTACCCTGGCTCTTGATGAATATGTTTCTTAGAAACTTCTCAAGGACAATCTATTATGGCACTATATTGTCAGACTCACTGGTGTAAAGTTTCCCTAATCCATATTTTTATTTCGTTTTGAGTTAGGGCAAAACTTGCTCACATGTCGTCTTCTGATACCTCTCATTCTCTCCAGTTCCTCAAAGAGGTTAGACTGTGCTACAGTGACTGAATTTACGAGTCCTTTCACAACCTGGAACTTAATATTTCTTAGCAATAAGCTCTTTCTCAGTCGGGTGCCATGGCTTATGTAATCCCAGCAGTTTGGAAGGCCGAGGTGGGTGGATCAGTTGAGGTCAGGAGTTCAAGACCAGCCTGGCCAACATGGTGTAACCCCGTCTCTACTAAAAATACAAAAAAAAGGCTTGGTGGTGGACACCTGTAATCCCAGCTACTCAGGAGGCTGAGGCAAAAGAATCCCTTGAACCCAGGAGGCAGAGGTTGCAGTGAACCAAGATTGCACCACTGCACTCCAGCCTGGGGCTACAAAGTGAGACTCTGTCAAAAAAAAAAAAAAAAAGCTCCTTCCTCTGTTTATAGACCTTAAGACAATCTGTAATTCTTACTTCCAAGTTATTGAAATTAAATCTTGTTAGTTACCTATGCTATATGTCCTGCTAGGTTAAGAAGGCACTAGATCCACACATTGCAGTCCACAGTCTAGTGCAGGAGACAGATACATAAAAACTTAATAGTAATAAGTGTAACCAAAATAAGAACAAAACTGAGGGGCACAGACGAGGTTCCCCAAAAGACTGGAGGGTTGATTCTAGCCCAAGGAGTCAGAGGAAGTTAAACAAAGCCAAAGTCTACAATTCATCCAGAAGGATGACTAGAAATTTGCCAGGTACAAATTTTAATGGAGAAAAGAGGGAACAACACTTATTAGAGATATTATTCTCAGATACCACAAATCATGTTCCTCAGATACCACAGTCAACAAATTCTTCCACCCAAGAGCTTCCATGGATTTTCTCCTATTATATTTATTCCAAACTACTCAGCCTAGCCTTGAAGACTTCCACTAGTTTCATTCACTAGTTCATTGAACCCGTTAGTTGAATTTGTTTATTGAGTGCCCACCAGAAGCCTGGCACTGTTCTAGGCACTGGAAACAGTAGGAAACAAAACAGAAAGCCTCACCTCAAACTTACTCTTAACTTGGGCCTACAGAGCTTGCCTCCTAGTAGAGACAGACAATGAACAAATAAATAAGGAAGGTATATAGAAAAGTAGATATGTGACGAAAAACAAAGAAGGGAAGGTTGTTCAAGAAATGCCAGGCAGAGGTAGAAAGTGGTCAGAAAACACCTCCCTGAAAAGATGCCATAAATGACTTGAAGGAGATAAACGTATGTGAGGGGAAGAACATGCAAAGCCAGGGGAGTCACAATGTGAAAATTCTGAGGCGGACGTATCTGGACATGGCCGAAGAAAATGTGGAGGCCAGTTAAACTGGAGCCAAGGGAGCAAAAGGGAAAATGGCAGGCGACGAGGTCAAAGAGGCATTGTAAGGACTTTGGTTTTATTCTGAGCAAGATGGGAATTGTAGTAGGGTTTTGAGCAGAGGAGTAATGGGACCCAATATGTCTTCATGGGAGCATTCTGACTGCAGAGCTGTACAGACATTGAGAAGGCGATGAGGAAAGAAAGAAGAGGAAAAGATAGTAAGTTCTGGAGAGTAAGCACCTGTCCCAGGTGACAGATGACAGATAATGGGGTTTGGACGAAGGTGGTGTCATGATGGTGGTATAAAAGAATGTATTTTGGATATAATTTCAAGGTAGAGCTGGAAATAGTTGCTTATGATTTCAATATAGAACACAATAGGACAGAGAGAGACAGAGAGAGAGAGAGAGAGAGAGAATGGGAGAGGGAGAAAGGGAAGTCATGGGTGACTCCAAGGTTTTTGACCTGAGCAAGAAGATTGGAGTTTTCATTTACTAATATGGGGAAGACTGTTGGAGAAGTAGGTTTGGCGGCTGGTAGGGGGCAGGTCATGTTAAGCCTGAGATGCCCATTAAATATCCAAGTAGAAATGTCAAATAGGCAGTTGGGTATAGGCATTCTAGGGAGAGTTCTGGGCTAGAGACAGAAATTTGAAAGCATATAACTTTGCTTTGGCTGCCATAATAAAACCACAGACTATGTGGCTAAAACAGCAGAAATTTATTTTCTCACAGTTCTGGAGGCTAGAAGTCCAAGATCTAGATGTGGGCTTCTCTTGAGGCTTGCAAATGGCTGCTTTCTCACTGTATCCTCCTGTGCTCAGTTCCCTGTGCACACCCCTGGTGTCACTTTGTGTGTCCACATTTCCTCCTCTTATAAAGACACCAGTTAAATTGGATTAGGGCCCACCCTAACAGCGTCATCTTAACTTCATCACTTCTTTAAAGACCCTGTCTCCAAATACAGTCACACCAGGGATTAGGGCTGCAACGTGTGATTTGGAGGGGAGGGCACAATTCAGAATTCAGCCCATAAAAGGGAGTCCTCAGCTTATTGAAAGAGATTAGATAAGATCATTAAGGGAATGAACATACAGGAAGGAGAAAAGAGGTCTGAAGGTGGAGCTGTGGTGCTCCTCAGATGTTTAAAGGTCAGGAAGATAAATAGGAACTGGCAAAAGAGAATTAGTGGCCAGTGAATTGGAGGAAATCCAGCAATGCATTGTATCCTAAGAGCCTGGTAAGGGGGACACTTCAAGGAGAAGGAAGTCAGAGGAAGTCATCTATATAGTCAAATGCTTCTGAGACACAAAGAAGAGGAGTACTGAGAAGTAGCCATTGAATTCAGAAACATGGACGTCATCAGCAACCTTGATGAAAGCAGTTTGGTTGTTTGGTGGAGAAGAAAAGCAGATTGGAGGAGTGAGAATTAAAGAGGAATTGCAACACTGAATATCAACTCTTCTGAGTGTTGCTGTAAAGAAGACTAGAGAAACGGAAGAAGCTAAAGGGTAATAAGAGCTCAAGGCAGGAATTTTGTTTAAGCTGGGAAAAAATAGCAATGGTTGTATGCTAACGGAGATTATGCATTAGAAAGGAAGAAGTCGATAATGCAGAGTGATGTCCTTGAGTAGCAAGACTCAAGGCTGCTTGTAGTATCTAGCAGCAAATGTGAAGGGGTTTTCCTTATCTAGGAACCTGTACATCAAAGGTAGAGCACACAGCACAAAGGCACAGAGGTGGGTAGATGGGATTATAATGTTTATGGAATTTCCCTCTGAGTATGGATGGGAGGGAAGATATTGAATATTTGAGGAAAGAGAAGAGGGTGTGAAATAGTTGTCTAGGCCAGAGACAAAGTGAATGGACTAGGAAATTAGAGTGGAATTGGCTGCCAACACTGAGAGCAAAGTTGAAGTTAGTCATCTGAATTTAAACTGAGATCACTCACCGTAGTGGTATATTTTTCTCCAGCCATGTTCAGCTAGGAAGGTGCAGGTGCCCTGAAGATTAAGTGTTAGATTTACCCAGGGCTGGGGTTTTCCAGACAAGTTTGATGAGGAGGGAAGGGGTGTGAGAGTTAGAATGTTACATAGGGAATGACTTTAATGATGGACCTTAGAATCTCAACTAGGGAAGAAGAGAAACAAGGACATAAGTCAAGCGCATGACATTAAAATAGTGCTAGGTTCAAAGGACATCCTGGTAGGCTAATTGGAATTGTAGTCATCACAGTACTTAAGGGAGAGAGCTAGAAAAATAGAAAAGATTGGCCAGAAATCTCTTTTCTCATTTCTATCCTAAATGGCAGAATTCCAGAAGCAAGGGCTATGATTTTTACCTATTTTTCTATCCCCAGAAGTGCCTTTTAAAAAGTTCCTATAACAGACATCTCTTGATGAGTGAACCATTATTGTGTTACCAACTTGAGAATTATTTTCAGGAGACAGCATGAGAATACTGGAAGCTGCACTAAGAGATCAAGACCATCTGGGTTCAAGCGAAGTCTTTGCCTCTTCCTCACTGTTTGTGGGCTCATTTCTTAACCATTGTCAGCTTCACTTGGTTCATCTGTAAAATGAAGAAAATAATAACTGCCCTGCAGTTATTGTGAAGATCAAATGCAATAAGGTATGTGAAAGTGCTTTGTAAACTAAAAGGCAAATTAACAATAACCTGAAATAGCCACGAGATCATGAATCACCCAGCAAAGGGAGAAACATAAGCCTCCAAGGACTTTTGAGGGGGACCTTTGTGCTCCTTCCATCCTCTATGACTAAGCCACACGTCATGCTTGTAGGACTCCAGGCTTTATTTGCAGCTTTCTCATTTACCCAGCCCCTTTTTTTGTACTCCTAAGCTCTGCATTCTTATCAGAGAGGGATAAAGAAGGACAGGAAGGGGAAGTGGGGAAAACCAGAGTAGGAGAAGAATGGAGGAGAGTAGGATGGAAATAATGTTTTCTACATGCATTATGTGCACCGTGCACTCTGCAAAAATCTCATTTAGTCTTTGATCTACCATTATTCAGTATCATCCTCCCAATTTATAGATGAGGAAACAGACTCAGAAAGTTTAAATTATTTGACCCAAATTACACAATGAGTAGAAATAGCAGAACTGGAAATCAACCTCTTCTCTTTCTGAATTTAAAGCCCAGGGCTTTCCTAGTAAGCCCTGGGGTGTACGGCTAATCCAAAGCAATCTTCTCTGCTGAAGAAAAATTATCTTTTGGGAGGATTTTCTGAACTAAATCTCTCATTTCTCTGTGATACTTAAGCTCCCAGGGGGGGAAAAAAAAAGAGCAGCATGTAATCAAAGAAAAGAATACTAAAATTACTAAAATTCTTAGGGCGAGAAGTTATTCATATCAAAGTGAAAACTACTTAGATTTTGAAAGTGAGTTGTCTTAAAAAGCTCTTCTTAGCTTCTCATTGGCTCAGAAGTTCTTCACTAAGAGGCTTATGGCAACATGATAGAGGGGGAAAGAGAGCTATACTAGCAGCTCAGATTCTTATTATCAGGCCATCTTAGTGTTGATCTGTATATCTATTCCTGAATAAGCATCTGCCTCAAATATAATGGCTTGAAACAATAATTTGTTACTATTTTCCCCAGCTCTGAGAACTGACTGGGCTCTGCTGGACGGTTGTTGCATAGGCCTTCTCCCTGTACTTGCAATCAGGTGTTGGCTGGGCTGCAGCCATCCGAAGGCTCACTAGGGCTGCACATCCCCAGTGACTCCCCTCCTGAATGGCATTTGATGAGTGGAAGTTCAGAGCACCCACACACAGTTCCTTCATGCAGCTAGGGCTTCTCACAATACAATGGCTGGGTCCTAAGTGAGAGAACGCCAAAAGTGAACAGTCCAATAAGTAGAAGACAGATACTTCCAGGCCAGTAAACGGCTATGCCTGAAACTGGCATAGCGTCACTTCTGCTGTATCCCATTGGTCAAAGCAGTCACAGATCCCACTCGGATTCAAGAGGGTAGAGAAATAAACTCCACTCTTTTGACGGGGGGGAAGCAACATCACATTGAAGAAGAAACTGGGAGATGGGAGATAGCATTGCATCCATCATTGGAAAATAATGACTAGATACAGTCACTCATGCTTGTAACTTCAGTGCCTTGTGAAGACAAGGTTGAAGGATTGCTGGAGGCTGGGAGTTTGAGACCAGCCTGGTCAACATAGGAAGACTCATCTCTACAAAGATAAAAATTACCTGGGCATGGCAACTCACTCTGGTTGTCCTAGCTACTCAGCAGGCTGAATCGGGAGGCTTGTTTGAGCCCAGCAGTTTGAGGCTGCAGTAAGCTATGATAGTGCTACTGCACTCCAGCATAGGTGGAGTGCAGAAAAAAAGAAAGAAAAGAAAACACAGCCTGCCATAATCACTAGTTCAATGACATCCACAAAGTTAGAATAGCCTCTATATCAAACTCCTGCCTTTGGAGCTTCATGTAGCCCTTGCCAGCCTCTCTGCCCACATCTCACACCATTTTCTTGCTATGCTACAGCTATACTGTCTTCTTTCTTTTCTTCATACCTCAGAGTTTGGACATTTATGAACAAAATCCCCTTCCCTTTCCCTCAGTTCTTCCCATGGGGGCCTCCCTCTTATCATTCAGGTCTCAACTCAAATATTGCCTCTTCTGGGAGAACTTCCCTGACTAATACATGTGACTCTTTCACATCCTCCATACCCTTTATGTGTTTGCTTTCTTATCTACCATCTCTGTTCCACTGCTACTCACAAGTTGTGAAAGGACAGTGATTTTGTCTGTCTTCTTCACTGCTGTATCCCCAGTGCCTACACTAACGTCCCTTGCATCATGGTCATTCAACAATTTTTGTTGAACGAATAAATGAATGAACAAATGAATAACCCAGTCAAGTGGCAGCCAGTGACATCTAAGACAACATCTAAAATGTCATTCGTTCCACAAAAATTACAGAATCCTTCTTATGACAGATTCTGCACTAGTTCTCCAGGAAGCTATTTTGTCTCTGGACACAACTTAGACAATTCGTGCTTGATGTTATCAATTTACCCAACTAAAACCTTCATTATTTGTTTACTAATAAGATGAATTCAGGAGTTTTCAAACTGTGGGTCCAAGTGCATTAGCTCTGTGACTGTAACCCCCAGGAAGAGGCTACAGAGACAGGAGAAAAGAGAAGCCATGAGACGCCATCATCACTTTCAGCACAGCAACAATCTTTTCATTTGCTTTATCTGTGGGGGTTCTGTATAAGATTTAGCTTGAAAAACATTCTACTGCTAAAAATAAGACTAGATGATCTCTTCAATTCTGTCCTATGTTCTGTTCTTCATGATGACAGTTCTCAAAGTGCGGCCTTCCAGTCCCTGTATCAAAATCAACACATTGGACACTGTGGAAGATGCAGATTCTGTGGCCCCTACTGAATTAAAGTTTCTGGCCATGTGACCAAGGAATCTGTATTTTAACGGGCACCTCGGGGTATTCTTAGGTACTCTAAAGTTTAAGAATCATTGCTTATTATGTAGGAAAAACTGGATAAAGTACAAAAATAAGCTGTTATGCAAAGTAGAACTCTCTTTCCTCGGGGATGACCTCTTGCAAAAAGGAATGTCTTTTCTCAGCATATACGGAATTTTTTGGAGAAGTAGGCATGGCTCTAGACTGCAGGATAACTAGAATGTGTGTTTTACTTGCTAGAAGCCCTAATTGTTCCCACTATTATCTCTTTTTAACCCAGTGATTGAAGCCAGTACGCACGTGTGCTCACACAAACACACACACACACACACATATATAATACACATACACAATGCCTATGGCCAGTATCACAGCCAACCTACCACCTCACTCAGCTGTGTCCTGCCAATTAAGCACTTCTTGAGTGGTAGAAGAGCAGGGCCCTTAAAATTCCAAGCATAAAACAGCTAATAAGAGTATCTTGTTTAACAAAGTAATAAAGCAGAGGCAAAAAAAAAAAAAAAAAAGCTGCAAAGTTTTCTTGGTGATCATTGTTTAACACTGTATGTAATTAAATATGAACGAAAGTATGCTACTTTCATTTTGTGAGCAATTTAATTCAATTAAAAATAAATGGGTCTCCTTGGCTCAGTGGGCATACTGATATACAGAACAGCACTGCCCTTAACTTGGTTTCCACTGTGTTTAAATCCAGCACGGGCAAAGCTACTGAAATACAACCCCAGGCTAACGCGATTAACTCATTCCCCAAGAGCCAATAGCAGACCTCATCCGGTCAACTGAGTACAGTGCTTTGCAGCATAATATGTTTTAATTTAAAAGAAGTTTATCAAGCGTTTGCCATGTGGCGTGAAGAGACGTTTAAGACATCTCGTAGCAGTCAAAACAGTGGTTATCTTGGGGCAGGCTAGGCATTGACTGGAAAGACACTGGAGGAAGCTGGAAATGTTCTGAATCCTGATGTGGGTGTTGGTTAGCAAATAGACGTTCATATATATGCATGTGTATGTATAAATACACATTGAGCCGTACACCTAAGATGAATGCAATTTTTGTATTTGACTGCAAATATTTTATACCTCAACCAAGGAAAAAGAGACACTTTTTCTGCCCCCAAGGATCTCGCACTGTTATTATTAGGCACCACAGGCATCAGATTCTCCGCTTACCATCTGGCTGGGGAGCCACATAAAAATACTTGAGGGCACTTATTTTGTGATAAAAACATATACAAATCTTAAAGCACCCTTAGGAAGAAAACGACAAATAAGAGGCAATCAATTTTTGCAAACTTCTTGCTCAGGGCCATATGCAGTACAGAGGACCCCCTGGGTGTGGTAAGTCCTCAGCTCAGCTTTGAAGATGGGGAAGAGGAATAAGGAGATATAGGGGGTAGGGGGTTGGGGAGGGGACAGGAAATGGCGTGGAGCAAAAGCAAGGTGTGGGACCCCCGGCCCAGGGGCAAATTAACCCTGTGTCAGGACTCCTGCTGATGGGGGCATCCCAGAGAGTGAGTGAGGAGGTGGGACTGGCTGGCGGGGAGGGGCAGACAGATGCACTTTGTCCTGGCCCCAGTTCCAAGCCGGGGTTCCAGGGATAACTGTCAAGGGCGGTCCGCACTCGCAGGCCCAGGAGGTAATGGATCCGCGCCGCTGCTGCGATAACTGGAGCTGCTCTTTCATTTCACCCAGAAGAGCCGTTGTTTGGGAATGAACTCCGGGATTCCAGAGGCCACGTCTAATAATAACACCCTTATCAACGCTGCAAGGCTGAACCGAGCCTGAGTGTGTGTGTATCTCTGGGTACCCAGGGGCCAGTGCCCAGCCCTGAAAGGAGAGCTGAGCCCTGGTGAATGGAGAGGAAAATGCCAATCTGTTGACAAAAAGTTCGCTGCTAAAAACGAAACCCCGGCCAACATTTTACAACCTGGACGCATTGTTAATGTAGTGGTTTATCTGGCAGGAATAGGAAGCTGTGTTTGAAAACAATGTATCCTTTTTAGGTGCAAGGTCAGCGTCTGTAGGACCTCGGGGTGACACCCGCCTCCCACCCCCACCCCCAGCCCAGCTCCTGGGAGAACAGCTCCAAGCCTGGCCCCCAGGCTTCCTGGGCAGAGGAAGGCGTGCTCCGCAGGCCCACAATGCAGGGAAGATGCTATCCTCTCCGGCAGGCGGGGTGCCCCACTGCACACAGGCCTCATTGAGGCCTGCCAGGGCCTCCCCCACCTCCTCCCAGAGCCAGGTGAGGTTGAGAGCAGAGAAAATCCAGAAGTACCTCTTTTAAAACTAGTCTCATTGGGAAAGAAAGTGCCAGGGGCTTGAGAGCTCGCCTTGGGTGAGAGAGAGTAGGCTCCATCCCTGAGTAGCTGTGCAAGAGATTTAACCTCCCAGGTCTGTGGTTTACTCACATGCAAAGGCAAATGAGATGAATACCTACCACAAAGGGCTACTGTGTGGATGAAATGACCTTGTGGAAATGAAGCACTTAGCATGCACCATGCCTGGTATGTGGCCAGGACTCAGTGAAGGGATTTTGCACTGGCTGCACCCTCCTCCTAGAACATTCTTTTTTTTTTTTTTTTTTTTTTTTTTTTTGTGATGGAGTCTCACTCTGTCACCCAGGCTGGAGGGCAGTGGCGCGATCTCAGCTCACTGCAACCTCCACCTCCGGGGTTCAAGGGATTCTCCTGCCTCAGCCTCCCAGTAGCTAGGATTACAGGCACGTGCCACCACGCCTGTCTAATTTTTGTATTTTTAGTAAGGATGAAGTTTCACCATGTTGGTCAGGGTGGTCTGGAACTCCTGACCTCAAGTGATCGTCCGCCTTGGCCTCCCAAAGTGCTGGGATTACAGGCGTGATTCACTGCACCCGGCTAAACATTCTTTTTAAGAAAGGCTTGTTCCCTTACCTGCCCCAGGTCCCTTCTCTGCTTTATTTTTCTCCACAGTGCTTACTACTAATATCTTAAGTCTTTTTTTTTTCATCTTATTTATTATCTGTCTCTCTCAAACCAGAGAGAAGCTCTGTGAGAAGGGTCTGTGTTTTGTCTACTGAGGAATCCTCAGAACCTAGAATAGTGCCCAGCATAGAATAGTTGTTCAATAAACATTGAATAAAGGGTACATGATGATGTAGATGAGGATTTTAGTGTACCAAGTTCCCAGTTTACATTCTCATCTCAAATTTCATAAGGTCGGTAATCTCTACTATACGATAAGCATCTCCAGGCAGGAACTGTATCTTATAAGTCTAGATTCTCCATAGCTAAGGTAGATAGATTTAGCAAAGAAAAATACAAGACACCCCTGGTAAGTTTCCATTTCAGATAAATAATACATTTATGGTATGAATACATCCAAAATATTGCATGGGACATACTTACACTAAAACATTATTCATTGTTTATCTAAAATTAAAATTAACTAGACATCCTGTATTTTATCTGGCATTGCTATCCATAGTACTTATGCAGTAAGCTCAAAATGAGCAGGTGCTACATAAGTGAATAATATGCTCAAAATCCAGAGAAATCAGAATAAACCTAAATAAAATAGGAAGGTCAGGCTCAGTGGAGTGCTGGTAATGTTTCCCAACTGAATTTTCAGGGGGGAAAAGAAGGCTTGATTTACAACATTTGCCAATTTCCTTTTTTTTTTTTTTTTGTTTTAATTTTGATGGAGTTTCACTCTGTCACCCAGGTTGGAGGGCTATGGTGCAATCTCAGCTCACTGCAACCTCTGCCTCCCAGGTTCAAGTGATTTTCTGCCTCATGCCTCCTGAGTAGCTGGGACTACAGGCACACACCACCATGCGTGGCTAATTTTTGTATTTTTATTATAGTAGAGTAGGCGTTTCACCATGTTGGCCAGGCTGGACTCAAACTCCTGACTTTATGAGACCCTCCCATTTCGGCCTACCAAAATGCTGGGATCACAGGCGTGAGCCAATTTCCTTGGTGTAAACACTCCCACCATGACCAATTTCAGGCTACCAAGGAGATATGACTGAACAAAGTTGGAAATAGATGAGCTTCATCAGCTTTGGCAAGCCAATATGAGCCAGCTTCAGCCTAAAAGTCACAGGAATAAGGAAATAGACAACAAGCAAACAAGAAAAATGCAATTTAAAACCTGTACCCACTATACTTTACCAAGGCCTTCCTGACCACTTCCTCATAAAAATTATCTCAAACTTAAAATCCTATGAGGCAGAAATGATGAGACCTATTGCTTCAGCAATGGGCAAAGAAGCCAGAAAGAATTTAGAAATTGTCTATTTACAGGTAGTAGACAGTTCAAGCTCTTTCCCCCAAACCATTCTGCCTCTGCAGTCACGAAATATGGAAGCCAAGGGGGCCTCCAATGTCAGAGGTCAACAGGTCAACCTGCCCATTCCTCTGTAGAGAAAACTGAGGCAAGGAGTAAAACGGCACACTCCTTCAGAGCTGGGAGTAGAACCTGTACCACGGCCCCCCACTTTGTGTGTGTGTGTGTGTGTGTGTGTGTGTGTGTGTGTGTGTGTGTGTGATGCATAAAGAAATTCTCAAAGTGTGTTCTAGTAACATGGGGAGCCTAAGAAATAAGCACAGACACTCCTAACGGAGTCAACATGGGGTAAGTATGCAGAGTTATTTTTGGTTTTGTTTTTAATGCGACCAGCCAGGGTTTCTGCTTTCTTAATCTCACCCAGATGATATGAAAACTTAGACCAGAATAGAGAGCACTTGTTGCAAAGAAGTAGCCAGAGCCGCAATGACCAGTGGTGGTCAGGAGGAAGGGGACAAAGAGGACTCACCCGAGATCATCAATGTTGACACACTAATTGAAACAAGAACCCACCAAGTTCTAAAACAGCCCCCTGTACGTCTCTCTCCACTCTTCCTCCTGGAGGTACCACTGAGGACAGAGCCATGCATGAGAACCCGCGCTCTGCCAGTAACCATGGTGGGTGGGCACAGGAAAGTCACTTCCCTTGCTCTCCACTGTTTCCCCAGCTATGAAACCAAAATGGGATTTCTGGGGCCTTTCCCATCAAAGACATCTATGATATTCCCTCTTTAACCTCATGTGTTTCTCCCTCCATCCTCCCCCCTCCTTCATTATCTTCCTTTTTCTCATTTCTTAAAAATCTTCTTTCCCTTACCTTGCCTCCCCCTGCACATCCTCTGTCACTCCTCTCCCTTTTCTGCACCACAGCCTTACACTCTCTCTCTCTCTCTCTCTGTTTCATCGTCATTCTCTTGGTACCACCACCCCAAGCCCCTGGAACACATGCTGCTGGAATTAACATCGGCTCTTACTTAGACAGAAACTCTCTCATAAAAGAAAAACATGATATAGGAAAGGCAGGAGTGGATGCTGGCTGGATGGAGAGGCAATCTTCAGAGCAAGCAGCCCCCAGTGTTACTCTTCTATTCATATATATTAACTACGCCCTTCTCTTTATCTGGAGAGCACTTTGCCAGCTACACAAACAAAAGATTATGCAGATTATCATAAGCAAAGAGAAAAAAATAATCTTAATTACACATCCCCAAACGTAAGCCCCCTGAATGAGAGCACCTGGGCATCCCAAGGCCATGTGTGCCCTCCAGGAGAATGATGCGGCTTCGCCAGTCCCCCTTGTAGTGGGCACCACAGAGTCCTAAGAGGCAAGCGTGCCCTGAGACTTCCCAGCTTGCTGGAAACTCTGAAAGGAAATGAGAGCCCTCAAGGCTCATTAGACCTATTTATACAGTTCTTCGTGGGGGAAAAATTAAATCTTCCAAACACAGATAAATACACCCCTGTGACAAATGAAGTAGCTAGTCATGGTTAAACCCCGGTCCCAGTGCTGACAAACGTACTAGTTGAGCCCCCCAGGCAAGATCAACATATTTATTTATCTTGAATTGCCTTTAGTTGGGAGAAAAGGAACACAGGGCTACTACATGTGTGGAGGAATGAGCGCCGGGCTTGGGGAGAGAAGTAGCAGGCAGCAATGCTGTAAGGTAGGAAAGACAAAGGAAGGTTACGCACTCAGCCGGGTGGTCAACCCACACCTCTCCCTGCCCAGCCCTCCCCATGCCATCTGCTGACCTTGGAGGTTTCTCAACCCAGCCTGTGCTGGCAACCGGCTATCCCGCTACCTGTACACTGTATCCTCGGCGACTCCAACAGCACAGGGTGACACAGGAGTGCCCTCGAAATGGCTCACTTCCTGCCCCTCTGCATTTCTCGGTAGGCCTTGTCTTTCTAGGAGCCACTCCTTTTCTGGGAAAGGTTGGCAGCATCAGGGAATGGCCCTGGCAGGAAGTGGCCAGACACATCCGAGGCCCTCCAAGAAGAGATAGTGATAAGATAGAAGAGAAAAATGATAGGACTTAGGCTGACTCCTGATAATCTCCATTCCTGGACGGGGAGCTGCACAGTCCACAGCTGCCCAGCCTGTGCAGTGGCCATGAGCCACAGGTGAGCAGTTGGGAGGTGATAAGCCTGAAATGAGATGTGCTGTAAACATGCAACTGGTGCCTGTAATCCCAGCACTTTGGGAGGCCAAGGTGGGCAGATCACGAGGTCAGGAGATCGAGACCATCCTGGCTAACACGGTGAAACCCTGTCTCTACTAAAAATACAAGAACTTAGCCCGGCTTGGTGGCAGGCGCCTGTACTCCCAGCCGCTCGGGAGGCTGAGGCAGGAGAATGGCGTGAACCTGGGAGGCGGAGCTTGCAGTGAGCCGAGATAGCGCCACCGCACTCCAGCGTGGAAGACAGAGCGAGACTCCATCTCAAAAAAAAAAAAAAAGCAACTGGTTTTGAAGGCTTAATATCAAAATCATAATAATTTTTGCATACTGATTACATGTTGAAGTGATAATATATTGGATATATTGGGTTAAATAAACTATTATTAAAATTAATTTCATCTGTTTTTTCCTTTTTAAATGTGGCAACTAGAAGATTTAAAATTACATGGGGCTCATATGTTATTGGGCAGCATAGCTCTAGAGAATCTTGAGCTGCGGCACACTCAATCCAGTTTTCTCAAGAGCCCGTTTTCAGACTTTGCCTCCTCATGAAACCTTTTAATGCCAGAACCAAAGTGGAATTTATTTGTTTTCTTTTTTCCCAGCATAGGACCCCTAAAGTTAAACTCATTCCAAACCAAGAAATGAGAACCTAGATTCAGAAACTCCTTATTTTATTTAATATTAACTTTTTAAATTATTATTTCAATAGGTTTGGAGGAAACAGGTGGTGTTTTCTTACATGAATAAGTTCTTTAGAGATGACTTCTGAGATTTTGGTGCACACATCACCCGAGCAGTGTACACTATATCCAACGTGTAGTCTTTTATCCCTCACCCCCGTCCCACCTTTTTCCCCAAGTCCCCAACGTCCATTGTATCATTCTTATGCCTTTGCATCTTCATAGCTTAGCTCCCACTTATCAGTGAGAACATACGAAGTTTAGTTTTCCGTTCCTGAGAAACTCCTCACTTTAGCATGTGGACCTCTTTAGCTTTATAATCTCAATGTTTTTCCCCAGTTTCTCTTGTTCTTTCCTCCTCCCACTCTTGTCCTCAGAACATTAGCTCTTACATGCACCACAACTCCCCTCGCTTTAGCTTAGAAATAGCTGAATAAAAAGGCTCATAGGAACCTGAGGAGACCATCAAACCCATTCAAATTGGTCCACTTGACCTAACCCAAGCAAAACACAGCTGCATTGGTCTAATCCTTTTTTAAAAAGCAATAATTCTCATCTGTTTTCATATAATAAATAATGCTTGTTCATTATTTTAAAAACATGAAAATACAAGCCAAAAGAAGAAAATAAAAATCATACACAATCCCAATCCTCAAGCTCACCATTGTTGATGTTTTCGGTACCTAGCCAACATGTTATTTTGTACATCAATAATAATAATCGCAATGTTTATTGAGCACATATTATGTCCAGGTACCATGCTAAATATTTTTAACATATTTTTCTTCATAATAATCCCAAAGTGGGTTCTATTACTATCCCTGGTTTATAGTTGAGAAAAACTTGAGATTTAGCAAGGTTAAATATCTTGTCTAAAGACAAACAGCTGGTAAGTGGCAAGCCAGTTAAACACAAGTCCAAACTGACTGTGGACATGCAGCATTTAACCTCTTTGCTGCGAGTTCTCCAAGGAGAGAGACACTATCACTGCCCTTGTGAACTTGTTCTCTTAAAGGCATCAATTTCCATCAAACTCTCCTAAATTCACAGGGCCATCCTGTATGCACATCCTAATCTATCATTATCTGTTTTCTATTTATATATTCATTAGTTCCGTGAATATTCATTGAACACTTTCTCTGTGCCAGGTGCTATTCTAGGCAACTGGAATACAGCAGTGAACACAGTCAACAAAGTTCCTTTGCACTTGTGGAGCTTATATTTCGGTGTAAGGAGACAGACAGTAAATAAGCAAGTAAATATATATTACGTCACATAGTAAGTAAGACAAACTAGTCACTGGAGAAAATTGAGCAGAGCCAGGGGGACACAGAGAGATGGGAAGGGGAGTTGCAGTAAGACACATGTGGGGGATTGTCTTATTATTTGCTATTATTCATGCTGTGCATAGCAAAACCTGGCTAAGACAGATGGCTGTCTTTTAGGATGGTCAGGGACGCCCTTGCAGGAAAGGTGGCATGTGAGCAGAGACCTTGAAAGAATGGGGAAACAAGCCATTTAGTTATTTGGGAGAAGAGCTCGCCAGGGCGGGATGTGCAGCAGAAGCAAAGGCCCTGAGCTGGGAATGGGACTGGTGTGTCCAGTGAACATCAAGGAACCAGTGTGGTGAGGGTCAGGTGAGTAGGGAGGGCAGCAGTGGGAGATTAGAGAGTGGGTGGAATGAGGACAGGGCCTTTGGGACCATCATAGAACTCTGGCTTTTACCTTGAGGGAGATGGGAAGCCACTGGAAAATTTTGGCAGAAGGAATGTGAATTACATCTTAGAAGTGTCACTCCAACCACTGTCTTGAGACTAGATCAGTATTGGAAGAGCAAGTATGGAAGCAGAATGACCAGTTGAAAGCTGGTAGTAACCTGGAGGAGAGATCATGCTGGCTAGGATCAAGATAGTGGAGGTGAGAAGCAGTGGTCATATTCTAGATTTATTCTGAAGGCAGAGCCAACAGGATTTTCTGATGGATCAGACATGGGATATGAGAGAAAGTGTCAAGGATAACTAGTTCTTGGTTTTGAATAACAGAAAGAGAAGCTTACCATTAACTAAGCCAGAGAAATTACTAGAAGAAGTTTTTTGAGGGGTGTAGACATCAGGGCCATGTTTTGGAGAATGTTAGGTTTGAAATACCTAGCTGACATCTAAGTAGATGTGTTAAGTACAAAGTTGTCTATTATCTGAGCTCAGGGAGGGGTCGAGGCTTGAGATATGACTTTGGAAGTTCTTGGAAGATAGATGGTATGTGAAACCATATTCCTGAATGCAGTTATCTTAGCAGTGATTAGTTACAACAGAGAAGAGGTCTTCACTTAATCCTTGGGCCTTCTAACTGGTAGATATTGAGGACGTGAGGAGGAGACCACAAAGGAGGCTGGAAAGATACAACCAGTGACAAAAATAAACAGTTTAAAAAGAGGGTTGTCCAGGCCGGTAGAAAAGCATTTCAAGTCAAAGGGAGTGGTTGGCCGTGTCAAATGCTGCTGACACAATATGACGTGGACTGAGAACTGGCCATTAGATTCGGCAATATAGAGAGCACATATTACCAGTATGGACAAGTGAAACAAACCAAGAGATCATTCCAGCAGGGGCACTGGGCTAGGGAAGGGATGAACCTACACCCTTTCACCATCCTTGTCTTATGGTGCTGAGAGGTGCCAGAGGGTCCCGTGGCCTCATTAAACTCTTCTTCATTATATAATTTGGTTTTCTGTGTGACAGACAAATCTCTCATCACTCTAGAGATGCCGATGATAAAATGATGATCGACTGATCATGGTTTTAAGGTTCAGGATGGTTGGTGGGGAGTTTCCCATTTGAACTCCTCAGAACCCAGTGCATTTTTCAAAGCTTTGGTGAGGTGACAACTCTTGGAAAATACATTTTTCAGCCCTTCATGAATTTACAAAGCAGGATATTATCAGGCTATCACGCCTTTGAGTGGAGTCTTCTCAATAGCAGAATATTATAATATGTATGTGGCTGATACCTTGTAAGCATGTCAATATTAGATGAAGTAGTCATACTAGTATTAAATTGCTTAGACCCTATAAATGGACCTAATAACCCTATTAACTGTAAATTAACTCTAATTGTGTCATTGTTTTTCCTCCAACTTCTGACAATCACAAGGTGGTGTTTTTCTAATTCTATCTTGAAAACAGGACTAAAGACTTTTTCTGTCTAGGTGGTCGGCCCTCCAAACTCATATGTACAGGATGTGCCAAACCTATTTTCTTGCCTCCAACCCTTTCTTTCTGCTGAGTTCAACTTGAATCTCAGGATCTACCTCTCAGTCTCCCTTTGCCTTTTCCTTAAATAATTCATCCAGAAGCTCTTAAATGTCCTTGGCTAAATAAGGTCCAAATCACATGAAATGGGGATATGACTCATTCGGCAAGGCCACACTTGGAATTCACTCAGTCCTTCAGCGTTAAGAGCAGGCGGGAAAGGTTTGATTGGGATGGAGATGGAGGACAATTTCCAGAGCCCAGAGGAAGTACCAATCTGAGGCATGCTTCCTTCCTCCAAGAACAAGAAAAGTTGGCTCTTGGAAGAAGACAGACAGACCTGCTGTATTTGTATTTGGAAACTTGTCTTCTAAATGCAGAGGTCTATAGAAACTTTCCAAGATAAATATGCCTGAGAATGCAGACTTTTCTCAAAAATAGTCATTTTGAATAATTGTAATTTTCTGTTTAAAACTGCACGTGCTCTTTTGACAAGCTGGGATGCTTTCCTACCCTTCTAAGTAGGTGGAGGAACCTTCTATTTGTCCGTTCTACCCACACTGCTCTAGAAGGCTCTATTTTCATGAGGGGCAGCTCCTTGAAAAGGCTCATGCTAGTGTTTGCACATATGACGATTTTAAAGTGTTGGAAAACTACTGTGACCCTCAGCTGGCCATACAATAGCCTTATGATCTATATACTCTACAGAGAAGTTTCTCAAAGTGCAGGCTGCACTTACTCATTCAATAAATATTCTTTGAGCAACTGTTGTCCCAGGCACCATTCAATGCCCTGGACAGCACAACCATGAACAAAACATATAAAAATTTTTTATCTCATGGAGTTTACATTCCAGTGGAACAAGAATGAAAATATACAAAATTAATAAGTGGAACATATATTAAGTTAGATACGGAGATATGGAGTGATTTGGAGAGAAATCAACCGGTGTGGAATCCCAGAGAGTGTCCCGAGTGCAGAGAGTGAAAGAGGGAGGAAAAAGGTGCACTTATTAATAGGGTGGTCAGGGAAGAGCCTACTGAAAAGGTATCCTTTGAGAAAAGACCAGAAGCCTGTGAGTGTGTGAGCTTTGCAGAAATCTGGGAGGAGAGCCCATTGAGAAGAAAGAACTGCAATAGCACATGTTCTGAGGCTAGGATGTGCCTGAAGTGTTCAAGGCACAACAAGAAGGCCAGTATGGCCCAGGTACAGTAAACCAGGGAGAGAATAGTAAGAGAGGTAGTGGGCATCCAAATTATGAAGGCCCTTGTAAAGACTTGAGCTTTTTCTCCTAGTGAGATGGGAATCACCAAAGATTTTGAGCAGCCCGGTGATTCTAACTCATATTTTAACAGAATCACTTGGCTGCTGTGTGAAAAAAATAGATCATAGAGGAATGAGAAGGGAATCAAGGACACCAACTAGGAGGCTTTTATAATAATCTAAGTGAAAATTGGTGGTAGCAGACCAGCCATCATAATTACCTGAAATACCTGAAAACTGTGAATGCCAGGAGTTAACTTTAGATCCATTGAACCAGAATGTGAAAACCCAAGACTGAAGTTTTCACAAATACTCCCCCAGGTATTGCTTAAGTATACTAGAGTTTAAAGACCATTCTTCTATGATGTGCCAACTATCAATTCATTGCCTCACACCTCCAAATTCACCCCTCATTGCCTGCTTTGCAAAAATGGATCTGGGCCCTGTACACATTTTTCCTTTGCCAGCTGGTTCAATGTTAAGTCTTGTCCGTAGACAGCACTGGAGAGACATTGCAGTAGGAAGGAAGTTTCCATTCTGGTTCTGATGCTCTGGCTTAGCAGGCTCCTGCAGCACAGGCGGGTTCTCCAGCACCAGGCTCCCACAGCACTCATGGCTTCCACAGCACCCATCTCCTGCAGAGTAGGCAGCTTATTCAGAACCAGTCTTCTGCAGTTTAGGCAGCTTTTCCAGCAGCCAGCTAATGAAGCACAAGTGACTTCTCAAGCATTGCTCCTTCAGGGCATGCAGCTACCCCAGCACTCAGCTCCTGGAGATAAGGCAGCTTCTCTAACATCAGACTCCCACAAAATGCGGCAGCCAGCAGTATCCTACTTCCAGTAGCTTCCCCCATCACCTCTGGTAATTTCACAGTAAGTGCCTCCAGAGAGACACTGCCTCCTGAACAGCTTTCCCTGGCACCCTAGAGAGTTGATTTATAGCAAGTTCCAGAGAGCAAATTCTACAAGTGCAGGTATTCCTCTTTCAGCCATTGGGCCATGGCTGTGCTCTCTCCACAATGTCTGGATTTCAGCCTTTGGAGTGGAGGTCAGGGAGGATAAGGGAGGACATTCCTCAGGCCTCTACTTCAATTTCAAGTGTAACGTCTGTTGCTTGTATCTGTTATTCCTATATTCTTAGAGTTCTCTTTACTTTTTCCAGGCCAATCTCTCATTACTCTAATCCCCTATTATAGTTGATATTTCTTTACATTAACTTTTTAATATTCAAATTACTGTGTGGTTTCTGTCTCTTGGTTCGACCATGACTGATGCACATAGCATCACATTCCAGAAGGAAATTTAGCACTCCAATCCTTTACTTGCCAAATCTGAGAGCCTGAAAGTGGTTGGATAACAAACCTTCAAGTTGCAGGCAAACTCTTCAGCTTTCAGCCAATTGTTTGGTAGAGCTTTGTACATGGTAAACAATTAATTTCATCGTGCATCATTGCTGCCTTTCTTCAACTGAAGGGCCTAGAAAGCACAGTGTTCTCTAAACTGCTGGAAGCCCACTGGAGCACTTCTGCCTGAGGAGTGGATAATGATAGACAAGCCCTCAAAGATATATAAATAATCTCTGAGCAGAATCAGAGGCCTCCTGGACATTCTCCCAGCACCAATATCCTACACACAAAGCAGATGCTTTTGTCCATTATTTGCCTGGTTACAACTGGAGAAAATGAATTTGGATTAGGTAATATTGTATAACATATGTAATCATAAGCTTTTGAGTCTGACACTGATATTTGAGCCTAGCCCTGACACTAACTAGTTTTTTTACTTTGGACAAATAACCTAATCTCTCTTGAGTCTCAGTTTTATTATCTGTGAAATCTGCATAATAGAATTTACTTCCATAGGGTTGCTATGAGGATTAAATTAAATTGTACAGGTGAAGAATTTCACCTGTGAATGTGATGATGGTTGTCCTGCTGAAAAGTGCAAAACTACATTCTTACCTGCTTGTTCAATCAATGTGCTACCAAATGCAAGGCAATCTGTAGCAAAACTGAGTGTCCAGTTTGGGTCCCCATAGTCAGAACTTGTGCCATTTCCCTGGGTAGCTCCGGCTGCCTCTGTGCTCTTGCCTCAGCTTCTGCTCCTACTCTCATCACCAACTCCAGATCCAAGAACACCTAAAGAAACACCAGTTCTTGAGATATGTGACCTCCAGAGACAAGTCATCAGGAAAGTCTAGAAAGCACTGTCCAATAAAAACAGAGTGTGAGGGCCGGGCGCAGTGGCTCACGCCTGTAATCCCAGCATTTTGGGAGGCCAAGGAGGGCAGATCACTTGGGGTCAGGAGTTAGAGACTAGCCTGGCCAACATGGTGAAATCTTGTCTCTACTAAAAATACAAAAATTAGCTGGGCATGGTGGCAGGTGCCTGTGATCCCAGCTACTTGGGTAGCTGAGGCAGGAGAATCACTTGAACCCAGGAGGCGGAGGTTGCAGTGAGCTGAAATTGTGCCACCTCACTCCAGCCTGGGTGACAGAGTAAAATTCTGTCTCAAAAAAAGAAAAGAAAAGAAAAGAAACACAGTGTGTGAGCCACACATGCAATTTCCAGGAAGCACATTTTTTAAAGTAAAAAGAAACAGGTAGCATTTATTTTAATAATATAGCTTATTTAGCTCTTTACATAAGGCATTATCGTTGTAAAAAGTAATCATTATTTAAAAATACCGTTAAGATACCTCAAATTCTTTCTTCTATATTAAGTCTTTGAAATCCAGTGTGTAGTGAACACTGACAACATTTCTCAATTCAGATCAGCTGCAGCAAGTGCTGAACAGCCACATGCAGCAAGGAACCATCATGTCGAGTAGAGCAGTTCCAGACCATCTGGCCCAGTTCCCTCATTTTAAGAAAAACGTACAGGGACTCAAATAAGTTTTATGAATTGTCCTTCCTAAGTCACGTAGCCAGATAGAGGCAAAGTCAGGATCAGAATCTAAGGCACTTGATACCTTGCCTGGATTTGAAACCCAACCCCACCCCTTATAAGCTGTGTGACTCAGAACAAACTTCTTTACTTCTCTGAACTGCAACTTCCTTTTTTATAAATGGGAAATTAATATGTTCCCAAGAGTTGTAGTAAGGATTAAATAAGGTAATGATGTAAATCACATAGCTCACAGCAAGCACTGGCTAAATGGAATAGTAAGTTATCGTAATCAACTAACCACACTGCCTTTCACTAACCTCAGCCTAATTTAGCAGGAGGCAGAGAAGGGACGGCCTCCCACTGCACACTGGTGGCCTTAGATGTGGCTTTAGTCTAGCCAGCAAGAACAATGTTATGATGCTACACATGCTCGTCAAAGTTTTATCGTAGCTCTTTATTTCCAAGTTAGAAAACAAAAAGGTGATTTTCCTTTCAAGATTCTCTTGATAAAGGAACGATGATCAATTTTTTAAGTTTCAGCAACAGGAGCAAAGTTACAAGAAGAGCACCATTAAATGCCCCACCCATCCCAGTCTCTGGTACTCCAAGGCCCCTGACTCACCTGGCTTCCCTTTTGACTCCCCTTGTCCATCCAGAAGACACAGAGATCCCTCAAAGGGAGATAATGTCATTTGTTGACATTTCCCAGGTGACGAGAAAGTCGGGTCTTTTACTAGGGACCTGAGTCTTTGCATATAATTAGCAGGTCAAATAACCCTCAGGGAATTGAGGCTTGGCGTTCCTCATTGTCAAAAGGAACCACAGCCTTCGGAGAAAGGGGTGGAGGTTGAACTACAAGAACTTCTCTCGGTCTTTTTTCATTTAAGGATCTCAAATGGAGCGGTAAATGAGGAAGGAGCAAAGAATTCCAGGCTCCATTTCTTGTTTATCTTAGAAATTTACTTCCAGGGATGTCTACTCTGGAAGTTACCATATAAACTGAGATCAGCAAATAGAACATTTCTGCTTTCAATTAACGAGTGCCTATTACGCATCCTACCATAAGTAAAATACTTGACTAAAAATTATTTTAAGATTTCAAGAAATTTACAATGTATTTTGGAATAAAGTGTGGAAGAAATACATTTACTTAATATAGATGGCAATATAGCATAATTTACATTACATGTTATATTATTGGTATATAATTGTATTTATATAATATTCATATGATGCGATATAAGATTGTTAACTAAAAGGATTAAAAATATGGGAAGCAGAGTGTGGAATGATGGACAATGGAGACTCAGTGGGGTAGGGGAGGGTGAATGATGGGAGGTTGCCTGGTGGGTACAGTGTGCATTGCTCCAGTGATGGATGCACTGAAGGCCCTGACTTCACCAAAATGCAATGTGTCAATGTACCAAAATTATGATACAGCAAGTGCTTTAGGAATTAAGAGGTGTGAAATAACATCAGGCTGGAGTAAGATGTGAAGACTCTAGGGAAGAAGTAGAGTTTGAACCATCAGCTGAAGTTAAGTGAGATCAAAGTCAGTTCCAGGAGATAGTGGGGAAAGCTGGCTGAAGGAAAGACTTGAAGGAAGGAATGTCCTTGGCACAGTCTCGGGGACCATAATGGATGAATGAGGCTGATGTGAGAGACGTGTTCATGAGAAAGATGGGAAGTAGGTTGGAGAGGTAGGTGACGTCCTATTTTGTCAATGGACAGTTTCAGCACCCACCCTGCAAGCCCCAAACTGGGCCTTGGTGAGGGAGTTGTTGGCAAAGTCCCTACAAGGCCCAGACCCCAAGCCTACATGAAGGCGCCAGTTCAGACCTCAAATGTCAGCCTGTGGAGTTGAGTCCGTAACCAGCCTGAGAGACTTGCCACGGAGCACACTTGGCGCCTCCTCCATACTTCTAGCTGCACACAGACTTGCTCAACAATGGAGTGACTGATGCAGGTTTGACCTTGAAGTACAGAATCAATAAAGGAACTAGAAGAATAAAAGTTGAAATTGGAAGAAGATACATGGGAGGATGACTTAGAAAACAATGCATGGACTACTCAGGAGGCCGAGGCATGAGAATCACTTGAACCAAGGAGGCAGAAGTTGCAGTGAGCTAAGATCGTGCCACTGCACTCCAGCCTGGGCAACAGAGCGAGACCCCGTCAAGAAGAAGAATGCATGGGGTATCCCTGCCACAGGAGCCCTTAGGAATCTGAGAACTATTAATAAATATGATGTTATTGTATTTGCACCCTGAGTTTGGCTTCCTGAAGAATCCATTATAGTGGCACATAAAACCCATAAACTAATGAGGAGGCTTCCTCCATAGAACTGAAGGCATTTGTAGCTATATTGACACTTAATTCACTGAAGACATTTGTCTCACACTTTATTATATTGAGAACTTAACCCAGTTTTGCAAAATAGATAACCATCACAGGAGCTGGTCTTAATTACCTCTTGCCCTTTGTGTGCCTTATGTAGACCTTCTCTTTGAAATAATGTGTGTATTTTTCAGTCTTCTCTTTTCCTTCTTAAGGTTTTTCTCAAGAGCCTAGCAAGATTCCTTAAAAAAAAAAAAAAAAAAAGCTGAAAGCAAATCTATCTGTTAGTTGCCTTTGGCCTTAAAAATCTTCCCAACAAAGCTATAGTTGCCTGACAAACTTTGATATCTATAAATAATGCTGACAAAGGAAAAAAATCAAATTAAAGTGTTAGTTCAAGAATTCCATCCCGTGAACACGTTAGAGTGTCCTACTTGTCCTCAGGCTACCATCCTGCTTGAGCTGTTAGCACTTTTCCTGAGGCAGACAACTTCCTTAACTCACACCTGAAACAAACAAACAAAAAGCTGATGTCAGCCCGGGCGGTCCTTTCCCCTCCTGGCTCTTTCCCTTTGCTAGAGAACTGAAATCAGATGAGTTGCTGACATCTGGTGGTAACTAAGCGGAGTGTAATCTCGGTCTTGGAAGGACTTTTGTCTCTGATTCCAATACACTCCCCCAGCCTCTGATTCCTGGAGGCCTCCCCTTGAGCTTACAAAATTGTTTTATCCAAAGGGAAAGCAAAAGAGCAAACTAAGAAACAACAGAAACAATTTCCCACGGTTCTGAGAAGATGAGTGTTGGCCACCAGAATGAAAAGTCAGCCTTCTCTAGAGACAACCAACACTTCTTGGATTTAGACAAAGATTAGACTTGATCCCAACAGACTTGATGAGTCATGAGAATAAATAACACAGGGAAGTCTCTTTTGGTTAAAGGTAACATTTTTCTTGCAGCTGGGAATAATTCTGCTGTACTCATTTTCTCTTGGCCATTCAAATATTTTAAAAAGCTCCCCATTTTTTGGGGGCCACAGAGTAGACAGTGGTTTCTGAAGCATTCTGCATTGTTCTACTCTTCTACCTCTCAGCATGTTGCGTGAAACCTCAAATCCTTGCTCACAAAAGTTCTTAAACTTCATCTTCAGAGAAAAATGTAGAACCTTCACTCTGGATAGGACAAAGGCATCCACTAATGAGACGTGCAGGGCCTAAAGGTATGTTAGGTGATTCCCAGTACTAGTGTCTGGGAGTATCAGAGAAGGAGGTGTCCTAAACGTTGCAAGCAGAAAGAAAATCAGTCACTATTCTAAAATGCTATTTGATTTCTTCGTAGCATGTATCACTAAAAACAAAATGTATTTTGTTCATGTGTTTGTTTTCTTGGTTTTCACCTGTATCCTCCTGGTTTTGCCTTCCTTACTCAACACACCTCTCCTCTTGAAAACTAGAAAATAAACTTGAGAACAGAAACCTTGGTGGTCTTGTCCACCGTTATATCCCAGTACCTAAAATACATGACATGCTAAACTTCTCAAATACTTATTTTACAAAAGAATGACAATACACTCCCATAGTTCCAGGGAGTCCCTACTTTACCATCCCTCACTCCAGAAAGCCCGCAAAAGCATCCCATCCAGGGAAGCTCTCTAATGACTCTTTTTCCCATTCATCGACAGCAGAGAGCAAAAAGCCAATATCCAGGGCCCAGCCTAGCGACCTCCTAAGATTCCTGGAGGTTGACGGGTGTTAGCACAGATGAAGGCTGCCTTCACCAGAAGGCCTTCCAAATGCTTCAGGGCATTGGAGACAGAAATCTTTACGGGCAGCGTTGAGTCTATTACAGCATATCTTGGTGCTAGATTGCTATCTGGGTGTGCATGAGTCTGTGGGGGCCGGGGGAAGTGTGCTGGAAAACTTTCCCTCTGTCTCCAGCTAAATGGCTTCCTGAGGAAATGAGAAATGGGGGTGGGGTGGGTGGGAAGGAATGAAAAAATTCCAGTAAGGAAAAATAAAAGACTTTTTTCTATGGAACAGGGAGTGTTATTTGCAGATCTAAAATTCCAGGATCTCTGTGTATTAGAAACACAAGGGCTTTCAAAACGAAAAAGTAAAAATAAAAAATAAAATCCATGGTGTATGAGACACTAGAATAAATATTTCAAAGGTAACATTTTAAAACTGAGAAGTCTGGGGAAGCTTGGCCAGGATTGGTGAGAACCTGAGATTCACGTCTCTCCTGACTCAGCCCAGTACAGCAGGTTCTTTCTGGCAGCCATTAATATAGTTCACGGTTAAATTACTGGACCCCATGTGGACTGAAAGGGCCTCTTTATCTTTAAACAAACAGATGAGGAAGGAGGATCTGCCCCTCACCCCTAGCCTAAACCAGTATTTGTGAGACCACACCAGGGTTTTTCCATTCCAGCTATCAATCTTCCCTTGTTGTGGTTTGAGAGAAAGAGAGAAGTATTCGAGGAGGGACGTGTAATCAAAAAGGTAACTCAGCTTTATTTTAGCAGACCTGAAAAGAAATAACTTGGTCTTTTCTTGAATATTGGATGGAAATGTAGGGGCATCAAGGATTCATGGCGGGGAACTCTCTAAATCATCTCCCCCACCATCCAGGACACCACCCATAGCTTGAGCTTCCTGGAACATACAGGCTGACATTTTTGTGCAGCGTCCCTGCCCACCACTCTGCAGGACACGTCTGAGGTTCCGACTTAGCCTGCCATCAGCAACAACCATTGCAGCCAGAACAGAAAGCCTTTATTAGGTGTCTTCGGCGTCTTCTGCACACAGCATCAAACTAGATCAATGAGTATCGATTGGTTTGGTCATGCCCCATGTTCCCTCAAGGGAAGACGGGCTCTTTAAACAACCAACCCAAAATGAAACAAAACAAAACATATAGGCTGGACGAAAGCTCCAAGTTTCAGATTTTCATGGAAAAATAAATTTGCAATAGATTGGTTAGAATTACAGAAAGAGTGCTTTAAATAAACTGTTCTAGAAAAAAATCACAGCTACAACTCCGCCATGTTAGAGTGTACAGTCTACGAATAACCTAATAGCCTTCTCAGGGAACATCAAGCATGCTAATGACAAGATAACTTTTTGCTTTGTTTTATTGTGTTTTAATCAGAGTGCCATGGGGTGGTGAGGAGATTTTGTGCCAGACAAAACCGAGTTAGAATTCCTGTTCTTTTACTTATTAATGTGTTACCTTAAGCACATTCTGAAATTTCTCTGTGCCTCAATTGTCTCATCTGTGAAATGGGGATTAAAAACAGCTATCCCACAGAGTTTTTGTTGTATGGATAAAATTAAGTAATGTCAGGCTAGGTGCAGTGGTACACACCTGTAATCCTAGCACTTTGGGAGGCAGAGGCAGGCAAACAGCTTGAGCTCAGGAGTTTGAGAATGGCCTGAGCAACATGGTGAGACCCTGCCTATCTCTACAAAAATTAGCTGGGAGTGGTGGCACACACCTGTCGTCCCAGCTACTTGGGAGGCTAAGGCAGGAGGATCGCTTGAACCTGGGAGGTTGAGGCTGCAGTGAACCAATATCATGCCACTGCACTCCAGCCTGGGTAACAAAGTGAGACCCTGTTAAAAAAAAAAAAAAAATTAAGTACGTCCATAACAAGCTTAGCATGATGCTTACAACCAGCAAATTCTCAAAAAATGGTTGTTATTGGTATTGGGTATTTCCTTTTAAACAGCATTTCCTGAGGGCCAGCTTTGTGCAAGACACTGTTCTCAGCTCTTTGCGTGTCTTACTCATTTCACCTCCTAAGAATCCTGTGTGGCAAGCACTATTCTTATACTCATTTTATACATGAGGAAACTGAGGCCTCCTTGCCCACGATCACATAGTAAATGGCAACCCCAAGCTGTCTGGCTCCAGAAGATTTCCTCAGAAAGGAAGGTCAGTTTGTTGATCTAAATAGTTGAGCTGCCATTTTTGCCTAGAAAACCCGAGTGGAAGATTTCATCAGTGTCCCCCTCATCTGCTGACAGCAGTCAGTGAACATCCAACATCAACTGGACTCTGCCTCCTTGGAAAGGCCCCAGGCTTGATCTGGATGAATGACCTCTGTGTACAGTTACCTTTGACTTGGCCTCCTACCTGAAAACACAAAGAGGGACAGTTACATAAGGTAATGCTGACCTATATTCTTGACACCCTGAGTTGCTCCTGGATCCCCAGAGCAAACACTGAGGTTCACCAGGAGAGAAGCACAAACTGATGTCTGATTTGCTCTTATCTGTCACAGGCCCTGCCATTAGCCCAACTTGGCCAAGAATCAGTGGATATTGATTGGTTTGGTTGTGCTCCTCATGTTCCCTCAGAGGACGACCAGCTCCTAAGCACCAACCCAAAATGAAGCAAAATAATACACATAGGCCGGACAAAAGCTTAAAGTTTCAGATTTTAATGGAAAAATAAATGTGTAATAGGCTTGTTGGACTAACAGAAGGGTTCTTTAAAGAAATTGCTTAGTTTTCAAATACTAAACACCATTAGATAGGCAAGTACTGCCAAATGAGTTTCTGGAGACAGAATTTAATGAACAAGAGACAAAATCTTTCAATTATGTCATTGTGCATATATAGTTTTTGCATAGATGAAGTTTGGTTCCTCTAATAGTTAAACATCACCCCCTACAAACTTGTTTTGATAATTGCCTTAAGAGATACTGTCTCCAAATAAAAAAGAAAGGTCTGATTTTTTAAAAAATCTAAATTGTCCGAATTCGTGGACACCTTATTAGAGAAGGTTTTGGGTTACTAGTTTAAAAATTGTTCCCTCGTTTTTTGTTTTTTAATAGGATATCAGGAAAATCCACCAACAAAATCATCTCTGAAGTCATTAACATGAGACAAACAAAAGCGGTGACTGAGATCCAGAGTCACCTAAGCCAATTTAAAGTCTTAGAATATACGGCCCATTCTTTACAAAGTCCTCAAACCATCACCTCAGAGTTCCTTAATAGAAGTCAGAAGCCCAAATTCAAACACAGAACTACCATGGAATTGTGTGGTGACACCCAAAACATCACCTGTCTGGCCTCAGTTTCCTCCCTCATATAGATGATCAAACCACCTCCATAAGTTCCTCATAGAGATGACGATGATGATGGTGATGACGATGATGATGATGATGTCATTTAGCAGTGTTGGTAATGAAAATAGCAGCTGCTTGTTTATTGAGTCCTACCATATGCCAAAGCACTATTCTAAGCCTTTGACTTGAATTAACTCACAATATCCTCCTGGAAATTTTGCACCAGGGATTTCTCCCCAAATCCGTGTCTACCATGCTCTCTTAAGCGAAGAATATTGTGACAGGTTCCATATTCAAAAAGTAGCCTTAACAGTATTTTTCATCTTGCAGACCCTTTATACAACGTGTTTTTGACATTTTTCCCATCAAGAGGAGGGGTCTATATTTCTTCCACTTGAACCTAGATGACTTTACCACCACGGCAGAAGTGACACTATATGACTTCCAAGGCTGGGTCATAAAATGCAATACAGCTCTTTGCCTTCTCAAGCTGTTCACCCCAACCCAGCCACGAGGCTGGGAGGTATCCTGGGCAACAAGGAGAGACCCTATGTAAAGGCTGCAGCCAACTCTCCAGCAGAGTTCCCCACCAACACCCAACATCAATGGCCAGATGAGTGAGGGAAGGCATCTGCAGGTGATTCAGCCCCAGCCATTGAGTCCCCACCAGCCTTCAAGTCTTCCCAGTGGATTTTCCCAGACATCAAGGTGCTGTCCCTGCTGTGGGCCCACTCTGAATTCCTGATCCCCAGAAGCTGTCATATTAAAATAACTCGTCATCTTAGTGTCTTATGTTTGGGGTGTTTTGTTATTCAGCAATCCAGACTCTACCTCTTCTATAAAGCCTAGAAAAGGGCCAGAACTGGAACTCTCTTTTTCCTATTTCTAACATCTGTGGGGCCTGTGGCAAGAATACAAATAAAAGCCCACATACCATATGTCTAAATATTTTAAAACTATAAATCAAGCTAATAAACTAAGTAAAATACATTATTTCCTCCTATACTGATAAATACACCATTACAACAATTCTGAAATGTTCTAATCTAAAATTCCTGTACTCCTCAAGGTTCTGTTCTGGAGCCTGGGGTACTGGAACCTGGGGTTCTAGGAAAACTGGCCATCTGCCTGTGGTTTGCCCCCTTTCCCCTCCTCTTGTCTCCATCTCCACCCCACATTGCAACACCGAATGTCGAAGATCCATTATACCCCTGACCCCCACCACTGCATATATCCAGGCTTTGGCCATCTCTCAACACCAACCCAAAATGAAACAAAACAAAACACATAGGCCAGACAAAAGCTTAAAGTTTCAGATTTTTATGGAAAAATAAATTTGTAATAGGCTTGTTGGAATAACAGAAGAGTTCTTTCAAGAAATTGCCTAAAGGCCTACAAAACAGTGGCAGGATCCAACATCAGGGAAGGGGGCACAGCAGGAGGAGAGACACCTGCCAGCCCACCCAGGGAGAAGTCCACACAACCTCTCGGTGGGCTCAAGGACATTTGGACAGGGAATTTCTAAACATGATCCAAAAGGAGAGCACAGCCCCAGGATGGGCTCCTCCGTTTGTCTCCATGGAGAAGGGCACTGCCAGGAGAGGGCAACAGTGGGGGCCTGCAGAGCACAGGACTGAGGGCTGGGGACCCCCTTACCTGGGCCTAAAAGCAGCTCTGCCCCTGGGCCTTACCTTGACCCCTCCTCAGATCTGAGGAGATTGTAAAGAACATACCCAACCTGATGTCTTCCCAAGGTGGCAGGAGAAGAGGAAAGAAAGTGCCAGGGCTTCTAGAATCGCTTTACACCTCCACCAGAGGTTCTACTCCCACCCCCACACCAGGCTTAGGAAGGGACATTGCTATATATTGTCTCCAATGTCTTTTGGCTCTCTCACTCTATCTCTGGAAACTTCCTCTTTTTAATTTTGATATAGCATGACTTCCTGCTATGTTCTCCAATCCAACTTGGCCATCAATAAATCCAGAAAATATATTTTGATCCCCCTTTGCCACCCTCTGTAAAATTAGCAGTGGGTTAAGATGTAAGAAGGGGTGAACCCAGAGATTCCCTTGTACCCCAAACCTCCTATATCAAGCAACTCTCAAGAGTTCATGTGTTGAATCCTTCACATTTGCCCACTTCTGAACTCTGCATTTCGGACCCCTGAGGTGACAAGCAAACTGGCTGATCCTTCCAGGAATTATTGCATGAAAATGAGGAATAGAAAAGAAAAAAATCAATATCTGTATTGTTTTTAATTGTCTACTTCAGTTAAGGATAGAGACATAGATGAATATTCTAAATGCAAAGACATTAAGATGATGAAAAGACTGGGAATTGGTAAAATGGGGAAAAAAATTATACTGTATGAAAGGAGGAATGTAAATGTATTTTGAGGAGGGAGCAGGATTAAGGATAGAGATCCATTATCCCAGCAATAACATGACTATCCCTCGTAGCACTCATTCACTACCCATAATGCCAGGAGGCCACAGGAGTGCGATGACCCTGGTGTATATTGTTGGTGAGTCCCAGACAGATCACAACAAAACCTCACAAGTATGAAACTTGGCTCTGTGTCACCCTTTCTGCCACCACCAGACTCTTTCTCCCAAAGCAAATTTCAATTGACTAATTAATTTCTATATGCATAATAAGTTACAGGAGGCAGGCATCAATGAACATGTGCATTACCCAGCATGAGCAATTTAGGTGGAAATTCGGCTGTATTACATTATTAAAGTTGTCTGTCAGACTACAAAACTATTTAGGGTTAAAAAATGTTATGAAGTTACAACAGTAGGGTAACATTGATGGGATGATATTAATGGAAGAATTTGTTTCCAATTAGCAAAATTATGTCTAAAACACGTATGCACTTCAAAGCATGATGTAGGCTGATGAAAAAAATTAAAAATAAAACACGTCTGCACATACATAGACATAGGGTATCCCTTATCTGAAATGCTTGGAAGCAGAAGTTTTTCAGATCTTGGATTTTTTTTTTTTTGGATTTTGGAACATTTGCATATACATGATGAGATATGTAATAGACATGGAGATGGGGCCCGTCTAAACATGAAATTCATTTAGATTTCACATACACTTTATATAAATATCCTGAAGGTAATGTTAGACAATATTTTTAGTAATTTTGTGCATGAAACGAAGTTTGTGTTAAAGACTTATGTGTGAACTTTTCTACTTGTGCCTTTATGTCAGCACTCAAAAGTTTTCAGATTTGAGAGCATTTCAGACTGTTTCTGATTAGGGATGCTCAATGTACATCATACACATGAATAAATGTTACTGAAGGACTAGAGAGTCAGACATTTGCTTTTTGACCCCTGAAAGCTAAGCACTGTGAAGGCACAAAGAATGTGTGCTATTTAACAGAGAGCAAAGCACCCTATATCATTGCAATAAACTTCCAGAAGTGCTGGAACCATTGCTAGTGACTTCTTCCTCCTGTTACTGGAGATTCCTGTTTCTCTGTTGTTATAGTTGTTGTTTAACCTTCTCTCCTCTACCTTCCTATTTTCCATTTCTTCCTTTTTCCTTTGGCACCATTAATGACCTTCTGGGTTAGGAAGTTATTGCCTCATGCTCTGAGATCTTGTTACTCAAAATAGTGTCCTCAGACCAGCAACAACTGCACCACCTGCAAGCTGTCAGCAATGAGGAATCTCATCAGCCACCGTCGACCCCACAAAAAAAATTATCATGACATTTTGAGTGCATATTAAAATTTAGGAAGCACTGCTCTCAAATGCAGACACTCAAACATATATACTGAACAAGCTTTCTGCTAACTCACTGATCAGACCTAATTATTGTGAGCTTATCATCAATTTATCATATTACTCACACCACTTGCTTCTCTCTTCCTTAATCTAACTGTCTCGTGTTTATTTTGTTCCTCTCTAGCACCTTCTCACAAAGGCTAGGCATGGACAATTAAGTAAAAGCAGTTTCAAAACTATTCTTTGTAGCAAGTTGGGTAAAAAGCTTAGTAAGGAAGGAGTGACAAAGTATATTCTTAAATGGACTTTTGATTACTTGAGCACAGCCCAGATGTCGGCTGCAGTGGCCCTGTCACATAAGACTTGGATTAAATTAGCTCAAGCTGACTCTGCAACGTCCAGTGGGACATCTAAAGCTCTCCTCAAGATTTCTGCAAATTCCTGGGGCTGTGCTTCTCGAGCCACTTCTCGCTCTAAGCTCGAGTTCTTATACTCGGTCTTACTCCCCTCTTTCTACACCGCTTCTCTGCTTTGTGCTGCTCACCAACGTGGTCTTGGAAAAGTTGCTCTGTCCTTGATTTCCCCCTTCCCCAGCAATGTTCAGAAGCCTTAACAGAAGGTTTGAGGGGATGGAGATGGTTTACACCTCAAGCAATGTCAAATGGCTATTGGACAATTTTGTTCTTCGTGTCCTTCACTATTGCTCCACTCTGCAGGTCCAAGGCCTGGTCTTCCTGCCCCCGCTCTCTGTTCTCTGCCTCCCTCCCCTTATTTCTGCTTTTCTCACCCCCGAAGTCCTGTTCCACTTCTTATACATGATACTTCAGCAATTTTGTTTTGTTTTACAGGTACCTCCTAACTGATACCTTCAAATTTTCAAATTATTTTCCCAAACAAATTTCCCTTCCTACAAAGCCCACTAGTTACAGTTGTTTAAATGATCGTTGTTGTCATCGCACTAAGTAAGAACACACTAAGGGCTATTAGGATGTTATGGTGAGGCTGGGTTTCCTGAGTTGGTGGTATGAAAAAGTGCTGGAAGTTAATGGGTTAGAATGGGAGGGCTAAGAGACTCAGGAAAAAAAAAATTGCAAAGATAACTTATTTCTTATTGCCTTTCTAGTCTCCCAACTAGCACCATATTGAACCAATTCTCCTCTACTCACACATTGACATACCAAAACTAAATATAATCATATCTCTTTTCCTCACCCTAGATGTTGTCTCTCACCCACCACTGCTCTTAAAATCCATATACAGTTGTATAGCTGGGTGACTTTGAACAAATTCCTCATCCACTTTGAACCTCAGGAACGTAAATAAAATGGGAATAATATTATTTAACAGGACATTACATACAACAGTTCCAATTCTCTCCACATTTCGGTTGATGCTTTAAAGCTGAGGATAATGGGTGTTAGGTAGCAACATATTCTAAAGAAAGGAGTCCAGCCATCTATGTTAGCTCGCTAACAGATGGCAAAACTGGGTATGGGTCCTGCAGTCCACCATCTCTTGCCTGTATGTAATAGGAGACCAGGAAGTTGACTTGCACAAGACTAGAGAAGATAGATTTTTCCGTTTCTGCTCACCCATGCAGGGAGAGAAAGAGAGTTTTCCTCCTCAAGCCAAGTGAGGAGACTCTGGGGTCCTATGAAGAGCAAAGTGACAGAGATCTTGGGAGTAAATGGCCTGCGTTGCCTGTCTCTTGCCTAAATAAACCTAAGGCAAGAGTTTGGTTAAAGCTTTCTCTGATGGCAATGTCAGTAAGAGGACCATGGTGGGAATGCCTGCACTTCCAGCTTGCTTTCGGTGATGTAAGGATGCTGTATCCCTGTGGATCAGTCTGAGTTATCTCAGAGAATTCTGCCCAAGAGAAGTCACCGTGCCTCCTCATATGGCAGGATGAAAAGGGGCTTCAGTGTGCCTTTGAAATAATTACAAATTGACAGGAAGTTGCAAAGATAGTATAGAGAAATCTCAGGTACCTTTTATCCAGTTTCCCCCAATGGTTACATATTCCAATACTATGTTATAGTATTGGAACCAGGAAACTGACATTTGTACAATATCTTTGTACAGTTCTGTACCATTTTATTATATGCATAGACTGGTGTAAATACCAGCTAGCAGCATGATCAAGATACAAAACTCTTCCATCATCACAAAGATCTCCATGGGGCTACCCCTTTATTGTCACACCCACCTCACTCACCTGCCACCACCATCCCTGCCATACCTAAACCCTGGAAACCAGTAATTTGTTCTCCATTCTATAATTTTGCCATTTAGAGATTGTTATAAGTAGAAGCATACATGATTTGACCTTTTGAAAGTGGCTTTTTTTTTTAACTCAGCAAAATGCCCTTGAGATCCATCCAAGTTTTTGTGTGTATCTATTCCTTTTCACTGTCGAGTAGTATTTCATGGTATGGATGTACCACATTCTGTTTAAGCATTCACTTATTGTAGGACATTTTAGTTGTTTCCAGTTTTGGTTATTACAAATAAAGCTGCTATGAACAATTGTGTATAGGTTTTATGTTGTCAGTTTTCATTTTTCTGAGATAAACACCCAGGAGTGTGATTGCTGGGTTGTATGTTAGGCATATGTTTATCCTTTTTTTTTTTTTTTTTTAAGAAACTGACAAACTGTTTTCCAGAGTGGCTGTAGCATTTTAAATTCCCATCAGCAATGTATAAAAGACACAGATTCTCTGTTTTCTTGTGATAATTTTGTAGTATTCATTTGCAGTATAAAAATTTGTTTGTTTGTTTTGTTTTAATAGGTACGTAGTGAGATCTCATCATGATCTTAATTTGCATTTCCCCGATGGCTAGAGATGGTGGAAATCTTTTCATGTTCTCATTTGTCATCTGTATATATTCTTTGGTGAAAGGTTTCTTCATGCTTTTTGTCTATTTTATAATTGAACTGTTTATTTGCTTTTTTAAAAAAAAACTTGGTTTTGAGAGTTCTCCATATAGTCTACATACGATTAAATTTCAAACATGCAATTTTTAAATGCTTTCTCCCCATCCGTAGTTTGATTTTTATTCAATTTATCAATGTTTTTCTTTTTTTGAATCATGCTTTGATGTCATATCTAAGAATTCTTTACCAAGTTCTGGGTCTCAAAGACTCTCTCCTATATTTTCTTCTAGAAGTTTTATGGTTTTACATTAACATTAAAATCTATGATATGGCTGGGTGCAGTAGCTCACGCCTATAATCCCGGCACTTTGGGAGGCCGAAGCAGGTGGATCACGAGGTCAGGAGATCGAGACCATCCTGGCCAACCTGGTGAAACCTCGTCTCTACTAAAAATACAAAAATTAGCTTGGCATAGTGGTGCATGCCTGTAATCCCAACTACTTGGGAGGCTGAGGCAGGAGAATCACTTGAACCCAGGAGGTGGAGCTTGCAGTGAGCCAAGATCGTGCCACTGTACTCCAGCCTGGTAGTGACAAAGCAAGACTCTGTCTCAAAAAAAAAAAAAAAAATCTATGACCCATGTAAGTTGATTTTTGTATAAGGAGTGAAGCTTAGGTTGGTTCATTTTTTTGCCTGTGGCTGCCCAGTTGCTCCAGAACCATTTGTTGAGAAGGCTATCCTTCCTTACTGAATTGCTTTTGCACTTCTGTCAAAAATTAATTGGTTGTGCTGTGTAGCCCTATTTTTGTGTTGTCTATTTTGTTCCATTTATCTATGTTCCTGTCCCTCTGCCAATATCACACAGTCTTGATTGAGATAATTTTTTTAAGATGGAAAAAATGACAAGCAAGTCTATGGATCTGCCTAACTTACCATCCAGTAAGGAGGAAAGTGATTCAACAGTATTTAGATAAAGTGGTAGTGAAAAGTAGATTTTCTTCTTGTTAAAATCTCACCAAGTCCAGTTTTCTCAATATGCAATTGCAATTAACAACTTCTTGGAGGGTTTTTTTTGTTTGTTTGTGTGTGGGTGGTTTTAGTGTGTCATACATGAGAAGCATCTAACATTGTACCTGGTGTGTTGTATGCCATCAATTTTATTGCTTGTCATTAATATTTACCATAATTATCATCTTTATCATCCATGCTCCTCTCTGATCCCCTTGTAGTGAGTAGTTACACAGAGAGGCCAGCATTTCTACCCCTCAAACCACATCTCTTACCTATACTTAGAAGTTAAAAATTGCTTTAAGGGAAAATAAACTTTTTTGCTTAGCAGCCATTGTGCCTGCTCTTCCCACCTTGAAGAAAAGGGAAATTTATCTAAAGACAGGCAACAGACTCCAGGGTAGCAGAAGTGAGCAGGCATTCCTTCATGACCTTTGCAGCTACCCCCCTGCCTTGTGCCTTTTCAGGTAAGACCAGCAAGCGGAGCACCTGGGCCTGGGCCTGGCCACTGGGGGTGGCGCATGGCATGTTCAGGGGCCCATGTCAGCCTGGGCCTAAGGGGAAAGAAGGTGAGTCACTCACATGGTTCCAATTCTCCTCGGAACCCTCCAGCCCAGTCGACCGGCATCTAAATTGGGAATCCCTGAAGCTTAGCCAAAGCCACAACGGTCTGGCTTAGATCTTCCAGCTGAGGACAGGCCTGGGAGACCACACAAATCAATGGGTTAATAAGGATTTTGAGGGCCGGGCAGTGAAGGTTGCAGCAGCTGGGATGAATCATTATTTTTAATTTCAGTTAAGTCCCTGTGTTAATAAAGGGGCTGAATGAAATGTGAGGATGGGGGTGGTTGGGGGTTGGGGAGGGTTGAGGGAAGAACCCGTCATTTTCTAAATGTTTGCCTGCCTGACCTTTGAAATCGGAGTGGAGAATTCTTCAAGTCTGGTAATAGCAAACACTCTTCATCATGCCCTTCAGTGGCTGCTAACTGCAGACAGCTTTTTTTCCCCTTAACAATAGAAGAGATGGAAAAGAAAAAGGCAAGCTTTTGGCCTCAGGGTTTTTTTTTTTTTTTTTTTTTTTTTTTTTTTACCACAGCCCTTTCCGCTCCAACCTACATCTAAGAGGAAGGGAAACTATCTTTTGTTATCACTCAATCTCCCTTAAATTTAAGAACAGCTGGGGATATTTTTCATGATTCATTAAATTCACATCATTCCAAAGAAATCTTCCTGCCGATTTATCTTTGCCTCAGCAGTTGGGGCTCCAGGAGTGTGCAGTTTCCTGAATGCCGTCAACCTGCGTCCACTGTTTTGGGCTGAGTCTGTGATCTTTCATGCTGGAATATCTTTTTTTGAGGGTGAAAGAGAGCGGGAAAGGAATCAGGGTATTGAAATGAATCTTTCCAGTCAATTTTTATCTTTCTGGAGATAAAGAGAAAGTCGTATGGCTGTCATAGCTAAAGACTAAACCCCAGCTAATGTCCTCAGCAGGGAAGAATAATTAGTAAATTCTCTAATTAGAGTCCTGTTTACATTTCTCTGTTCATAGAGGCTAATCCTTGTGTTTAAAGAAGATATTCTGCCTTGATTAAAACCATTGGTTTTAATGAGAGTCATGGTAGAATCCATATGGTAAATGTAAATGTGCTCGAGTTCCATACGTATTCAATTCATGCATTCATTCATCCATTGAGGACCGACTGTATACTGAGGAGTGTACTCGATTCTAAATACAAATATGACATACTTTCTATCCCTGTGGGCTAAGACAAGCATAATAAACAGGCTTCATCCTCCATACCTACGGTCATCTATTGGAGGTAGTTTTCTAGAGCATTCTGAAGTCATTTCCTGGTCCTAGAGAAAGGAGAGCTTGACGGGATTATTGATATCCATCATGGGGGTAGGAGAGTGGGGCATAACAAAGAGAGAAAGGTCCTGCCCGGCTTATTTGTTGAGTGCCCAGGGAGTGTGGAATACCATGCCAAGGCCTTTTGTATCCCCCTCACTCAGGCACACAAAGGCAAGGCTGAACACATTAGAAAGTGGTTGGTGAAACCCTTGTCTTTCTCCCTCTAGGAACTCGTGGTTCTGTACAAGAGCCATACAGGGCCCCAGGGTTAGTCACCATGTTCATCTGTGGATACCTACCATTAAAAAGTCTTTATTATCATAAGTCATTGTGCCACATGGGCAGCAAAACACAAAGATTATAAGCTCAGGTTCTGAGCCAACTCTCTGGGTTACATCCTGGCTCTGCCATTTGTAGCTGAGTAAATTTAGGCAAATTACTTCACCTGTCTGTGCCACAGTTTTCTCACCGGTAAAGTGGGGAGAAGAATACCTACTTACTGGATTGTTAAGAGGATTAAAAGAGTTCTGATGGGCGTGGCATTAAAACAGTGCCTGGCTCCTTGTAAGTGCCACTGTGTGTGATCATTAGTGCCGTATGGTTGTGGTTGTTACATTACTGACCTAGCCTGGTCAGACTCAATAGCTGAACAATTGAACTTTCCTTCCCTTCACCCCTTTTTGGTTTCTCCTCTCCAATAGTATTATGTCCAAGTAGAAAAAGTAAATAAACAAACAAAATATGTGCATTCTTTATGTGTGGAGTTAATGAGAGCCCCACATCCTGAGAGATTCACTCAGGGTCCTTCTATAAAAATCAACTGTAACCACATCTGCCTCTTCTGGGATGAAATACAGTAAGTTCGTCTTCTAACAAGCTTTCTAGGAACTCAATAATGGTGAGACATTAAGAAATAAGCCATAAGCACAGTCACCATCCCTTAATAAACATAAAGTAAAAAGCTTAGGGAATTCTGAAAAATTATTTCACTGACATTAATGATGGAAGAGCATTCTGTCCCTTACATGGTGTGTGCCCTGATGGCCAATGAATGTTCTATCTTTCCTTCCCTGTAGTGGACACTGTAGGAATGTTTCAAAAAATTACCAGACCTGGTTTCTACCCCAGGGAGCCTGACCAGGGAGGCTCCTAACACACCCATGGGAAGGGATAAACAATCTGCAAAGCCAAGGATTACCACAAGGTCTCTGATTGCTGAAGAGACACAGAGTAAAGAGGGGTCTGGGTCAAGAAACTTCCTGGGACAGATGGTGGGATTTGAGAGAAGTGTTAGATGGACAAGTCATTTGAACTGAGGTCTCAGTGGGAAGGAAGGAAAGGAAATCAACAGGTAACCTAAAAAAGACCAAGCACTCTCAAATACTTGGACTCATTTAGTCCCCAAGAAACCTTCTGCGTTGAGATTAAGTTGCCATTTTCATACAAAATGAAATTGATACTGAGAGCCTTAGTGTCAAAGATTCCTGAGACTTAAACCCAGTTACGGCAGACCCCAAAGTACTTGCCACTTGATCATGCTATATCCTGGGAAGCATAAAAGGTGAGAACAGCAGATAAATATGGCCTCAGAAACTGAAAGACATTGGCCCCTGAGAAAAAGCTCTAGGGAAGAAGATTGGGCAGGTGGATGAAGAATCCCTCAGGAAGGAGTGGAAGGGATGGCCCAGGTAGAAAGAACCTTGTGAAGGAGGCAGAAAGCAGAGAGGGGTGAGATTGTATATTAATAGACAGGTTTTCATTGAGTTTTGTTTTATTTGTGTGTGTGTTTATTTTTACTGAATCTAATGAGGCACTGAAAGGACTTGATTTCACAATGAAAACTGCCATTTGGAATCATTTTATTTCTTGTCTTATGTATACTGACCTACAATATACAGGTGATTCTCCATAAAGAGGCCGAACTGCCACGGACAAATGGGGAACTTCATTTCTAACCTTGAGCTTTCATGATCTGCCCCATCTAACTTCATCCAAAGTTTTCCATCAGAAATTAAGGTGGTCAGTTTGGGCTTCTTTTTTGAGACAGAATCTGGCTCTGTTGCCCAGGCTGGAGTGAGGTGGTGCAATTTCAGCACACTACAACCTCAACCTCCAGGACTGAAGCAATTCTCCTGCCTCAGCCACCCAAGTAGCTGGTATTAAGATGCCTGCCATCTAATTTTTGTATTTTTAGTAGAGACAGGGTTTCACCATGTTGGCCAAGCAGGTCTTGAACTCCTGACCTCAAGTGATCTGCCCACCTCAGCCTTTCAAAGTGCTGAGATTAAAGGCGTGAGCCACAGTATCCAGCCTAGTTTGGGCTTCTTTATCTCTTTCAGCCACCAGAGGAGAAGGTGAGGCTAAATTATAGTCCATAAACTGACGAAACAAGCCCCAGAGTCATTGAACACAACTGGGTGTTGTAGCCAAAATTGGCCTTCTAAAATGTGTAGTTCTTCATGTCACCTGCCTGCTGAAAATATTTTAATAGTTTCCAATTTCTCAAAAGTTAAGTTCAAATCTCTTAACTATGTGATACAGTGATTTAGCATGCAGGCTTTGTGCAGAGACACATCTGCATTTGAATACTAATTCTACAGTCTCTTAGCTGTGTTACCTTGGGCAAATTACTCAATCTAAGACTCAGTTTCCTTTTCTGTAAAATGGGGTTAACAGTTGGACCTCCCTTGGAGGTTGCTGTGAGGATGAAATGATAAAATGCATCCAGAGCCCTTGTTCTGTGGTCTAGTGCAATGGTAACTATGCTTGTTCTTTTTTTTTAACTTATGAGTCCCATTGATGGCCTTACCCCTAGTGCCACTCCAAAATAGCTTCTTAACACTCCCCCCAGCCCCCAGTATTGCCAATCACCATGAATTTCATTTTATTTCTTCTTGGGCATAGTTTTCTCTCTTGTACCCGTGTGCCTTTGCACATGTTGTTCCCACTGTCTAGGACATTCTAATTCTTCCTCTTGGCATGGCTAATTACTAGTTATCCTTCAGACTTAGATTGAACATCCTGCCTTCCCTGGCCACGGCACGTCGAGTTAGGCACTTTTGTGTGTGCCCCCACAGCACCTCATGCATTCCATGTCATGGCATGTAGTAGTGGACTGCTCGGGGGTTCCCTCCATGGAGGCTTGCTATGATATTCCCAGGGCTTAATCCAGTGCCTGGCACATCATCAGCACTTAAATATGCTTCACTATTTACCAATGAGTGCTAGGTCACAATATCATTACAGAACACACATGGCACCCAATCACCCTCCTAAGAACCCAAGGAAACAGTGGGTGTTTGCCCAAGCCCTTCATCCCTGGGTACTTATAGCCACAGGACATTGGCCCCTCCATTGGGTTTCACAGTTCTTGAACACCTCTTTCTGAGTCCACTCATTCCCTGGCGGAAACCACACTAAAGAGCAATGAACAATTTATCTTTGGAGGCCACACCAAAACCCAGCAGGACTCTTGTTTAAAAATTATTATAAGAAGTTCAAGATCATGGCAGCAGAGCATTAAACAAAGCACAGGGCCCTTCGAAGCATGGCAAGGTCACATGCCTGTGACGCTGGCCCCAACCATGCCTTTCTCCACAACCCTGTGCCCAGAAGGACCTGCCATGCCTTTCTCACTAGGGCACCAGGCACTTAATGAGTCTCCTCAGGAATTAAGTGATTTTTAAAGATAACCAACTGGGGTGACAAGCTTAACACTAAGAAATGAATCACTAATGGTGGAATTCCTGGCCTCTGTGGCAGAGATAATTTTGGATAGAGCTTAAAGGGCTGGCAAGAACCTTAAATTCCACTATTTTGTTAATATCTCATCACGTATTAGTTTTTTATGTTAGTATGCCTAAATGTAAGTGTAAAATACACATAAATACACATATATTTCCTGAACTGAGAAGATTTTTTTAACTTTATTGTATTCATCAGTAAAACAGACACTACAATATTAATTTGGGCAATTCAAATAGATGCTCTGAGATTTCATATTAGTAAAGAGATTAGAAATCTTTCATCGAAAGTACCTTTATGATCAAATTAGGGTAATTACTTATCCATAACTCTAAATAATTATTATTTCTTGATGGTAATGCCATTCAAAATCTTTTCTTCTGGCTATCTTGGAATATTCACTACATTATTATTTGCTATAATCATCCTACTGTGTAACAGAACATCCGAACTTCTTGTCTAACTGTAACTTTGTACCTGTCAATTATAAATATTTAAAAAATTAATTTTAAAAAGAACTTTATGTAAGCAAGTTTAACAAGGGACTCTAGAAATGCAAATGTCAGATCTCTGCAACAGATACTTCGTAATACCAGACTGCCATGTGGTTTCAGAATTTACTCAGTTCAGTGGTACTCAACCCTATTTGGTCATTAGAATCACTTTTGGAAGCTTCTAAACACTCTTGAGGCCTGGGCCTCAGATCAACAGAATAAAAATTTCCACAAGTATGGCTGGGGCATCAGTAGTTTGTGAAACTCTCCCAGTGGTTTAAATGTGCAGTAGGATTAAGAACCGCTGCTCTAGGCCAGGTGAGGTGGCTCACGCCTATAATCCCAGCACTTTGGGAGGTCAAGGCAGGTGGATCACCTGATGTGAGGAGTTCCAGACCACCCTGGCCAACAGGGTAAAACCTCGTCTCTACTAAAAATACAAAAATCAGCTAGGCATGGTGGTAAACGCCTGTAGTCCCAGCTACTTGGGAGGCTGCAGCAGGAGAATCACTTGAACCTGGGAGGCAGAGGCCGCAGTGAGCCGAGACTGCGCCACTGCGCTCCAGCCTGGGTGACAGAGGGAGACTGTCTCAAAAAAAAAAAAAAAAAAAGAATCGCTGCTCTGGTTGGACAGATAATTCCATCACAGGTACAGGTGTTCCTGCAATGCACCAAAAAGTGTTGAGTTGAACTTCCATCGGATGGTGATGAAAATCACGTGCTGTTTAATAGCCTATGAATTTAAATCCACACGCAAGGAGGATAGCCTGCTCCCATAAACCGTCATTATTATATATTTGAAAGCAGTGAAATCCCTTTACAAAAGGGAAAGAAAGAGACAGAGACTCAAGCTTAAGCCTCAAAAATCATCAATAAAATATCAGTATCATCCCATGGTACAAAAATCCCAATCTCCATCTAAAACTGCCTGACCCTAAAATATATCAGAAGCTTGTTCTAATCACAGAAGATGCGTTCTGAATAGGACCGTTCCTCTCGCAATGGCTAAGTCTGCAAGTCACTGTTTTTACTGGAGCTGAAAAATTAATTCCTTTTCAGAAATATTCTCATCTTCTGTTAAAAGAAAAAAAAGGCTTTTTTGATGTCGAGTGACAGGATTATAAAGTGACCCTCTGGGTCAGAAGGAGACTTTTCTTTTTCTCATCAAGGAAATCAATTTCTAAGTCCAAGTCTCTTAAAATAATATATTCTTGTGGCACGCACACAGATTTTTTGATCTGCTATGAAAAGAATAAGAGGTAAAGAGGATCAGGGGTGGTGATGGAATATTATAATCTGCCACACTCACACATCAGCCTTTCACTAAGTAATTCCAGATAAATTGAGGATTTACATATTTAAGATTAAATGGGAGAAAGAGTAGCTGATGCATAAACATAGGAATACAAAGATATAACTGAAGCAAGTTAACTCTTAAAACTTGAAGTTACTTGGTGCTTATTTTATCGCTCCACTTCAAAGTTTAATGTTTATTAGTGACTAACCAAGATAATCTCTTTCCGATCAATTGAACTCACAACCCGCCCTTAGGGAATTTTTTTCCCTGTCCTCAGAAAATCCCAATTACACCGACAAGCAACAGTTAAATGCATACAAAGACGCATAAATGCAGCAGATGGAAAACAGGAGGAAGCAGCTGGAAGCGTGTTTCCCTCAGAACTGTTTTTAACAGCCTGTGCACAAATAATGCCTCTCTAATACAGAGATAAAAATAAAACATAAATATTGAGAAGGTGACTGGTCACAGCAACAAGATGGCATGAGATGCTGTTATCTTCCCTGGTTCCATTACCCTTACATCACTCCAGATACTCTCCCATTTGGGGGCTTCCAAGAAGTCCAGAAAATGAGATTCAAGTTTAGCACCCTGACTTTACTAAGAGCTCGGTTACAACCTGAACTTTCCCCTGACGCCGCTCCCAAGAATCAGATGCCTGCGTGGCTTTTGTTAGGCCCCTGTTAGAGCCCCTAAAGAGTGCCAGTATTTCTCTCTAACTTCGCAACAGCTTAAACTACAACTTAGCACAGCAGGGCCTTTCCTTAGTCAAGACTTTGATTCCACGGCACCGAGAATTCCTTACCCTGGAAGGAAATGCATCTTGTATACGCGAAGAGACTTCTGACCTGCCGTTAGGTAGGGAAATTAGTTTGGGCCCTTTTTCCAGTGATGATGATAATGAATTCATCTGATGCTCCCTGAGGCTGAACCTTGCTCATCAACTATTCGTTTCTCTTTCAAGCATTTCCTGACACTTGCTAAGCCTGAACCTCTGTGGCAGGTGCTAAGAAAGAGAAGCAAGTGAATATGGTGGAAGGCAAAGGAAGGGGCCCATGGGGGCAAGTGATGGGGACTGCTAAGGTATTATCAATGTTTTATTTCTTGACCTGGGTGCTGGTTACTTGCTGTTCTCCTTATAATAATGTATTAAGTAGTATATTTGGGTTGTGTGCACTTTTATAATCGTATGCTACTTTTCACAGTAAAAAAAAAAAAAAAAAGCGAAAGAAAGAAGAAAAGAAAAAGCAAATATGAAAAGCCCAGTCAAGGAGTTTTCAACTTAGTAGAGAAGATAATATATAACTGTTATCTTGCATATAATGCAAGGGGATGTGTGATCAATGTCATAAGATAAATATAAATTGCTATAGGAATTAAAAGATCCATCAGGATAGATTGAGGTTATTAGATAAGGCTTCATATAGAAGGCAGTAGTTGAAATAGGAAAGAAAGATGGACAAGAATTCAGCAACAAAGCTGGAACTCAAGGGAGACGGGCATTGATCAGTGTTAGAAATGCTTGTTCCCCAGTGTCGTAAGAAACAGCGCTTGAACATAAATTTAACTTCCTTAGCAAGGCCATTTTTTACTTTCTGCATAAAGGGTACACTCGCCAGTACACCAAACAAAGGAGACGGGGTCATTTATAACCTGATGAGTCCACCCTACTGCTATGTCTGGTTTCCATTGGCTGGAACGGGACCTCACATTCTGTATTTGTCCTGATTGGCTAGCAACTTAGAACTTTTTAAAAGAGGCAAAGGCAGAGGAGAACAAAGGAAGGAGGAAGTAACTTGTGGAATGCTGAGAAAGGTAAAGACACCTTCAAATAAGGAAGGGGAACAGGCTATGACCTAATCCTTGCTTGGACCAGCATAAGCATGCCAGGGCATATACTTAGGCTAAACTGTAGAAGCTAAGAACATAAAGTACATTGATTTCTTTATCACGGCTAGCAGACATTTAAGAATGTTAGCACAGGTCTTTGAATAAATTTTGCTTCTAAAAGAAGTTACTATTTATTCCTAATTAGATGGGGAGGGAAGTCTTTGAAGAGGAACCTCTACTTTACTTATTACAATCAGGAAGGAAGAGCAGGAGCAAAGGGGGAGAAATGTTAGACTGGCCCTCCCCCCCACCCCCGCTGCCCCACCAAGGCAATGGAGACCAGGTCATTTAACTAAAGCATGGAGATGATGGAGATGGATGGATAGGGTGGGGAAAGGAATTGAGAATCAAAATCAAGGATTCAAGAGAGTTTTGAAATCTCATCTAACAAATCTATATTTTATTTGGTGGACAAAGGCAAACTATAGAAGATTGTGAGCAAGAAGGTGTTATATATCTGGACTGTATTTAGGACAATTAATTTGGCAGTGACTTGAAGGGACAGGAGTGTGGAAACAAGAAGGCCATTAGGTTATAGCAGCTTACCGTTAGCCTTCAGAACTCCAAGGTGGCGGCGGGAGAGGTGGCTCTCTGAGGGCTTAGGAACTCAGGGCTCTACACCTACATTGCCCTGGGTCCCTTCTTCACTGTAACATCCCCTCTGCCTTTCTGCAAATACATTCCTTACTAAGGATGTTGTTTACCTCCACTAGTGTATCTTCCCTATATTCATTCTTTGAATATTATAAAAGCTTTTAATATGGGAAACATATAATCTTCCTTTAAAAAAAATCTAAGTATACAGCAGGAAATCACAAATATAAGCAGCTGTTCTGAATAGCGCAATACGAAAATCACTTTTTTTTCTTTCTGCTTCAAGTTTAACATTCCCCTTCCCCTTTGCCTCTATCCATGCAGTTTCTGTGGATGGGAGGTTGCTCGTGAGTGTGCATAAGGACATATGCACACATATGCACAGGCTGCCTGTGTCTCCTTCTGAGTTCTTGGTGCTTCTTCATAAAAGTTTCATTTAGTCCTACTAGAGGACTAAATGGGTTTCATTAACCCAAAACTGCTGGCTACCTTACTTTTCACAGCTGTGACCAGGGTAGCTGTTAGCATAAATAACAGCCACAGAGCCACCAACTTTGCTACCATGGCTTTCTTAGGCCCCATCAGGATATGTCAGAAACATGAACAATACTTACACATCTATTTGGTGTGTTTACTCTTCTTAATTATGGATGAACTGGTATATTCAAAAGTGAATCAAGGCCAGGCGTGGTGGCTCACACCTGTAATCCCAGCACTTTGGGAGGCCAACCAAGGTGGGTGGATCACCTGAAGTCAGGAGTTTGAGACCAGCCTGATCAACACAGTGAAACCCCATCTCTACTAAAAATACAAATTAGCCAGGTGTGGTAGCACATGCCTGTAATCCCAGCTACTCGGGAGGCTGAGGCAGGAGAATCCTTGAACCCAGGAGACGAAGGTTGCGGTGAGCTGAGATCACACCATTGCACTCCAGCGCCTGGGCAACAAGAGCGAAACTCCATCTCAAAAGAAAAAAAAAAATAGTGAATCAGAGGAGCTGAAGGGATGGCTCCAATATTTGTTTACCTACATCAAATGCTTTCAGAGGAGCCAGGATTGGTGCATTTTATAAATTACACACATTTCTTTATTGCTTTTCTTGCAGTAGAATTGATGTTCTCTATCTCTTTCTGAGGTCTGTCGTTTAAATGGCTGATGCACGGCATTTTGTTACTTACTGGGTTTCTGGTGCCTTGCATTTCTCAAATAAGGACAGTTTGAGAAAGTTCCAGGTTCAAATGAACCAGATGCCAGTAAGAAATAAACCTTCTCCCTCCTTTTACACAGGTTTGCTCACACCCACAGCTGGGTCAGGTTTATGGCCGAAAGGAAGCTTATCATTGTTGGCTGGCTATGAAGCCAACTGCCAATTTGCACATATGGCTGTTCCTGGACCCTGCCGTGTTTCCCCTGTGACTCATTCATTTCAGGTGCTATAGCAACAGGTCTGGGATACAGACATGATGAACTCAAGTTCCTCTCCAGCCCGAGTTCAAAGCACCTTTTTGCCCTTCAATAGATCAGAAGAGATTTTCTCTTTAAATACCTGCCAGCTGACCCCGAGCTGGCCAAAATAGGACAGAATTTTCCACCAGGACTTAGTAGAATCTTGGGAGCTTCTTTCAGAAGAACTTAGTGTGTTGGGATGGACAAAGCTTCCCTGTGAGTCAGAAGCTAGGGTGGCAGCTCTAGATCTATCAGAACAAGCTAAGACACTAACTCTCTGAAGTTGGACCAGCTCGTTTGTTCATGGTAACGGGCCAGGTTGCAATGAGGTTCCTGTGGAGAAGTGAGAAAAATGGGAAGAATGTCTTGAATTTTTTATTAAGCTAAGTTATTTTGTTGAACGTGCTATCCTTTAAAATTTCTACTTCTCTAACGTTAATAAAAAAAAAAAAAGCACCATTCAAGGCCTACTTCAACTATTGGCTCCTTTCAGAAGCCTGTTCTGATACCATCAATCTATCCCAATAGTTCTTTTAATCCTCATAGTACTTGATATTTTTCTTACCTAATGATGTTTATAAGCCCTTTCTTTTGTGAAAAAAATAATACTGGGTTTTTTAACACACATATGGGTTTAAAAAAAGGTGGGCAGTCTGACCTGGAGTATGCAACATTTTTTTTTAATCCATCCACCTATTCTTAACTCCATTTATGAAATTCAGAAGTCCAGTAACCACTGGGCCTGATGAATTCTAAGGAACATTCCAGGAACACACTTCTTAAACTTTCTGTGAGTATGGATGCCTGTTATCTCAGGTTGTCCCCACAGAATCCCAGCAAAGTACCAGTTGCAGAGGAAGCCTATGTACTTTCTTTCATTCATCCCACCAATATAAATGCCTGTTATATGCTGAGTGCTAATTCCTGCCCTCAGCGAGCTCACAGTGTATTAAGGGTAACATTTAAGCAACGTATAGTAAAAATATATACATGTTCAAGTAAGTATATATTTCTCTCACATGAACATTAGACAGCCATGCAAGGTCCTTCTCTGGTTGTATTTGTTTATTTAGGGATAGACTCACCTTTTTTTTTTTTTTTTTTTGAAGCGGAGTTTCACTCTTGTTGCCCAGGCTGGAGTGCAATGGCACCATCTCAGCTCACTGCAACCTCCACCTCCCAAGTTCAAGCAATTATCCTGCCTCAGCCTCCCAGATAGTTAGGATTACAGACACCTGCCACCACGCCCAGCTAATTTTTGTATTTTTAGTAGAGACGGGGGTTTCACCATGTTGGCCAGGCTAGTCTCAAACTCCCGACCTCAGGTGATCCACCCACTTTGGCCTCCCACTGTGCTGGGATTACAGGTGTGAGCCACCTCACCTGGCCTAGATTCACTTTGATTCCACTCCCATCCCCCTTGCTCTCCATAGGCAACCTCCTAAAGTCTATCCTCTTATGTGCACCTGTTCTAGCAAAACATATATTGCTGGTTCATGTGAATATGTTTTTATTTTGCAAATGATATTGCTACATATCATATCTTGTTTTTTTCCTATTTCAGATCCATCCACACTGCTGGCATATGTCTAATTTTGATAGAATTGATTTCATCTTTTTTTTTAAGCCTTAAAGCTTGTGTTTTTGAAATTTGTTTAAAACCTTCTCCACCCCTAATCACAGAGATATTCTCCTGAATTTTCTTCTATACCTTTGTACTTTAATCTTTCTTGTTTTGGAATTTAATCCATCTCATGACCTGATGTGGAGATGTAGTTTTCTTTTCCACTATACTGTGATCCAGTCATCCTGATATTGTCTACACACAATCTAGGCTTCCTCTCTTTATTTGTAGTGTCTCCTTTATTACATAAGTGGCCACATGTACACTTGTGTATCTCCAAGATAGGTCCTTTCAGAGTGACTCTCCCAAGGTCACTCAGTCTGTAGGCAGCTTAACTGAGATTACATGCTCTCCAGCCCATTTGATCACATTGCTCTCCTAAGATTAATAAAGCTCATAGGGTGTCAGAGCTGGAGACAAACGTAGGAGTTATCCAGGCTAACCCTTTCATTTTCTATCAGATAACTAAAGCCAAAGGGGCTAAGTGTCTTGCCAGAGTCACGGAGCAAGTGGACCAGAGCACAACTGCATTTCAGATCTACTGATTTCAAGGTTCCTGCTCCTTTTACTGCACCTGAGAGTGCTCTAAAATCAACACAGTTGATTATACACAGTAAATCAGAGGGGAGGAGAGAGGGTTTCTAAAGGTATCAAGAAGAAAAATATGAGAAAGATCACAAAAAGTAAGAACACAAGTCAAATAGCACAACAGTGTGTAGTCACAGTGTATGAACAGTCTTCAAAGCACTAAGGGGACCAGGGTGAGCTCTGCATCCCAACCAGATAACCAGCAGTCAAGAAAGTATCCAAGTTTCCAAGAACTGGTTAAATTATGTTGATTATATTCTGTTCTGAATGCATAAAAGTGTGTAATATATTTTATCAAGATTCTTATCCAAACGCTTAAAATAGTCATCAAAATTGAAGGCCAGGTGAGATGGCCTAGATGCAATAGCACCCCAGTAGCAACAAACATACCTAGTGCCGGTTCTCCATTTCTGATACTATTCTCTCTAGTAAAAGAAACCTGGGATCATTGGAGAAATGGCTGATTCTAGGACTCAGGCAGGAAACATACGTGAAGAACCTGGAGCAACTTGTAGTGCCAGAAAGTAAGGAGGCATTCAAACAAGAAAACCACACACACACACACACACACACACAGTGATTTGAGAACGTATCAAAAGAATCCAGGAGTCAATAAAAAGAGCTCTCAGTGGTCAGAGCTGGAACAAGTTGAGCAAGGAATAATAGTATTGAATTACAACCCAACATATAAAATAAATATCTGAGTTATACTGACATAAATAAATAGTTGAATAAATAAAGAAATGTGGGAGAAAAGATAGATCTCCCATGCAGAAGAATTTCAAATAATTTGTGTAGATATACCACCCTCAAAGAGAGGGAGCAAAGCCTTCCCACTCTTTCAGTATGGGCACAGAGTGATACTCTTCCTTTCAAAGAATACAGTATATAAAAAGGGCAAAACAGAGGAACTTTACAGTGCAGAAACCCAACAAACGCGACCTCTGCCAGGTAATCAAGTTTAACTCCAACAGTGATAAGTCATGTTGATAGTATGTACCCTTGGCCGGGTGCAGTGGCTCATGGCTGTAATCCAGCACTTTGGGAAGCTGAGGCGGGAGGATCACCTGAGGTCAGGAGTTCAAGACCAGCCGACCAGCCTGGCCAACATGGCGAAAGCCCGTCTCTGCTAAAAATACAAAAATTAGCCGGATGTGGTGGCACATGCCAGTAATCCCAGCTACTTGGGAGGCTGAGGCAGGAGAGTTGCTTGAGCCTGGGAGGCAGAGGTTGCTGTGAGCTGAGATTGCACCACTGCATTCCAGCCTGGGCAACAGACTGAGACTCTGTCTGCAAAAAAAAAAAAAAAAAAAAAAAAAAAAAAAAAAAAACATAGTATGTACCCTTAATATGATGTGATGAAAATACACATCACCTTTGTGGTCTGCTTACCCTAAACCCATGACCTCGATCTAATCACGAGAAAACCATCAGATAAACCCCAATAGACAAACAGGCTAAAACACACCTGACAGTAGCCCTCAAAACCATCAAGGTCATTAAAACTAAGGGAAGTCTGAGAAATTGTCACCTTGATAGAGCCCAGGCAGACATGACAACTAAACACAATGTGGTGTCCTGGATGTGGTCCCAGAACAGAAAAAGACATCAAGTAGAAATTAGGAAAATCTGAATAAACAATGGACTATCGTTAATAATAATGTGTCTGTATTGGTTTATTAATTGTGGCAAGTATACCATGCTAATATAAGATGCTAGTAATATGGTGTGGGATTTATGGGCACTCTCTATACTAATTCATAGTAAATCCAAAACTGTTTTAAAACAGAAAGTTTATTTCAAAAATGAAAAAGAGGGCCTACAGAGTCAAGTCCTCATACATCCAGAAAACTTGCATCTCCAGAAATAACAATTTCAGTGTTTTGTGTAATTAAGCTTTTATCATATATAATTTAAATGAAGATCTTTTCAGATTTAGCTATAAATGGCAAAATTTATACCATTGGGTAAAAATCCACCATAATTCTCTGCTTGCTGTATGACTAAACTCAACCCTGAGCTTTGAGAGAGCTATGAGGGTGCTGTACATCAGGGTTTCCAAGCAACTAGGACAGTACCTGGCAGATGTCGAGAGATCTATTTGAGGGCCAGATAAATAAAGGAATGAAGAAATTCAAGATGATGGAATCAAATCGATTTAATGTGGCAAAGATTGTTTTTTGAAGATGCAAAATAATTCAGAGATGTGGAAGACAAGCAGATAAAACCAAACCATTTGAAGATTCAGAGTGAGATCCACTTCATGTGCATTAGCATGGCTATTATTTTTAAAAATAAGAATAACAAGTGGAGGTAAGGATGTGGAGTAATTGGAACCCTTGTACACAACTGAGGGAAATGTAACATGGTGCAGCTGCTATGAAAAACATGTTGGTGGCTCCTCAAAACATTGAAATAGAAGTAGCTTGTGATCTAGCAATTCCACTGCCAGGTATATATACCCTAAATGTTAAAACAGGGACTCAACAGATACTTACACACCCATATTCATAGCAGCCTTATTCACAGCAGCCAAAAGTGGAAGCAATCCAAACGACCACTGACAGATAAATGAATACAAAAAATGAGGTTTGTATACACAATGGCATATTATTCAGCCTTAAAAAACGAAGGGAATTCTGACACACACTATAATGTGGATGAACCTTGAAGACACCATGCTAAGTGAAACAAGCCAGTCACAAGAGACTTAATACTATATAATTCCACTTCTATGAAGCATCTAAAATTGTCAGATTTATAGAGACAGAAAGTAGAATGGTGTTTGCCAGGGGCTGGGGAGAGAGGGGAATGGGGAGTTATTTCTCAATGGGCATAGAGTTTCCTTTTTACAAGATAAAAAGTTCTAGTGATGGCAGTGGTGATGGATTCACAATGTGAATGTACTTTGGCCACTGTGCTTAAGGCCACTGAATTGTACACTTAAAATGGTTAAAAGAGCAAATTTTATGTTATAAATATTTCACAATTTAGAAATAAAAAATAAATATAAGGTTAAAAAAATCAGAATGAGGTTGAAGTAAAGATGCTCAGATATCATTAACCTGAAAGTTTTTGGCAGAGGGTCAAAAAAGAAGTCTAGAAATCTGTGAGCCATTTCATAGAGCATTTACAAAACTGCCCAAGAACAAATGGTGAATATTTTCATAGATGCTTCTTTAGCCATGTTCTAGACATTTCTACTTTCACTGACATTAAAAATATTTAAGTATAACAATAACCTGTAAGTGCTTAGTGCTTTTTTCATTTACAAAGCACCCTCACATCCATTCTCTTTTGCTGCTCAGAATAACCCTCTGGGAGTAGACAGAATCTGAAGCATCGCCCCATTCCATAGATCTGCGCACTTGTCCCAATTTTGCTGTGCTACTCCAGCGTGCAAAGCACTGTGCAGCCTGAGCGGCCATGGGCATAGATGGAGCTCCACTGCCTGGGTTCAAATCCTGACTACCCCACTTCCCAGCTGCATGCCCTTGGACGTGTTGACTTAACCCTCTGGGTCTCAGCTTTCTCATCTATAAAATGGGTGGTTTGAGGTTGACATGAGTTAATAAATGTAACACACTTACAATGCTTCATAGGTAATGGGTCCTCCTAGTGTTAGCTGAGTTCATTGCTGTGGATTCAGACAGGCATAAAATATAGATGACAAGACAAGCAGGAATGAGGCTGTAAACAGGGGAGCACACACAACACGGTGAGGAATCCTGCCTGGGAATATTAGGGAGCTTTTCATAGAGAAGGGGACATGTGAGCTTGGGATATGTGAGCTTTGAACATGGAGAATGAGAATGAGGAAAGTGAGGCTGAAATAAGATGAAGTAGCTTCAGGCCTGTTCCCATTAAAAACAACCACCCAAAACTCATATAATCCCCCATGGTTTTCAAAGCATTACCAAGTCTGCCATTCCACTGTGCTGCAGAGAAACACAGGCCTTCCAGGCAGGGGTGGGGAAAGAATGAGGCCACATCCATCCTTATTTTAGGGATGAGGGCCTGCTGGTTCCATGTTTAAACAGTTGCTCTAAGGTCTCAAATGTGCAGTGGCTTAAACAGAGTGGGGCCAGCACAGACCTAGTTCTTTCAGCTTCTAGTATAGGATCTTTCCATTGCGCCAAAGTGAAACACAAGCCTTTTAACCATCGGACTCGTTCATTTGTTCAGCTAGTCTTTGTTGAACACCTGCCAGGTGCACTATACTAAACACATCGATGAACAAAATGCATTGTGGTATTTACATTCTAGCAAGGGGAGGCAGAAAACAAGCAGTAAATAAGTTAAATAAGTAAAGTCCCTAGCTTACTAAGAGATGAAAAATATAGGCCAGGCGTGGTGGCTCATGCCTGTAATCCCAGCACTTTGGGAAGTGGAGGCAGGTGGATCACAAGTTCAAGACCAGTCTGGCCAACATGATGAAACCCCATCTCTACTAAAAATACAAAAAATTAGTCGGGTGTGATGGTGTGCACCTGTAATACCAGCTACTTGGGAGGCTGAGGCAGGAGAATTGCGTGAACCTGGGAGGCGGAGGTTGCAGTGAGCCGAGACTGCGCCATTGCACTCCAGCCCAGGTGACAGTGCTAGAGTTTGTCTCAAAAAAAAGGATGAAAAATACAATGTAGTGTGGGGCAGCGTGGGGCATCTTGAAGCATGAATTAGGATTCCGGGGTGAGAAGGTGAGATGATGCACAATCCACAATCCTGATGGCTTCATTGAGTTCTGAAATGCCCTCTCTAAGCTAGCGCTCACATGGGATGCATCCCCCCTCTACCCCCCAAGGCAGTGGACTCAACGGGCAACCACTCTTCCCACCCAGGGTTTGTTAAGTGCTAAGTGCCCCACAGCTGATCCCAATGCTTTGTCTTCCTCTTTGACAGAGAACCGGAGTTTTATCCTCCAAGCTCTCACTAGTCTCCTCTCTCCCCTGAACCCATGGCTCCCCTGCAGATGGATCTTGCTCTGTCCTGAAAATCTTTAGGAAGAACAAAATAATGGTCTTTCTTTCTCAGCAATAAGGAAGTCTTCACATGCTCACACTATGAAAGAAGAAAGTTTTATGTTTAGCCCATTGGAGTCCCTGTACCGTGGGCTGTCCAGCTTTGGTTTTAACCCAGTTAGGACAAAGAGAAGGTCACTTTCTTCCCTAAGCAGGTGATCAGTTTGGTGCTGCGTTACTTTCCAAAGCAAACAGGGCTCTTTTCTTTGTCTTTACCCAAATGCAATGCCTTCTTTTATACCAGGACTTCTGTTGACACATCCAGAAGTAAACTCGCAGGAGAATGCTCAGTGGAGGTGCCTGCACCAAGAGGCCCTGAAAGGAAGCGTGTGTGGAGGACTCCCCTCCCCAGCTGTATGGCCTTATTCACTTCCTACCGCCCTAGTTGGGCCCTTCTCTCCCTCACCCCTACATAGGGCTTCTGGTAACAAGAAGTGGTGATGTTAGAAAGTCATTACCTATCCACAGGCGGGCATAGCCATCCAGAGAGAGATGAGCCCAGCAGAGACCCCAGCCCTGGGTCATCTTAGTGGCTCTGGGTGCAAACAGAGCCACAGAATGGGAGCAAACACTATAAACAAAGTCAAAGGCAAATACCTAAATCAGTACCCCCACCTCAACCTGCCAGACTTTCAACTTCAATAAAACCTACCTCCTGACAGATCACAAAGGAAGTCTAGCACTTGGGGGTGGAATCGGCTTTTCTTCAGCATTTCTGCTGTCCTTTCTGTCACTCTTTGATTTGAGCTGAATTAGCAATGCCATCCTGGCTAAAGTTGGTATTGCAAAAGACTTTGGTAGAGTGCAAGATACCACATATGCCCAAGTCAAACAACCTAAGCAGCAGCTACATTTTAAACCCTGACTCTGCAGTCCAGTTTCTTAGAACTGTTCTATGGGAGTGAAAACTAAAGAGGACTTCCATCTTCCCCTGACCCTGCTGGCCTTCGCAGCTGGAATGTGCTGGGAATCACTTCTGGCACTGAAAAGGTTAATTGTCTCCTGCTGCGAAGTAGAAACTGAGAAAAGGGTCCTGGGCAGGGGAGGAATTATGGTAAATGAGGTTTTCTTTATAGTACTGCTCATTCTCAACATGCTGAAAGGGCATTAGTTCACAGTCACTTTCTCTGGAATTACCAAATCTGCTCAGGAAGCCTTCATTAGGATATTAAACAAGACTTAATAAGTGAAAGTGATTTGCATCGCTGATAATCGTGGGCATTAATCAAGACGGCTTCTGTCTCTCTCCCTGCAATATGTTTCATGTTCCACTGTAAAGCCCCTTTAATTCTGGAGGGCTTCTTAAAAGGGAAATATTACATTTAGAAAGCCATTTTTAAAATGATTTACTTAGCAAAGATCACTATAAATAATGTTCTACTCCCTCCTCAGCTTTAACTATCAGAATAATTAATACTGTGAGGTTTGAGTCAGGGATAGAACCAGATGTGTTCCCATTTATCAGACATGAGCTGCACTTATTCTAATAAATGTTTCAGCCTTTAAAAAGAACTTTAAGTCTGGCCTCAAATTAAAGGACCACATTTTGCACTTCTACTTGAAGTCACACATTGCAGCCATGTTCTACGTCACTCTGGGGCCCAACACCTTCAGTATTAACTTCTGTGCCACCCAAAAGCCTTGGAAGGCAAGCAGTAAAATAAGGCAACCTGCTCATAGTGGTCAATAAAATTAGAAACAAATAAAAGGAAAGCTATTTAAGAGAACTGCTGCTTTCTTTATAAGGCAGCTAGCTGTCTCTTGTTAAATCGGTGGCTTCAGAGTAAAGAGACTTCCATCCAAGGGAAGCTTGTTTTATGACATTTAGAAAGAAGAGAAACAAGAGTTAATACTTTGGTTTAGGCGAGTGAAACATCAAGGGTTTTTGCTGGGGTTTTTTTTCCTCTTCTTTTTTTCTTTTTTTAATTCCTGGTTTTCAGCTTCACAAATGGATTATTTTTCAAGGCTTTCTGAACAAAAGATCAAGGCAATCTTGTTACTTTTCATGGTTTAAAACAGTGTGAGAAACATCAGTTTCCTGTATCTAAAGCAATATAAGTCAAGGGCAAGGGAAGAGAAAGGAGAGAAGGATGGAAGTCTCTATCCCAGACTTGTGCCTGCAATTCAGGTCTGCACAGTCTCACCACTCCCCCTCCATTCTCCCTGCCCCCCTCCCCAGCCTCCCCCATGACAGCCCTGCAGAAGCTGCCTGTGGCAGAGAGATGTGTGTGTCTACATATGTTGAACACACACACGCACATACAGAGTTTATATATAGATCCATGCACACACCCAAAGTTGTTGTGCCATTGAGAGGTTTCAGATCTCCTAGCATAATTTGATTGCTGTTTCTGCCCTACTTAGGTGATAGCATCTACTCTCCTGCTCCCTTCAGTTCAGGCAGCCTCATTTGTTATGTCTCTGCTAAAATTAACTCCACGTTAATTTCTGGAGGCTTTGGAGTTTATTGCTGGGAAAAAAAAAAGGTTATTTGCTGGCAGTGACTAGTGACATGATGGTTTGCATGCACTAGGGCTCAGCACTCTATTTAAATGGAGCTCAAGAGATGAGCTTTGTGTGAAGCAGAGGAGACTTGATCCATCCTAATGGACTGCAACATGAATTATATGCCCTACTTCACCACTTCCCTGCTTCACTAATCTGGGATAGTTCACAAGGAACCATTTATCCAGAAGGGAGGAGACATGATTCCCAACTGAGGGCTCGCTCTCTCTTTTTTCATCTCTTGTTTTCTTGTCTTCATTTTTTATTTCCTCTTAGATACCCCAGCACCAAGCTATTATACTTTGTATATTTCTCTAGTCCACCAGTCTCCTTAGATACCCCAGCACCAAGCTATTATACCTTGTATATTTCTCTAGCCTACCAGGAGGAAATCTACTCATATTCTTGTAAGCCATCTCCATGTTTTTGCCCATTGTAATAACATAGCAACTACCTCTCCCTGGGCACCTAACAAGTGTCAGACAATGTGCTAGGGGTTGACAAACGTTCCTGTAACCCTTCAAGGGAGACTGTATTGTCCTTAATTTACAGATGAGAAGCTGAGGGTCAGAGCCACTAAGCAGCCGGTACAAATTCACATAGCTTTTGAGTGATGAAACAAGAAGTTGAATCATGGTCCTTTAGGTCTGTTTGATACCAAATTTCACACACCTTTTCAAAACAGCCTGTCTACTGCTGCTACTCTTGACCAGAAAGAATGATTACAAATGCAATACGTTAAGGAGCAGTGTCATTTCCCTAGAGACACTTCAGTGGGCATGAGAAATTTGGAATCTGGAAATTTGGGTGCCACTTAATTGAGCAGTTTCATTATTATTGTCACAGTCTGAAATGTCCTATCTCTTCTAATTAAAGAGAAAAGCCACCCAACCATGGACATGTTTTCTGTCAGAGCCCTAGGAGCTACACCACCACTTCTATTCATTTATTTTCACAGCCAATAATCAAGGTCAGAAACCTAAAACAGCAGAGTTTTCAAGTTTTTGCCCTAAATATTTTATGGTACCATCAAAACAAAAATTGTGCAGTCAATACAAATTTCAATGTTCAGATCTACTTTTTACTTGTTAATCCTCTAAACTGTTTGATACAATCACCTCTTGATAGTTCAAGAGATGATTGAATTTGAGGATTAACTAGTTTCCATTACTTTTCTTCCTCCTCCTCTCCACTGTTCACACATTTGGCTGTTAAAGTTCAAAAGTATTTCTACTAGAGAAAAAAAGATAACATTACAGAAATGACATGCAGATTAGACAACTACACTACTTATTAATTTTTGAAGGACTACAGGGAAGAAAGATAAAGAAAGGATTAAAGCTATTTGTTTAAAATAATTTGAGAGGCCTAAATACAGCAGTTATACATCATGGAATGAACACATGCCTGGAACCTCTGCTTCCTTTAGCCACTCCGCTAATATAACAGAAATGAGATTTCTATTTTTTTAAAGAAATAAAACCACAGGGACAAATAAAAGGAGAAAAAAAGACAAAATCATATGTTGGAATCTGGAAAGCAGATGTCCAAGTGATAACTGACTGCAGATTCAAGAAAACTGCATCTTTGCCCACCAGTAAGGAAAGGAAACCACAAAAATAACTTCGTTTAAATTCAGAATTCATAAGGATTCACAACTTGGTGGAACCAGGCGCCTCTGGAAGTGGGGTTGCAGGTAGAGCTAAGAGCAGGGGATTGGTTGAAAGTCTGTGTAACCAGCACAAATCTCATCCATATTCTACTAAGCTGAACAACTGCCCTCCCCTGCCTCAGCCAGCAGAAGACTGAAGGCTTAGTTCCCAGGGAAGGGCTCTAGACTGGGGACAAAAGTGCACTCAAGGTTGGGAGGACTGTAGCGAAAACAGAAAGAACAAGAAAAAGTCCATGTGATTGAATGTGGAGGTCCACCTACCCTGCCTCCTCACCCCTCCTTCATGCCCACTTGGCTCCCAGAATACTGGCAGCAGGGAATTTGAAAACCCTTCTCCAAGGTAGCTGATCAGCCTAAGGGAAAGGATGTAAAGGTACTGATGTGTGAGTTTCCCCAAAGAAAAACCCCAACCAGATTACCTTACAGGGAAGCCCTCTAGGTACACAGTTTCCAACTGGAGTTTTACAGCCCCATAGTAAAATGTGAACAGACAGCCAAGTGTCACCAGACTTTTGAGAAAATCATCTAAAATGAAGTCAGAAAAAAAGGCGAAGAACAACTAGAAGGTGGCAGAGACAGACAGACAGAAAAAAAGAAACAGTGAGAGAGAGAAAGAGAGAGAGAGGAAAGAAGAAAGAAAGAAAAAGAAAGAAAGAAAAAGAGAAAGAAATAAAAAAAAGGAAAGAGAGAGAGAAAGAAAGAAGGGAAGGAAGGAAGGAGGGAGGGAGGGAAGAAAGGAAGGAAGGAAGGGAGGGAGGGAGGGAAGAAAGAAAGAAAGAAAGAAGAAAAGATCAATTTTGGAAAATAAATCAGATGGCAGCCAAAAAAATCAAAAAACAATAAACAAATCCATTTTGTTTATAATCAGAAATATTGAAAGATAAATCTGAGATAATAACTTAGAAAGAACACAAAGACAAAAGGATGGAAAACAGTAGATTTAAAAAATTATAAAATTAAAAGGCCAGTCCAGGAAGGCAAATATTATCATAATTGGAGTCCAAAAAGGGAGAACAGAAAAAAAGGGAGGGGAGAAAATTATAAAATAATTGTTGCAACTCTTTCAGGATAAAAAGGATACAATCCACAGTGTGCTCCCAACAATGACTAAAAATAGATGCACACCAAGGCACCACTGTAAAATTTCAGCACACTGAAGACAAAGAGAACGCCTACAATTTTCCAGAGAGAAAAAACAGGTTTCCTGCAAGGGATCAAGCATCAGAGTAGTATCAGATTTCTCTCCAGCAATTCCAAAAACTAGAAGACAATGGAATCATGTCTTAAAATGTTGAAGGAAAATTGTTCCTAACCTAAAATGTTATGTCCAACCAAACTGTGAATTAGACATCAAGGTAGAAAAAGACATTTTCAAACATGCAAGATCTCAATGCATTAATTTTACCTACATACACTCTTTCTCAGGTAGTTGCTGGAGGATGTTCTCCAGTAAAATGAAGGAGTCAAAAGCAAAAGGAGGACTGGGATTCTAAAAACTGTGAAAGGAAAATAAATCTTGTGCCCCCAAATCACTAAGCTAAAGGGAAAAGTCAAGCTGGAAACTGCTTCAGCAAATCTGCCACCCATTCTATTCAAAATCACCCCTCTGCTCACTGAGATAAATGCATATCTGATTGCCTCCTTTGGAGAGGCTCATCAGAAACTCAAAAGAATGCAACCATTTGTCTCTTATCTACCTGTGACCTGGAAGCCCCCTTCCCACTTCAAGTTGTCCAACCTTTGCTTCCAGTTTTCCTGCCTTTCCGGACCAAACCAATGTTCATCTTACATATATGGATGGATGTCTCATGTCTCCCTAAAATGTGTGAAACAAAGCTGTGCTCAGACCACCTTGGACAAATGTCGTCAGCACCTCCTAAGGTTGTGTCACGGGCATGCATCCTTAACTTTGGCAAAATAAACTTCCTAAATAAACCCAGATATTTGGGGTTCACAAAACAAATATTCAACACTTAAGAGGATGGAGAGAATTCTTAAGATGATGGTGAAAAGAGAACCCAAAACAATAGCTATGCAGCTGTTCTGGAGAACCAGTCCAGATTAGAGCAAATTGGAAGACTCTGGAAAAAAACTGCTTTAAACAAATGAAAGTAGTAGAATACCTAATATGTTTGAAAATACTGAATGGAGATTTACATAACTGGGAGGAATAATTGGGGGATGAATTAGTGATGAACATATGGAACACTAAATAAATTTTTAGAAAAGACAATAATAATATACAAAATATTGTGCAAAAAGAAAATTAATCCTGGGAAACTGCATGAAACATCTGTGACTAGCATTTCTATAACCATAACAACGTAAACCCTGAATACTAATCTAATGAAAACGGTGATATAGCTACCCTGCAAGTTGGAAAGGAGAAGAAGTATGGGTAGGGTGAGAGAGTGACCAGGGAGTAAATTTCTAGAGTGAGGAATCAATAGATAATGCCTAAAACTAAAAATTTGAGAAGTAGACATATGAATGTGCTCTATGATTATATGCAGATAAATATGAAAAAAAACAGTTTCAAGAGTTGCAAATGGTAGCACTGCAGAAGTGAGAAGTGGAAAGTGAGAGTTGGGAATGGTTGTGGGTACTCATAATACTATTCAACCCTTTACATTCTGTGCATGTATAACTTATAGAAATTAAAATTAGCTAAAATAGTAGCAATATTTTGAACATATCTATTTTTTTAAACTTCTCCTAGTGAACTGGCTTGGTAAAATTTCTTATAATATATAGCCTATTATACTTCAGGAAAATGATTTTAAAACTGCATGTTGTGGCCTATTAGGGGGTTATGAAATCAGTTGAGTAGGTGGCCGTTGACATGTTTGGAATAGAATGGAATACAATAGTAGCAGATACCACTAATCTTATACAAGCACCCCCATTCACCCTTTATCCTTCAAGAAATTCATCCCGAGTTTTAGCTAGATATATGACTACAAGCTAGGATAAATGTGCAGGTATTGTCACATGGATAAGTTTGGACTAATGAGCAATGAGAAGAAGCAATGTCTATGCAACACGTAGGTTATCCTCGTAGAGACAAAACTATTTGTTGGGACACTCTTTTTCCTCCGTTTAGGCTAGAATGTGGATAAATAGGTGAACCAAATTCAACCAACTTGATAAGACAACCCACTCAGAGAAAGAAGACCAACAAAATAGAAGAAACGGTGTCCCTGAATGGCCTTGTCAGGCAAAATTTTCCACCACTCTGAAATACTCATCACGGAAAAATCTCATGAGGAAGAAGTAAACTTCCATCTTATTTAAGGCAAGCATTTTGGATTTCTGTGCTACAGTGGCTAAAAGGTACCTAATACATAAATAGAATAGAAAATATCAGAGTGCACCACTTGTTGGAAGGGTATGTATTGTTTTGTGAAATTTTTGTTTCATGATATATGAAGGGATCACATATATGTTTCTCTATGTTGGGTTGCAATTTAAATACTGGATTGCAGTCAGAAAAGTTCTAGAGTCACTCCTTAGGGCGTGTCTCTTATGCTTGATAAATGTTGTTAGTTAAACAAAGTAATGGTATTTTAGAATGAGGCCTCTCTGCAGAAGAGCATGTAAACTAATAAGCTGTGTTGACTTTGGACTCCTTATCCGGGTCTCAGCTTCCTAACATGCAAAAATGGCAGAGTTTGAGCAAATGATGTTGATATGCCTTTCAAGTCTAAAATTATGTTATATAGCCAGAAAGACTAGGGACGCTTCATGTCACAAGCTGGGAAGGGGAGAGATCTAGAGACAGATGGGCACAGATTGTCTTTTGTTGGCTGCTATTTGAATAAAGATCCCCTTTCTCAGATTTGGGAGATGCGGCACAATGAAAGGCAGCTAGAGGAGTAGGTGGAAACCCGTGCTGTTGTGTCATGACCTAGACCAGACAATATAACAGCGACAACTGTGCCCTGGTTGTTCTCCAAGTTTGGGGAGGTAGGAAGAAACAAAAAAGGAGCCACATATATGTAATAAGAACTAAGGAAATGTTGCAAAAATACAACCAACAAGAAAACATTAAAGGAAATGAAAATGTTTAGCCTGGAAGAAGGCTGGGGCAATTGAATAATTATTTCTTAGGTGGAACAATGCAATTCTAAATAGAGAGCTTATCAACAGATTCTTGATATAGACCAGTGATTTCCAAACTTTTTTTTTTTTTTTTGAGATGGAGCTTCTCTCTTGTTGCCCAGGCTGGAGTGCTATGGTGTGATCTCGGCTCACTGCAACCTCCGCCTCCTAGGTTTAAGCGATTCTCCTGCCTCACCCTCCCTAGTAGCTGGGATTACAGGCATGTGCCACCATGCCCGGCTAATTTTGTATTTTTAGTAGAGACGCGGTTTCTCCATGTTGGTCAGGCTGGTCTCAAACTCCCGACCTCAGGTGATCCGCCTGCCTCGGCCTCCCAAAGTGCTGGGATTACAGCCATGAGCCACCACGCCCAGCCTGAAATGTTTTAATTTAGAAGCAGAATAGCCTCTTCAAATGAAATCATCTGCAGTACCCCACATATACGTATATAAAGAATTTTTTAGTAGTTGAACTAGAGATGGGGGTTCCTACCTTCCAATTATCTCAAGCATCTTTCTGGAACTCTAGAATTTAAGGAACACAGGTTGAAAACAAGTAATTTAAATCACTGCTTTTCAAATATTTTTCACCGTGATCCACACACAGGACCTTACCTCCTTCCAGGATACACACATGCACACGCACACACACAGATGTGAAAAAAAGTTCCACAAGACAATTTTACATTTTGTAGGTTATTTTATTCTATACGATTTATTTCTGTAATGTCAACCTTGATCCACTTAATTGATTTCAACACCCGATAATGCATATGTTGCATCTCACAGTTGAAAAACATTGATCTAGATTGAGAAAAGATGGATAAAAATTGTCCCCCCAAAATTGTTAAATTTCTTCATTGTTAGCACGATTAACTGGCAGGAGTGGATAGACGGTGGAACTGTGTGTGGACAATGATTCCTACTGCATAGCAGTGTTGATGAAAGAAATATTATATAGAAGAAGGATCATTAGATTTGCTGTACAATTATACAATGAGAGAAAACAAAACCAAGAAAGACACAGAGACTATGACTACATCAGTTAACCCAGAAAAAGAATTGTTCCTTTTTGGGTGAGGTGTGGTGGCTCATGCCTGTAATCCCAGCACTTTGGGAGGCTGAGGCGGGTGGATCACAAGGTTAAGAGTTTGAGACCAGCCTGACCAACATGGTGAAACCCTGTCTCTACTAAGAATCCAAAAATTAGCCAGGCGTGGTGGCAGGTGCCTGTAATCCCAGCTACTCGGGAGGCTGAGGCAGGAGAATCGCTTGAATCCGGGAGGCGGAGGTTGCAGTAAGCTGAGATCACACCACTGCACTCCAGCCTGGGCGACAGAGCAACAGAGCAAGACATCGTCTCAGGGGAAAAAAAAAAAATTGCTGCTTTACAACAATCCACTTTTTTAATTCATCAAAAAGCCATTAGGAAAAAACATTCAAAATAAAAAAAGTCATCTAGGATATGAAGGGAAAAAAAAGGAGGATAAATCTTGAAAGCCATTCACAGATAGTTCATAGTTTATACAAAAGAAAAAATTAAAGAGGAATCAAGTAACAATTGAGAAGGAGCCACAAATTCTTAGAGAATTTTAGCTGTTACACAAACAAATCAAAATACTGAGAGTATTGCAGCACTTTTTAAAGTTGATGTTTAAAATTGAACCTCCTTCCCATATTTAAGGAAGAAACAATAAGTGCAAAAACATTCTAATAATCAAAACAGCTCATTTTTTGTGTTTGTAACCTTGTGTTTATGAAATCAATCAAAGAAATCAACCAAATGGAGTAGTGAAAAGAACCCCGGCTGCTGGCTGGCTGTGTGTAGCCCAAACAGCCCATGTGAGCTGGGGATTAGAAGGCACTTTCTCTTAGTGAATAGAAATGGAAACAACTAGAGAATCCGAAATTCAGTGAGGAGCACCCTGGACTTCAAGCATTTGTAAATAGAACATCTGTGCATGCTTTGTAATTAACTGACCAGCTATATTTTGGAAAGTAGCCTGTGTTGTGTGACACCAAACCACCAAACCAAAATACCGTAACGGATGGGTCTAAGGCAGAGGCATGTCATGCCAGCCGAGGGGTTGCATCAGCGTCCATGCTAGTGAAGCAAGAAGAGAGGGAATTAGCAAGGCCGCACTCTATTCAGTCCTGAATGACGATTTTTATAATTCTATAGATGCAGAGGGTTTTATTTGTTTGGGTGTTTTAGTTGCTCTTTGCAACTTTAACTTGGTCCATTTCATTGTATTACCTCTTCTCAAATAATTCTATAATTTCTTTGTCAGGTTCCAAACGGAAATAACCCTAGAATACCTTGTGCTCCATAGACGGTAATTCCTTTTCTCCTTCCCTACAAAAGTGATGTTTCAGGAAATGAAGTTAGACGGAATTCTGGGATAATGGCTTTATCTGGCAGCCTATGCTACTACTGAGGAGAAAAAATGGTGAACATTTGGTAGACCCTATGGCACCTGCAAAACTCAAGCAGTCATATAGGATGGGAAATTGACATGATAATGAGCTCATTTGTATTCCCATTTACGGCCCTTCCAATGACTTACTCGGAGACTGCTTAGCGAAATCCTTTTGAGAGAATCTGACACAGCCTCCTCAATCTGGAGGTGTCTGTTTTTCTATTAAGGTGATCCCAAGACCCATTACAATTCACCAGTTCTGCCCTATCTGTCCCTAGAGAGAAATTAAAAGAAGATGGGGAGCATGTTCAGAGAAATAAATGTTGGGAGAAACGTTACTACTCAAACATTGAAAAAAACTTCCTTAATTCAACCTAATTAAGGATGAAGATCAATCTGAATTAGAGTACATTTCATGTAGAAAAGTTTTTTTAAAAAAACATCTCATTCTTTTTGGAATGAAACAGAATATAAATAAATATTTTTTAAAAACATATTAAAGATGGTGGGAAACAAAAACAACAAATCATTTCCAAGTAGAGACTGCTTCAATGAACAGGTAAGGCCATATCATAATTAAAACAATTATCTAGATGCAGACAATTAACCTACTAAGTCCTTAGGCTCAGTTCTTCACAAACAATGTAAAGCAACAGCAAGTGCTTTTTTTTTTTTTTTTTTTTTTTTTTTTTTTTTTTTTTTTTTTTTTTGCAGTGGTTCTCAGCCAGAGCTGTTCATCAAAAGTACCCCAGGGTATTTTCAAAATACAAATGCCCAGACTCACTCCAAATGTATTCCATCAGGGCACTTGTGGAAGGACAGGAAAAAAATGAGCGTGCACCCTTTGGAAAAAAAACTCCCAAGTTGATTCTTATGTGCAGCCTTAGCCAAAAACATGAATTTATTGAACATCCACTATCTTATAAACATTTTGCTTAGATAATCTTACAGATGGGGAATCTTAAGAAGTTACACAGACAAAATTTTGAATATCTGGTTCCAACTTCCATGCTTTGTCCTTAGCACTACATGCCCTATAAGATAACGTCAAGAAAGCCGAAATGCACCTCCTAGTTAGTAAGACTTAACTAGAAGTTAAGAAACAGAGGCTGATCCCAAATAAAAATATGCTAATCCCTGGCTGCTTAGAGAACTGAGCATACACCACGCTTCCCGAGATGTGCAGAGCTGGTCCTGGGTATAGTTCCCATAGAAAGAAATGGCAGCTGCAACACTGCCCGGCTTTTGAGTCTCTTTTCCTACACATGTGGTAGGAATTGTCACCTACCCCAGAGCTATATATTATACCTGAACAAACCTTTGCCCAAACATGTAGTGTTTCCTTGCTAGGACACATCTGGCCTGCTCCTTGAACTGGAGCTCTGAGATTAGCTGGCCAGATTCCAACTGAGAAGGCTTTTTATCTTTCTCACAGTGACAGGCAGCATTGGGAAGCCCCAGAGATCCGGCACAGGAAGGATGTTGATGATATTGTGGATGATGTTGCTGATGATATCTGAGAAAATCATCTTCCCCAAATGCCATCACGTCCATTGTCATCTGACAAGACCAGGCAGCAGTCTCTACTGCCTATCATGTCTAGTTGAATTCTCTCAGCCTGTGAGCACCCTCCATCAATTTGCCTCCTCATCTACCATCCCTTTAACCTGCTTTGTCCTCCCCAAAAGTAAGGGTTGGGTTCTTAACTCAGCCCATGTTCACAGTAGCCTTCACTCAGGGAAAACAACATCCTAGTCCACCACAGTCACCCTTTATCACATGATGACCACAGCAGCTTGTGGGAATAGGCAATGCACACCTTTGGGAGGCAGACTACCTGGATTTGCACCCTGCCTCTGGGCAAGTCACTTAACTTCTCAGAATCTCAATTTCCTTTTCTGCCAATGGGCTTGATAACATCTGTCCTGTGAGATTATGGCTGTGAGAGAGGCTTCTGGAGGCAAGGAGAACAGAATCCAATGAGATTATACTATGAAATTATCATTCATAGTACAATCTGGAATTATACTATGGAGGTATACTATGAAGGCTGGAGGTCTCATCTCTTTTTTACCCATCCTCACTCCATACAAGGGACAGGTGTGTGTTATCAAGTTAGTCGGTTATCCATTCTCTGCACTCACAATCTCCTGAATGATTACAGATGCCCAGAGATTAAGGCTTTGTCACTTTCCAGAAGAACCTCCCTGAGACAGAATCTCCTTATCACTAACCTAACCCTCTCTCATTACTTAGGTTTAAGTCCCTGTCTTACCTGCTTTTCTTAGAAAATGAAAGATATAGACAATTGCTACACACTACAAAAGAGACCTCCCTGGCACTGAAGCCACCATGTGCCTATATTCCTGTCCGCTCCTATGATGGTAGTGGCAGTGAAGAGCTACATGACAGGGCAGCACATTGAGACCTGGAGGAAACATGGCAAACAGAGAGGTCGCTGATCTGGGAATCAGGACCCCTGACACCCACTCAAGACACAGCCGCTAACTGAACCTTCCTCACACAAGTCACTTTCTTTGTTGTTCCTCAGTTGTGACTTCTACAATGTGCAGAGCCAATCTCTAAGGTCCCATCAAGCAAGAAGATTCCTTGATCTAGAAAAATGCTTACTAGCAACACCGTCACTGCATTGTTGCATACTGTCATTATGAAATCGTTCATATCTGTGACACGTGTTTTATGTCTATTACATGTCTTTTGGTAATAGAAGTAATCATCGTTCTTCAAACAGTAGAAGAGAGCCTCAGGGAATAGAAGCCTTTTTCAGGCTTGTAGAGTGACTGAATGAGGGTTCTCATTCTGAACTATGATCTTAGCTTCAGAGCGTCATCTTTTCTGCATACATACACAATAACACAACATTGCCTTAGCGCGCTCGCTGTCTCTCTCGCTCTCTCTCTCTCTCTTTTTCCAGAAAGGAAATTTCAGGAGTTGAACTATTTAAGAATTCTCAAATATAATCCTTTCACACCACCACCAATAAATAGAGCAATATTAAGGCTAAACCTAATTTTTATTTTTTAAAAAGAGGCTGTTCTATGTTCTTCGAAGCGATTTTTCTTTTAAAAATGTATTTTCAACTGGTCATTCTCACCACCTTCTTGCAGACCTCTTAATTTTCTGTGGGACAGATTTATACACTCCAGATGCTGAGCTGAAGCCGCTATAATTCCACCTGCCACATCTGGCTCTTTGGCACGCCAGGCCGGAAGCTTCAAAGTTGCATCTCTGCGCCATTCGTGGTTAGACTGCTGGCTGCTGCTTTATCTCCTTGGATGTAATTTTCCTTTGATTCACCTATAATTCTGAAGAATTGATGCATTTGTATCCATTTTGAATAAGGTTCTATACAAATGCTTCATTTGATCTCTGAGCAGACCCTTTTATTTCCTCTTATGTGGCCTCGCCTTTAATTCAAGCATAAGCCTTAGAGCAACTCTGAACCACTGTGCCTGATTCTTTGCACAAGCAGTTTTGTTTGTTCCAAGTGCCCTGGTTCTTGTTCTTGGGGGAAGAAAAGACAGTGGTGGGGGGAGGGGAGCCATTCATGTTCCTGCATTTGAGAAGGGGAAGGGACAGACAGGTGCGCTTCAGTGATGTCTACTCCACCCCTTTCTCATTCAGACACAGCCTTAATATTATACCCTCTATTTTTTCAAACAACCCGATTCCTTTAGGAGGCACAGATGAGGACATATGAAGTGTTACTACAAAGCATCATTCCTTAAAGTGTGTCCTACAGAACTTTCATCGATTAGATGCTTTGAATAGCCCCCTGCAGAGATCACAGTACACATTAACATACTAAATGTTCTGAGAAGTCCTGCAGCATAGAAACATAGACACATTTGATTTTCTCAAGCAGTTTCCCAAATTTGTTTGAATATAAAGCTTGTTTTCACTTAACACCCATTAGCCTCCCATCAGAGCCTCGTTGGTGGGTGCTGCTGTGAAGGAACGTTCTTGGTTCCCCTTAATGAGTACACAGCACTGACATAGCCCGGTGGCTCCGCAGCCATGCCGGGAAGCGGGGCATTTATTGTCTCAAAGTTGTCATAGTTCAAAACAACTGTAGTCAAAAGAGGGAATGGAACCAATTTTCCTGAGTGTCTCAAACACCGAAAACAAACAAACAAAAAACCAACCTTGACTCCAACGTATCAGAGTAATTCAAGACTAATTTTCCCAAAAGAAACAACATTTAAATAAAGGTAAACAAGGATAAGGGTATGGTGTCCTAAGACAATTACTTGGGGAAAATTTTTATTTGAATGCCTAAATTCTAGGGTTTTTTGTTTGTTTTCGTTTTTGTTTTTCACCTAAAAGCTCGTACCAATCTTTTTACATCTATATCCTGTGGTCAATGTATAGATATGGTTATGGTAGGGCCTAAGTGTTCCCCGGTTTGGCATAGGCAAATTCAACTATTCACAAGGGATCTCAAATGCCCATGATATGTCCTTTTCCAATTTGCTAAAACCCGCTGATAACCAAGTTACACATTTCATATCTAGTGTGTGAGTTCAAATTACCACCCAGCATCCACATCCATGAAGTTTTGGGTTCTCTTCTTTCTGTAGGCAGAAATTTTATGGAAATGATAAAACTTTTCAGATTAAGATGAATTTATATTTAGACTCACTATTGTATTATAATAAGGTAATGTGATAAAAGAGTTGTCAGAATAGACTTTTCAAAATAATTTTATAAATTACCTATTTATTTCTAAAACCATTGAGGGTCTGAGAAGGGCTTAAATGTTTTAGTTATGCATTACTTCATTTAATTAGAAAAAGCCTATGCCAGATTTGCTTTTGTGAATTTGGTGATTTTTAAAGGACTACAAATTTCTATCCCACCCAATTTTTAGCTATTTATCTGATTTGTAACTAGTATTTATCTAATTTGTGATTGATTCATCTCTTACTATTTTTTTTATTTCTTCCACAAACCAAATCAAATTAGTAGACGTGAGACAACTGAAGTAGCAGGAATATATTAAAAGGGATGTATTGGGCCATTCTTATATTGCTAGAAAAGAGGTTTAATTGGCTTAAAGTTCTGCAGGCTGTACAAAAAGTGGTGCCAGCATCTGCTCCAGTAAGGAGCTCAGGAAGCCTACAATAATGGCGGAAGGCTAACGGGGAGCCGGAGCATCACATCGTGAGAGCAGAAGCAAGAGACAGAGTGGGGAAGTGTCATACACTTTTAAACAACAAGATCTCATGAGAACTCACTCACTATCATGAGGACGGCACCAAGCCATTCCTGAGGGATCCACCCCCACAGCCCAAACACCTCCCACCAGGCCCTACCTCCAACATGAGATTTAAGGGGGACTAACATCCAAACTACATCAAGGGGTTTTCACACTGAACTACATAATCTATGATATTCGTTCCAATGCATAGATTATATCAGTCTTCAAACTTTAGTCACTTTTATGAAATGGTAATGATAGTTGAAGCTTTCATGGTCAAGTTTCTATTTATACCATGAACTCCAGCAAGAAAATTTGAGCATTATGAACTCACAAACTCCTAACTCTTACGTAAAGAGTTAGAAGGCCAAAATTCTACCACCAAACTAACATGTGGATGCTGCATAGGCTATTACAATTATTCAAGTTAACACATTTACACACACACAAAAAAAAGATAATAATGACAATACCTTATATATACTTTATGGTTTACAAAATACAAGCCAGACTGCTGCAGTTCAAACCACAACTCCAATCCTTACTAGCTTTGTGGCCTTGGTGAAGTCACTTGACCTTTCTGTGGCTCAGTTCCCTAATCTATAAAATGGGGACAGTAATAATGTTACAGTAGGTAGCTAGCCAGGTATGAGCAGGACAGGAGAGGGCTTCCCCAGCACACATCACGAGAGGTGGGCAACCATCAGGGATGGTCAGGCAGTTGTTAACCACTTCTCTAAAGTAATAATTGATCGCAGCTGGAGCTAATAGAGAGCAAACACCTGAAACTGATCAGTAGCTTCCCAGTAAGATCTCAGAAGTGGGGAGAAGTAATGCAAGATCCTTGAAGTATGTCAATGTATAAAACCCCAAGTCTTGGTTTCTCAAGTCGCCCCTTTTGCCCTCTCCCAAGTTGTACTTTCCTTCCTGTTCTAAAGCTTTTTAATAAACTTTCACTCCTGCTCAGAAACTCCCCTTGGTCTCCTCTTCTGCTTTATGCCCCTGAGTTGAATTATTTCTTCTAAGGAGGCAAGGACTGAAGTTGCTACGGACCTGTGCGGATACACTGCCAGTAATGCAGGTAACTCAGATTCCTGCCACCCATAACACATTTGGTGCCGTGAATTATTTGCCACCGCTAACAATAATACTCTCTCTTAGGGTGGCTGTGATGATTAAAGAGTTAATAAATGCTGCCATCATCATCATCAACATCTCAGCTGATTCTCAAAACAACCCTAGGAGGCAATGGGTGAGATATTATCATAAACCTGCATATGAGGCATGTTTAATGATTTGCTCAAGGTTACATATCTAGTAAAAGGCAAAATAGCATCTCAAAAATGGTTCTTCAAGTTAGACAGAAGGAGTAAGTTCTGAAGATCCATTGTACAGCATGGTGAGCACAGTTAATAAGAATGTATTGTATATTAAAAATTGCTGAGAGTAGATTTTAAATACTCTCATCACAAAAATAAGTGTGTGAGGTGATGGATATGTTAATACAGTCATATTAACATATATATGTTAATACATAACATATATATCAAGTTATCAGTATAATGATATAACCATTCCACAGCCATATACATGCATCAAAACATCACATTGTACACCATATACACACTTTTCATTTGCCAATTAAAAATTAATTAATTAAGATTGAAAATCAAAAATTGAAAACAAAAATGGTTCTTCTGACCAAGGGCACCCCATCATCTACAGGCTCTAGGACAAGAGTGTAAGTGGAGGCCCACATACCATAATTCTGAATGTTTAAAATTTATAAATCAAGCTACCAAATTTTTAAATGCAATATGTTCAAGACTCCTATCTTAACAAATATTTCTCCATAACGCAAATATGCAAAAATAAATCTAAAACTAAAATTTGTGCACACACCCACACACAATTAGGTAAAATAGCAAATATGAAATTAATATTGAGTATGTCTAAATACTATACTGATGAGCCAGAAATATATGGATGAGCAATAAAAATGTAATCTTTACATATGTATATTATATCCACTTATAAAATTTATTTCTCTTACCTCCTTTTTAGCAAAATCATGAATTATATTGTTAAAATAACGATTTTCACATAATCTATGTTCCATTATCAGTAATACCAAATTAGACAAACTTTCTTGAGCCACTGCCATTTTTAAATAATTTTTTAAATTTAATTTTATTTAAAAATTTTGCAGTAGTAACTGGAATTGTCAGTAAAAAAATACTTAGAGCAATACTTAGATTCAGAAATCCACCATGAATTTTACATATCATGTATAAACATTATAATGGGGTTATACATGAAAATTATCTTCATTGCAGAAAATATTGAAGCTCATTATATAAATCATCACTCATATGGCGATTTTCATCAGCTCTTTGAGCAGTATCTGGAATGATATAGTATTTCTTGAGTTCTTTCGAATTTTTCAATGTTTGGATATTTAAAGAAAACCAAAAACGTTACAATATGTTGCTCAATTTATTCAAATCCCTTTTCAATTGAGACTATATTTTGTTGCTTCTTGTCCACCATCCTGCAAATGTTTGCTTTCCTTGGTTTAATTTTCTTATTTTTTATTGCAATGTCACTATTGTTGAATATGTCACATGCAGTTCCTTTCATTATAGAAAAATTATTTTCTCTATAATTTAAAAATGTTTTAGCCATAAAAAAATAAACTAGGCAAAATCAAATCTATCTGTTTTGTAACTTTTCTGAGATTAATAAAAATTTATAGTGTATACCAAATAACCATGCATAGCACAAATTTAAAATTAATTTCATTTTCTACCAATGTCTACAATCTCCTTTTTATTTGAGGATTTTCTATTATTTCGCTTAACTGGTCTAGTGAATCTCATATCTTATCTAAATTTAGTCTAGTTATTTTAATATCATTGTGTTAGCATTTCCTTTATAAGTCTAAGAGTAGATGTAAGGTCAAATTTTATATTTTTCAGGGAGATGTTTCATCTTCAGAGAAATTTAGAAAATATAGTACATAATCTTTGATTTTTTGTATTTGTTTTCATTTATGAAGCAATATGGCCTAAGTACATAATATTTGACATGTTCCAATGAATTTCATCATTATCGATTGATGTCCTGTCTCCTAGTAACAAATTCGAACTATGCATGCAACATGACACAAAGAATACATCTGAGTGTCAGAAATACTAGTATGTACACCTTTTTCTAAGCACTCATGTTAACTCTATTATCCAAGGCTTGCTCTTGACAAACTTGTGTTTTTTGTTTGTTTGTTTTGTTTTTTGAGACAGTCTCACTCTGTCTCCCAGGCTGGAGTGCAGTGGCGCAATCTCGCCTTGCTGCAACCTCCGCCTCCTGGGTTCAAGCAATTCTCTACCCCAGCCTCCCAAGTAGCTGGGATTACAGGTGTCTGCCACCAAGCCTGGCTAATTTTTTTGTATTTTTAGTAGAGACAGGGTTTCACCATCTTGGCCAGGCTGGTCTTGAACTCCTGACCTCATGATCCACCGGCCTCAACCTCCCAAAGTGCTGGGATTACAGGCGTGAGCCACCACATCCCAGTTGCTTTTGACAAACTTTTAATCAATCCCTAACATTGAAAAGTGTATTCTTCAATTAAGCCTGTATCTCAGGTATAAAATCATTGAAATTCTCATTTATTTTGATGTTCTTGTTTTCTTCCTTTGCTAGTTCAAGAGAATCATGCAATAAATGTTAGATTTCAACACCGATTTTAGTCTCTTGCACAATGTAGTTGGTCTGCACAATATTTCCTCCTTCTGTTTCACGCATGATTTCTCTCATTTTACAGTCCTATCTAATAGTCAGCTTTTGATGCAGCAACAAACAACCCCACAATCTCAGTGACTTGCAAGAATAAATACTTTTTGCTCACAAAGGTTTGGGGTAGAGTATAACCATATTAGGCCTTTGTAAGCTGTTCTAGGCTCTTCTGGGCTCTGCATGGTCCCACAAGTCTTCCTACTCCAGCACCCAAGATGAAGGAACATCCATTATCCAGAGCATGAGGTTCTCAAAGGGGAGGGCAGAAGACCTGTGTAGAGACACAGGCAATCCACACAAGCACGTGTAAAGCTTCTCCTTGGGTGAGGCGTATATCATGTCCTCTCACATTCTTCAGCCAAGGCAAATCACATAGCCAAGCCACGAGTGAATAGAATGGAAAAGTATATTCTAACTAGAGAAATGCATGGCAAGTGAAAGGAGAGGATGAATAATTGTAAACAGTACTATCTACCAAGATCACCCTCTTGAAAACAATTATTTGCTCTCTTCCAGAGAACCAAAGTAACATCCAATCGAGTCTTCAGGCTTAAAGCCTAGGATCTCATGATTTCCATCAAGCCCAATTGCAGCTCCTCTTGATCCAAAGATCTATGAACTTAGGGGGAAAATGTTTTTGTCCCCACACACTCAACACACAGTAATAAATTAGGAGGAGAATAACCACAATAAATATTTCTGCTCAGAAACAGAAGAAATGGGAGACACCAGTCCACAGCCATTCTGAAATCTCACCAAGCAAACATTGCCAATAGAAAATATTCCTTGATTAGGCCCCACTTCTACTCCCTGAGAGTGCTACCTGAGTTTATTCTTCTTCTCATCTCTTGCCTTCACTCTCTAGGAGTTCTGTCCTCTTTTATGATCATCCTTGGCCATATTGGAAAAGGGCATCAGAAAATCTATTCCCCTAGTGTTTAAGCAGCTTCTTACATCTGTCCCTATAAACTTAGGTTATTTTGCAATTCACTCACAGTCTTTGTTAGTCCGTGCCAAAGTGCTTTTCATAACACAGGGCTAGTTTAAATGTTGGGGAGATTTATTTGTTTATATTTAATCTATTTGATTCCGGTCAACTTCATATGTTAATAGCTATATACACAATAATTTTCTACTCATGAATCTCACCCTCTCTCTATTTTTCTCCCTTAATCATGGTACCTTAAGCTTGTCAGCCTTCAGTGGGACCATGCCCTTCTTTTTGCTGTAAGCTATTTTGTCCAACTGATATAATTTACTGGGAGCTACCTTATTTATTCAGTCAGATATCTCAGTGAAAGTTGTGTAAGCCATGCTCTTGATTTGGTCTTGTTCCCAGGCTGTATCTTAGTGGCAACACACCTGCATTTAGCCCTTGCCCTCAGGTTACACATTAGAATGAGAATTTTTTTGGAAAGAAATGAGAAGCAGTAGCATAGATTAAATCAGCAAATCTCAGAATTTCTGAATTCTCATATTTTCCCTTTCATTCCTCATTACAAACAGGCTAATTCTTTTCTCGGTTCATCTCTTTCTTACAGTTTCTTATCAAATGCAGCCAGTAACAACTAACCTATGTGACCAGCATTCTATCTCAAAGCCGCCTCACACAAAGCCATAAATTCAATAGGTACATTTCCCACCCATGACAGTTTTACCAAGTGTTTCACCAATGTATAATGTAAGTTGCCATTTTTCCAGATTCCCATTATATTCTTGATGCCTGAAACAATGCCACATATTTGAAGCTTTTCTTATGGCAGAGACCACTCCCAGTACCAATTCCTGTATTTATCAGCTTTTGTGGTTGCAACAACCACAAAAATATCAGTGGCTTCTAACAACTAGCATTAATTTCTTGCTTGCGTCACTTGAGGGCTATGGGTTAGATTAGTTCTGCTGAGATCTACCCGGCTCTGTTAGGCTCTTTGGAGTTCCAATGACACCTGATTGGCTCTAAAAGTCTTCTCTATCTGGGACCCAGGGTAAAGGACCACTCGCTGCTGGGGTATGCTTTTCTCATGGTGGAGGACAGAAGATCAAAGGGGAAGTTGAGTCAAACCACACAAGCACATTAAAGCTTCAGTTTGGACTCTATGTAGGTCATATCCACGGGACACTGTGAGTCATATGGCCAAACTCAAAGTCAGCTGGGTAGGGAATATATATCCTTCCTATAAGAAAGCTTGGCAAGGATGGGGAGGAAGGAAATAATTAGGAACAAATAATATAATCTATCCCACCCATTAATAGAATCATCTCATTTTGAATTCTCCATTCTAGATAGTGATAATTTATTTCATTTTTATATGTGCATACATAGTTACATTAAGTTTGTTGTTTGTTTTGTTTTTTTGAGAGTGAGACAGGGTCTCACTCGTTCTCCCAGGCTGGAGCATAGTGGTGCAATCATGGCTCATTGCAGCCTTGACCACCTGGGCTCAAGCCATCCTTCTGCATTAGCCTCCCAAGTAGCTGGGCCTACAAGCATGCACCACCACATCCAGCAATTTTTTTTTATTTTAGAGACAGGATCTCACTATGTTGCCCAGGCCTGCCTCATAGTCCCAAAGTACTGGGATTACAGGCATGAGTCACTGTACTCAGCCTGCATTAAATTCTTCAATATTAAGAGCAGGCAGGAGAAGCCTGCTAGTGATAGTCTTGATGGTGATAAACTCCAGAACCTAAAGAAATACCATCACAGGCATAGCGATGTTCATTTTCCATACTTCTTTCCTCACGGACCAGCTACAAACATTTTGCAGACTGGTACCAGACTGCAGACTGCACTTCTCTCCAATATAAACCTCAGGGGATGTATGTTAAATAAATGGGTTTACAGCAGCTATCTGCGTTATAACAACAAGATTAATCCCAGACCCTTCCTGCAGGTGGGGAAATGTTCTCCTATGAAAGATTTTCAGGCGAGACTGGAGTGTATAGGGAGGTCTAAGGTGAAGGAGAAGAAATGAGAAATTGAGAGAGTAAAATAAAGACACAGAGAGCAAGTAGGTGAAGTGCAGAGAGAGGCACAGAGAATACTCACTCATAGGAAGAGGACTTGGGTACCACAGAAGCCTCGAGAGGAGAGAGTTTTAAGGCACTGATCGACACTGAGACATTTTGTTTCGTGTTAAAGGCTCATAAGGAATATTAGGTCTCATTAGTAGGAGCCTGTTGTCAAAATGTGAATAATTTATGTGAGATAGAACACATTCATAGTCATTTCCATCTTAGTATTGAGGTGTTCATCAATTCCCACATTAAGGATGGTGGACACGATGGGCAAATGTTGCCAGTTATTGGAAGAGGATGAGGCAAAACCAAAGACCTGGGAAGAGGGCCCTGCCTAGGTTTTCTCTACAGTGAAGGTCATGATGGGTGAGGGATGACAGGAGAGTACTATGAACATGATATAGCTAAAAAGCCTGGAAGACACGAAAAGAGGAGATGGAGAGATAAGGATGTGAACACATGCTTAGCCCGCCTCACAGCTTTGCACGTGCCTAGCCCAGGGAACAGCCTAAGAGGTTGATGCTTCAGTTATGTGCAGGTGATTTGAGCAGACACAGAGCTAAAACATAAGCAATCACAAAGGTTGCTATATCTGAGTTCTGCTCTTTCCATCCATCCTCTGCTAGGACATTTTTGATAAAAATAACCTAAAATATCTCAGACAGATACAGAAGAGATGATCACTATATTATCTGACTGGCCTTCACAGATTCAAAGTCCACTTCACAAATGCCATATAGTAAGCAGTTGACCCAGAAATACAAAGACTGACTTGCTAAATCACCATTGCCCTTATCTGAGGAAAAACCTTGCTGGATATTAAACTGAGAGTAAACCTGGGTCCCACAATTCATTCCATGGTTGAACAGTCTTACGAGTTAGAATTTGTGTCATTATGGTATTTTCACTCTGGAAAGTATCTATGGATAGTGTGAGCATATTATTTATTATCCAAACCAAGACAATTGTGAAATTAAAGGGTGCTATTAATTACACTAAGATGGGCATAAAGCAGGATGATCCCAAGCAAACCAGGATGACTCCTAGAATGTATGTGTTTTAGTCTCTAAAGATGGTCCCCTCTCCATAGTCTATGCATACACTGCTCTTCTTGTCAAGAGATTGAATCTATTTCCCCTCCCTCGAATCCTGAACTGGCGGTGTGACTCGCTCTAACCAAGTGAATGCAGTGCAAGTCATACTGTGCTGTTTGTAGTCCTAGTGTAAGTGTGACAGCTGCTGCTTTTACTCTCTTGCAACTCAGTAGCCATGCTCTAAAGAAGTCCAGGCCCTCAAGTGTTCAAGTACATGTGTGATCCCCAAACAAACTATGTGAAGAAGAACCACCCAGCTAAACTAGAGAAGCATGAGAAATAATACATTGTTGCCTTAAAACATTATCTTTTAGAATGGATTGTTATGTACCGATAGACAACTGGTCACCCTCCTTATAGGTAATAGTTTACCATCCACATACAAAACTACTTAGACTAGTATTAGCCCATAAAAGCAACACATTCCATTTCCTCTCTATTTGACAGTCCTTACAAGGGAAAATCCCAAGTGATCTGAAAACACAGTTGCTGCCAGATAGGTAAATCACATGACCTTGAACACAGGTAGCTACATTTACAAAGTGTCCCTTCAATGATTTCTTTAGATTTCAAAAGGAGAGGCCAATACACCAACATTTTCATTGACTTCTTTTTCTGTTATTTTTTTCTCTTTTCTGATATCTTTACCAAATGTTTTTGGATAACTAGAACACCTTTCGATCTTCAAGTATCTGTTTGCAAGCTTGGTATCTTAGCTGTTAAGTTGTTTGGAAAGTCAGATAAATGTCTCTTACCCAGAGCTTTTTAAAATTCTTAGCAGCAAAGTCCCGAAAAATTTGCTCCTCAGCAACAACTGTGAGTCCTACTGGATGGTCATAACATTCAATAAGATAATTGTGGCAGGGGGGAAATGGGGAGCAGAGAACAGCCTCTGCTGAGGCAGGAGACCCTCAGACTCTACCTATATTGTGCTTGAAGAAACAGCTAATAAAAACAGAACTCTGAAAGGCCATGGCAACCTATAGGAATCCTGCTTGACAAATCCCTCATAAGTAGAACAAAAGCAAGTTTAAGCACAGATGTTTTTGCTATTGTTAGAATTTTCCAACCAGGGGTGCCTGACTTACGGAAGTTTTTATTATTTTGGTTAGCCAGTCTATAAAAAAGCAAAAGGAGCTACAGAGGAATAACATTAATGAGTCCTAGTAGAATCTACATGCTGTCAGTGACCATCAAAAAGGTATCATTGTGTTAAGTGCATTGAGAAGAAGTAGTTTAGGATGTACATGTTTTGATCTTCCAGGCAAACGTCTATAGCATTATGTTTGCCAACCTGCCACCTTAATGTACAATTGTTACCTATCAATTATCCCAAAAATTATCAGAGCAAAAGGCAATCTGGTAACTCTATCTATCGTGTATGTTCCCATTCCTTCTTACTATTATCTTCACTCCTAGGGCTTCTCTACAAGCTCAGTTCTTTCATCTGCTTTGGCCAGTGGGCCCTTGATCATTGGCAAAGTCACTTTATTCAGATAGCAAGGCATTTCATCCATGTGGCCTCTGAGTCTTGCAGTCTGGAAAACCAATAAGAATTGCTCTGTGATGTAGTTAGGAAAGAGGACATGGGCTATAGAGGCTCACAGCCTTGGGCTGAAGTGTGGGCTCTGCCACATGCCAAATGTGTGATCCTTGTGTTTTAAATCCAGATTTCTGCCTGGGGGCATTTTCTGGACAGCAGTGCAAGGAGGGGTTACCAAAGCAAAGTATAGCAATCACAATGTGTCAAGGAGGCAAAAATGAGCTCAGGGAAGCAGAATCACCTAGAATTTATAGAGCAGATTACCAGACAGGTACAACTTAGAAAAAGAGGTAAATGAATATGTATAGGAGACCCCTTGAATCTGCTGCTGAAAAATATATTGTTACTACATAGGGTGAAAATCCCCAAAACAAGACAAATAACAACTAGGGGACTGTAAACTGAACAACTTTCAGAGCTCCCCCAATGCTAGAAAAAGTTCAAGTTCTAATTAGCCAAAATGGAGAGACTTGGTTCATTCAGTAGTGATTCCAGAAGTATCTCATCTAAGTAATAGAGCTAAATTAGCCTTAGAATTAAAACTACTCCATATCAGCCCTTTAAAATCTTAAAATAAGGTTTTAAAAAACCAAGCTGATCTTCAATTAATGTAACTATCAGCCAGACCAGAAATCTATACTAATGAAAAGATGACAACAAAATCCAGACATTCAACAATGTGAGATTCACAATGAGCAGCACCCAGGCAAAATATACAAGACATGAAAAGAATCAGAAAACTATGACTGATAACCAGAAGGAAAACAAGTCAATAGAAATAGATGCAGAAATGACAGAGATGATAGAATTAGCAAACAAGGATATCAAAAACAGCTATTACAAATATGTCAAAAAATTTAAAAGAAGATATAGACATAAGAGATAAATGAAAGATAACAAAAAAAGAACTAAATGAAACATCCCATTGAAAAATACATCTCAAATGGAAAATTCACTAGATAGAGTTACCAGAAGATTAGACACTACAGAAATAAAGTCTTGAAGACAGAGCAATATAACTGTCCCAAATGAAACACAGAGGGAAAACAACCCAGAATTGCAGTGACTATGACATTACATCAAGTAGTATAACATATGTGTAACTGAAGTACTAGGGAGTGAAAAAAACATCTAAAGAAATAATTATCAGAAATTTTCAAAACTTGATAAAAGCAATAAACCCAGAGATCAACAAGTTCAACAAACCCCAAGCAGGGTAAACAAAAAGAAAACCACACCAAGGCACATCATAATCAAATTGCTATAAACAAGTGAAAAGAAGAAACATTTAAAAGCCATCAGTGGAAGAAGGTACACCATACTCCAGGGGACTAAGGATAAGAATGGCCGTATATTTCATATCAGAAACAATGAAAACTAGAAGACAATATAATGTAGCTTTAAAGTGCTGAAAGAAAGAAATCTAGAATTATATACCCTATGAAAATATCCATCAAAAGTAAATGTGAAATAAAGACATTTTTAGAAAAACAAAAGAAAGTATTTCAGAATAAAGAAATAAAGAGCATTAGAAATGCTAAATACTTAGGTAAACATAAAATACTTATTTCATATTTTAATTTCTATAGAATATAGTTGCTTATAGAAAAAGCAGAAGTATATTGTGATATTTATAACATGTAGACATACAATATATGTCAAAAATAATACAAAGAAATAAGAGAAGGAAGTATATTGTTGTAAGTTTGCTATATTAAGCATAAAGTGGTAAGATGTTATTGGAAGCTGACAGTGATAAGTTAAAAATACATAAAGAAAATCCGAAAGCAAACATAAAAACAAATAAAATCTCAGCCTGGCAACATAAGGAGACCTTGTCTCCACAAAAAATAAAAAACTAGCCAAGCATGGTGGTGTATGCCTGTAGTCCAAGCTACTGGGGAGGCTTAGGCAGGAAGATCACTTGAGCCTGGGAGGTCAAGGCTGCAGTGAGCCATGATTGCACCATTCCCCTCCAGCCCAGGTGACAGAATGGAACCCAGTCTCAAAAAAAATAAATAAGTAAAATAAAATGAAGAAGTGTAGCTAATAAACAAACAATGGAGATAAAATGGAATATTCAAAAACAGCTAGCTCTTCAAAAAGAAGGCAGGAAAAGAAACAGAGAGAAAAAAGGACAAATAAAAAACAAACAGTAAGATGGTAGATTAAAATACAACCACATCAAGAATTACATTAAATGTAAATGTAATTCTTCTAGCTACTCCAATTAGAAGGGAGACTTTATCACTCTGAATAAACGAAGGACCCAACAGTGTGCTGGTTACGAGAAATGCACTTTAAATATAAGCAAATGAATAGGTAAAAATTAAAGGACAAAAATATATACCAGGCATATACTGATCAGAATAAAGGTAGAATAGCCATATTAATTGCAGACAAAACAGACTTCTGGACAAAATATACTCCTACAATAAAGATGATAATTTTATAAGGTAATCATCTTACGCAGTCTTTCTAATGTGGTAATAGAGGAGCTGAATGACAGCAAATGATGTTGAAGAAGTTGACTACAGGACTATATTATGTAGATATTTATGTAACATATTAATAATTGCTATTTTATGTGCAACAAGAAAGGTGTTAAAAAGTTGTAAGCAAGAGCATGATTTCATTTACATTTTAAGAAAATCTCTCTGAGTGTAGAAAGGATTTGGGGGAAAACAGATCAAAGCAAGGAGTCCAGTTAGAGCTGTGGCAGAAGTCTCGACACAGGAGGAGGATTTGGATGAGAGTACTGACAGAAAAGATTAAGTGAAGAAGGCAGATTCAATACCATTTTAATTGTTTGAAAGGCACAACATTTTATTGATTGGGTATGGGGTTCAGGGAGGTGTAAAAAATGTCACAGGCTTCTGGTATAAATAATTAGATTTTAAATGGTGCCATTCTCTGAAATGGGAGAAGGTTAGAAGATGAGCAGTTTAATTCTGAGACATTCAAATGGAAATGGTAAGCAGGCAAATAAATGCATAAGCCAGAGGGATCAAAGAAAAAGAAGAAAATAAAATTTAGAAGCCATCAGTATGGAAATGGTGTTTAATCCAGGAAGTGGATGAATTTGCCTAGGAAGAGAATGACTGAGTCATGGAGCAGAAGTAAAGCAGAGAAGAAGATTAATACACATGAAAGATAAAACCACAATGAAGGAATAGAGACTATGTGAGAGAGACAAAAAATGCCTGCTTAGTTTTTTGTGTTTTTGTTTTTTGTTATTTTGTTTGTTTGTTTTTGTTTTTGTTTTTTGAGTCTTGCTCTGTCCCTCAGACTGGAGTACACTGGCAAGATCTCGGCTCACTGCAACCTCCATCTCCCTGGTTCAAGTGACTCTCCTGCCTCAACCTCCCAAGTAGCTGGGATTATAGGCACCCGCCACCACACCCAGCTAATTTTTGTATTTTTAGTAGAAATGGGGTTTCACCACGTTGGCCAGGCTGGTCTCGAACTCCTGACCTCATGATCCACCCACCTCAGCCTCCCAAAATGCTGCGATTACAGGCATAAGCCACCGTGCCTGGCCGAATGCTTAGTTTTCAGTATTAATGATAGACATAAATCCTCAGATTTGAGAATCACAACCAACACCAAGCAAATAAAAAGAAATCTTCAACTAGACATATCATGATGAAACATCAAAGACAAAAAGAAAATCTTAAAAGCAACCAGATAAGAAGGGCAGCCCACTCACAAGGGAATGATAATTAGACAGAAATCATGCTTTTAACAACAACAATGGAAGCCAAAAAAATCAGTGGAACAATATCTTCCACAATGCAGAGGAGAAATAACTGTCAAGCTGTAATTGTAGATTTTGAGAAACTATTATTTAAGATTAAGGGCAAGATGAAGACATCTTCAGACCAACAAAAGTAAACATTCACAAATACCTAAGAAAATTATACAAAGTAACAATAATGAAGGGTGACTAACTCTGCTAGATACAAAACATACTATCAAGATACAGTAATTAAAACAGCAGGGCAAAGGCAAAAGATTAAGCACACACATAAATAGAGCAGACTATAGCACCAGAAATAACCCCAAAACATGAAGGAATGTAATTTCTAACGAAGTTAGCAACAAAATTCAGTGAGAAAAACATAGATCATTTAATACATTGTCAAGAAAGTTTTAAAAGGAATTAAGTTGGATCTCTACCATTTTACATCAAAAGTAAAATTCCAGATAGATCACAGATCTAGAGGTAAAAAATGAAGTATTAAAAATACTAAAAAAAAATGGGAAACTTTTTAAGATTTCAGAATGAGAAAGCTGAATTATGATCCAAACCTAGAAAGCATAAAAGAAAAATAATAAACTTGACTATGTAAAAATAGAAAGTTCCAGTTGGAAAAGAAACACCATAAATTACATAAAGAAAAAAACTACACCAGAAAAAAAAATCTTTGCAAGCCATATTCACTAATGTTGAAGTCTTTTTTTCCTTCTCACATTAAAAAAAAAAAAAGAAGAAGACTTTGTATTTCTGCTCTCTGGAAGATCCTTTCCCCGTTTTTTCTCAGTTTGAGTCAAAGCTCACCCTAGTTCATACCTACTCATTCTCCAAATGCCCACCTAATAATCACCCCCTTCACATCCTTTAGGAAGCCCTCCCTGACTCCCCCAAACTGTAGACCCTTCTAGGCACTCTCAGTGCATCCTCTGTTCATTTCAGAATGAGGGAGTGCAGTGGTGCGATCTCAGCTCACTGCAAGCTCCGCCTCCCGGGTTCGCGCCATTCTCCTGCCTCAGCCTCCAGAGTAGCTGGGACTACAGGCGCCCGCCACCATGCCCGGCTAATTTTTTGTATTTTTAGTAGAGACAGGGTTTCACTGTGTTAGCCAGAATGGTCTCGATCTCCTGACCTCGTGATCTGCCCGTCTCGGCCTCCCAGAGTGCTGGGATTACAGGCGTGAGCCACCGCGCGCCCGGCAGTGTTGAAGTCTTTGAGAGCCCTAACAAATGACAGCACTTTACCCTGTCTTAATTCTGGACAAACTGAGAAATTAAATAAAGGAGTGGAATCTAGAGGTCAAAACAATTTTATTTCTGGTTAAAATTTAGTTGTCATACATTGCTTAGTGAGAGAGCCAAATGGGTCTGCTAACAGGACCACAGATGAAGACAGGTGAGGAAAAGCACAAGACATGCCTGGGATACAACAGCTACACTGGGTTGCCGTCTTTGAACACAACAAGCTCATTCCTACCTCAGGGACTTCGTGCTTGTGGCTCCTTCTTTGGCTTATGAAATAACCTTTTGCTAGATATCCGTGGACTGGCTGCTTCTCATTATTCATACATATAAGCTCACCTGTGATCTCCTCGCAGAGACCTTAACTTAAAGTGGGCCACCCTATCCTCGCCACCATGATCACAATTGCAAATTATCTTATTTATTTACTTATTTGAATAGTTATGTCATGGCTAATTGTCTTCCATTAAAATATAAATTCCATTAGAACACAGGCCTGTCTTGCTGATCAGTTTGTCCCCAGAACAGTGCCTGACGCAGAGTAAATGTTCAATACATATTCACTGAATGAATGAGGGCTCCCCCTGAAATGAACAGAGGATGCACTGAGAGTGCCTAGAAGGGTCGACAGTTCGGGGGAGTCAGGGAGGGCTTCCTAAAGGATGTGAAGGGGGTGATTATTAGGTGGGAACTTGGAGAATGAGTAGGTATGAACTAGGGTGACCTTTGACTCAAACTGAGAAAAAACGGGGAAAGGACCTTCCAGAGAGCAGAAATACAAAGCCTTTTTTTTTTTTTTTAATCTGAGAAAGAAAATGGCCCTTTTGTTAGGGACAGAGCCCAGTAGTCCAACTCAGATTCAGAAGCAAAAGAGGAACAAAAGTTAAGGCTGGAAATGCAAGCCAGGGGTAAGATCATCAAGGAATTTTATGCCAAATTCAGGCATTTTGATTTTATCTTACGGGGAATAGGAAACTACTGAAGGAGTTAAGCTTGGAAGTAAATGATCAGATTTATGTTTTAAAATGGTGACATATCCCTAACACCTAATGCAGTCTGTGGCCAGAATAATTCCTCAAAAAAACCAGTAAATGAACTTTTTGTGGAGAATGGATTTGAGAGGAGCAATATTAGAGGCAGGTGGACCAGCAGGGAGGCTGCTGCAGCCACTCAGGTGAGAAATGATGACTGGCTTCTCCAAGTGCCCCTGGGGTGGTGGTGGACAGTATTGCTACATCCGCCTGCAAAGGTTGCTTCTCACCCTTCACCCCGATGGTCAAGACATGCAATCTTCACCCTGCAGGTATCTTCACGGTTTTTCAGAAGAGCAAAAGTCACCATCCTAATTCTACACTTTCAAAATGTCTCCCTGATTACCCCCTTTGCACTTAGGGAAATCACAAAGCAGAGAGCCTCCTCATCTAGAGGAAAGCATAGGGGTCCCTTGTCTCAGAATCATCAAAGTCTCTTTTTCAGATTTCTGCAACCCAACCATTAGCACAGCCTATGAGCACGTCCCTTCTTTCAAACAAAGGCGTGAAAAAGAAACGGCAACAACCACTCAAATGAATCTTTTGGCAAATGTACGGATTCTGATTTTTCCTCAAGGAGAAGGGCTCATTAAGTATAAGACCCTGCATTCAGCCCTGGCCCATATTTACTAAAAACTAAACTGGAAAAAAAAACTCTACAAAGCCAGCTCCAGAAAGAGAGAAGTCCATCCCATGTGGAACTACAATCCTGGAAATTGAATGTTTAATTCATAGAGTAAATTACAAGAGATTACTTGTACAAGTAGCTGCAATGTCCTTAAAATTATTCTTTAACTGAGGAAAAGTTTTTTGACCTTTGGAGAAAATGCTTGCTTCTAGCTATGACTAAAAAGAGATTTCCTTCTTTCTCTGTTGTGTTAAGAATCTTTTCTTCTTATAAAGAAGGCACCACAGTGATTTATAACTGTCATAAAAGCCTGGAATCCTTTTGAGGTTAAGCTACTCAGCTATTCAACTTTTACTACAGAAACTTTGAAATTCAAAAAGAAAAAATAATGTAAGTTTTTGAAGGACATGTGTTGCTGTAGGTGATCCTGTTAATTAAAAGTGATTGCCTGCTAGGAAATCATACTTTAAAAAGTTTCATGAATTTATTAGAACCCTGAAGGTATCTTTGTATGCACAGAGCTTTACATGCCATTTATGCAATTTTGTTTCAGATCTGCTTAAAGCCTTGCTGACACTCCCAGAGCAGCGAACAGCTCTGCTAGCATGCGTATGTGTTTTGGCTAATTGAATTATGTGAAAATACTTACTAATGAAGCGTTAGCAGAGGTGTTTGCTGTGTAGACTCCACGTCTAATTTCTTCTAAATTAGAAGCATCTTTTTTCAGCAGATTAATGTTTTAGGAAAGGCTGCTTTCTCATAGAAAAAAATAGCACATTGTCTAATATTGTGAGCCACTTTTGCCTGCTAAAAAGCTCTCTGCACACCTGATGTGCACATTGTATGTGACAAATCTAAAAAGCATTTTAAATAATAAATTTTTAAAATGCATTACTCTGGAAAGACCAATGATGTGTAATTATCCAATCACATTAATGAACAAATTATTAATCTTCTCTTAAAACATTTGGTGTTTTTCTCCCCCTTTAATACACTTTTAAGAATGATTGTGTTTGGTTTGGTTTGGGTTTAATGAGGATTATTCTTTAATGGTCCTATTTGGATTATTTTTCAGCGTGTCTATTTGGAAACATTACCTCGTAACATTTGCTGCTGTAATTCTGCGATCCCCTGACGCTGGTATTTGAGAAACACACTCTGGAAACGCTGTGGTTGTTTTTCACAGGAACCCAGGGAGCTATCAAAGTCGGAGAACGTGCCTCTGTTTGCAGGAGAGGTGGGCAGGCAGCGAGATCCCCGCGCACCGCTCGCTCGGGCTGCGGGCAGGCAGCAATCAGCTAATTGCCTAATCGGAGTGGGGAGCTGGTGCCCGCTCGCCGCGGTCGCCTCGCGGGTCACAGACAAGAGAGCGGCTTGTTTTCTCTCTGTCACATCGTCGTCTTGAACCGTGTGGTCTGTTGCAGGGGAAGGGGCCGAGCTGGAGGAGCGAGCGGGCGGGCGGCGCTTGGCACATCCCGAAGAACGCTGCCTCGGTTGCCTGCGAACGCTCAGGGCAGGCGCCAAGGGGGCTTCAGGGGGACAGGAGCCCGTGAGAAAACTTAGCTCGCCGCGCTCTGCTCAGCTCTACCCGGCTCCGCTCTCAGGCGTGTGCTCAGAACACACCGAGATCCTTTAGAAATAAATGTAATCGAGACTAATCTGGAAATCGTCCCTGCAGCCAAAACATCGGATGCTTATAAAATAGTTTGAGGGACAAGCGATGCAAAGCAATCGATGGGGGGGAAACGTTACATATATATGCATATATACACATATGCACACAGCACACGCACACAGTACACACACACAGCACACACCACACATACATATAAAGGTTGCATGTATACACACACAGTATATATGCTATACAATTACATACATAGGATATAAATTACACACATATGCTATAAAATTATATGTGTAAATGTTTGTATCTCCATGTATGTAATTTGTGTGACTAAAGAGAAAATTATTCTTTAACAAAAGATTAATATCTTTTAGAAGTGGTGTGATTCAGGTAGGACCATGAAGTCTGGCACAGAAAAGTTGCTCTTCAGTTTGGGGCTAGAGCTACCAATCCCAGACACTGCCACAGGTCTCAGTTTTCACTGTTTCCCCCTCAGGGAGAGCAGAGCGACTTCTACGAACCCCACACCCCTTATCTCCACTGCCTCCGAGAGTTCCCAGGCCAGCGGGCGTCTCCATTGCTGCCGTTTTCCATGGTTACACATCTATGCCATGTCATTTACACTTCAGTACATCCTTACCGCAATGCTTTTGCCTCCCTGGCTGGGGTTTTCCCATAAATCCCCATCTTTTATTTTTCTAGTACAGTTCTGTTTTCATATATTTTATAAAGGTACTAAGCCAGGGATCAAAAGAGTTCAGGTCAGATTTCCTATTCTGCCACACACTAGTCGTGGGTTCTTGTTTATGTCACTAACCTGCCGTCAGTCTCAGTTTCCAAATCTGTGAAGTGAGCCAAAAAAATACTTGTCCTCTCTACCTCACAAGGTAGTTGAAATGATCAAATGCAGACTGTCAGCCAGGAAAATGGGTCTGGCCTTGGGACACAGACTCTGAGGCTCTTGGGAAGCCGACTCTGAGATGGAGGTTAGCTTGCAGGTGTTTATTCGAGAGGTCTTGGAATCAACATCTAGGGAAAAGAAGGGAAGGGAAGCAGAAACGGGCAGAGGGAGAAGTTGAGTTGTGACCCAGTTTCGATGCCATCCTCAAGCCATCCTACTTGGAGCTCTGAAGCCAGAGTGACTCTTCAGAGTTGCTCCAAGTTGACATGAGGAGACCATACCTTTATCCTCCTATTTTGAGCCATTGGATTCAGGCTCTCCCAGGGAAGAGTTTCTTCTGCAGAGGCAATTCCCTAGAAGCAGATGACAGCCTGGGGTTTTCCAGCTAAAGAAATTGGTCCTCTCTTCCTAAAGGGGATGTGGGTGGCACCCATGTCAATATCCACCACACTGATCTTTTGCTTTTGCTTGTTTACTTTCTGGAATATGCTTGTTTACTTTCTGGAATATGCTAGGTGTGGACTGCCATTGCTGAGACTCGAACTTTACTTCCATAGCTTGCAGCTATGTAATACTCTGTCCACTCACCTACCCAGTCCAGGCTCCTGGACTCTAGCCCAAATCAGAGCCCAGGCCCTTTATGTACCCATTAAAGGAAGTCAGACACTACGAATCTTCCATGTTGCCTTAAGCAAAGTCACTCAACATCTCTTCAACTATAAAACAAGAATCTTCTTTCCAAACTAGCCTCAAAATAATTGGTTTCTATAATCAAACCAGGCAATGGGAACATATGCCATATGTGTGTGTGTTCATGTATGTGTTTTTGTGTCCATTTCATGTATGTATTCACTAAGTACATAGGTAGATGGATAGATGTGTCCCATAGCTTGGTTGAATTCTACAAAATAGTCCATGGTCTATCTGTACACCCATGTTTCATGTTTGTGTCTTTGGGGAACAGAGTCATTATCATGTAATAACTAATAGAATATTTACCAAGGATTTTTGATAAACATTATAGCATATGAGCTAAAGCCTAGTAGTCTAACTGGTATATAGCAGTTTCTCTAATAGATGTCAGTAACCTACTGTCTCACCTGCTAAACACTTTAAACCTATGTCTAGTACCAGTTTTCATTCATTCATCCAACAAGTATTGAATGCTTACTATATGTCAGACGCTGTCCCAGGCACCAAAGATGGGATTATAACTAATGCATAGTTCTTGCCCCAAGCAGCAATCAGATGCCTGAATGCAAATTCAAATACGATCATAAAAAGACAACATTAGGCTGTATACAGAATAACTGTCTTCTTTTTAATAATATGTTTTTAGTGATGTATCTCTTTAAAGATGCTCAATGTTTTTCATTCTAAGTCTAGGGAAATTGATTTTAATGTTTTTAACTTTTTTTTAATTGACTCATAATAATTGTACATATTTATGGGGTACATAGTGATGTTTTGATACATACAGTGTGCAGCAATCAAATCAAGGTAATTATCATATCTATCACCTCAAACATTTATCATTTATTTGTGTTAGGAACACCAAAAATTATCTCTTTTAGCTATTTGGAAGCATATAATAAACTATTGTTAACTATAGTCATCCCACTGTGCTATAGAACACTGGAACTTATTCCTCCTATCTAGCAGTAATTTTGTAGCATTTAATCAATCTCTCCGTCTCCCCCCTCCTCCAACACTTCCCAGCCTCTGAGAAGCGCTATTCTACTCTCTTCTTCCACGAGATCAACTTTTTTAGCTTCTATAAAGATGTTTAATTTTTCCTGTGAGGTTTATACAAACGTATATCTACAAAAAATATTTCCCACATACTTCCAAACGTAACAGCCAGTCAGCTACTTGACTCTGCATGGAAAACAAATCTTGCTCTCTTAATTCATTTTCCAAATTATTTTATGAGGTTGTATAATAAAAGTCCTTAGCTAATAATATCTTTATATTGTGTTTTACATTTTCAAAGTGTTTCCATATATATTAACAAATTCAAGCGTTACAAAAATCCTAGTAGGTAAACTGGGAAGTATTAAACCTATTACACTGAAAATGCACCCAAGGCACAGAGAAAGTTAAGTGATTAGCTAAGATTGCTTGGCTAATCCATTCAAACAAAATACAAAAACAAAACTAAATCTAGTACCCAGATCACTTTCCACTGAGAAGTTTGTATATATTAAGAGTTTTTCATAGTAACTAAATTTTTATGACCTCAGTCACACATGCTACCTCCTCTCCCCTTCCAAGAACCTGATAGCAAATCGCTCAGCTTGTCTGCAGCCAGTGTAGTTACTGGATAAAATGATTAGTGATTAGCGATAGGTATCAGTTTATATGAGTCACTGACTAAAGGGGACTACTATGAACTCAGAGTCTCAATCTGTCAACTCCCAGGATACAATTCAAATTCTATAATCTGGCTAACTTACTACTTGTTACTAATGGCTTAGAATTTTTTGAAATGATTTTATATTTTAAGGAGCATTTTAAAGTTCTCTTGTATATCTTGAAACATAATATCTCAGTAGACAGCAGGTAAGTAATTGCCCTTCAGTATCATCTCCTCTTGCCTTCAATGCTTGCTGCTCAGAAAGAGCACCATTATCTTATAACCTGATAAGAGGGCATTTCCAGAAAGAAATCAAGAGGCAGGAAGCCTGATTTTCAACAGTTGAGTGGACCCACTGCACTAAAACCGACGGAATTTGCCCTTGACCCATGCCTATGGTAGAAAGTGAATCCAGCCTGTAGCCTGTTAAGTGCATCAGAGGCCCAAGTGCCTGGGAGGTAGCCAGCAGGTGGGCAGTGGATGAGGGGGCTTCAGGGCCTTCTCCAGAAAGCTTTCTCATCATAAATTCACTTCCTCCCTTTACTTTAAATTACTCTGGCCTTCTCATATATAGTAACCACAAAATGCTCATACTAAAGTGGAAAATGGGAGAATAAAAATCAGGCAACAAAACTATATACACAAGGCTGAGTGTGGTGGCTCAAGCCCGTAGTTCCAGTGCTTTGGGAGGCCAAGGTGGGAGGATCGCTGAGGCCAGGAGTTTGAGACCAGCCTGGGCAACATAGCGAGACTCTGTCCCTACAAACAAATTTTAAAAATTAGCCAAGCGTGGTGGTGTGCACTTGTAATCCTAGCTACTTGGGAGGCCAAGGAGGAAGGATCACTTGAGCCTGGGGATTCTAAGTTTTTTTGCTTGAACCCAGGAGTTCTAAGTTTTAGTAAGCTATCATTGCCCTGCTGCACTCTAGCCTGGGTGACAGAACAAGACCCTGTCTCTGAAAAAAAAGAAGAAGGAAAAGAAAACTATATACACAGGCTTATTTATTTTCATAAGATAATTCACAAAATAGTGCTAAAGGAAAAGGCATGTGATATCTTTGATGTAATTTTGTCTTTATAGATGCAAATATTAATGATGTATACATACAGACCTAGATCTATACATGTACTCACAAAGAAAGATGCTGGAAGGCAAACCAGTAAAATTTACCATTATTTCTTTCTTAGGATTAGATGAATGGTATTTTTTAAGTTTTCTGTACTGAACATGGGTTATTTTTGATACTAGGAAAAAATGTTACTTGCAACAATAAATATAATTTTAAAATCTACCATATCAATGAGTATATGTCTTTTTAAAAAGACCAGAATTAGTTGTACAACAATGTGAATATACTTCACACTGCTGAATTGTACACTTAAATATGGTTAAGATGGTAAATTTTATATGATGCCTATTTTACCACAATTAATTTTTTTTAAAAAAAGATAAAGAGATTATGGTAAAGCACTCTTCCATGAATAAAGTTACAACATTGTTTTAAAGCCCAGAAATAATTACTTTAAAATGTCAAGTGATTGCTTTTCTTTTTTTATTTTAAAATTTTGTTCTCCCTTATCATTATCCACAAATGGTTTCTTTTCTTTTTCCTGGGGGGTAGATTGCTGCTAGTAGTTATTTTCATCTTTATTTATTAGATTTATTTATTTCTAAAATATTGTATAGGGTAATTATTACCCTTAAATTAAAAAAAATTCATTCCATGATTTCAAAAATACTAAATAAAAACAGTGACTGTTTGGTAATTTGTCCTTGTTGACATGTCGTTTTGTATTTATTTTTATGTTGTTTCATGTGCAGATTTTATTTTCTCAAGGGGACTGCAGATTCCTAGTGGATCTTCTAGTGGTTTTGTTGTCTTCAGAGAGTTTTATACACATTAAAATTTGCATGTTCATCCACGACACTCACATCCACCCAAATAAAAGAGAAAGAAGCCTGCTGTAACCAAATTTTGACTGCTACCATTGTATTTCTTCTGCAAATATAAATATCTGATCATAAGGCTGTGTGAAACATTTTAAGTTGGTCAAAAACGAGACAGACATGTGAGTCACTCATTGTTGTCATTGTGCTCAGTATAGGTCTGAAAGCTCATCTATGTTAATTTTGACCAGAGTTCCCATCCTTTGTCTCTAGGCACAGGCAACACACTGAGCTGGCATCCTTGCTGTGGGATGAACAAAGCAATTTATCGTTATTGGCAAGTTGGCCAATTTCATCATTAATCGATCATTCACTTTTTCCAGTGTGGTCCTGAGGCATTCCTCTAGGGAGCAGAGGAATTAAGCAGGATTTGCTCGGTCAGGCATGGCAGCAACAGACTGTGAAAGAAATGTTCAAGGTATTTCGTCAATAACAGAAGGTCACTTGCCCTTGCAACAGTATGCATTTCAAACCAAAGGAAAATCAGGCCTAGGATTTTGGCTTCTCAGCGAGTTTTTATTATGAGCACCACCCCCTTCCTAGGCTGCAAATGCTTCTCCCAGAGGGATGCAGCGTAATTTTCACACTAGAGGAAAGCAGACCGCAGGAACACTGTGTCCCGACTGCTTCACTGCTTTGCACTCGCTGCAGACTCAGTCCTCAACCACTGCTTCATGTGAGGGCAACGGGGTGGAAAGGAGACGACCTGGCATGCCCGGTGTGGAATGCCAAGGACCTCTGTAAGATGCACACAATAGCTCTTTGCTCCTTTTGTATTGCCACAGCCCCCTCTGAAGAGTATTGATAAGGGGCCAGAACAGACAAGAAGTCAAGGACTGTGAACTAACAGGACTTTGAACCCCAGTTGCTTTTAAATTGACAAATAAGTGAACCTTTTAGCCGAAGATGAGGAAGAAATGAGATTTTGATCCACTTTGAGTATCTAATGCCTCTCTTAGAAGAAGAAAAGGCCCTTCTGAATGGTAACATTCCCCAGTGAGAGCCTATCAGTCGTCATCGTTCCGGGCAAAAGGCCCCGTGGAGACAGACACCACATGGCCCCCTGATCATCATCACACACTGCAGCAGAGAAGGATATGTCTGGATCTCCTTGTGTATGTGGTCAGATCACTACTTAACTTTGCATCCTGTGTACTAATCAATCATAATGCATATTAAATATAAGTATGTTTTCTAGCCACTCTGATATAGGGCTTACGACAAAAGAAAAAAAAAGAGTATTAATGCTCCTTTCAACTCCTTCCCCTAAAATAAACACAAAACAACAACAAAAATTGTAGTATCACTCTTTTTCACTTTTAATTCTTTATATCATCAACCCAAATTGATTGTCAGTATCTTAAGGATAGGAATCAAGTCTTCTACATAGTTTGCGTCACCCACAGTACCTAATCCAGTGCTGTGTCCTTCAGGCTCAATGCACGCTTACGAAGTCCATGGAAACTGCTTACGAAGTCCATGGAAACTAGCAGGTGCATAGCATGTTCTGGTCTTCACAGTGCCCTTCCATCTGGGAACATCTCATTGCACTCGTACCACTGAATTGAGTAGGAAATTAATACCCCAAAGTGTTGACTTCTCCTGTATCTTAGAGAAAGTGTGACTGAGATGAAATCAGAACTCAGGTTCCACTTTTGCTCATATTTTATTGTGTCCTGACATTACGAGTTTCCCACTTTGAAAATACAAAAATGGTAGGAAGGTAGTGCTTGGAGACTGAAGTCAGAAATTATCTCCAGATAGGGCCGCAGTTGGTTCTGAAACTATTCAAGTCATCTTGTCAAAATTAAAATCTGGGGGGAAATGTGTGCATGTGTTTGAAATGACTTATCTGAATCATTGATTTTGAAGAGTTCAGACCTTCAGAATACGACATACATCAAGAACATGACCTACATAGATCATTCTGGGATGCCCAGTGAAAAGTGGACTATTGAGAATCTTAGCAGACGTTTTGAGCACAGTGAAACAAGCGTGCCCAAAATGGGAGGATCTCATTTACATGTTACACCTGACTCAGTGTGGTTCTTGCATGAATTTCCCACATTAACTAATTTCATGGAAAGTTGACAAGTTTCCTCTTTACCAATCCTGCTAGGAACATCTAAAGTACAAAACGAGCACTCTACCATAAAGAGATACTGATGAAAAGATTTCATCAGACATTTCATTAAAGCATAACTCTCAGCTAGGCCTGGTGGTGCACACCTGTAATCCAGCACTTTGGAAGGCCAAGGCAGCTAGATTGCTTGAACCCACAAGTTCAAGACCAGCCTGTGCAACATGTCAAAACTCTGTCTCTACAAAAAATATAAAAATTAGCCACAGGACATGGTGGTGGCCATGCCTGTGGTCCCAGCAACTCAGGAGGCTGAGGTAGGAGGATCACTTGAACTGGGAGGTTGAGGCTGCAGTGAGCTGAGATTGTGCCACTGCACTCCAGCGTGAACAACAGAGTGAGACCCTGTCTCAAAAAAAAAAAAAATAGTGTTACCCTGTAATTTCTGGAGAGAATGATGTTTCACAAGGGAAATGAGAAGTCTCTCTTCTTGACCAAACTCCAGCCCTCCAGAATAGATTTGCCCATGATCTGAGCCCTCTTATTGACGAGGCTCAACCTTGGCTGATAAAGACTATGATCATGCACTAACACAGTTTCTGACAGCTCAAGGACATAACCCTGGGATGACCCTAGTCCCCTTGAAAGTGCCAGCTTGAGAAAACTTAAGGCTGCTGAAAGAATTCACTGTTGGTTCCAGCTAACACATGAAGATAAAGTGCTGTCTTCCAGTTTCTGTGGGAAGGTGGGAGCTTAACTTCATTCAGCACAAGTTAGCAAAAAAACAGATGGGTTTTTCATGGACCAACCCTTCCTTCCCACTTTTTGTATTTATCCATTTCCCTGATTGTACTAAGCCCTTGCTCACCCCTCTCCCTTTCCCTCATTCTACCTTTAAGACTCCCAATTGCCAATGTACAAATTGAAGTTCAGTTCAGTTCATGCTGTACTTTTTCCCTATCACGATAGTTATTACTGATTAAAATCTGTCCTTACCACTTTAACCAGTGCCCAGCTTTGCTTATCTTTGACAGGAGAGACCCTTCTGCCTTGCTTACTACCATATTTCCAGTATTTGTGCAATCTTTGTTCACTGTGTCTGCTTATTGAACAAATACATATAGTGAGTGTTCACTGTGGAGAATTCATTGACAGCTCAGTCCACAAAACTCATTCACCTTGTCCACAACCACTGATGTTTTACCCCTTTCCCTAGTTGGCACATGGGGTTCACTACCTTGGAATTCCACTTCTCATCTTTCCCAGAATGTCACAGCAGGGACTGAGTTCTGCCCATGACCTGACCCACTGGACACATCTTGACTAGCCTAACAATTCCTTCCTCCCCTAGAACACATATTTTTCTGTGATGTCCATACAGTCCCAAGCATTGCCTCTGAATGAGTTTACAGGGAGAATAGATTTTACCAGCATTATAACTCACTCAAGGTTGTGGGTTCCAAATTTGCACTTGAGCTTCCCTCAGTTCAAGTTGCAATGAGTACTGGCAAAAATGTGACCTCCTACTTCAAGAATAAAGGCTCTCAGGCGTTCTTAACTATCAAGTTCCTCTTACAAAAGAAGATCCTGATGAGTCAAGCGTAAAAGAATCGGGGTCTGAAGGATTTCATTTCTCCTGAAATATTTGATGCTTTTGTGGTAAAGGAGGCATTTATTTAGTAATATGCATGTGAGGTCTCACTCATCCCAAAATGTTTAAAAAAGAGATGAAGCTATCTTTACAATTCCATAGTCTTGCTAGGTCCTGTATTCCTTTACCTCCTTGAATAGAGTCTTCAAAGTTGCACTAAAATATTCCCAGGCTCATTTTGTACCAACTAGAAACCAGTGCTGTCCTAGATAAGCTTAATTCAGGACATGGAAATGAAGCAGAGCTTAAGTTCAAATCTTACTGTTAAAATAAAACAATAAGAAAAATAGGCCGGGCGCGGTGGCTCACGCCTGTAATCCCAGCACTTTGGGAGGCCGAAGCGGGTGGATCACAAGGTCAGGAGATCAAGACCATCCTGGCTAGCACGGTGGAACCCCGTCTCTACTAAAAATACAAAAAATTAGCCAGGCATGGTGGCGGACGCCTGTAGTCCCAGTTACTTGGGAGGCTGAGACAGGAGAATGGCGTGAACACGGGAGGCGGAGCTTGCAGTGAGCCGAGATTGCACCACTGCACTCCAGCCTGGGTGAGACAGAGCGAGACTCCATCTCAAAAAAAAAGACAAAAAGAAAAAGAAAAATACTCCAAATTCATCAGATGTGCTAGAATCCAGCACCCCTAAAACATGGGCCTTCTTAGAGCTTGGAATGTTTATAGTTTCTTTTTAATGTTATTTGTTGAAAAAGAGTTTGCCTATAGCTATAAATATTTCTTATGGCCAGCTCAGAAAGTTCCAGAGGCCCCTGGTTTTTCCAGCCAAATATGGGATTCTCTGGGTTCAGAACTATCATTTACCTTCACACTTTTACTGCCTGGAATGCTTCAGGGAAATGTTGTGAGGCACCATGAGTTCTCTGGGCTCTGGTGTATCACTTTAATTCCAACAAATAAGAAATACGTAATTATTAAAAGGGTATGCTTAGGATTGAGCTAGGGAATATAGAAAAGAAAGAAACAGTCTCTACCCAAAAGAAGTTTGTAACCTGAAATCAGGCATGAGACTTACATAGATGAAAGAATTTGTAAGCAAGACAGTAATAATAATAATAATAATAATATTGATAGCTAATCTTGATCACATATTTACTAATGAAGGGCATTGTTCTAAGAGCTGTACATGTATTATTTGACCACTGTCTTACAAGACAGATACTAGTATCATCCCCAGTTACACAAGAGAACACTTAAATAAAATAGGTTGAAGACCTTGCCGAAGATCACCCACCTGAATAAACTCAGGATTCAAAGCCAAAACTGAGGTTGCTGGGTATGCCTGTAATCCCAACACTTTGGGAGGCTGAGGCAGGAGGTTCACTTGAGCTCAGGAGTTTGACATCAGCTTGGGCAACACAGTGAGACTTTGTCTCTACGAAAATTCAAAAAAATTAGCCAGGCATGGGGGTACATGCCCAGAGCCCCAGCTACCTGGGGGGCTGAGGCAGGAGGATTGCTTGAGCCTGGGAAGTGGAGGCTTCAGTGAGCCCTGATTGTACCATTGCACCACAGCCTGGGCAACAGAGCAAGACCCTGTCTCAAAAAACAAAAACAAAAAGAAAGCCAAGGTAGGCAGCTCCAGAGCTTAAATGCCAAATCTCTGCCCACCACTGCCTTCAAACACGCATGTACACAGGTAAAGGTTAATGCACGTGTGTGTATAGATATAGCTATGCAATTATTACAAACTGAAAATAGAGCATGCCAATTCAGTTTATAAAGAATCTTTAATATTTTCCATGCATTTCAACCTATATTTCATTCAAAAATATTTACTAGACATTTGCTAAATGCAAGTTTTAAGAAATTAAGGCATTAACTCTGTCTACAAGGGAATAAGACAAAGCTAAACATTTTCTCATAGGGCAAGGAAGGGGAATAACAAACATTGCTGGAGACATAAAAAAGTCTTCATAAAATATAAATTAATTGAGCTAAGACAGAATTGCACGTAAAATTTGGGAGAGTAGGGTGGCATTGTTTGTGTATGTTTACCTACAATCTGCAGGAAACTATTTTCAAAGCACAATTTTGTTATTATTTGCTTGCATCTTATTTTTCTATATGCCATTGCAATTGCTTACTACAACTGATCCAGATCTCATTCACCAAAATGGGAAGTTAGTTGGACAGGACAAAACAGGAAGAAGAAACATCATCTAAAACCAATGCTGAACCACTTTAGAGAACTCCAAGAATGCCAGCAACAGACAAATTCAGGGCAGCAACTTCCCTGAAGAAAGCATCAGGTTTATAACTATTTAAAAACATTGCAGAGTGTCTCCTTTCAATTTCTCCATTCCTTCTTCCTGGTCTTTTCATCTTCCGTATACTCTGCAATACAAATGTTCCTTTTACATTGGGAGGCCATAGCAGAGGATCACTTGAGCCCAGGAGTTGGAGATCAGCCTGAGCAACATAGCGAGACCCCGTCTCTAAAACAAAAATTAAATAAAATAAAAAAAATTAGCCAGCATGGTGGTGCGTGCCCGTAGTCCCAGCTACTCAGGAGGCTGAGGCAGGAAGTTCACTTAAACCCAGGAGACTGAGGTTACAGTGAGCCATGATGGAGCCACTGTACTCCAGCATGAGTGACAAAGTGAGAGCCTGTCTCTAAAAGATAAATAAATAAAATAAAATGTTCCCTTTACAGTAGTCCCTCTCTTATCTGCAGTGACCCACAGTCAAGTGCAGCTCAAAAATATTAAATAAAAAATTCCAGAATTAACAACTTATGTTTTAAATTGTGTTCTGTTCTGAGTACTATGACAAAATCTCACACCTTTCCACTCTGTTCCACCCAAGATGTGAATCCTCCCTTCGTCCATCATATCCATGCTACACGCCAACTAGTCACTTAGTAGCTGCTTCCATTCCTCCAGAGGCACAGCTTCTCCACCCCACCACCCAGTCACCTTACTTCTAGCCATGATTTCTCCATCTTTCTACATGCCCCGACCTTCAGTACTAAATTTTGCTTCCACCATTATGTGTCTCTCTTCTCTCTTACCCAGATCATGCAAGTGGAAAGCCCCTTCCTTCTTTGATGGGGCCCAGGTCAATTTGTGTAATAGAAGGGCATAGCTAATAGAAACATAATAAAAGCAGAAAGGGTCACTGAAAGTGTTCTTTCACTAAGCAGATATGTCCCCAAAACATGCACAGGGAGAATAAGTAAGTGTGTGAGTCCAGAAGAGGAAATGAAACAAATATGGAGAATGCAGGACATCAAAGGAAAGCTCACTATTACGACGAGGAGGAAAGGGTTGTGCATTAATGACCTAAACATCAGAAAAAGGAAGATTCATTAGGCATTCCTCTCAAATCAGAATTGTATAGATACCTCTGGACACCTGATGCATAACAAGGACATCTGCATTTCAACAATGGGTGATTAAATGTACCTGGCTTATCCCACACTGCTTTAGCACATGAAGATCCCATTAGAATTAACATTTATTGAGCTGTGCCAGGTACTCTGCGAGGGCCTGGATTACTGGGAAAGGTAAATATACGATAACCAGTGGGGGCAAAACCATGTTTTGCATATATTCTGATTTTCTGGTATCATCTATAAGAAACTACTTTAAAAAACAGAGGACAATCTCTGAGAAAGTACCTTATTCAGCAACAAGTTTTGAAGAAGCTTTGCCCACCCTCATCTTAAGAAGGAGAAATGGAGGTAGTAAGCATGGATAGTCATGTACCTACCCTAAATAATAATGAACAGAAAGTGAGAAAAGTAATTTTCACAGGTAAGAAAACAATTAGCAACTTTTATCTGAATAACGCTGGTAACTGTCATGAAAAGTGATTGAAATCACTCACAGGTGAAAATAAGATAAGGGTCTTCCTCCAAAGTATGTAAGAAAAGCAAAGCTTTTTTATCTTTGCTCTGACTGTAATGTTATATTCCACTTGTGCAAAGTAATGCTAAAATTAATTATGAAACTGATTACTTACTAAAGAATTATATTTTTGTAGAGCAAGTACGAGCAAGTGTATTAACTTGTGTGTTGAATTCTGGTTCTCTACACAGGTTGAGTATCCCTAATCTGAAAATTCAAAATCTGAAATGCTCCAAACCAGAAAATCAGAAACTTTTTGAGCACCATCATGATGCTCAAAAGCAATGTTCACTGGGGCATTTTGGATTTTGGATCTCCAGATCAGGAATGCTCAGTTGGTTAGTATAGAATATAAATATTCCAAATCTGAAAAAATTCAAAATTCAAAACACTTCTGGTCCAAAGCATTTTGGATAAGGGATACTCCACCTGTATTATACATGTTGAATGGAAGTTTAGGACCTAAGCAATAGTAACAATTCAAGAGATAACCACAAGCACCCGAAAGAGAAGACAACCACAGCCAATAAGCTAAGTCATTTCCTTAGGGCTAATTTTTTGAACTCCAGCTATTTTGTTGACAGAACTATTCACTGATTTGTTCAATTAATACACTATCTTATTATTTCATTTTGGGAGGCAACAGCATTTCAAAACAGCCTGAGTTTTGAAGCAGACAGACTGGACTCTAATCAGCAACCTATTTTCATGCCCAGTGACTGTGAGGCATTCTTATAATCTCACTAAGCTAGATTTCCCTATCTGCAAAATCAAGGGCAATAAGACCTACCTTATAGGATTCATCTCAAGCTAATATTGGATAAATAGGTAAGACATAGCAATGGGCAAGGAACATGAATACACATGTCTCAAAAGAAGACATACAAATTGCCAATGGATTTATGAAAACAATGCTCATCATCACTAATCATTAAGGAAATGAAAATGAAATTCACAATGAGATAGTACCGCACACCTGTGTGAATGGCTACCATCTAAATAAAAGATAACTAGTATTGGCGAGGATGTGGAGAAATGGGAACCCTTGTACACAGTTGGTGGGAATGTTAATTAGTATAGCCATTATGGAAAACTGTATGGAGGTTCCTCAAAAAACTGAAAATAGAATTACCATATGATCCAGCAATTCTACTTCTGAGTATTTACCAAAAAGATTTGAAATCAGCACGTCAAAGAGATGTCTGCACTCCCATGGTCATTGGAGCACTATTCACAATAGCCAAGTTATGGAATCAACCTGTGTATTCATCAGCTGATGAATGAATAAAGAAAATATGCTACATATACACAGGGAATACTATTTAGCATTAAAAAAATAAAGAAATTCTGTCATTTGCCATAACAAAAAGCAAAGTAAGCCAGACATGGAAAGACAAATACTGCATGTTCTGATTTATATATGGAATCTAAAACAACTGGACTCATAGAAGCAGAGAGTATAATGGTCGTTACCAAAGGGTAGGGAATGGAAGAAATGAGATGATAGTCAAAGGATACAAAGCCTTGGTAAGACAGGAAGAATAAGGTTTTTTAGGTCTATTGCCAATATACATTATTATTAAGTATATTAATTAATTATGTATTATACAGTTCAAAATCTCTAAGAGAATAAATTTCAAATGTTCTCACAAAAAAATGATAAACATTTGAAGTGATGGATATGTTCATTGGCTTGATTTCATTATTCCCCATTGTATTCACAGACCATAACACCGCTTTGTACCCCATAAATAATACAACTATAATTTGTCAATTTACAATAACATTTTTAAAATAGATAGATATATAAAGCATAGCACTTAACCTAGGGTAAGCAAGTTAACATTAATTAACTTTTTCTTTCGAAGTTTTGTATTCTAAACCTGATAAAGTCAAAATTCCATAAGAGGGCATTCACAATTCTTCCAAATGCAACCCTGACCTACTGGCCTGGATAATGCTTTGCAATATTAGCCAATGTTTTCCCTGCATCATTTTCTTTAATACTTTGGACCTTTCCTTAACAATTCAGCTAGACTAGCAGTTCTTGAACCTGACTATAGTTAGAACCTACTGGGGAGGAGCTTTCAGAACAATACCAATATCTGTGCCCCACCTCAGACCAATCAAATCAGAGCCTCAGCCAGTAGACTTCTGCATCTGTATTCAATGTTATGGCTCAGAGTGATAGTAACATGCATCTGTGGCGGAGGACTCTGAGCTAGACCTTTCTAGATCGCCCAGGAAAGAAATTACAAGGTAGGAATCAGGACAAAAGGGGTCTGTTGTCAGCTTTTGAGTGTCAAAAGCCTAGCTTTCAAAAGAAATGAACAGAACACAGGACCTAAACAAAAATTTTGTAAAATGCACAATGGATAAGAGCAAAGATTCTCCATCATGACCACCACCATTTCTACATCCTAAATCCACACCCTGAAAATGACAAAAGCTAACCCTGGTTGGGAAGAGAGTCGAAAAGGAGGTAAGGACAGCGCTTGGAAGCTTGTCGCCTCTGAGAAATGGAGGGCTTGTACTCTGTCTTCCTGGGGTGGAGGGGAGAAGGGAGACAAAATCCTTCTTGATAAGTCTGTGGATCCAAAATCAGAAGGCCTTGTGCCTTACTTCCCAAATAGAGCCCCAAATAGGCAACTGGAGCTCAGAGAAGTGAATGCAGTGTGATTAAGCAAAGCAGATCTTAGTGTCAGAGAGCCTCAGAGCCTGAGGCTGCCTCCTGGGACCCTGGGAGCAGCTCGGCAGCCTTCCCAGAATGACCTAGCAGCAGCCATCAAGAGCTGACGACCAAGAGTCAGGCAGGATAGCAGTCACCTGACCATTCTCCACTCCCATTGATATCTATTTAAAGCCTTGGAACCCAGGGAAAACTTAGGAAAAGAAGAGAGGATTCCAGAATAGATGGAGATTAAGTTTTCTTCACGTGGCAGGATGAGAGCTTTAAAAAATAGGTTGATCAATAGAAGAATAAGTGAAGGTACATGCCCCTTGCACCTGAGCACGTGGACTTAGATTTCCACTGCCCTCATTACTCTTCCATGTTTATGAGTTTTAGGGCCACATAACTTGTCTTTAGAATGCCCTCTCCCACCCTTTCAGGCAAAGCCCCCCATGTTTTCTCCCTGATACCCTCTCTGACTTTCCTTGGAAAAACTCATTATCCCTCCTCCACATGCCCCTTAGAGAACTGCCCTAGTCCTCCAGACAGCTATAAATGAAGCTTACATAAATGGCTAGGAAGAGGAGCATGAGTGTATAAATGCCTACATATACATAAGTTTGCATGTATGGCCGCTGTATTAGTCCATTTTCATACTGCTATGAAGAAATACTCGAGACCGGGTAATTTATAAAGAAAAAGAGGTTTCATGGACTCACCATTCCACACGGCTGGGGAGGCCTCACAATCATGGCCGAAGGCAAAGGAGGAACAAAATCACATCTTACATGGCAGCAGGCAAGATTGTGTGTGTAGGGGAACTGCCTTTTATAAAACCATCTGGTCTCGTGAGACTTATTCACTATCACGAGAACAGCACAGGAAAAACCCAGCCCCATGATTCAATTACTTCCCACCAGGTCCCTCCCACAACACGTGGGGATAATGAGAGCTATAATTCAAGATGAGATTTCGGTGGGGCCACAGCCAAGCGATATCAGCCATCAAAACGCTTAGCACATCATGTGATAGTCAGGAGTTCGTCTGTCTCCTCCACTAGATTGTGAGCCCCTTGAAGGCCAGGACCATGTCACACTGATCTTTGTATTCTGACACCTTGCACATAGGAAGTATTCAATTGTTTGCTAAATGAATGAATGAAAGCATTAATTAATATGATAAATAACTATCAGGTGTAAGCCACAGTGATACTTTTCAAAATAATCGAAAATTTTTCAAAGTGTTGTTTTTTTGAAAAGATCACTCATGATATCCTCAAAGTATATAAAGGAAGCGATCATTCCCCATGTTGCCATCATTCCTTGTATTCACATCCACAACTGTAGACTGCATCTACTTCAATTAAAATAGATGGACTAGCTAGATAATCAAAACCCTGGCGTCTCTAAACAAAAGTTATTTTGATACTTCTATGTAATGCTATTTACTGCCTTCAATCAATCAGTAGAGAATTAGTTAAGCAACTGACAATAACTGTGGGATTTGAGAGTGGCAAATATCTCATTTACACCCAGTAGCAAACAAATTTGCTCCATGAAATTGCCATGCAGTGGCCACAGGCCCTTAAAATTCAGTTGGATTCCTAAAACATTTGTAGTACCATTTCTCATGTTTTAATATCCAGAAATTAGTCAAAGTGATAAATATGACCTCCATGTACACAAAAGCAAACTACACACTAAACAGGGGAAATAAAATGAAAACAGAAAAAAATTAAACCAGCTTCAGAGAGAAAATGCCTGATTATTTAAGAAATCAGGAGTGGGCAAGGGTGGTGTACCCAGGAGAGGCAAAAGATTCGTTCTTTTTTTAACAGGCTATTATAAAATGACTTGATTGGATCAACCAACTTTTAAGCCAAGGCATCTTTGAGATATTCCATGTCACTGTGTGTTTGTTGTGATGGAGGCACAATCATAATCTCCAAGTCCCAATAGCCTAACGTGCCTTCTTTCACTCCCAGCTGGCCCCAAACTGTACCCTGTCTTTCACGATGAAGATCTCATCTCTCTGACTCACGCTGGTCATCCCTCTGGCCTGGGAAGTGTCAGTTCTAATGAGCAGGAGGAGAAGGACTGAGATTCTTCAATGAGCATGGAAGAATGGAGGGACGCCAGCTAAATGCTATTCACACCCTAAATAGCCATTCAGATTAGTGGCCGTGGCTCGTAAAGGACAGATCCCACACTGATGTGTGTGCAGACCCCTTTCGAAATCAGTGATCCATGCAACTTGAGTGGTAATGGGATCCGACCCTTAGTGTCAAAACCTGCACCTGTTAGGCTTGGAACAATGGGTCATTCTGAAGTCAGCCACTGCAACTTGCTCTTTTCCAGACCAGTGAAAAGAATATCTCATTTCTCTTGGAAATTGGTGACCACCACGCAAAATACTTTCAGGCTATTTGCAAAACAGCATACAAGCTGTGAAAATGATGCTATTATAGTTGTAACACCACAGACCTGCTAGCCTCATATTTTGAGAATGATGCACATTAATCATATCTGCCTTCCATGTCAGCGGACTGTAAATTAAGCTCACGTGAATGGGTAGGAAGAGGGGCATGAATGTATGTGTGTATATACAGAGGGAGGTATTAATTAAATATATGCAAAGAGCACATTGACTTCTAATTTGAAGCATGGGGTCCCAGTCTCACTTCTCTCACTAGCTGTGTGACTTTGGGTAAGTCAAGTCATTATGCTTCTCTATGGAATGGAGAGAACATCAACCTCAGAGCATCATAGAGGATCAAGAAATTTACCTTCCCTTTGCTTTACTTTCAGTTAGTTTCATCAGCCATTAAAACTTTGGATTAAGTGATTTCTAAGGTTTCTTCTAATTCTAAAATTATATTATTCAACTTAGTTATTTGCTTAAATTATTCTGTGATTCAATATAATCTTAAAAGATCATGCTGCACACACCTTACCAGCCAGCAGAATTGTACCAATATATTACAACATTGATGAAAATGTATAACAAGTAGCTGCCTAAATCTGTGTTTATTCATTTTACCAAAATGGCGTTGATTATTTGTCTTTTTTTTTTTTTTTTTAGACAAGGTCTTGCTCTGTCACCCAGGCTGGAGTGCAGTGGCACATTGATAGCTCACTGTAGCCTCAACCTCCTGAGCTCAAGTGATTCTCCTGCTTCAGCGTTCCTCCCAAGTAGCTGGGACTACAGGCACATGCTACCATATCCAGCTAATTTTTTTGAATTGTTTTTTGTAGAGATGGGATCTTGCTATACGTTGCCCAGGATGATCTCAAACTCCTGGCCTCAAGCAATCCTCTCATCTTTGCCTCCCAAACTGCTGGGATTAGAAGCTTGAGCCACCATGTCCAGCCTATTTGTGCCATTTTTAATTGGCTTAAGAAGGCACTATCTTCAACTGCCCTGCCTCAAGGAAAATAATTAGAATAATCTTGCTACACTAATTTTGAGGATGAAGATTCCACATGCTTCCTTCATAGTTGGTACAGGTGTGTTGTCACACTGGTTGAGTATTGACAACCCAGTTTCCCTTTTGCTTCTGGTCACATGGTTAGGCTACATTTTCCAGCCTCCCTTTCACCTGGGCACAGACATGTGTCCTAGTTTGGGCCAATAGAATGTGGGTGGGAGTAATGTGTAGCAGTTCTGGCCCATAAAATCCTCCCACATGGAATCCTCCCCATCTGCCCATTTAATGGAGAGAATTCTAATGATTAAAGGAGGTGCAGCCAAAAGATGGAAGGTTTCCATGTCCCCAAATCAGAGCTTTAAGGAGACCTGCTCTGAAAAGCTTCCTGAAAACAAACATCCACATTAAATCGTTGTTGAGCAAAAAACCCAAAGTTTGTTAAACTTGTTAAATTTAGCAGTTATTATTACCAGAGTTAAATAACCCTGATTAATGAGGTCATGTAGGAACTCACCTTGATTCAGAGGTAGCCTGCAAGGATACTACCAGGCAGGCTACCTCAGAGGTCACAGAACAGAAAGGCTAACAGAGCAAGTCAAAATGCTCTGATCACTTGAGTTACTGAATTAATTTAAAACACACAAGGAAAGCAAGAAGGAAAGAGAGAGGGTACATTAACACACTGAGGCCTGGCCCATACTAACTAAATCCCAGGGCACATGATGTTCATATGTCCTGCCTCTGATTCAGCAAGCTTCCCTCATGATGGTATAGTTATAAGAAGCAGAGTTGGGGTCCAGGCAACACAAACCCTCCAGAAACTCACTGAGCCTCAAGAAACTCAACACAGATCCTCAAGAAACTCGGGCCCCTCCCAAGCCCACACACTGCCCTAGGGATCTTCTTGGCTCCCTGCTTCTCTGGAACCACTGGATTCACCAAGGCCAAACATAGTAAATGCATAGGCCGAAGCCTTGCCACCCAAAAAATTGATAGATGAAAGGAGCAAAGGAAATCTGAAGGCCCCTATGTCATTTCAAACATTCCTCTCATTTTTCCCAGTCCTAGAGAAAGGGCCCAGAGGATGTGCCTTGCAGTTCTTTTGTCAATAGCTCATGTTTCACCAAATAACAAGGAGGCAGCCCTTTCTGTCATGAAATATGAGGTATTATTTTCTTCCCCATTATTCAGCATTGTGAAACCCTCCAGAAACTCTTCAATCATCTGCAGCAATTTTTCTCAAGACAAATCCAAGTATAATAAATGGTGTTTTGCATATTGAGAGGATAATGGCAATTGCAAAAAAAAAAAGAAAGAAAGAAAGAAATTCTCTCCTAAATTATTCTGTTAGCCTAATTTATATTCCCTGATTAAGATGGATACTGGCAGCAATAAGAAATTACTCACATGCTCTAAGATATTGCTCAGGGGCCTAAAGCTTACACAATTGGGGTATTTAAGGGAAAAAGTTTTTAAGGAAAACTGTATTAAAAAGTCTTATTTTCACAGATTTAACAAAAACATGGGACCATGTGACCACATCACCAGACCCCTTCTCAGGTCTTTGAAAGCAACCTGTGAAATTGAGAAGCCCTGCAGCTTAAGTTTTATTCATTCATGGTAAACACACCTCTAACTGAGGGTATTCTTAAATTGCAGGTTTAGTCCGGAAGTATCTGGGGGTCTTTCTATTTTTGCAAAGGAAGCCTAAAGAGACACTGCTAGGAAGAAATGGAGTAAGGACATTTAAAAACTGAATTTCCACATTTCCAAGCAATTAAAATCACAGTTGTAAATGGATGTTCCAATACCATTCAGTGCACAGCTATTCTTTATTCCTCAGAAGGAACCAAATATCCAGACGATATTTGAAATGTCTTAAGCAAAAAACTCACAGGAGGTGGGGGTAGGGGATGACAACTGATCTGCAGCTAATACCAGGGAACAGTCTTTGTGTTCTGCGTCGAGACACCGTCTGAGGCATCAGATACACACACGCCCGCTCTACCTCCTAAGTTAGCCTGAGAAGAGGACGTGGGGCCTGCAGAGGTAGCCACATTTCTCAGCATAACCTTTCCAAGCACGACTTCCCGTCTACACACAGACAGCGGGCATTTGGGAAAGAGGCCAGGCTCAAGGGGACCAGGTCATTTTCCTGGTGCTTTGTCGCTGGCTTTTATTTTCTGGGAATCCCGCAGAGTCAGCACAATCGGGATAAGCTGAGTTCATGTGTGGACAAAGAGCAGACTCATTGCCTCAGCATAGAGATCTCTGCTTGCTTCACACAGCTCGTGATGCGGATGGCAGGGAAGTGGAATATGCCGGAGATGAACATTAAGTAGAGAAACTTGGGTGCCTTTGTCTTTTGGCTTAGATCACTTCGTCAGGCCCAAACGCAAACCTGATAGCACAGACCAGTTTCTCCAGAAAGATCAGATGGAAGCAGCAACATGCGGTCAAGAGATTGCTTTGTCTTCCTGTTGGCAAACATCTGTGCATGTAAAAACATCCGGAGAGCTGACTGAACTCAGTTTAGATCCGGAGGTTAGGCATCCCAAGACACGGCCTGTCCCACCACCCACCATTTCCGTAGCCAACTGTTTACCTGGTCCTCCCAACAACTTACAGAAGAGCCCTAAAGTGTCCTGGTCCTCACTCAGTGAGGAGCCAAGGGCCAAGGGAGGTGACTCAACAGTGGCAGCTCCATCGGATGTGAGCCTGGCACCAGGGCTGCATGGCACAGCTGCGTCTTTTATTCCAAAGGGCCCTCTAAAAATCACTAGGTTTTGCTTTCCTGGCAGAGCATCAGTCCTTCATGGAAGGCACCTACTGTCAGGACAACCGGGCAGCTTCAAAGGCCTAAGGATTCCTGCGACGAAGGGAGTGCAGCTTCCTCCATGTGAACGATAGGTCACCCTGGGGTGGCCAGCAACTCGCTCAGCTCCTCGTGGCTGCTCTGCCCTGGCTGGGGAAAATGAGTCCCTGCTTTAGAGCCAGAGGAACACAATGACCTCCTTATCCCTTTTTAAACAGCCACTTTCCTTGCAAATCTCTGCTAATAAGCACAGCTTATCTTTATTTACCAGGTAGCTCCTTTCCCTTCTGAGATATCAGAAGGCCCAATGAGAGGAAGCAGAGAGAAAAGGGTTTTCTACAAAGTGACAAGGAGACAGCACTTTTCTGTCTAAAAATACACAGATGTCCTTCTCCTTAGTGGTGCTAACTTGTTATAGATAGTTTGGGGACAGCTTTGAAAAACTTATGAGAATTCCATGTAGCCTGTGATTGGTGGGAGTTCCCACTTAACTGTTCTGTGTTCTTTTCATCTTTCCATCAGCTGAGCTAAACACTGCAAAGCAAAAAAAACTTTAAAACCAATTGGTCTAGCCCCCACCTCTGAGCAGAGTTACACGTAACCATTCAATATTCTTAGATTAAATGACTTTAATAAGCTCTCGTGATTCTACCACTCTAACCCCATAAACCAGGAGTGAAATCCTCAATTCTGAGTTCAGATACTAGGAAATCCTTTTTCTGCAGCACACTTTATGACTTTTATGCATTTTAATTCTAAAATGCTACTTTCCTAATTAAATGTAGTACAATCTTTCCTAATCTTATGTAGTACAATTGCAGCTCAATCATATTTTTGGGGAACTCTAGAATACCCTGGAATATATAAGCCACAGCTATGCATAAATATATATATATATATATAAAAGGATACAGTAAGTTGAGACTCCTGATCTATAAATAAGTCTGTTCACTTGCATAATTATGAGGACTGAACAGGATAAATTTCACTCTTGTAAAAACCAATAGGCCTAGGAAAGACTCAAATCTCTATCTCAGTTTCACAGGGAGCTCTAGGGAAGCACATTCCCAAAGCAGACGTCGTTGGGTAAAAGCCAATGCCCTGCTCTAGGTCAAAATATTGCAAATTTCCTAAGCAAAATTTGTTTCTGTTCTAGAAAAATAGGTTATGTTCACCTGGATCACTTACCAAAGGCTTCTGGGATTCAATGGAATACGAGGACCTACTGAACTGTGAAGTGCTTGAAGGCAGAAAATGTATCATTCATTTTTAAAATCCCTGACATTAAGCATAGGGACTGGTGGTGCTGGTGGTGGTGGTGGTGATGATGATAATGATGATGACGATGATGATAGCAGCAACTGTTCATTGAGCACTTACAATGTGTCAGGGACTTTGCTGTTTCCTTTACATATATTAATTCATTTATAACTCAGTATTATATATACTTATATACTTATATATTTACTACTTACAGTATATATATATAATATATATTATATACATTAATTCATTTATTACTCACAGCAACCTGTGAGCCAGGTACTATTAACAACCCTATCCTACAGATGAGGACACTCGGTAATAAACTCAGAGTTTAAGTAATGGCCAAAGCCAGAGAGTTTAAGTAATGGCCAAAGTCATACCTCTGGTAAATGGTAGAGACAGGATTCAAAGCCAGGTCTTTCTGAACCTGTAAATTGCACTACTCCTGAACCTGTAAATTACACAACTATGACAATATAGCCTGCTACATGGTAAATGTTTAATAAATGTATTTGGACAAAACTGAGCAGGTGTAGTGGAATTGGTGGGATAATTTTCTCCCTACTTTCAATTTCTATCTGACTTGCGCAGGCATTTGTTTGTTACAGACCACATTCTTGTGATTGTTATTGTGATGGTCTTAGTTCTCCAAACTACACTACAAGTCTCTTGAGGGCAAGACAACATATTCTTCACAATAATAATAGATGCTGTATTATGCTCCATGCTTTATACATTTTTAATCCTTATAATGGATCTGAAAGGGATATATTAGCATTTCCATTTTTCGAATGAGGAAACAAATGCAAAGGTGAATGACTTGCCTGTGGCTACCAAGCTAACAGTGGGAGATTCAAACACCTTCTGTCTGCCTCACATTTTTCCACTTTGCTCTGCTGAAAGCCAAACACTTACATTACCCAGCTCTAGAGATTTAGCATGGTCTAGGATACTTGAATATTATTGTCTCAGTTACTCTTCATTCAGAGCTCTCTCTCCTGGCTAGACTGGTGAAAATCATAGAGCTCTGGTAGATGAGGAATAGGGAGGAAAAAGATATCACATTTCTGGTCTGGTTTGGTTCTCTGATCTCATTTGCTTGGATGGGCTACAGAAAATCAGCAGTGGGGGTCGGGGAATTGGGGGCCAAAGTTTAGTTACTTAAGAGAGCTGGACAGAGGAGAAAACCCTCCACTTTCTTTGTCCCATCTGCCACACCCAAGAGCTGGCATCACACCACTGCTGACATGTACAGTGTCTGTTGGCTGGGCTGAGAACCCCATGTAACCTCCACAGCTAAGGTGTCCTTGGGGGATACAGGCCAATTTCTCCAGCAGCCCCAGGTTCCAGAGGGACAATAATGTCTCATCAGGTCCTAACACTGTCATGTGCTACCCCTACTACTGGGGTTAGAATGTTTCACTAGGATCCATAATATCTCCTAGCTATGTAGTCTCACCTCCCTACAAATCTGAGATATGGTTTCTGACACAAGGGAAGGGTATCTGTTAGACTGTAAAGATGTACCACTTTTATTCTCAGCTAGAGGCCTTCTCTTTGGGGTGATGACCAGCTAGTAGCTGCAGGTGTGGGAAAGGGTTGCCTTTTCTTGATACTTGGCCACCTTTTACGAAAGAATGCAAAAGTGAGCCTAAAGACAATAAATATTAGATAGAAGAATAGATTCCTAAGAATATATTCCTTTCTAATATTAGAAAGAGGAATAGATTCCTTGGCCAGTCAGCCTCTGTATGTCTGAAATCACCCAAAGAGTTCTACTTAAAAAAAAATGTTTAGATTGAGTTATCCAGTTAAAATCAAACTCTCCAGGCTGACTGATATCAATGGCTCATATGTGCAATTGGCTTTCCTCCTGGTTGTAAGCAAGAGGACAAGGACCACATCTTCCCTGTGCACCCAGCATAACATGGCCCCTAGCAGGTGCTCCATAGGCACTTGTTGTACACATGTACAACAGTAATTATGGCTTGTTGTAATTATTCAACTTGTTGAATGAAGGTTGAACATCATCAGGAGAGACTCACTTGGCCTTCGTCTGTGGAAGCAAAGGATGAAAATGTAATAGAGAATAATAGAATAGAGACATCTTCATGGTCCCTGACTCCCAGTAAAGCTAGGATCTTTGTACCTAATCATAAGTAACAGGGATATTCTGAAGGGGTTCTGTGGCCCCTTGACAATCATAAGTGATTTTGAGAAATAAATATTTTGACATCTAGTCCCAAAGCATTAGTCATGAGACTGACAATCATTGATGAGACAGTGGAAATGTGGAAGTTGGCACTGGACTATGAAAATGCAGTTCCGTGGGACTTGGATGAGGCATGACAGCCAGAAGATCAGCTTCAGACACGAAACCCTTCCTCCTAGCCCCACCAAAATTATTCTTCAGTGTGTAGCTCCATTGCATACGGGCTGGGGATGAGCCTTTTCCTCTATGTTGCTCCCTTGATTCTCTTTCATGCACATTCTTGGCATGTCACAGACTCTCCCCAGCCTTGAATTCTAGCCCCATTCCATCTCATCTGGGGCAAGTCTCACAATTCCTCATCTATTCAGTGTGCACAATTCATATCTGCTGTACCTGACTCAGGATTCCTGGGAGAATCAAATGAGATTATTCATTCGGCTTTTCAACAAATATTTGTTGAGTAGTTGCTGAATAACATAGTGTAAGGGAGACTGTGAGAGATAATGATGAATCAGACTGCGTCTTACCCTCAGGGACCCAGGCAATGTACAAGGCGAGACAAGTTCACATTCCAAGGTGAAATCGTCAGTCCAAGAGAGGACCAGATACTGGGCTATGGGAGCTCAGAGGTAATATGGATTATTCCAGCAGGAGGTAATAAAGAGGGCTCCAGAACAGAGGCTGCTGTTTTTGGGCTGAATTTCCAGAGTTAAAATGCAAGCAGTTTGGAAACAAAATTGGTACACAAATATTGGGCATAGGTTATAAATACCTAATTTATGGAATTCTCTATGTCCCAGAGTAATGCCTACCTAAACTCACATAGATTTCAAGCAAATAACAGATAACATTTATGGAGTACTCTTGCAGTGCAAGATACTATATGCTTTATATTTGAGAACTCAACGTAATCTAAGCAAAACCCTAAGAGGCAAGATCTAGTATCAAATCCACATTGCAAATGAGGAGAATAAGGCACTGAGGGGTTGAGTTTCTTGCTGAAGGTCACACAGACAATAAATTATACAGCCAATATTTAAACTCAGGTGGTCAGAGTTCAAATACTGCTTCTCAGACAAAGGAACAAAAATAATAAAGTCATTGCTCAAATAATTCAGTCCCTTCACAGAACTGTTATTTTGAAAAAAATAAATGTTGGATCCTGGTGAATTATGGCAAAATTTATCTGGGAAATTACATTTCAGGTTGAGAACGTACAGGAATAAAGCCTCTTTCTTCATAGGCATCATTGAAGTCATTCCAGAGTATTTTGTGCTATGGCCAGTAGATGGCAGAAAGTGACAAGAAAAGGACTGGAAACTGGGACCCCCCCCCCCACCACACACACACACACACACACACACACACACACACACACACACACACTAGCTCCCTGCTTGCAAAACAAAATGCATTTTGCCTACAATATATTTCGTTTAGAGTAGCAAACACTTTCTCCTTCCTCAAAGCGAGCTCCAGAGTAGAAACTGCAATTGTGTATTTGAAATTCTCCAGTCACCAAATCCAAGAAAGGTGAAGAGGAACTGCCCCAGTGGCGTCTGCGAGGCGTTTCCTCTATAAAGCTGTCGTCCCTAGCTCTGGTCAGTGCTGACCAAGTCACCCTGGCCTCCTCCCCGGCCCCTTTTTCTACTGCAGGAAAGGCTGGAGCTTCGGAAGAGATAACATCAGGGAAGTACTTGGCAACTATGAAGAGTTTTACCCATGTTAAAACAAAAGCCAGCAAAGCATTCCTTCAGTAAAGATATGTTAAGCACCTATCGTGTGCTGGGCTCTGGGCACAACCAAAAGCTTGGCAGCTGCTATTTAACCTCCTCCTGCTTCACCAGCAGCAAACTGTTGCCAAATGAGCCTAAAAAGAAATTAGTTCCATGGATTCCTTTGCTGAGTAATTCTGCAGTGAAAATAAGAGAAATCAGACACACTGGAAACTTTTAATTACAAGAAAACCTGGGGAATCCTATTGCCGTCTTAGATTTTAAAAGACCGCTCTAAGTATTGAACTCAGAAGCTTTAAAAGGAAAAGATATTATTAGACTTGACTACATAAAACTTTTAATCATCTGAACTTCAAAAAGCACTTTGAAAATCAGAAGAAAAAATAAAAAGCTGTAAAACATATGACAAAGAATTAATGTTCTTAAATATAAATATTCTAAGAGCTCTTATAAATCAATAAATGTATAGATCAATAAATCCTGTAAATCAATATTCTTATCAATTGATCAGATGGGCAAACGGCATGAAGAGGCATATCACAGGATAAAATGGAGCAAAGGGCCAATGAAACATTGGAAATGTGCTCAATTTAATTCATAGTAAATAAATACAAATTTAAATGGAAACAATAGTTTATTTTTCACCCCTGGGTATGGAGTCAGCCTTCTCCTGGGGTATTGGTAAGTATAAGTTGGCAAAACTTTTTCAAGAACAATTTGACAACATTTAGGAATATGTTTGCATTTCCTTGACTTAGAAATTCTGGTCTTCTCTGCCTCCCTCACTCAGGTGCACTCAGTCAGTCCTGTATCTTTCAACATGTCTCATAGACTGACAGTGGCCAAATTAAGTCTCCAGCCCTGACCTCTCCTCTGCACCCCAGGCTCCTTTCTGAACACCTCCCTTTGGATGTGTAATAAACACAGCAAACATCAGTCCACGATGGAATTCTTTTTCCTTTCCCCTACCTTCTCAAAACTGCTCCTGCTCCCCATCCCCTCTTAGTAAATGGCCCTGCCACTCAGCATATTAGTGAAGTCCCGGAACCCTGGAGTTATCCTTGATATGCTCTTCTGTCCTTGAACCTGCCACATTTCCATCTTTGATTTCCTGTTCCAGAATGTTCTCTCCCTTGCTTCATCAAGTCTCTCACCAGAGAAGTCTTTCCTGACCACACACTCTGGAATAGTAACTCTGTCACTCTCCATTCCCTCCACTGTCTTATTGTTCTTAGCTTACGTCACCACCTGATGTCATGACTCTTGCCTGTCTAGGCACTACTGTATAAGCGCCACTGAAGCAGGATCTATATTGTCTTCAACACAGCATTCCTAGTGCCTACCACATTTCTTGGCACATAGTGGGCTCTCAAAAATCAGTGTGGGATGAATGAATCCAGGACTTACCCTACAGATGTGTGTATGTGTGTATAAATATATATTCAATTAACTATGCCTTAATAGGGACTAGTTAAGTGGATTATAATTTTTTAAAACCCTCAGTTTCCTCATACAAAAATAGGATAGAAAAAAGTACCTATCTCATATGGTTTTTGTGAGAATAAAATAAAAATGACACCTGGTACTTGGTACATAGACACATTCAACAAATGTTAGGTACTGGCAGCTCATCACTGCTTGGCAGCCGATAAAAAGAATGAGTTAAATCAAATGTACTGACCTGGAAGATGTCCACAACATATGGTTAAATTAAAAAACCAAGGTTGCAAAGCAATGTGAATACTATGCTCTTAGGGAAAGGCCCAGAAGGAGTTCAGGGAAGCATCTGAAGGTGATGGGTGGCTGTGGTAGCCACCTATGGTGAATGAAGTTCACAGAGAAAGGTCTGGGGAAGAGAGAAGAGACCAGGCATGTAACGTATTTGCTTAAATATGCTTCTGTATGGTTTGAATGTTTGGCAAAGCATATTGATACTTTTACAATATTTTTTAACTTTAAAAGCAGATAACGCCCCAGAGAACTACTCTGTTGTTACGCTGTAACAGGGAAATGTGTTGAGCTTCCAGGCTGCTAAAGAAATTTTGCCCCAGCCTGCCTTGAATTTTTGTAGGTAAAACCTGACACTACAGGAAAAGTTTGGGACAAGTTTAGCAAGCATATTCTACTCAAGTCTGGTGAGAAAACTGTAATTGTTAGATTTGATTTTTTAAGCAATACCACAGGATGGCTAGAAGGATTCGATGAATTGGCAAATGTGAAACATGGAGCCCTTGTACCTAATGGCTGTCCATTAGATACCAGCTGTGTCAGAATGTGATGCAGACAGGAACATTTTCAAGGACTGGGGAGAGTTATTAAATTGCATTTGCTGTTTGTTCTCCTTCACTGAACAAATATTTATTGAGCATGCACTATGTGCCAGGTGCTGGGCCAGACATAGGTATTCAGCAGGACCAGACAGACTTCATTTTTGCCTTCAGGGGAATTCCCTCCTTTTGTACTCATGCAACTGCAATGCTTCCAGGGTTAGGCAGGATTTCAGGCAGCCTGGTTATTCAGGTAGCATGCTTATCTTCAGAGCTGTGGGTTTTCTGTCTAGAATTAAACTACAAAGTGATGAAAGCATAAGGACTATCTCTAAATTTGGAAATTTAACCAGGATCTTTCTTGAGCAATGAAATGGCATGAAAGTAGTTCCCAAATAGCAGTATTCCAAAAGTGCAATGCTAATGAAACAACACACTACAATAGCAGGAGTTGTATTCCACCCTTTATGTAGCAGGGATGAAGACTACAAGGAGAAAAGTCCACATGTTTGGTGAAAAGTAGCCCATTACCTAAGGAGAGGATTCTCTTACAAGTAAAATAAAAACTCAAGCCATTACACCTATGTACAAGAGTCAAAGTTCCATGGGCCCTTCTTGACCTAGGATCTACTTGAAGAGGGACACATGCCCCATGCAACAGCCGAGGGATGAGACATGAAGGGGAGAAGGCGGATTGGGATACGCTTTCAACATCATCCCCCAGAGCAGATTCCTTGCTCCAAGCTTGGAGGACTCTTCCTGCAAGAGCTGCATCCATAGCAGAAATCATACACATTTGAGAATCTGTTTATATGGGTTTGTTGTGCTGGCCTTCCATCCATTCATTTCACAAGAATTGCTTGAAAGTCGCCGCCATTTCTCTTTTGTACTCCCCTCATGAGGAACAATCCAGTGCCTCGCCCAGAGTAGATGCTCTCAAAGCCACCTGTACATATTGGGGACAAAAGAAGTGGACTTCACACTATCTATTTAACTTCTTGAACTACAGGAAACATTATTAGAGCTCTATGTTATATTTCCTCTGCATTACCTTGTGGTCAAGCAGGGCATTGAACAGAGGACACAGGGACAGCAAGGCTGACTGTGTTATCAATATTTGTGGAAGGGAACAGAGCAAAACCAGATTGAAGGCCATCCCACAGTTCTGGCATGGCTTCTATAGAAGCAGGAGATAGACAGAAAGGAAAGAAACAAAACAAAACAAAACAAAGCCTGGGTTGCCCCTTTTCAACGATCCTTCCTCACTAATCTAATCCTATCGGCTGCTACTCCTTATGGGGTATCCTTTTTATCTTTGGTTTAAACTAAACCAGATCTCATAAAAAGTTGGCTTTGTTTTCAATCTTTTGCCTCCTTTTTACATTTTTTATTTTTTGCAGAGACAGAGTTTCACTATGTTGCCCAGGCTCGTCTTGAACTCCTGGTCTCAAACCATCCTCCTGCCTCAGCCTTCTAAAGTTCTGGGATTACAGGCATAAGCCACCAGCACCCAGTCTCCCCTTCCTAAATAATAAGTAATAAGCCAAGTCTACATCACCTATTATAAGGAGTTGGCCCCAAAGACACTCTGTAAAATTTTTGTGGTTGGTGAAGGTAACCCAGGGAGAAAATAATGGGAAACCTATCCTTAGCTGTCTCTTTAGACATTAAAAAATATATTTTTAAAACAGAGCCTGCTGTTCATTTGCAGAAAAGCCTGCCCAGCTCCCAAAATTCTTCAAAACACTTCTGTTCAGTTCCATCCAGATGTCTTACTTATTACTAATCTAAAATTAAGTGCAGTGTTTTGGAGGTGAGAATGACACTTTTGTTCGTTTTTTAAAGAAGATATTTGAGTATTCCTCTTCTCTATAACCATAAACCTTTCAAATATAAATCTTGAGTTAAAAGATAAACTATCCCTAAAAAGTATTCCAAAGGATTTCCACTTAAATTCAATAATTTTTACACTTAACCTTCATTTCTTTGGATTTTCCCAAAAGGTTTGCACATCTTTTCCAGCCCTACCCTCAGCCCCCGACTCTCCCAGCCATCAGTATACGCCTTAGCAGGCAGTTCTTTCTAAAGGCAGGTCAAGCAGGAAACACTTCCATCAACTCAGCAGGAAACTGGTGGATACGTCTCCTCCTTCCTTCTTTGACCACTATTCCCTGCCCTCACAACCCACCCCAGCCACGGAAAATCCAGCATCATTGTGGCAAGAGATAGACAGTGATGAGCTGGCTATGGAGGAATAATTCAGGGAAAAGTTATGGGAAGTTTGGGAGCACCATATTAACAGGTAGTCATTCTGAAATCTGGCTGGACTGAACCCTCAGATGGAATGAGGGGCCACCAGCAGAGCCAGTCACTCAGCACTCTGAGCATCTTGTGCCTTTGTTGAGAAATATGACAAATACAGTCATAAATTTAAATCCTAAAACTTCAACTTTGCAAGAAGCTTACCTCAATTCTGTTGAGTTTTACAACTGTTGAGCACCAAGTGCCCAGTGCTATTGCTAAATAATGTAAAGATAAATTTTTAAAATATATATATATATATATATAAAGTTTTTTCCCCTGTGGGAACTAAGAAATCCCAGCCCATTGTTCTAAGAAACATTCTTCCTCAGAGGATAACATCAAGGAAACAATTTAGAAAATTTCCCATATTGAGTTTCCCTGAGTTTTCCAGATGAAGAGCCCATAGGGTGCTCAGAACAGTGGAAGAAAATAAAACAACACAAAGCACATCCTGGTAAAATTTCAGAACACTGGGGACTAAGAGAAGATCCTTAACTCTTCTAGGGGTGGGGGAAAGCATGTCCCTTTAAAAGCATCAGGAATCAGTTTAGCATTGTAGGACAAGTTGTAATGCATTGAAATACTGAGGAGAAAAATATTTCCAACACAGAATTCTCCACCCAGCAAAACTATCAAAGACACATGAAGGTAAAGATATATTTAGACATTCGAAGTCTCAAAATATTCCTTTTCTGCACCTTTCTCAGGAAATTTCTAGATCAAGGAAAAGGAAGAAAATGGATCCATGAAAAGGAGGCTCTAACTCAAGAGGAACACAAAGGGAATCCCCAACATGCTGAAGAAAAAAAAAATCCAGGATGACCATTCTGTTGCAGCCCAGAATGGAGCAGGTCAGGAGGCTCTCGGAGAGCTGTCTCCCAGGAGAAGAAACGGACAGAATTCCTGCTGTGTGTGAGGGAGATTTAGACAATGGGGAGAGGAGTTGGAGGATGAATTAGTGATGACCACATAGAAAAGCTAAGCAAAGCAAAGCATGAGATAATTATTAACTCCAGGAAAACAAACAGTTGCACAAGAAAAGAGACATAATCACGATGTACTACATGGCTCACATGCGATTAGCATTCATATAGGCAAAATCATGTAAATGCTGGGTTCAGAGCTAAGTGAAAGTATGATTCAACCATACTGTGAGGATGCAGGTGGGTGGGCAGAAAGCAATATGTGTGTTACAGTGGAGGTGGACAGTTAAAGAGAGATAAACCTTTGTCTTCCATGGTGAGAATTCATTGGATAATCCCTAAAACTGAAAAATTAAGAAATGAGAGCAGAAAAGCCAGACTAGTTGGAAATGTTTGTTGCTAGGGAATGGCAAATGGAGATATAAGTAGGCAAGGCATTGGTGGTTTTTGTTATAAGCATTGCAGAACCACTTGACTTTTAAACTATGTGCATATATATCTTTGTTAAATTTTTTTAATGTAAAGACCCATCATCTTCTAAGAAGTTTCCATCTTTCATGGCCCAGAACCACTGTTACGTTTTTAGAAAGACCATATAAAGTAGCAGTTAAAGCATGAGCTTTGAGTCAGACATATCTGGGCTCAAATCCTGGAGCTGCCATCCACTAATTATGACCTTAGGCAAGCTACTTAATATTTCTGAGCCACAATTTTTTCATCTGTAAAATGAGGATAGTAGTAATAATAGCACCTATCTTATCTGGTATGATAAAGATAAAATTATAACAAGCATATAAAAAGCAATAAATGTTAGATATTATTATTGCCATCAACAGGTAAGTATGTAAATCAATAGAACAGATCAGGTTAAGAGAAACAGATATAGCCCAAGCTGTGAATCTGTCTGCCTGTTACCCTTCGTAATTCAGCAGCTAGCATGTTGTCTGACACATAGAAAGGGCTCACTTGTAAATATTTGTAGAATGAATGAATGCGTGCCCCAAGCGTCTCTGGATATTCTAGAACTAGTTCAACCATAGGAAGAGGAAACCCAATGAACCCTGAACTCAAAGACTGAGTAACTGGGGCAGAGGCTTTCATACTAAGGAATGAAAATGTGACTTTCATTCCTTAGTATTTGAATTCCAGGTTTTAGGTGGGCACGTGGCTACCACAAGGAGACTGCATTTCCCTCCTGGTCGTACTTCTGGCCATACTTTTTTTTTTTTTTTTTTTGAGACAGAGTCTCATTCTGTCACCCAGGCTGGAGTTCAGTGGCACCATCTCAGCTCACTGCAACCTCCGCCTCCTAGGTTCAAGCGATTCTCCTGCCCCAGCCTCCCAAGTACCTGGAACTACAGGCGCCCACCAGCATGCCCAGCTAATTTTTAGTATTTTTAGTAGAGATGGGGTTTCACCGTGTTAGCCAGGATGGTCTCGATCTCCTGACCTCATGATCCACCTGTCTCACCCTCCCAAAGTGCTGGGATTACAGGCATGAGCCACTGCGCTTGGCCTTGTACTTCTTATCTACTGCTATTAGGATTTCCTCCAGTACTGCTTCTACCCTAGCCACTTAATCTTTTCCTGGCCCATCAAAGGTAAACTCATCTCACTGCTGAGCAAGCCTGTTCTGACATACCATCTCTGGCTGTCAGAGCCAGTTGTGATGCGGTCAACATATTGGGAAGATGAGCAATTCCAGGGAAAGTGGGCATCAGACTGGTGCCACTGAGGGACTTCTGGATGAGCCAAGGGCTGATGCGTACCCCAACAGATGTTAGACAAATGTCCTCTGGATGTTTTGGGCTGAATCAAATAATCCAGGGGCTTTTCCCCAAAGTATAACTAAATGATTTGATTCCTTGAATCTTGTACTAATTTATTTATCTATTGAAACATCTCCTCATACCTGTAATCCCTGTACTTTGAGAGGCCAAAGTGGGCAGATCACTTGAAACTAGGAGTTCAAGACCAGCTTGGCCAACATGGCAAAACCCTGTCTCTACTAAAAATACAAAAATTAGCCAGGTGTGGTGGCACACACCTGTAATCCCAGCTACTCAGGAGGCTGAGGCAGGAGAATCACTTGAACCTGGGAGGCGGAGATTGTGGTGAGCCAAGATCACGCCATTGCACTCCAGCCTGGGCAACAAGAGCAAAACTCCATCTCAAAAAAAAAAAAGGATATAAATATTCCTTAGCAAAGGGCTTCAACATGTGAATTGGGAAGAAGATAAAATTCCATAACACCTGTTTTTTCCCCACACAACTGAGACAAGCAACATATGAAGAAGGAAAGTCATTTCACTCCCAGGAAGCAGGGAGAAAACTTTAAGCATTATTGTGTGAACATCTGGAGTCTGTGTAACAAATGGCAAGAAGTGCCATGCCCAGTGGTTTGTAACCAGATCCTGGAAGATGAAGAATTGCAATGTGAGTTTGTAGACCAGAAGTGGCAAGCTCAAAAGTTGATGAGGTGCAGGCAGGCACTGTAAATGCAAAAGCTGGAAGGGTAATGTAGGTGCACATGTAGACATTGAGGATGTGATGGAGACACTGACAGGATGCTCGGCAAATGGAAAGGCAATGCCCTTTCTAAAGGGGGAAAGAGCTACTCAGCTCCAGACAGGCCAAATGTTGCCCATTATTACCAAATCTTGATATGCTTCCAAAGAAACCAAAATCTAGACTTGTATGTAACCCTCGGATATTTAAACAATAGATTTTTAAAATTTTTAAATGCTATCCAAGTCCATTAAAACTCATTTACTGACCAAACTTGAATCACAAACCGTGAGTTTTAATCTTGCTCCAGGTGTTTCTAGACTAGAAAGTAACATGAAGGAAGGCAACAAATATTCATATGGATTGATCATGTATACCCTGCCCTGTATTAGGAACTGAACATATGTGTTTAAAACGCATTTATACCTAGTATTCCATTATTGGAGTGCTAAGCATGTAGGAGTTCTTGATATCCTACTGCTGAAGGTCATTGCCAAGGTTTGATTGCAAAAATTCAAAAAAGGGCAACCTCAGGCATAAATGGGCTAAGCCTCACAATCCTAGGAGGGAGGCAGTATTATCCCCTGTTCTTATGGATGAGAAAACTGAGGCTTATATAGTGGACTGCACACCCAAGGTTACTTGGCCAGTCAAGGGCAGAGCCGGATTCAAACCAGGGTGAATCTGCTGCCAGCCCATGTGCTTCCACACCACCATTCCACCCTCCTTCCACTCTCCATGTCAGCTGTTCTCAACCCTGACTTACACATGTAAGTCATCTGGAGGGCTTGGAAAACTCTCGCACCCAGAGTTAAAGATCAGAATCTTTGGAGTGGGACACTGACTTCAGTTTAGTTTTTGTTTTTGTTTTTGAGACAAGGTCTCGCTGTGTCGCTCAGGAGTGCAGTGGCACAATCACGGCTCACTGCTGCCCTGACCTCCAGGCTCAATCAATCCTCCTGCCTCAATATCTTGAGTATCTGGGACTACAGGAGTGTGCCATCATGCCAGGCTAATTTTCCTATTTTTTTTGTAGGCATGGGGTCTCACTGTGTTGCCCAGGCTGGTCTCAAACTCCTAGGCTCAAGCGATCCTCCCACTTCTGCTTCCCAAAGTGCTGGGATTACCGGCATGAGCCACCACATCAGGCAGCCATCATCAGTATTTTTAAACCTCCCCAGGAGATTCAAGGGGAACCAAGAACCATGATCCAAGAAGCACTGACATCACCTGGGAGCTTGTTAGAAATGGAGGGCTGGGCACCGTAGCTCATGCCTATAATCCCAGCACTTTGGGAGGCTGAGGTGGGTGGATCACTTGAGGTCATGAGTTCAAGATCAGCCTGACCAACACGGTGAACCTGTCTCTACTAAAAATATAAAAATTAGCCCAGTGTGATGGTGGGCATCTGTAATCCCAGCTACTTGGGAGGCTGAGGCAGGATGATCGCTTGATCCTGGGAGGCAGAGGCTGCAGTGGGCCCAGATTGCGCCACTGCACTCCAGCCTGGGTGACAAAGCAAGACTCCGTCTCAAAAAAAAAAAAAAGGAAGAAAAAGAAAAAAAGAAACAAATGTAGAGTCTAGGGTCCCACCCCAGACCTACTGCATCAAACTCCGCATTTAACAAGATCTCTATGAGATCTGAATGCACATCAAAATTTGGAAAGCATTGGTCTAAGAGAGAAGTAATGAAGGCCTAAACACGTCTTCAGAAGTGTGGCTTCTTCCAATTTTGCATTTACTAATTACCCCCCCCAGCCGCCCACAAAGAAAAAAAAAAAGGAAGGAGGAAAGAGAGAAACGGAATTTACAGTACCCTGATGAGTAAAACATGCCCTTAGATGTGAATGTTAGGCTTTCACTTCTAGGGATTTGTGGGGTTTAGTTAATTTGCTTTTGCTTTCTCTGCAGATTATTAAAAGATAACTGGTGCTGTCTTCCCAGCTTCAGACTCCGTCTCAAGAATAAGGAAGCAGAGAAGTTACCGTCAGCCAAGTCTCAACTAAACATGGACCCAACTTCATACAAGCAAATGGCATTCCACATTCACCAAGCACCCTCCTTGGGCTAGGCACTGCATCATATGGGAGGCGAGAGAAAGGGACAGCAGCTTGGCCCAAGCTGGCCACGTGGCGCAATGCTGAAGGCTCTTCCCTTCCTCCATCCTTCCTGGTTTCCCACACTGATAGGGAGCAAAATTCGTCTCTCCAGTTCTCCCGTTTCTTCCTCCCTCCTCCTCACCCTCCTCGTTAGTTAGGAGCTGCGACGCCTGGCTCTGGGGAGGTGCTGGCACTGAGTGTTTTACAGCTCTTTAATTCTGCCTTATTATCCTCTGTTCCTACAACCAAGGTCTTTGACTGCTGCTTTCATTGTGTTGTCAGGTTTCTCTTTGATGCCTAAATTAATACTAATGGGAAGCCCTCTCAGCTGTTTGCTTACTTTTCCTTCTGCTCAGTTTCTCCCAGTTGAATATTCCCCAGTCCGTGCTGTGCACTGATCTGTCAGCCCTTTCTCGGATCCACTTTAAAAGAAGCCTGAGTATCTTACACACGGTTAGCCACTCTCGAGCGGGGTAATTCAGACGGTGAGTAGGGAAGAAGATTGTATGGAAATCTGCCTGTTTTCCCATCCGGTCGCCGCCCGCTTGAAACTGCAGAGCATTGGCTCAGCTTCTTCGTCACTTGGGCGGAATGATTCTGCCCCACACACTTGTTAGTGTTTCTTATTCGACGATTCTTCTAGGGGCCAATCCCTGCCATTTGCGGGGCTCACGAAAGGCTCTCCTGCCCCCACTTTCTTTCATGGCCTGTTAATATCTAATATTTCAGCTCTTCAGAAGTTGTTCCTATAGGTTTTTTCAGGGTCGAACCAAAGGAAGAATCACAAACAACTCTGAGAGGTTTTGCATACTAAAGCAATGATTATTAGTACCCATTTGAACTGGGGACAGATAGCTGACAGCAAGACTGAGACAGAGAGTTCTCAGGCTAGGGTGAGTGGGTGAGGAACCACATACCTCTTCCCAACTTTGCCTAGGAGCAGCTGTGATTTTAAGGAAAAAGAAATGTTAGCCACCTTCCCCTCCCAAGATCATTTATCCTGGTTTCTTTCCCACCCTAAGCAGCCAATATTCAACAAATATTTATCAAGAGCATAGGCCAGGTGGGGTGGCTCACGCCTGTAATCCCAGCACTTTGGGAGGCCGAGGCGGGCGGATCACCTGAGGTCGGGAGTTGGAGACCAGCCTGACCAACATGGTCTACTAAAAATACAAAATTAGCTGGGCGTGGTGGTGCATGCCTGTAATCCCAGCTACTCAAGAGGCTGAGGCAGGAGAATGGCTTGAACCCAGGAGGCAGAAGTTGCAGTGAGCCAAGATGGTGCCATTGCACTCCAGCCTGGGCAACAAGAGTGAAACTCCATCTAAACAAACAAAAACAAAACAAAATAAAAAAGCCTAAAGTTCTGGCCAGAGTACAAACAGAAAGAAGTAGAACATAAAGATAAAAGTCAATTGGTCACCAATCTTAAATACCTTCTAGGTTCAGAATACAAGCCACCACAGAGACCTACAAAGAACACAAACATACAGGTCTTGTCTTTAAAAACTTATAGTTTAGGGCCAGGCATGGTGACTCACACCTGTAGTCCCAGTACTTTGGGAGGCTAAGGTAGGAGGATCGCTTGAGCCCAGGAGTTCAAGACCAGCCTGGGCAACATAGTGAGATCCTGTCTCTACCAAAAATTAAAACATTAGCTGGGCATAGTTGCATGTACCTGCAGTCCCAACTACTTGGGAGGCTGAGGCAGGAAGATTTCTTGAGCCTAGAAGTTCAAGGCTACAGTGAGCCATGACTATACCACTACACTCTAGCCTGGGTGACAGAGTGAGACCCTGTCTCTCAAAAAAAAACTTACAATCTAAGGTACAAAGAGACACACACATAGTTGGGGGGGGCGGGATTTGCAAGCAATACCTTCATACGTTATACGTATACACCCATATATAGCAATACAAATTTTATATATCTATTCTCCCCATATGTGTCTCTTCAACCCTTAGACTATAAAATCTTATACATATACATACACATAATGCTCAATTCATAGAAACAAGTAAAGCTGCTCCTCAACTTACAATGCAGTTACATCCTGATAAACCCATCATAGGTTGAAAATCTCATAAGTCAAAAGTGCTTTTTCAATTTATATTTTCAATTTACAATGGATTTATCCAGACGTAGCCCCATCATTAAGCCAAGATTGCATATGGCTTTTGCACCACTGCAAAGTTGAAAAATTGTAAGTTGAACCATGGTAAGTCAAGGACCATGTGTACAAATTAATAACCTCTCATTGCTGAACAGGCAAAGTCTGAATCCCATGGGCTAGAGGAGCTACCCACTACGCCATTCCCCTCTTAGTTTTCTTTAATAGCCTCAACTCAGGAAATTTTTCTCCTTTTCTTCGTTTTGTTATTGCTTCTCCTCCATCTCTTCCATTGTTTCCTCTTATACTCCTCACAGTCTCATATTAGCCATCCAGGATTTATTCACTAATGCTTTTTTCTTTTCCCCACTATTTTCCTCCCTTTGGTTGGTTGGTTGACTTTTTCTTTTTCCTTTAAGAGTATTTTTTTCTACTTGGTCTTCCAAATTATTAACTTGAATTTCTCAAATCATAGCCTTTAATTGCAAAGTCTTCTTTGAACTGTCCTTGAATTCCCTTAAGTCACCTTATTTTCCTTAATTAAAGTTGACAAATATCTCCCAGGCTGCTCCACTTTATTCAGATTGTTCTCTTTGATCTTCACTTACTTGGCTGAAGGGTGTTCTTGTATGTGTTGTTATTGTTACTTGCCTGCTTTTAGGGGCCTCACCCAGTTGTTAGAATCGCCATGGAGCCCAAGTTTTTAATTGCTCTGAGCTGCCTGCCAGCCCCCCAACTGCTGGGCTCAGGACAGACAACAAGTTTAGAGCTGGGAATGGAGGGGGAGTGGGATGGAGTCAGGTTGCCATCTGCCTCAAATCCCTGAGAAACCTTTGGGAATTGAGCATTTAAATCACACTCCACTGTATTTTCAAGAATCCCACATTTAGAGTCAATGACCTGGATTCCAGTGTGGTGTCTTATTCACCATCTGAGTGATCTTGAGCACGTATAATGTGAGGTTCCTCTTCCTCGAGCAAAAATTGAGGATTTGCAATATTGCCCTCCATGCCTCCCCAGGATTTGTTGTGAGGATCAAGTAAAACGATACCTCAGTGCCAAACACTGGTGTGTTTATGGTGGCTATGGTTCCTAATCCTAGCTTCTATTCTTTCTTTGGCTAAAGTAATAGAAATGGAAAAAGAATGCACATGAAAAAAAAATTGTGAAATATATACAGTTGCTAGAGCCCAACAGAGAAATGCCTACAAACAGAACAATTCTAGAAGATTTTCAAGAAAACTATACATTTATTGTTTAACCCAGACTACAGATAGGGAGAAGGAAGAAGGGCCACTGCAAACACACACCAGTGCCTGCTCCCTGGCTAACTACCAAGCAGGAGTGGAGAGAGCAAGAGAGGAAGAGGAGGTAGGGGAGAGGAGAGGAAGTGATTAAGCACAGCAGTTTGAGATCAGAGAGACATGCTGGAGACCCCCTTCACCAGTCTCCAATGACAAAATGAAAACTTTAGTCAAAATCAGTTTAACAAAGTGTATTTGTTAAATTTTATTTGATCAAAGAGCGATTCACGAAGAGGCAGCACTCAGGACCAGAAGAGGTTCAGAGAACTCTACTCCAAACTGTGGGCATTGAGTACTCACAGGCAGGAAAAGGCTGAAGAGAGCAGAAACAAAGAACACCAAGTGGATCTGTCATTTCAAAGTTACTTTCCTGGTAAGGGTTAAAGCAGAGGGACTTACTTATCATACCTGCTAAAACTGACCTCTTGGGATATTTGGCTATTATCTCTTTCTCCTGATTTCTCGGAAGGTTAGATAAACCAGTTAGGTGACATGAAACTTTAGCACAAGTGATTCCATTTTGGTTTGGTTTATGAGAGCCTAGTGCATGGGGCTTAGCCAAATCAGTAGCCTCCTACAAATTGTATTTAACACCATTTATGTGACCTTGAGAATGCTTTTTTATCTCTCTGAACCCATCCCCTCATCTGTAAAATGGGGAAATAATATAAGAGCTTTGCCAGGGAGTTTCTGTCAAGATAAAGTGGGATAATAACATATTATACACAAAATTCCTGACACATAAGAAGTTCTCAATAAATGGGAGTAAATTGTGTATGTATTTCCCTTTTCAGACAACTCACACTACATTTGTTTGACTTTACAGACAGACCTTTTTTCAATTTTCTAATTTAGACCCCCAACCCATTACTTGCAATTCAAGGGAAAGAAAATCCCTTTCTTGAATTATAAAATAACAGCCCTTCTGTGATAGGTTTGAATGATGAGTTTCTCCTCTGCCAAGAATAAAAATAAAGTGAAATTAACATTCTCATCAGCTGAACACAGGCCTCAGAGAGACTGGCAACTGTCACTACGTCATTGTGGAGACACATTGACAAGCAGGAACACAGAGTGCCTGGTGGAACACTGTATGTCTAATTATAGAATATTTAATTCGCTGGCCTATTTTGGCAGGGATGGCCCCAGCACAGATTCATGAAGACAAATAAAGCTTCTGCATCTTAGCGCTTGGCTTGACAGCCAACAAGCACTTACAAACACCTGCTCAGTGCTAAGCACCAAGCATTAGGGGGAATCAAAAGAAATTAAAGAGGTGGTCCCTGCCCTTGAAGAGCTTATGGTCTATGCTTATGGTCTACACAATCAAGTTGTTTCTACATTCTTGCTTTAAAATGGATATATATATAACCACACAGTTGAGATTTGCAGAACCTTATTTTAAATACATTTAATATTATGTTATTTAACTCCCTTTTTTTCATAGTTCAGTTAACTGTGAGGCCTGCAGAGTTTGTGTGACTTATTCATACAAAAATGATATCACTTAAAGAGAAAGAGTATGTGAAAAGTGGTTTCCAAGTACGGATCTAATGAAGTTCTTGAAAATCATTTAAAATTCCTGTGAGTGTATCAGGCAAGCTGCATGGTGTGTGTGACCCAGATTTTTTTTTTAATCGCATCTTTTTCTTCCTTTTCAGAAACACACAGATACATAAGAAAATGGCTTAAATGAAAAAACAGACCACTCCAAGGGAGGAAAAGGATGGAGGTGACACTGTGTAAGTTGGCAGCCAGCCCTGGTGGCGGGGGTGATGCACAGACCAGGGGGTCTCAATCAGCAGCAACCTAGTGGCCACCTCCTTCACCTCTCACAACACAGGAGCCTCCAGGAGTGGCTCCACCTTTGACTCTGAAGGATCATCCCTGAAAGATCCGGCAGAGGGCAAGCTCCCAGAATCGGGGCCTATCTTAGGAACTTTTCCGGCTGAGGAGTTAGAAAAAGATAATTTTCTTGCAGAAACTCATCCAAAGCATCCAAAACATTTTGTTTAATGTAATCCAAATGCCCATACCAACACTGACTTCTACCCCTCAGAACATTCCACACCATCTCTCACTCCAGTTAGACATAAATACAAGATGCAGTGAATGATTCCTGCAGTTGGGTGGACGCAAATTCCCATCCAGGTTCCCACACGAACTGGTTCTGTAAATTAGACGTACAATTGACCCACTGCAAGCCAAAGTTTTCCTGTCTGCAAAGTTGGGATCATGCATCCTCCTTGGGGGATGTGTGGGAGAAAAGGGCCAGGCACCCGGAGGCATTCAGGGAATGGCAGCTCCCCTCATCTGTTCCACCTCACCTGCTTTTCCTGGGTGACCTTATCTGTGTGACCACCTTTCAGCAAAGGGTCTATTCTGGGCTTCTTAATGGAAATGTGCAGAGAAGCTCCAAAAAACGTCTGGAGAGAAAGGGCTACAGAAGCTACGTGAGTAAGACCTTCCACTCTCATAGCTCCAGGTGAGCCTTCGCAATCACCCGAACTTTTCCAGATGTAGAAATTCGGGCAAGTTGTGAACTCAACAATGTGTTAGTTTTCAAATGGGGATAATACTACTAAGCCTACCTAAGGAGACAATTATGAGAGTTTAAAAGAATTAAAACCTATGCAGTGTTTAGGACCGTGCCATGGCATACTGTATACACAATGCAAGTGTTTGCTCTTAGTGCAAACTCAGTTTCTCAGGGTTCACCAAGGGAGCTGGTGGCAGAGCTATGGCTAAACCCACTCTCCAGACTCCTCACCTAGTGCTCTTTCCCAGATCCTGTGTCTTTACTTTCCAAAGCTGCGTATTCCTAGCTTTTTCTCCTAACTTGGAGCAGAATTGGATTTATATTTACTGTTTCATGTACCAAGGTAACATTTCAGGTATACATTTCCCATTGTCCACAAATCTATGGAGAAATGTTAGCCTTGATTACTCTGAATTAGAATGTGATCCAATTACATAATTTTTTTCAAGACATGGTGCTTTAGAACATACATGTAGTAACAAGAATTAAAACAGTATACCGTGGAAGGAAGTGTGCTGGGATAAGCCTGGATTGTCTCTCAGTTTCACACCAATACCTAATTCTTACTTCCTTTCTGCCCAACCCAGTGGAAGAGATGTTCTATTTCCCCTCAAGGACAAGCTCTCAATCCTTGCTTAAGATCCCTCAGCTACTCCCCTTTACCTTCTGGTGAAAATCCATACTGTTCAGCAGGGCACACAGGTTAGGAAGGCACCATGTGGCCCTACCCTGCCTCTCCAGCCTCTCTTTTTTTGCACATCATAACCACTCTGGGCTCCTGCCGTCCTGAACCACTGGTAGTTCCCTAGACATACCAGGCCTTGTCAAGCCACTGTAGCTTTGCACACACTGTTTCCTTTGTCAGACGTGGTCTTTGCCCTGCTCCTTCTCCTAATTAATGTACTCAGGCATCAAAACTCCTATCAGGTAACTCCTCCTCCAGGAAGCCTTCCCGTACCACCCCAGCCTGCCTCCTACATGCTTTCACTGTACCTTAAGACCATCTTCATCTCAGTATGCATAGTAATGCACCATCATGGTCTGTGCTTGGCTGACTCCTCTTCCACACCAAGAGCAAGCTCAATACCTAGCAAGATGCTTGCCAAGAGTAAAAACTCTGAAACTGTTTGACAGATAAATCCAGTCTCACAACTTACTGTGTGACCTTGAGCAATTCATTTGACTCGTTCAGGTCTCAGTTTCCTCATTTAAGACAGGAAGAGTTAGGTCAGCTCATCCCTAAGAATCATGTAAGGCCTATATTTTATAACTTGCAGTAGTTCTTTCATTTTAAAAAAAATAACAGCTTTTCCCACTCCAGTTATTGATAAAATGAGATTAGTAATTTGAAAGTACTTAAAAATGAATTTTTTAAGGGCCACAAATTCACATTATTTTATGTAATTGTAAAAATAAAAAATAAAAATGTTTTTGGTACTACCTAGCACATATTGGTAGATAATATGCATTCATTAAGTGTTCCTTGAGAGCTAGATTCATTTTGTCACATAGTTACAACTACTGCAAGAAGCAGAGATGTTGGCCCGGCACAGTGGCTCACGCCTGTAATCCCAAAACTTTAGGAGGACCAGGCGGGTGGATCATGAGGTCAGGAGATGGAGACCATCCTAGCTAACAAAGCGAAACCCCATCTCTACTAAAAATACAAAAAATTAGCTGAGCATGGTGGCACGCGCCTGTAGTCCCAGCTACTCGGGAGGCTGAGGCAGAAGAATCGCTTGAACCCAGGAGGCAGAGGTTGCAGTGAGCCGAGATGGTGCCACTGCACTCCAGCCTGGGTGACAGAGCGAGACTCCGTTTCAAAAGAAAAAGTAGAGATGTTAATTTTTCAGCAGAGGTAGTTAAGCAAGTCACACAGGTAACTTGGCAAGTGACTAGATGAGATGTAATTCCAATATCCATATTCCTTCCACTGCTTTCATTTTAAGTAAGCTTTTGAAAAAATCACCCTGTATTACATTTTTCCCAATAATAAAAATAAAACCTCCCCTATTCTACCTCATCAAATTGATCACAGACCATAAAATAGTGTACTTTTATTTAAAATAAACCTTTGACATACTTCATATTTTATGCAGGTAGCCAGAAGGGAACAATAATATCAGAAAAGTACAATGAAGTTAATGCCCCGATGCCTTAAAACAGATTGGCTGATCACCATGAGCACCCACTCCCCAAGTCTTAAAGAAAAGATGACTGGGTTCAGCCGAAGTTCTTACACACCAGATGATGGGCGTAAATGCTTTTGCTTCTGCTTTGATTTGCAAGGACTTTGACTGGCTGCCTGGCCCCGGAGGCCCCCATTTCACTGCATGAGGACACTGGTCCTCTCTGACACTTGTTTCGGCAGAAGGGAATTAGCAGTTCTTTAACTTCTGTTTTTCATACATAAAATTCCAAATAACTACTTGCTGTTAGCCACATGTAACTATCATTTTTCTTTCCCTTTTTTTTTCCATCGATGTAAGAACTCTACAAACTTTTTTTGCATAATCATAAGATGCTATCAGAGACCTTGTTGTGGACTGAATTGTGTCTCCCCAGAATTTATATATTATATTTGGAGCTAATTAAGGAGGTAATTAAGGTTAAGGGAGGTCATAAGGGTACGGTCCTAATCCAATAGGATTTATGTCTTCATAATAGGACTTGTGTCTTCATAAGAAAAGGAAGAGATACCAGGATCACAGGCACACAGAAGAAAGGCTATGTGATGACATAGCGAGAAGGTGGTCTTCTGCAAGCCAAGAAGAGAGCCCTCACCAGAAATCAACCCTGCCAGCACCTTGATCTTAGCCTTTTAGGCTCTAGGATTGTGAGAAAAGAAATTTCAGTTGTTTAAGCCACCCAGTACGTGGCATTCTGTTATGGTATCCCCAGCAGATTCATACAGACCCCTACCATGACCTGAACCCCCTCCTCATCTCTGTTGTTGAAAGTGAAAACATGAGTATACATATCTATGGAACATGGAGGGGAAGCCATGAAAACAATCAATACTTCCAGCAAAATGGAAAGTGTTTAAAATCATTCACATTAGCAAAAAGGGAAAAAGGTACTGCAGGGTCTTCCAATTTTTGGGTAAAGAAAAAATTAGTCCCACTGAGTTTATCAGCATTTATTTTTTAAATTACTTAAAATAACAAGTGAAAAAGTTTATCTTGTCATTCCATGGCAAAAAAATAAATAAATTTTTGCATTACAGTTCCTGTTGTATTTTTAGTTAGGAGGTAGAATCTTGGGAATGATGTTTTGATTTTTCCAAGTGTTCATTTCATTCAAAGCAAATTAATCAGAGAATCACAACCGGTATAAATCCATCATCACAAGTGGCCCTGATCTCAGAACACTACTGTGCTGAATCCTGAGATAAATCTTTATGTCAGAAATCCTATTATTCAGAAGTACAATAAAAATAACAATCGGAGATGACATCAGAACAGGGAGAACATTGCATTTTTCTTCTTTGCGTGTCAGAAGAAGTTAACTTCCGCTCATCACCAGCTGAAATGATCGTACAGGATCCTGCAAAATATCTGGGTAGCTCCAACATAAATAATCTTCTGTCCTCTGGGGAAAATTCTTTTTTCACTCTATGGCTTCAGAAAAACTGTTGGCATAGGTACCCAAACACCTTCTGGAGATGGCATGGAAATATCATTCAGTGAGTTGAGAAGAGATAAGGACGTGTTTTTACACTTGTGGATAAGTAGACACTGCTTGGAGAATTACGATCACTCTTGTCAACACGTCCTTTCTCAACTCTTAGTCTGTGGCTTATTTAAAGACATTAAAGGGAGTATTGGTTACTGTGGGGGGGGTGCAATTAGGTAGAAGAAATTGGCAAAAGTGCAATACAGATAAAATTGAAAAGATGAGGCAAGGCAAGAGGAAACATCTGGAGCACCTGGCAGGGGTCATTTTAGGATTCTCGCCTGAAGTGGCTCATTATTGACTCTTCATTGTTAGCCTATAATCTGGTTTTTACTGCCATTGCAGATTTCTCTAAAAACAAATAGGATAAAAGCAAACATTACCATTTGCTTTTAAGGATCACAAGATGTCCTCTCAACTCTCACATGCAGATCCTATTTCAATAATTTCACAACTAATTGGAGTTTTTGCCATGACTGCTCCTCAAAACACCACTTAACTTGAAGAACACATCACAGAGAAACTATAGTCAGAATCTGCCTGAGTCACTCGTGCCTGATCACAAGTCGAAGAGAAAGCCCTGCAACTGTGTTTCTTGGGTCTGACTAGGTCGGTTTCCTTTTACTTTCATGAGACAGTACATTAACCCAGAATGTTCAGAGAAAATAGTTTGCTTTTTTTAAAAAAAATATTGTTTTATTGTGGTAAGAACACTTACCATGAGATTTACCCTGTTAACAAATTAAGTGTATATAATACAGTATTGTTGACTATAGGGACAATGTTGTACAGCAGATCTCTAGAATGTGTTCATTATGCTTAACTGCATTTTTAAGCCCGTTGATTAGTAACTCCCCATTTCCTCCTCTGCCCAGCCCTTGACAACCACCATTCCTCTCTTTGATTCTATGAGTCTATTTTAGATATATCATCTAAGTAGAATCATGCAATATTTACTCATCTGTGACTGTTGTTTCACTAAGCATGATATCCTCAAGGTCCCTCTATGTGACCAAGTAGGATCTATAGGATCAAGTAGGATCCATTTGATCCTGAAGCCCTCTGAACCGAGGCAGCCCTCTTCATCCTCACCTAGAAAATGGTCCTGAGTCTTGCAGAGTCACAGGACTCTGATGCTAACCCTCAGTTACTGTGGAGCACTTCTGAAGAAGCAGGAAGTTCAGCTGACATCCAATAGACATTGCTTTGGGGAACAAATTTTAGACATCTTTTACTTTCTCATTTTGTTACTTTCTCAAAAATGAAAACTCTAGATACTTTTGTGAACCTTATTTTTTCCCTCTAATTCAGCTACGGATTTCTGTGGACATTTCAATCCTAACTTGTCCAAGTGTTAGCTCTTTGGTGACTAAGCAGACACTTTATTGATAGCAAGAATAAGATAAAGAAGATCATAGGGATTTTTATTTAAAATTATATTTCATTTACTTCATTATACATGGAGCCAAGATGAAATTTATATCTATACATTCTTTTCCATTATGTTTTCAGAGCATTTTTCTACAAAATACCCTACCCCATAAACAATTGCTATTCACAAATTATTCGAATCAAATCAGGTCTCAGCAAATTCCCAACTCTGCAATGTCATTGCAATGTTATATATAAAAGAGATCCTGAAATAAGTAAGCTATTATCATATATTTGAAAATTCGGCCAGGCATGATAGCATGCGCCTGTTATCCCAGCTACTCAGGCTGGGAAGGCTGAAGTGAGAGGACCAGTTGAGCCCAGGAGTTGAAATCCAGCGTGGGCAATATAGAAAAGTCCCTGTTTCAAAAAACTAATGATAATAAATCAAAGAATATCTGTTTTGGATATCAGAGATACTAACTTTAGTAATATTTGTTGTGATAGCTCCTCACTGCCTTTTTCCTTTGGACAAATACCATTTTTGTAGAATAGATCATTCTGTAAAAATAGATTTTGTTTTTAAACGAAAATTTAATGATGTGAATAAAATACATAAATGTTCCTCTTTAATAGATCAAAATGCACAGAAGTTATAGAAGTATTCAGTAACTATTACTTTATTTTCTTTCTCTGTCAGTCATATTCATTTTAGAAATAGTTTTACTAATATACTTTACTCAGAAACGGAGGGAAACAGGCTGGGTGAGACCTCATTAGGATTGATGATATAATACTGCCTGGGTACAGACAATCCCTGCTCCCTTACCTAATACTGCTGGTGGGCTAAAATTTCTCAGTTAGATATACAACACATATTAATAACAGCTACTTCTTATTGAGGGCTTACCTGGAACTAGCTATGGTATTTATATACATTATTTTATTGAATGAAGAGACATTACTATACACAACTTAAGATGAGGAAACTGAATCCTAGTGAGATTACGCAACTTGGCTAATTAGTAAGTGACAGAGCCAGAATTTGAACCTAAATTATAGCAGAGGTTCTCATTACAGAAATGGGCATCTCCAAGGCCAAAACTATTTTTATAATACTGAGTTATTTGCCTTTTTTCACTTTTGTTTTTTCATGAGTGTACACTTGAATTTTCCAGAAGCTACGTGATGTGGGCTCACAGCAACACTCTGACAGCTAATAGAAGGTGGGTTTATGTATTCTCATATTTTAAAAATTTATCGATTTTCATTTCCATCATGGTAAATATTTCTAGAAATTACCCACATATCATCTGCCCACTTTTTAATTGAGTTGTTTTTTGCTTGTACATTTGTTTAAGTTCCTTGTAGATTCTGGATATTAGACCTTTGTCAGATGCATAGTTTGCAAATATTTTCTCCCATTCTGTAGGTTGTCTGTTTACTATGATAGTTTATTTTGCTGTGCAGAAGCTCTTCAGTTTAGTTATTATAGGTCTTGTTTGTCAATTTTTGCTTTCGTTGCAATTGCTTTCAGTGTTTTCATCATGAAATCTTTGCCAGTTTCTATGACCAAAATGGTATTTCCTAGCTGATTTTCCAGGACTTTTATAGTTTTAGGTTTTACATTTAGGTCTTTAATCCATTTTGAGTTGATTTTGTATATTGTGTAAGGAAGGGGTCCAGTTTTCAGTCTGGGGAAGACATACATGTGAACAACAAGCATATGAAAAAATGTTCGATATCACTAATCATTAGAGAAATGCAAATGAAAACCGCAATTAGATACTATCTCACAACAGTCAGAATGGCCATTATTAAAATGTCAAAAAATAACAGATGCCAGCAAGGTTGCAGAGAAAAGGGAACGCTTATTCACTGCTGGTGGGAGTGCAAATTAGTTCAACCATTGTGGAAATCACTGTGACAATTCCTCAAAGAACTAAAAACAACTACCATTTGACCCAGCAATCCCACTACTAGGTATATACCCAAACGAATATAAATGATTCTACCATAAAGATACGTGCCTGTGTATGTTTATTGCAGCACTATTCACAATAGCAAAGACAGGAATCAACCTAAATGCCCATCAATGGTAGACTGGATAAAGAAAATGTGGTACATATACACCACAGAATACTATGCAGTCATAAAAAAGAATGAGATCATGTTTTTGCAGGAACATGGATGGAGCTGGAGGCCGTTATCCTTAGCAATCTAATGCATGAAGAGAAAACCAAATACTGCATGTTCTCACTTATAAGTGGGAGCTAAATGATGAGAACACATGGACAGAAAAAGGGGAACAAAAGGCACTGGGGCCTACTCAAGGGTGGAGGGTGGGAGAAGGCAGAAGTTCAGAAAAAAAGAAAAAGAAAACCTATCAGGTACTATGTTTAGTAACTGGGTGATGAAATAACTGTACACCAGACCCTCGAGTTACAAGTTTACTATATAACAAACCTGCACTTGTACCCCTGAACCTAAAATAAAAGTTAAAATATATTTTGTTAAGTTTACCATCACACCGATTTTTTAAAAAAGATGTGCAACATGTATACCTATGTAACGAACCTGCACGTTCTACACATGTAACCCAGAGCTTTAAAAAAATGTGCAAAATAAAATTGTGTTGAGGAAAAAAAAAGTCTAAGGAAAATGTCTTCTTTTCCTTAAAATATATCTAAATTGTCCATGTCTCTATGAAGAAGATAAAAATAGCATGATCTAACCCACTGAGTCATGCTGTGCTTCCTCACATCTGTGTTCTGTTGCTTTATCAATGTGTAAGGAAATAAGCTCTAGTTTATTAAATTTTTTAAACAGAAAAAAGGAAAAAAAAGATAACCCACATAAACAAATGTTTTGTCTTGTTTTTTGAAGTCCTCAATAATTTTTTGTTGTTGTTTTGAGATAGGGTCTCACTCCATCACTCAGGCTGCAGTCCAGTGGTGCAATGTTGATTCACTGCTACCTCTGCCTCCCGAGTTCAAGCGATTCTCCCACTACAGTCTCCCAGGTAGCTGAAACTACAGGCACGCTCCACCACACCCAGCTAATTTTGGTATTTTTTGGTAGAGACAGGGTTTCACCACATTGGCCGGGCTGGTCTCGAACTCCTGGAGAATGATACATTTATGTTGATATTTTGCCTTTTAAATCTACTTGTAATTCTTGTTCTCCTGACCTCAAGTGATCCCCCACCTCAGCCTCCCAAAGTGCTGGGATTACAGGTATGAGCATACCCTGCCAGTCCTCAATAATTTTTAAGAGTGTGTAATGCAGACCTGAGACCAGAGTTTGAGAAACACAGCATTATATTATCCTGGAGAACAATGCTACTCCAACCTCAGATTTCTAGTAGCCCAGTAAAATACATTTATTGAACAAAGAAAACCGGCTGGGCACGTGGCTCACTCCTGTAATCCCAGCACTTCGGGAGGCCAAGGCAGGCGGATCACAAGGTCAGGAGTTCAAGACCAGCCGGCCAATGTGGTGAAACCCCAACTCTATTAAAAACACAAAAATTACCCTGGCATGGTGGCGGGTGCCTGTAGTCCCAGCTACTTGGGAGGCTGAAGCAGGAGAATTGCTTGAACCCAGGAGGTAGAGGTTGCCGTGAGCCAAGATCGCACCACTGCTACTCCAGCCTGGGCAACAAGAGCGAGACTCCATCTCACAAAAAAAAGAAAGAAAGAAAACCTTGTTGATAAAGTATAAAACAAAGCAAGGGTTTTTATTGTATTTTATGCGGTGGGAATTCTTTATTTCAAGGTTGGAGAGAAATGATAGGTTGGTTCCCAGAGCCAGTTTTAAGGGAGATTTCATGTGAATCCTGGAGAAGTCCATCTAAACTGTCCACATCAGCACTCCCACCTGCAACATTCTCTTGAGGTTCAATAGAAATATCCCTCCATTATGGGACATAGTAGAAACCTTACAAGCCTGGTTAAGGATTCAGAGTCAGACTGGTTTCAAATTCTAGCCTCCCAGCTATGAAACCATAGGCAAATTATACTTATCTTCTCTGAACCTAATAATAATGCAACTAATAGCAATTATATTATAGGGTTATTGGGAAGATCAAATGAGACAATGCTTCTCAAAAGTGAATGAAATAAAAATCATTTTGAGTGCTTAGCACACAACCCTTGGGACATAGTAAACACTCAACACATTTTAACTGTTATTTAATGGTAACTAGACCCCTTGATGTGGTCTCATTTTTTTCCCCCTAAACTCCATTCAGATTTCAGGGAACAGTTGATTTTTTCTTTGGCAAGGAATTAATTCTTCCTCTTCTACCACATTTTTAGCCACAGAGTGACTTAAAATAATCACGAAAAATTTCAAGAGGCAGCTCGGCTGGTTGCTTCTCCCTTTTGAGGAACCATCTGTCAAAGATGACAATTCTGGAGAAGATATAAATTGTGGACCTCACTCTTAGACGTGTCTCTCTTGAGAACTATGGGTGTGACCTAGAGCAGATCGTGTCCCTCTGAGCCTTGTTTTTCCCTCGTGAGAAGGGAAAGGCTATCACCTTATAAAGATCTTTGTAGCCGTGTCATCCTATGACTATATATTTTTAGATGTAAGCATTATTTCCTCCCTGAAAAAGCAACAAAATATCCAACATGTCCATGGCATTATTCTATGATATGATATTTAAATAAAATTGAGTAAATTTTGCAAACAAGAATTACAAGTAGATTTAAAAGGCAAAATATCAACATAAATGTATCATTCTTCATATTTTCCAGGTAAAACATAGATTTTAATGTGTGCATAGTGTTTTATCCATTTTCTTGAATATTTCTAATTTATTATAGCAACATAATCTAATCCTAGACTGATTTCCCTAAGGGATTAGTCAACATTTATTTTAATGCCTTTTAAATCTTTGGGTTCATAAAATCTTACATGTCTCAATTTAAATCAAATCTTGATTTCCTGGAAATCCTGGTTAATGTCAACAATCCCTTGAATCCTTAAAGGGTAGCTGATAACTCATGGAAATATTTGAAGCAGATTAATTTTCAGTGATCACAGCTTTCCCACATGGAGAGCAATATATTTTTAACTTTGTTGATTCACACATTTTAATGAGGAAAACAAAACCAAACTTTTCAGTCAGTCATCATAATGAGCACTTTTTGTTTTATGATGCTACAATATTAATAGCTAATTTATTCATTTTGGTTAATCTCTCAAATCTAAATGGTGTTAATCATTCTTTTGTTTTTTCCTCCACATCATTGTTAAAGATTGCATTTATGCTCATTCATTCATAAATGCTCTTCAGCATTTTTATATTCTAGTTTTCTATCATGCTGTCCAAAAATGCAAGGGCAAATAAGGTGTTAAAATATATATGTATTAAAATATATATATTTAGTATGTACATTGAATTATAGTATATATTTTATATATGAATATACGTCGATTTAAATATGTGTGTAGTATACATTCATATGTATGTACCTGCTTACCAGTTGTATTATAAGCCTAAAATCAGCAAGGACTATATTGTCTTACATTATTGTATCACTTCCTGTCTCCCGTCTCTAATAAAATAATGTTCTGCTCGTTGGGAAAGGAATAGCCAATGATGACTCATTGCTACCATTTCAGATAGTAGAGTAGCAGTGCTAAAGAACAAAATCCAACCTATAACATCTAAAGAGAAGTTCCTTTCGCATTAGCTAGGGCACAATGAGGTAGTTAACGTTTAGCACCATCACCATCATCGTCATCAACATTTTCATCAATCAAATATAATAATCTGGGAACTCCTGGGTGGACTGTTCCAAGGTGACCTTCATGTCTGTCTCACTCATTTGTGTTCCTCCATTCAGGGAGGACATGGGAGAAGAAGATCATGGGGAAGAAGATGGCTCCACAGGCTTTTCTCCATGGATTTTAGAAACACCCTCTAAAGCTCCTCCTTTGAGAACTGTTAGAAGCCTGGAAGATGAGGGAAAGGTGAGAAAACATATAAAGACACAGAAAAAAATTGCAAATCAGAATGCAGTCCATTTGAACAAGAGAATCCTAAGAAAGAACAAAGTGGGGGATGGTGAAGAAGAAAAGAGGAAAGGTCTAGAAGGGAATTTGGGACAGAGCCTGCCCTGGAAAGACTGATCAGCAGCTTCTTGGGGGAGACACGTGGATGACATAAGTAACACAGGTAAGCTTGCAGGCTTTCCTATAGTCTGTGAGTCCCCGTGTTGATTGATTTATTCAAAATGAGAATTCTGTGGCATGATGATAACACCACAACTTTAGAAATCTTACTTTAGACCTGTAACACTCCCGTACAGACTTTTAAATAATTTTAAATAGAAGCTGGACCTAAAGTTGTATAAGAAAATGTCTGGAGATTTTGATTTGCTGCTTGTAAAAGTGAAGTCACAGTTATGAAAAGCCCATTTAGTTAGGAATTGTTGATATGGCTAACCAGTTCGGTCAGGCCGTATACCTCTGATAGAGCTTGGATCTGTGTCCCCACCCAAATCTCATGCTGAAATGCAATCCCCAGTGCTAGAGGTAAGGCCTGGTGGGAAGTGATTGGATCAAGGGAGCAGATTTCCCCCTTGGTGCTGTTTTCGTGATAGTGAATGAGTTCTTGTGAGATCTGATTGTTTAAAAGTGTGTGGCTCCTCCCCCACCTTCTTCCTCCTGCTCTTGCTGTGTAAGACACCTGCTCCTGCTTTGCCTTCCGCCATGAGTAAAAGCTCCCTGAGGCCTCCCCAGAAGCAGATGCTGCCATGTTTCCTGTACAGCCTGCAGAACCGTGAGCCAATTAAATCTGTTTTCTTTATAAATTACCCAGTCTCAGATATTCCTTTATATTAGTGCGAGAACAAACTAATACACCTCCCAGCCTAAGTCAGGTGACTGCACAGAGTGGTACAGACAAACTGTCAGGATGAAGACTTTCCTGAGGTTAACATTAGTCTTATTCACCCACAAAGAGTCAGGATGCCTTTGACCTTGAGACACTGCCAACCCTTGCCCCACCACCACCTCACAGATCAAGTTAACTGTGGTTTTCCAGAGGACAACACCATTGACGTCAAGGGCCAGCCAGTTTTAAAGGCAGCATCAGAAGATGTCGTGGTTCTTGGCTGATAAACTACACTTGCTCATTGGAAATAGAGGTATCAAAGCATTCTTGTTGCCTTCTCTAAAGCGCTAGATCACAAAATGCAGTGTGTATCAGAATTTCCCAGGCTGCTTGTTGATATTTACAATTTTGTTTGGAATTCCCACCCTCTCATCTCCCCTTCCCCCCAGCTACTGATTCCTCGGGTCTGGAGTAGGTCCAGGAATCTGCACTTTAATCAGTCCTTCCAGGTGATTTTAATGCAGGTGGTCTAAACACTAGCAGAAATACTGCTGAGATAGACCCAGTGGTTTTTGTTTTGTTTTGTTTTGTTTTTGAGACAGAGTCTCCCTCTGTCATCCAGGCTGGAGTACAGTGGTGCGATCTCGACTGACTGCAACCTCTGCCTCCAGGGTTCAAGCGATTCTCCTGCCTCAGCCTCCCAAGTAGCTGGTGTGTGCTACCTCACCTAGCTAATTTTTGTATTTTTAGTAGAGACGGGGTTTCACCATGTTGGCCAGGCTGCTCTCGAACTCCTGACATCAAGTGATCCCTCCCTCAAGCCTCCCGAAGTGCTGGGATTACAGGCCCAGTGTATTTTTTTTTAATGTTATACTATCTCTTTAATGTTTGCCACATTTTAGGTTTTCCAAGTATTAACCCTAGGAAATAAGAATCTTTACCATCAATACTAAAGCCTCATATCATTTCAAGGAAAGTGTGTGTGTGTGTGTGTGTGTGTGTGTGTGTGTGTGTGTGTGTGTGTGTGTTTGTAGACATTGGTATAGAGGATAACTATTCAGAGGGCCTTGAACTTGGGCCCCCTGTGACCACATAATTTGACTGGTCTCTGTCTACCCTGGTGTTGCTGGATGAGAAGTACACTTGCAGAAGTGATGGCTCTATATGAGGGAAATTAAAGTACTAATGCTGGGGCATGGAACTAGTTGATAGTTCAAAGTGACATCATGACTATTTCTATTTCTATTTCCTGAAGGTGAACAAGTTGATAGTCATTTAAAAGGATGAGTTTTTCTGAGGACACCCAGAAAAAAGAAAGGTATCTATAAAATCAACTTGTTGGTATTCTTTAAATTCATTCAGATTCACTCCTGTATGCTTTCAGGAATAGTGCAGGGAGGAGGCTGCTGACATAGCAGACTGCATTTCCTTGGGCTTCAGCTCCTTGATGCTTTTTGGTGGTCAAGATTGAGGGCTTACCTTTGAGAAGCAGCTGCGGTTGCTACCCAGGTGAACCAAGAACGAGGGATCGGGTCCACTGCTGTCTCCCAGAAGCTCAGACATGCCTGGAGCACAGTAGGTTCTTAATCAGTATTTGTTGAATGAATTAATGTCCTGATACATTGATTGTTAATGTTCTTTTAACATAAAGTATTTAAGCTTTTTAAATCTTTGCACAAAAAAAGAAAATGCGACTTTTTTTTGAGATGGAGTCTCGCTCTGTCGCCAGGCCGGAATGCAGTGGAGCGATCTCGGCTCGCTGCAACCTCCGCCTCCTGAGTTCAAGCGATTCCCCTGCCTCAGCCGCCCAAGTAGCTGGGACTACAGGAGTGCACAACCAAGTCCGGCTAATTTTTCGTATTTTAGTAAAGACGGGGTTTCACCGTGTTGGCCAGGGCGGTCTCCATCTCCTGACCTCGTGATGCGCCCCCATCGGCCTTGCGAAGTACTGGGCTTACAGGCTTGAGCCACCGTGACCAGCCGAAAATTTGACTTTTAAAATAGTATTCTAAATGTTCTCCATATCTTTGTTGGCAAAGACATGGATGTTTTCACATTGTTATAATCGAACTCAAAAGTCGTTTCATGAATCTGAATTTGTTCTCCAAAAATGTTCTGCGTGAGCTCCAGGCAACCCTTCATTTCTCTCTCCGCTCTGTGCTGCCTCTCCGTGCCGCCTCTCCCACCTCCAGCACTGCAAAACATTACTCTCCTTCAGACCTCCAACCGGCTCCTGCCCTCCTGCCCACAGTCTGGCTTTCCCAAGGCTTCTCAATGAAAACCACAGCTCCAGGGAATGAAGAGGAAAGAAATTATTCCAGTTGCCTTAGATCTGTCTGAATGAGAATTTTTCTGGGGTAAATTCAGCTAAAATGATTTTGTAGCCCTTTCCTCTTCCTTTGAAGATACTTGGGTTTTAAGAAAGACTGATAACTCGCACTCCTCAACTCACCTCTTGCCCCTCAAACACACACACACATATGCATACACACACACACACACACACACACACACACCCTACTGTTGTCTAAGACAAAGTCCAATTAATTGTCTATGGGCGTGTCCCCAAATCTTTATCTTCTTCTCAGAAACATTCTTATCTGACTTTGTCATCAGAGACATGAAAAGTAAGTTTCCTATCTTCTTGGCTATGGCTCTTTCTAGTCTTTTTTTTTATTTAATGTGTGTTTTTTTGTTTTTTGTTTTCTGAGACACAGCCTCACTCTGTTTCCCAGGCTGGAGGGCAGTGGTGCAATCTCAGGTCACTGCAACCTCTGCCTCCCGGATTCAAGCGATTCTCATGCCTCAGCCTCCAGAGTAGATGGTGTGTGCTACCATGCCTGGCTAATTTTTGTATTTTTAGTAGAGACGGGGTTTCACTATTTTGGCCAGGCTGGTCCCGAACTCCTGACCTCAAGTGATCTGCCCGCCTTGGCCTCCCAATGTACTGGGAGTACAGGCATGAGACACCGCACCTGGCCTAATGTGGTTTTAAATTCAAAATGATCTACACTATATTTCTTAAAAATGAGAAGAAAAACCAGCAGAGAAACATTTTTAGCCTGTATTTTTTAAATCTTCATTAACAGTTCTTCCATCCCAGGGGGCTTTACCAGCTCTTGTTTTGAATCTTGCCCCAGAGCTGTCCTAACTGCCCAGAAGGTTCAGCAGTGTCCCTTTGCTGAAAACAATCTAATGTGGCTCCAAATTTGCCTATTTAAGAAGGACAGAAGTCACCATCTAATTATCAGCCATGGCAAGAAAGCATCTGGGTAAATGGAGCTCATATAGTTAAGTGAGAAAAGTAGGACTTTCCAAATTGCAATTAGGTAGTTGACTAACAATGTGAACATCCCATAATGACCAGAAGGGTCAAGCATGCTGCCTTCTTTTGTTCTTTGCTGTCTGTGCTTTTATTCTCTCTGTCCTCTCCTCTCCGACCTGTCAGTGTGGGTTTCTGGAGACACATACATAATGGGGGGGAAATTATTGTGGAATAAACACACAAGATAATGAGATGAAGTGGTTGACAACATGCTACACAAACACAAGAGGCTACAACAATAGTCATGGTTTTCTTCTAGAAAGTGTATAAAACAGCATTATAAATCAAGCATTGTATTAGTCAGGGTTCCCTAGAGAGACAGAACTAATAGGAGATAGATCGATATACAGATATTTAGATAATATATATTTCATTAAGTATTAACTTACACAATCACAAGTTCCCACAATAGGTCGTCTGTAAGCTTGAGGAGCAAGGAGAGCCCGTCCGAGTTTCAAAACTGAAGAACTTGGAGTCCGATGTTCAAGGGCAGGAAGCATCCAGCACAGGAGAAAGATGTAGGCTGGGAGGCTAGACCATTCTCTCCTTTGCACATTTTTCTGCCTGCTTTATATTTGCTGGCAGCTGATTAGATTGTGCCCACCAGATTAAGGGTGGGTCTACCTTCCCCAGCCCACTGACTCAAATGTTAATCTCCTTTGGCAACACCCTCACAGACACAACCAGGATCAATACTTTGCATCCTTCGATCCAATTAAGTTGACACTCAGTATTAAACATCACAAGCATGCTTTTCTTCCCTTTTTCTTTTTTTTTCCTTTTCTCTTTCTTTTTCTTTTCCCTTATGTGATAATTTCAAGAAGTATCATCTTCATTTCTAATAGACAAAGGCCTGAATCAAAACTACCCCCCTTTATTTATCTGTCAAGGAGTTAATGAGAAACAAACACTTAAAAGCATTATAGAGCCTTCTTTATTTCAGAGAATCTTAAAGGGGAAAGGGACTTCAGAGCTTATCTATTGCATTGGTTCTTAAATGTGGTTTCACTGGATCCACAACTAGAGATTCTGATTGTGTAGGCTGGGATGGAATCCGGGAATGTATTCATTTAAGGAGCCCCAGAGTTGTCCTGCTGTCCAATATGGGCAAATCTAGTCCAAACATCTTGTTTTTTACAGGAGAAACTAGAGACCACAGAGACTAAGTGAATTATTAAAGAGTCACTTAAGTCTCTTTTGAAATAAAAATATTTTTTTTTATTATTCAGCAATCTCTATCACATGCCTACTATGTGCTATAATCTATATTAGGCAATGATAGTATAAAGATAAATAAGACAAACAGTTTGTCCTCAATTATCTAGTCAAGGCAAATAATCATCAAATTATTAAATGAGTTAATGCATATTAAAAGCACTTGCAAACTATAAAATGTTAGTTTTATATTACGTGTAATTATTGCTTCTTACATTTAAAACCTGGAATTTTATGTGAAGTAAATACTTCTGCATTTTTTTTCTTCTCAGGAAATAGTGGTAAATGTTTTGATATATGATGGAGCAACTCAAGGATTCCACATCATTAATTTGGGAAGACTGAAAAATAACTTCCGTGTTATTTTAGCTGAACCAACCAACCAGAAACCCCCACGGCCCTAGCTCAACTGACCCATGCATATATACCCATGTACTCTCATGTATATCTACACAATCATCAATATGAGAAAAGGGCAAAGTAAGAGCCTCTGGACTTTTCCAGATTGTTCTGCTGCCCCTTTGCAGAAGATATAAGATGACAACAATTATTTTGGGGGTATTGAGATTCTGAACATCTATTTCATTTCCAACAACAAGTCAATGTCTTTGCTGAGTGCTATTCTCTCGATGGCCTCACTTCTACTAACCCTTGTGTCTGCTGTGATGCAGACACCCCTCTGCAAACCCAACAGTGAAAACATATGGCACTGTGGGTATTGAGCTGGACAGGACTTAATTCCTTTTCCATTCCCTTAGCTAGCACCGGTGCATTTACTCCCTGATAGAGTGCTCTAGAAGATTAGCAACGGCATTCATTTTCCGCTAACTGCACACAAACACTGTGAGCCGACTCGGGCTTACTGATGCCTCAGACAATGCTGTTTTCCAAGTTTGCTTTTCATTCTTCTATGTCTTTTCTTGTGCCATTTGACCCAGTATTTCAACTCCGTAGAAAACTAACTTTGGGATTCTTTTCGTTTATATTCAGATTCTCTTGTCTCCCATTTTGGGCAGAATCTTACTAATAAATGCTTAAACAGCAACTCCACAATTATGAGTGGGTTTTCATTACCAGACTAAACACCAACTAACTAGTTATATAAGTAGTCCTTGACTGGCTTAATAAAAATGTATTTTACTGTTAAGAACAAATAATAGAAGGGAAAATCTTTGTGACAGAGCCTTAATGCCAATGAGAAAGGGTTAAGGATATTATATTTTTGAGTGCATCAGTAACTTTTTGAGAACAGCATCCTAAAGGATGATGATCACCTTTTCTACAAATTATCGTTCCGTCCTATTTTCTGGAAAAAAATCCTGAGATGGGTGGATCATAAGTCTCACTTCAAATGGCCTCTGATGTGATTGTTTTTAAGAAAGAACACAGATGTGTATATAGGCTTGATGTCCCCGAAGGAGAATTACTCATAGGTTTATAATGTTAGTTATCCTACAGTTGGCCTTACTCATTTCTTTATTCTCATCTATATCCAGGATGAATTAAATGAAATTACCCTAGACTAGAATGTGCTGGAGACTTTAGTCTCAAGAAAAGGAATCCCTTCGTGGCACTTCAATCATGCATTTCCTCTTGGAGTCTAATTCTGGAGGGAGATGATCCCCCTGGGTGACAAAGCCTCCAACCCACCACTTTCCTCAGAGCCAAAGTTTTATCTCAGGTTTGCTCTCAAACACTATGTATCATGCATCCGTGGCCATCTTTCAAGCTCTTTTCCTGTTGATTGCCTTAAAACTGGGAAATGGTTCACTGAACAAAGGCAGTCCCCCAAGGCCAAGCAGTGTGCAACACGCTAATAAATATTCAAGCCAATGTCTTTCAAATGTTATTGTGAATCATCTTTCCCTCCTTCCTTCCCATGGTTCAGTCATCTTGCTGGCTCCAAATTTTCACCTTTTGTCTCAGGCCTCAGCTGCCTCCAGTTTACTGCATATGACTGCAATTGTCTTTGTCTCCTTTATCCGCTTCACTGTGTCTCATTTTCCTAAAGTATCTGGCACCCACTTTTCCACAACATTGTTCCTTTGTTCCAGGAAAAAAAAAAAATTGGAGGCAGCAGAAACACAGTTCCAAAGGCCACAGGGTGACATCCTCTCTCACCTGATCTTTATTCATATCTGGCTTTTAATTGCATTTTTTTCCCCATTTCTCAAGCACCATACACCTCCCTTCCTCCCTGACAGGAAGGAGCATTTTATTTCTCATTCAAAACGCTTTCCTACTGATCTCTATTCTTCAGAAGCTCCAGAGGTCCCTTGTTACCTGTTGGTTTTTCTCATGTTGGTTGATCTGTTGGCCTTGCTGTAGTTTATTGCCTTTTCAACCTTTTTTTCCCTCCTCTTTCCGAACTTAGACCAGAACTTACAACCTGCTGTCTTTTCTCATCTTCACTATCATTATCTTCAGACTGAATCTTCCCAAAATGGATTTTTTTACCAACCTCGTCCTCTTTCAAGAAACAAAGAGGAGAATTATGTGATGGTTTCCACTGTCGGAGCGTCTGTGGCTTTGTTTGAGCGAGAGCTTCAAATCCAAAGCTAAACCTTGACTGAACACACAAACTCAATTGACGAGAGGAGTACCCATGTTCAAGCCCACCAATTGGCCGAGGACACAATCAGAGGGTTATTGGCAGGTATCTTCTTATCTCCCTGGTGCACTGAAAAAACTCAATTCATTAAAATAATAAAAAAAAGATCTTGGTCCCTCATGTGAGCGGCATGTGATTTTCCATGAACGTTCGGCTCAGAAGGCATCGTGCCTATTATACATTCCATTTATAAATCAAACACCCCTCGTCCTGCGGCTGCACGCTGACATGTCAGCGAGGTTTGGGTCAGCCGCACACACTTCCACGTGAACAGCAGATGAAGGCAAAGAGACAGGGAAGCGGCTCTTTCTTCCCCCCCTTTTCCACCAGTAATAGGCAGCTTGAACGTTAAAATTGGGCTGAGACTCCAAAACCAAAGTCCCATGAACCATAGAAGCAAAGAGACTTGAGATAAAAGACAGGATCTGTCTGTTCTCTTGGATCCTTCACCTTTCTTTCTCTCCCCTTCATCATGTTCATTGGAAAGTAAAGTATGTGCATGTGTGTGTGAATTAAAGAATATATCTAGGAAAAGATGGGATAAAATCTAGCCCAAGACTTTGGTTTCTAAAACCTGTGAAGGTGGTTTGGGCCTGGGACTCTAGGGCTTTGTCCATGCCCAGAAGTGAAAACAGAAAGAGGACTTTCAGGTTCCCAATCAGAAGGCCATGGAGGGTCCCGCTGAGTAGCTCCACCATGAAGGCAACAGGTACCAAGTCAGCCCAGCCACATTTTAAAGGCACATCGCAGCTCCTTGCTGCATGTGGAACTAGTTTGATCTTGTAGCCTCCTATCCATGTCAAAACATGCAATTTACCAAGATCTACTGAGGAGAAGATTTCATTAAAGAAATTAATTTCCTACAGAACAAGGTATGTCAAAATTTTCCAATCTTTTCTCCCTTGCCCCCACTCACATCACTCATAACCCTATTTATCTAGTCATGAATAATAGGAAACAAAATTGAGGTGGGGTGGGGTGGGCAAAGGAGAACTCTGCCTGTAACTTGTATTTCCTTTGGACTTTTCTTTACCTACTGTACTAGATAAGAACCAGAGAGGAAATGAGTTGAGGGGATCGAGAAAGATAAGAACCTACCAACAATGAGAGGTTCTGAAATTATACATTATCAGAAAATGGTCACATGTCATGGGTATTGATCCTATATACAAACAAGGGAAAACTGAAGGGGGAAAGGAGATATTGAAAAGTGGTGGTAACATAATTTTCTACCTACTTTTTTCATATGCCATGTCCTAAGACGTACAGGTCTCCCTGCTCCCCAGGCTTTGAGAATATAGAATAAATAATTCAGTAAAACCTTATAAAAGGAAAAAAAGTAAAGACAAGGCAGAATACAACTAATTATTTCCATTTGAGCAATAAAATATTGTCAAAACAAATAGGCCATAACATGGTAAGCTAAGAGGACTTATCACTAACATTTCCCACCCAAAGTTCAAATCTGAAGTTATGGTCTAGAATTCAAATGAATTGTAGGAGAAATGGATTGTGTCAGATACATCTGTCTCATTGTAGGGTTAGTTGTCATACAGAACAATCTTTTTCAACCTTTGGTTGATGTTTGAATTGGCATTTACTGCAGTTTTTCAAAAAAATAGATTATAGATAGATTGAGCAAAATATTGAGGGTCTAAGCACTTGAATTTGAAAAAAATAAAAATCCTCAGATAGTTCTAGTATGTATCACAAGTTGAAAACCATTGAAATAGTGACTTGGCTCATATTTAAGGGCTTTAAATAACAAGTAATAAATGATTATTTGAACAAAGACTTGTCATTCTGTACTCCCTCTTCTAGTAACAAGAATGAATCTATGTTTACTTGGCTCCCCTTTATGGCACGGCATTTGCCAGAGGTGGTAGAACTGAGAAAGGAAAGCTAATTGTCTTGGAACTGTAGGCCAACACTCCCCTAGCAGCAGAAAGACTATACTGCCTGTACTTATCAGTCACAAAATGAGCACACTGTAGCCTGCCTGGGTTTCGCATAATTATTATTATTAAAGGCAGTGTTTGTTTATTACTGTTTTCATTAAGTACCATAACTAAATTGAAGATATTTTTTCTTAGATGGTACATAATGTACACCTACTGAGCATTTTTATGTTAGAATCTGACATTTTTTAGGATGGTTTCTAATTCTTTAACGAACTGAGTACAGATGACTTATGTCTTCAATGTAGATATTAATCTGATTTTGCAAAGTCAGCTTCTGCCTTGGTTGGCAACATCACAGGATGCATAAAACAAGAAATGGTAGTTGCAGGAGCATAAAATATAATGGATTAATATTTAAGGTAGTTAATTTGCTTAGAAGCAACATTTAGAAAAAATATGTCCCATTTCCTTACAAATGTGCTGCAACCAGTTAAGAAGCATTTATCCCTAGAATATCATGCTATACATAAGTTACTAGCATAGAATGCAACATTAATAATGTTTCTTAAACTTAAAAAATTGTTTGTGCTCTACCTAGATTTATTTTTTTGCCCAGTAACTTAAGTCTATGTAGTTCCTTCTGTTATTTGTCAACCTATTGCACATACCAATATCCAGAGCTTTATCAAAAGGTCTCAATAAATTTACACTGTGATGTAATCTAGTAATAAAGCATTTAAATAAATGCATATGCTTTCATACAATATTGTAACTGTAAAATGCCTTAGAGAGCTCTTATACTAAACCTTTCATTAACAAGTAAGAAAACTAAGGCACAAAGAGGTGAGATACAGATGGCCCAGCTGGGATAAAAATCAAGTTTCCTGACTCATGGTCCGGTACTTTTCTCCTTAAATCACGCTGCCCTGGTAGTCACTAATTAGCAGGGTTCAGATTAATTAAACAACAGGAGATACTGATTCTTGACGAAGAAATCTGACCCACCAGCTTACAACCAACCTAAGATGTGAGCAGAGGAAAGAGAAGCCACAAAAATGTAATAAATTGCAAGGGAAGGAGGTTTATCTGTACACTATATAGAGGAATGTGGGGGCTCCTTCTTTGGGGCTGGTTAGAAGCCCAGCAAGTCATGATTACTAACATGCAAAAACATAAGAATCATTTTAGCTATAAATGCCTTCATTAATAAGATACTCAAAGAGAGAACGTTTTTCGTTTCTATGTATCTCAGGTAAGATTAAATCTGAACCAAAACACAAAAATTTACCTTCAGTAACAATGCAGGAGCTATCTTGCTCAGTTCAATATAACTCCATAAGAGCAAGAGATCTATAATGCCACACTTAGATCACATTTTGTGTATTATGTTTGCCATAAGAAAATTATTCCAGAAATGTTTTGAATGTCAACTAAGACTAGTAAATTTCAATATAGCTTACTAGGAACAGAAAATTATGCTAGCAATCTTTGTGTTGCCACTGCTTTATTTTAAATTTAAACACTGTATCTATCCATGTTATATATGGATAGTCTAAAGTTTCAAGCAATTCAAAGGCTTATTTTTAAAAAAAGTCTCTGACCCCAAAAATACTGTCCAGAGACAATCTCTCTCAATTATTTTAGCTATTTAATTTGTTAATATTATCTTTCAATAACATGATTACTTGTATGAGTATTCAAAATTAGGCATGAACAATGGACTTCCTCACCTTAGAAATTAAAGATTTAGATTTTCTTCACCACCACTGTACTCATCATCACGATATATATATATGATTTTTGCATATAACTGGCCCTCTGCATCTGCGGATTCAACCAACCATGGATTGGAAATATTCAAAAAAAAAAAACAACTAAAAAATAACAAAACAAGAATAAAAATTATACAAATTTTTAAAAATACAATATAACAACTATTTACATAGCATTTACATTGCATTAGGGATTATAAGTAATTTAGAGATTATTTAAATTGTACAGGAGGATGTGGCTCGGTTATATGCAAATACTACACCATTTTATATAACGGACTTCGTGGATTTTTGTATTCACAGGAATCCTGGAACCAATCCCCTGCAGACACCGAGACTAGTGTGTGTGTATAATCATACATATACTTGCTGAGCTCATCACCATCATATATATGTATATTTTCTTTCCCTCTATCCTCCCAATATAATTACATCTTAACTTTCATATTCAGTGTTTATAGTATTATTACTATGTTTATCCTAATAATAGATGAGCAACTTTATTAAGTTGATTCGAAGATTTTTTTCCCCCCTATATTATATCAACTCTGAAAACTGGGTGTGTGGGTGTGTCTTTCAAACTGCTTTTGGCCAGAGAGTCATTGTAATACAGCTGTCATTGCATATGTAAAAGTTTGGTCAAAGCTACTGATAATGTCATTACTTCAGGTGAGTTTGTGCATGGTTGGCATTACACATCAACTGAGTTTAACTACCACATAAAATATCCTCAAGAAGAATTGGCATTAAAACAAAAAGTTATTGTGTACATGGAAAGACAACAAAAAGAATAATAGAGCATAAATTTACTAGTAATAAATGTTTTATATTGGAGGAATGACAGCAGCACAACATTTTCTTGCAAAGCATAATCGAGTACTTTAAAAAATCTAAAACAAGAAGATATCCACAAATAGATGAAACTATATTATGTTAGTTAATGAGAATATGAAAAGATTCCCTATTATAGCAAATGCAACTAAAAACAGGAAAATACACCAAAACCCTCAGTATAGGTGCAATAAATTTCAAAGCAGCAGAGACAGATGTGACTGATTAATACATTACACAGAACTAACATTGTCATTCTGTCATTATTTTATTGCAGAGATTTTTCTTTCTTAGTAGTACATGAAACATTGGTGCATATATAATTGATGGCATCTTAGAGTCAACAAAATATGGAATATAACACAATTGATCTTAGCCAAAAGGCCGAGAAGCCATGGAATATAATATACTATGATTATATTTATTGTTTCAGACATTTTGTTTTCCTAGAGCTATTATTTTACATTTTTCATTTGTGTTGTTTTCTAAATGCTTATCAAACTCATCCACAAATTTTTCTCTAAAAGTACAAATATCTTCTGAAAGAAGGCAAGACCAGGAATATTCCCCCTTTTATCTGATTAGTTCCAATCTGCACTGGGAGCTCTGCAGTTCTACTGTACAACTGTATGTCCTAGGTTCTTCCTTCACTAGCATCCCAGGATACTTTTTTCTCCCAATCATATGCATCCGAGATACCATGTTATTCACCTTGACTTGTTTCCTTGTTTGCTATACCATATTCCCTAGTTGGTTCTGGGAAAAGGAGCCACAGATGCCATATTTTTTGAGAACTTGCATGTCAGAAAATACATTTACTCTGAATAATACTTTTGAAGGATATGAAATTCCAAGTTGGAAGTCATACAGAATTTTTAAGCCATTATTCCATTGTCTTCTAACTTCCAGTGTTGCTGTGGCTAACTCAAATGCCATTCTGATGTTCTATGTATGTGACTTAGTACTCACTCCCTGCTCCCTCTGGAAACTTCATGATTTTCTCTTTCTCTCCAGTATGCTAAAATTCTATGGTGATATCTTGTAATGTGTATCTATTTTCATCCATTATGCTAGGCTCTTGGTGGGCTCATTCAATAAGTAATGAGAAATTTCATAAATTGTTTCTCTGATTATTTCCACCTCCTCTGTTGGTCTATTTTCTTTTTCAGGAACTCCTATTATTTAAATATGGGAAATCCTGGACTGATCCTCTACAATTTTTAATCTTTTCTATCTTCTATTCTTGTCAAATTGTTCTACTTTATTGGAAATTTCCACCATTTCTTCTTCCTCCTTTGTGTTTTCATTTCTGCAATCATATATATTTTTTGAGATGGGAGTCTCACTCTGTCGCCCAGGCTGGAGTCCAGTGGCACAATCACAGCTCACTGCAGCCTTGACCTCCCAGGCTCAAGCGATCCTCCTATCTCAGCCTCCCAAATAACTGGGTCTACAGGTGCATGCCACCATGCTCAGCTAATTTTTTTAATTTTTTGTAGAGATGGGGTCTCACTATGTTGCCCAGTCTGGGGCAATCATAGTTTTAGTTTCAAGGGTTCTTTAATATTCTGTGACTGTTCTTTTTTTACAGCATCATGTTCTTGTTTCATAGATATAATGACTTTTCTTATATTTCTCAGGCTAGTTTTTCCCTCACAAAAAAGTTTTCTCTCCACCTGGTCTCTATTTTCTCCAAATTTCATTTTCTGTTGTTTGGTCTCTGTCTTTCCTGATAGAGGCTTCCCTCAAATGTATGGTAATCTGTTCTTATTTTATTTTATTGAGATGGAGTCTCACTCTGTTGCCCAGGCTGGAGTGCAGTGGTGTGATCTCAGCTCACTGCAACCTCCACCTCCCGGGTTCAAGCGATTCTCCTGCCTCAGCCTCCCAAGTAGCAGGAATTACAGGTGCATGCCACCACACCCGGCTAATTTTTTTGTATTTTTAGTAGAGACAAGGTTTCACCATGTTAGCCAGGATGATATCGATCTCCTGACCTCATGATCTGCCTGCCTTGTCCTCCCAAAGTGCTGCAATTACAGGCATGAGCCACTGCACCCAGCCCTGTTCATATTTTAAAGTGGAGAACTAAAGAGCTGATTGGAAGTTGTGAGGGACTGAGGCTTCATGAGTAATGGACTTCAGTCTAAGGTGATTTTGCTTGGTCTTTTATTTCTTTTTTTTTTTTTTTTTTTTTTTGAGATGGAGTCTCACACTGTCACCTGGGCCAGAGTGCAATGGCACGATCTCAGCTCACTGCGACCTCCGCCTCCGGGGTTCAAGCGATTCTCCTGCCTCAGCTTCCTGAGTAGCTGGGATTACAGGTGCCAGCCACCATGCCCAGCTAATTTTTTGTATTTTTAGTAAAGATGAGGTTTCACTATGTTGGCCAGGCTGGTCTTGAACTCCTGACCTCAGCTGATCCACCCACCTCAGCCTCCCAAATTGCTGGGATTACAGGCATGAGCCACCGCGCCCAGCCTTGCTTGGTCTTCTCATTACTGGATCTTTGGCTTTCAATACTTTTAGGTCCATGCTCTTGGGTTAGTTGGATTCCTCAAAGAAGGGACTTTTCAATCTTCTGCATGGCTCCTGGAATTTTGGGAGTCTGGAGAGGCAATGAAATTGGACTTCACCCCTCTTATTGTATAGAGTTCCACCTGATTACCCAGTTATATCCTCTACCCTCAGCTGTGCTGGTGTACCCCCATCCAGAGATCCTCTGGTTCACCTCTCCAGAAAATAGATCTCCTCTCTTTATATTATGGAGTGGAGGACTGAGAAGGGGAGCAATTGCCCACCTTCAAAGCAGCAGGAGAATACCGATGTGGGGCTTATCTGATTCTTTAACAATCTCATCAACAATTCTGTTTCCACCCTGTATACACCTTCACTTTCAAAGTTACCTCATATTGCCAGTTCCTGAGCCCTTGGTGGTTTAGAGGCTCAAACTGGATTTCTTCTATACTTTTTCCACTGTAAGCTTTCAGTTTTCATGATCTGGAATTTGTCCATTGCCTTTCAACTTCCAACATTTTGTTGTTGTTGTCTCCCCTCAAATTCTCTTTGTCCTTGAGAATGTATGCCCTTAAAAACACCTTTACTTTCATTTTAGTATGGTGTCAGTGAGGAAGCTGTGGTAATCATATATGTTCAGTTCATCAACTTTAGTTGAAAAGCCCCCATTAAACTGTGACGTAAATATAATGACTTTCTTGGAGTCATCCATATAATGGAATTTGAAAGTGTTGGAAATAAGCTTCTATCATAAAAATTCATTCAAACAACATCAGTGACAGAGAAGTGTTCACATAAAAATGATATTTATGTATATGTTGTTCTAAATCTGCTCTAAGTAACAGGAAAAAAGATATTCTCTATAGAGGTAAAAAGGCATTTGTTTATATTGACTAGTAGCTAAGGAAAAAGTGAAGTATCTTCCTTTTGTCCATGTCTACTGAGTTTTAGTTCAGATTTTTTCATAACTAGATATAGCTGGTTTTCTATCACTACCAAATGGAGAAAGCCCCCGAGAGAGAGAAATATCAACCAAAGCTAGGAACCTGAGTCTCCACAATAAATCCAAAGGTAATATTAATTGAGTTTGGATTATGTGGGTGATTAGGCCACATGGAGTGCCATGATGCTCATCTCCCCAACAGCCATGACCCCCGACCCCTGCTGCACAGCAGCCCGTGCTTCAAAGGGCATTGGCGCCACCAACATCTCCGAAAATGCAAGTCAAGGGAATCCCTTTGAACTTGTCACAGGGCTCAGGTGACTGAGGCCATAAGACTGCCAACACATGGCATTATACCGGCCACAAGAATTGGCACTAAACTCAAATCACTTCCCTGATAAATTGAAGAAAGGCATTTCTTCTCCTTGGGCATTTTCAAGAAAGCAAACAGCCCAGCTTACTTTTGGCAGCATCTCTAGACCTGCGAAGAAAGCCAGCACTGGGTGGAAGACAACAATTTGGATGGCAGAGCAGAGAAGCAAGAAAAAAAAACAAAGAAAGAAATAAAACAACTAGATTCTTGATCAAAAATACAGAAGCCTGGTCTACCTCTGTATTTTTCAACATATGACTCAATAAGCCGCTGTGTTTCCAAAGTTAGATTAAATTGGGTTTTTCCTCTACTGATAAATCTCATCATATGTCTGTATTATCTAGCTTGTCTACTACCATTATACAGTGTATTGTGGTGGGAAAATATGTTCTGGAGCTTGCCTACATTTAGTTAACCAGTTATTCAGTTAACCAGCTATAACAGTTACCCAGTTATAAGAGTGTTAAAACGGGTCTGAGACTAAAATTCAAAACTTACTAATACATTCACCACAGGGACTTATTTGCAGTTGAGTAAACTCCTCATTTTCAACAGTTATTTTTATTTTATGAAAATAACAAATATATGTGTGTGTGTGTGTGTGTGTGTGTGTGTGTGTGTGTGTATTCCGCCCAACCCCCCAGAGACAGCATTTCCTTTCCTCTCTGTCCTTGCTGATAGTAGCTATGCTTAGGCATAACCTTTAAAAGCCATTTACTATATCACCAAAATGAGGACTGTCAAGTCATAACCATCAGAAAAAGAGGAAAGAATTCTCATATTCCAACAAAGCACACTTAATTTAAGAAAATAAACACAGATGCAGACTATTCCTCCACCAAGAGAATTGCTTGAAAGCATTTTTGAACATTACTGTCCTAAAGATGAGTATGTTATTGATTAAATAACACTAACAGCTCAAAATGTAGATGTCATAGTATCTGAATAATACAGACATTTGTAGAAAATCAGAGCAGGTAATTAAGGAAAATTAATATACTTTGCAAATTTAATTATTTGATTGACTATCTTCAGTAATTTAAATAATTGTCAACTCTCCTTTTTATTTTACACAGCGTAATAATTTTCCAAACAAAATGAGAAACATAACAAGTATAAATAAACAATAAAAGAGAAGAATTCAAGGGCACATTCCTTAATACTCTTCTCTTCTCTATCCACACTCACTGTCTTGGTCATCCTATCCAGGCTCACGGCTATGAATACCATCAATACACCAATTGTGACCAGTTTTAAATCTCTAGCCCTGACCTCTCTACAATCTCAAAACTTCTATATCCAACTACCTTTATGACATCTCCATCTGGATGTCTGATAGACAGCTGTAACTCAGCATGTCCAAAACTGAACTCTTAATCTTCTCCCTCAAAATCTGCTCTACCTAGTCTTCCCTATCTGTGGGAATGACAGCTTCATTTTTCCAGTTGCTCTGGACAAAAATATTGAGTCACCCTTGTCTTTTTCTCTCAAACATCACATCTAATTTATCAGCAAATCCTTCCTGTTGGCTCTACCAACAAAATATCCAGAATCTGATCACATCTCTCCACCACCAATTCTACCAGCCTGTGCTGAGTCACTCTCCTCTCTTGCTTGGATTGTTGCAATAGGCTCCTAACGGGAGATGTTGCTTCCACCTTTGTCCCCCTACGAGATTGATCCTTTTAAGTGTTAAGTCAGATCACCTCACTCCTCTGCTCAAAATCATCCAGTGGCTTCCTATTTTACTCAGCATGAAAACCAAAGCCTTCATGGTGACCTTTGTGAACTCATCCTCTATTTCCTCTCTGACTTCATATCCTTCTCCTCTTTCCCCCTTGCTCACTCAGCTCTAGCCATACTCTGGGCATGCTGTCACCTTAGGGTTGTTCTTCTCTGTTCTCTTCTACTTTCCTTCCAGGTGCCATGAGGTCATATTTGATGAAACCTACCCTGGGGATCCTCTTTAAAACTGAAACCCTCTTCTCTGCAACTGCCTGTCCCAATTTCCCACTATGCTGCTCTATTTTTCTACTTTTCTTTGGCAATAATCACTTTCTAACATTCTCTGCAGTTTACTGAGCTATAATATTTGTCTCTCTGTCCCATCAGAAGGCGAGCACCATGAGTTCAGAGATCTTGGTTTGCTCACTGGTGTATCCCCAGCACTAAATCAGTACCTGGAACACAGTGCTGAATAAATAGGGCAGGCACTCTCCTACAAATGCCTTATTTGTTGATGATAAAAACAGAATAATCCCAAGACTACAATTAGACCTTATTTAGTTTCATACAAGACTTTGTAATTTGCACTATTTATTTTCTATTGGATGGAAACTTGATCTTTTTTGAAAATACATAATGATGCATGTAATTCCTAGTACTAATGGAAAAACATGAATAAATAAGATGTAATATCTCATACACTTTCATATAACATATGTCTACAGATTTCAAAGCTTGCCTGTGGATTCCCAACTAACACACTTTGCTTATTTGTACCACTTGTGGTGTCCAGGCAGATACCTTGGGTGTAGCCATGGCTACCTCTTATTCTGAAATAAGTAATTATTTTGCCTCTACTTTTTATGCTAAAAATGTCAAACCTAGAAAAAAGTTTTAAAAATAGCATAATGAACACCATATACCCTTTACCTAGTTTCCTAATTATTTTACATTTTGCCACATTTGCTTTCTCTTTCTTTCTCAGGTATATTTTTTTCCTGAATTGTCTGATAGTAATTTGCTGATATCATGATATTTTACCCCTAAATAGTTCAAGTATCACTTAAGAACAAGGACATACTGCTATATAACAGCAATAAGAGGTCATACTCAAGAAATGCAACATTAATATGATTATCCAAAATATAGCCCATATTCATATTTTCCTAATTTCCCAATAATATTGTTTGTAGTTTTGTCTCTTTATATCCAGGGTCTAACCATGGACAATGAATTATATTTAGTTGTCATAGCTCTAAAATACTTCTCCCCTTCCTCCTCCTCCTTCTCCTTCTTTATTTATTACGTCATTGACATTTTTAAAGGGTCTGGGCCAATTGTTTCCTCATTACAAGATTAAGGTTAAAGATTTTTAACAAAACCTTTACCTAAAAATTGGACTTGCAATGCATGCCTCGATAGCTATAAAAGAGGCCGTACAGTAAAGTGATTATAAGCCAAGTTCATGGAGCCAGAACTACCGGGCTTCAAAGCCAGTTCCACCACCCATGAACTGTGAGAAATACTTACAGTCCCTTGCCTCAGTTCCCCTATTTATAAGATAGAGATGCTCATACCACCCACCTCATTAAATAGGTCATCATATGCGAGGCGCTTAGAATAGTACCTGGCATGTGGCAATTGCTTTGTAAGTGTTAGCTCTATTTATAGTTTTAAAACAACCTTGACTCATTTCCCTTTGATGGTTGAGATGTAGGGGCTGAAAAACACAGGACTGAAGTGTTACATCTTCCCCAATATAAACAGCAACTCTCAATGGCTTAGCTTGGAATTCTAATTAAGTCTTATTATTGTTTTGGAAGCTCAGAGTGGTTTTGCCTCAACCCTTTTGACAAATGGTGTTCAGTGGAGATTCAAAAGGGAGACAAAAGGTGGACTGGTGGTGCAATCCGCCGGCAAGGCTCAGAGATGAGCGGCCTTGGCCTGACACGCCTCTAGAGGGCAGCAGAGGCACGAGCGGCTCTCTGGCTCCCTTGCAAGTGAACCCGCCTGTCACTCCTGTCCACAAACCCGTAACCGGGAAAGGAGGTCAGCTTGACTCAATGGGCTAAATAGGTGTGGGACTGTTCACTTGAGGAGCTGAACCGAATAACCAGGAGTAATACCAGCATACACTATCTTTTTGGTAATAAAGCTGATGTTTAACTGTTTCTGAAGACTGAACATATCACACTAATGTGCTCTCCACAAACAAGCCATGGTAACATGAGGCTCACCAGATCTGGTGCCAGCAATTTAATTCTTAGCAAGCAGCTGAGTATGGAGGGTGACTTAGTGATGTAATCGCTGCCAGTGCCGGCTCCCCAGGGCAGGGAGTACCATCAGCTCTGCACAGAACAGAGAGCTCATCTGCCTGGCTGCCACTTCTTCTCTAGAATTTACAAACACATATAAGGGTTTTCGACTTCAAATCAACTTTCAGACCATTTTGTAAATGTTTCTTACTATCAGAACTCAAGTTTTCTCCTATAGTTTAGTTATCACCAAAGGTTAGATACAGGTCTCTTAAAAAAATTGGAGAGTAGTCAGAAATAAACGACAGATGATTATTAGCAATGTTATCAGCACGTTCTCCACATTCCAGATGGGTAGTACAGGGTAATGGGTAAGGGTATGAATCTGAAAGCAGACACCAGAGCTTGAATCCCAGCTCCACAATTGACTATTATAGCTGTGTGATCTTGGTCAAGTTATTTAATCTCTCTGTGTCTCAATTTCCTTCTCTGTGAAATGGAGATGATAATAATAGCACCTACCTCATAGGGTCATTAGAATCGAATCAAAGGAGTTAATATATGCAAAACTCTTACAACAGTTTCTTGCACTTAGTAAACACTGTAGAACTGCTAGCTTTCATCATTTAGGCTCTCAAAATCTTTTGTAAGTATTCAAGCCTTTCCCTCTCTTCTTCCTCCTCCACAACCAACGATCCTGATCCACGGCAGAGATTAGGGCTAAATGCACCCACACAGCGTTACCCTCCACAGGTATGTGCAAAAAAGGGGCCTTTCCCCCTTCACTATGTTCCTTCACATAGGAAGAAAACTGGAAAACTTCAACATTTCCTAAGCCTTTCATAAAAGTGTTCTCACTCTTCTTTGTGCCATCTTCTCTACACCAGCAAGGTTCTACTGAATTTTCTTCATGCAGGTTGGGTTACCACTTGTTTCTCTTCTGGTCACTTGCTGTCCAGCACCGCCAATCTAAGAATCTGGAAGAGGTTACGAAATTAGTCACCCACGGCTATGCACAGACCTTCCCTCTTTTTATCAAGCAAAAGCGATAGACAAGTATTATACATACTCCTGTTTTTAGAACAGAAAAATAAAGAGAATTCTTTTAGTGAAAATAAAGCAAACTCTTCTAAAGTTAAAACAAAGAAATTTTTAAAACTTTCAGAAATCAGATATTGCATTACACCAAAACTAAAAAAACCGTGGGGGTGAGGTTTAAGAGGATGATGCATATATAGAGAATCAACGCGGCATTCTAAACTGTCATCTTAATGTAAAAATAGGCTCTGTATAAATATGTCTCATTAAAAAAGACTTATGGAATCACTTTTTACATAATTCTATAGGAACTGGGCACATTCTGTCAGAGAGGGTTGGGAGTACTACATTTTTCAAAGTATACCATTGTCTAATATTTTGTCTGTTCTCTGAACTTACCTTAGGCTTAGGGGCTTGGGTATCTGAAGCTTAGTTCAACAAAGTATTAATGGATTTCATCGCAGATATACTTTCAGCGTTTTTAAAAATCCAATAAAATCAAAATAGTTTATGTTACATAGTCCATTGAGAAAATTGTAGAAATTTATTGATAATACCATAGCACATGGTAAAGATCAGATCTTATCCAAAATAGCATAGTGGTTAAAAGCACATGGCTTTTGGAACCAAACGGCAGGCTTTCAAATCCCAGTTCTTCCACTTACAAGCTTTGAGATCTTGGGCAAGACTCAGTGGCCTGGCTGTCACATGGTGGGGCAGCGATAGTGTCTACCTGTAGCAGATAAAGTAGGTGTTTCTGTTGCACTCCTCTCGGTGTGCACCTGACACATTCCTCCACAGATCACACATATACACCTTCTGTGCCATCCTTGGAGGTTGTCAACCAATGACTGTGCAGCAGGATGAGCGCCAGTTTCCCTTTCCTAGCCTGCACCCTAGAGTCATGCTATGGGACCAGGCTGAAGCTACCCTCTGAGGGACCCTGGCCTGAGACAGAGCCTTGCTTGGCAGCCTCCTTTCCCTGTCTTACCTTCCCCAATCCATTACAGGTCCCTCCTGGAACCACCTCAGGGATACATCCCATGCATTTAAACCTCTCAGTGTCTGCTCCTGGGAACCTAGGGCTTAACACTTAGCCCTCATACAGTTTTCAAGCGATGGATTCTAATATATCTAAAGCCCCTAAAACAGCACCTGGCATATAAGTGCTGTTTCAATATTAGTTATTGTTAACATCTGCGGCTGGACCTACAGTATCAAGGAGAACCGAGGGAGCTATACAGGGACTTCAAGCAAACACAAAACCACAAACACACAAACTCTTGAGAAATGTTGAGGGAACTGAATAATCCATCTAATTACTTCCTTTCGCATCACTGGTTGCACCCTTGGCCTTAATTACAAGGGAATACATGCTTCTGGCTGAGTTGTAATACAAAGAGGCTGCTGCTGTGTGCTCCCAGGAGACCCACCACAGGCATTCAATTGAGTTAATAAGTATGGATACTGGAAGACTTGAATGTTCTCTCTCCCATGTGCCTTTTTTTTTTTTTTTTTAATAAGTGAAACTCTTTGGTTCGTCCTTTAACTGGGTTTCATAGAGCAGTTTCAAGGTTGCTTGTTTGAAGGTAAGCAGCAGGAGTCTTAAGAACTTAATTTTAAGAAATTCAAAGAGCAAAGAATGCACTTTGTTCTTTGAGTTTCTTAAACCTATATTTCACATCCTTTCATAATAATTTGTCTTTTATGGATAAAATATACACAAATCACTTAGGAAAAAAGGCATGTGAAATGACCTTGGGCGATCAAGTTCTTCTGTTTTTAAATGGCATGCCCAGTGTAGTATTAAGATTTCTATATGGGAGCATTTCTAGCACATAGAACAGCTCAGAAAAAGAATTTATTATTTCTTTATTTTTCAGTTCAAAAATAAGGGCAAAGAAACTTACTCATAGGATTTCTTTTTTTAAGGTTTTCATTTATCAGCGCCTGGGGAAAAAAAAAAAACTGATACAGGCAAAATCCCAACATGATAAAACCAGAACGAAAGTAATAGTGGCTGGGGGGGGAACCACTAAGTGAATTATTATGATCCTAGGTGCTAAAAAAATTATTCTTCCCTGATTCTCTCATCTGACCCCACCACAGGCTGGCTTTTGTCCACCTCACAGCACTTGAGCCATTAATGATCTCCTCCAAGCCAAACTGAATGTTCTCTCTTCTATCCTTGTTCACTTTAATCCATTTGTTGCCTTTGTTCGACTCAACCACTCTCTTCCTCCTCCTCCATAAGCCTCTCTTCTCCTAATTTTGTCTGATCCTTTAGTATTTCTTTTCTTTACAATTTTATTGTATATTTTTAAAATAAAAATGAAAACGGTAATTAGAGAAGAGGGAAAAAAGGACTCAATCCAAACACTATTATTTTATTGTATTTTTCCTCTGATTTTTTTCTTATTGGTTTTTATACACTATGAATAGGATTTTGTATCCTTCATTTTCTACCAGATTTTTAAAAGTTATTTCACATGTTGCTGCAAAAGTCCTCATAACCTCCCTCCTTAATTCCTCTTAATACTTTCCTATCTCTCTGACTTTCTCCTCCTAATCTATTCTGTTTCCCCATGGGAATTCACTTCTCTGCACTCTACCCCCATGCCAACTAATCCACCGATGAGCCAAAAACTTTATATCCCACATTCCCCTTTTACTTTCAAGTATCCCTTTTGTTCTAATGATATGGATATCATTTTAAAAAAGAAAAACAACTCCAGTGTGCTCATCAAAACATTCATACCAAAATACTACTTATCTGGAAGTTAATCTGGAAATTTAGATCAAAGATGTATTCCTCTGAAATGCCTAAAGCATATCTTTCCTCCAAATAATTCTGAAGATTTTTTCAGAGTTCATAGAAAAATAACAGGTAGATACAGGTACTTATCTACCTGTTAGTAGTTTTCAACAAGATTGATTCTAGGTTAGTGTTTTCCAAATTATTTCCAGATAAGACCAGTGAAATATTAGTAGATATTCTATTTTGTAAAGGGGTGGTTCCACGATCAAAAGAAGGTTGGGAAACCTTAAATCACGTAAAACTAAAAAGGTTTCTTTACTATAAGAATTCTCAGAGCGGTCAGGCGTGGTGGCTCTCACCTGTAATCCTAGCACTTTGGGAGGCTGAGGCAGGAGGATCCCTTGAGCCCAGGAGTTCGAGAACAGCCTGGCAATATAGGGAGACCCTGTCTCTATTTTAAAAGAAAGAAAGAAAAAAAGAATTCTCAGAGCCATTAAAATATTAATCTCAGCACCTAGCATAATTGGTAGGTATTTAGTAAATATTTGCTTATGACATGAATGTGAATTGTAAATATCCAGGAAAAAATACTACCTGTAACATTTCCCAAAAGAAAAGCAATTTATTTATTAAAGATATTTAAACAACTATTTAAAAGATTGTTGCAGTATTGTTCAACTAGTTAAAAACCTTCAACAATACTGATGTCTATAAACTGAGGGTTGGTTAAAGAAACTACTACTGTACAATAAAAGAGCATGTAGCCGTTACATTATGATATAGGTCAATATTTATTTTATTTTATTTTATTTTATTTTTGAGACAGAGTCTCACTCTGTCACCAGGCTGGAGTGTAATGGTGCGATCTCGGCTCACTGCAACCTCCGACTCCCTGGTTCAAGTGATTCTCCTGCCTCAACCTCCCAAGTAGCTGGGATTACAGGCACACACCACCATGCCGAGCTAATTTTTGTATTTTTAGTAGAGACGGGGTTTCATCATGTTGGCCAAGATGGTCTTGATCTCCTGACCTCGTGATCCACCCACTTCGGCCTTCCAAAGTGCTGGGATTACAGGCGTGAGCCACCCCGCCCCGCCAGGTCAGTATTTATTAACAATAAGAAATGACAATGACATTTGAGAAAAAGTAGATTATAGAACAGTATGAAATTCTGTATGCTATCTCTCTATATAGAGAGATAGGTCACATAAAGAATATATATGTAAAAGATGGCATGGATATAAACAAAAAGTTAATAGTAATTATCTTTGGTTGGTGGGATTATATATCATTTTTACTCTATATATTTTTATTATTGATCTCACAATGATATGTCTTATTTAGTTAGAAAAAGCAATAAAGCTATTTCTATTTTTAATAAATAGGCTGGGTGCAGTGGCTCACACCTGTAATCCCAGCACTTTGGGAGGCCAAGGCAGGCGGATCACCTGAGGTCAGGAGTTCGAGACCAGCCTGGCCAACATAGTGAAACCCTGTCTCTACTAAAAATACAAAAATTAGCCCGGCATGGTGGCAGACTCCCGTAATTCCAGCTACCTGTGAGGCAGAGGCAGGAGAATTGCTTGAACCCAGAAGGCAGAGGCTGCAGTGAGCTGAGATCATGCCACTGCCCTCGAGCCTGGGCAATAGAGCGAGACTGTCTCAAAAAATAAATAGATAATAAATAGGTAAGAGCAGTCTTGACTAGACTTATACATTTGGTGGCCATTCCTACAAAACTACAGATAATAAATCAACTTTTTAGAAAGCTTTTCTGAGCTAAGCATTTTAATCACAAAATGATTTTTAAATATTCTATCTTGTTAATAACACCAACCACAAAATTAATGGTGAAACTTATATATCAGAGTCTATTTCACTTCTTTGCATTTAATTCTCAAGTGTTACTTGGATATCTAAAGAAGAACAACTTGAACTTCCCTGAGCATCTTGGAGCAAAAAGACAGCACCAGAGTCCACGATTGGATTGGCACTGATCCTTCTTAGCTATATCTGTGAATAGGATATGTAATGACTTCAGCCTCAGTTTCCCTGACTCTAGTAAAGCTTTTGTACTAAATGATAATAGAATCTCTTACTCCACAGTTTGATGATTTCATCTAAAATGTCTCATATAAGCTGTGATGAATTTATTGGAAATTAAATGAAATGCAGGGAGTGATACTCAATGAGTTAAATTATTTTTTCTATCTGTGGGCTGTAAACATTATCATAAGTATGCAAATAAATAAATATATACATTTTACATTGGTTCCATATAATGTACTAGGTCTTATAAATTTGTATACACTTTACCCAGCAATTCTACTTTTGGGATTTAGCCTAACAAATTATTCAGGAATGTAAATAAAGATTTTACTTGACAAAGATGCTGATTTCAACATTATAATAGAAAAAAATGGACATCAACGGTATTGAACAAGGAACTAGTTAAGTAGATGACAGAATATTATAGAACATCACAATATAAAGCCACTAAAATGATATTGAAAACTATTTACTGTCCTGGAAAGAGATTTACAACCAGGTTATAAAACAGCATGTATGATATAATCCTCTTTTTGTTATAAAATATTTATATGTACATAAAGAAATGTATAAAAAGATCTATAACAAAAACTTCACACTAGTAATCACTGGGTTGATCTGTGTTTTCAAAACTTTATATAATTAATATAGAATGCTCATAAAGCAATAAAATCAGTGGCCTTGTGATTTTTCCATAGTTTGTTTCCTAAGTACTCTGGGTAACATAAACAAATCATTTATAGTCAAAGAAAAAATAGGATTCAATAAAACTATATCAGTAAATGCTTAATATAGTAGTGTTAATAACACTGGCCTCAAAGATGCTTAATCTGTCTTCCAAAAACAATGAAATTGTGATGACAGAAATGAATTTTTAAAATGCCTTTAAATAAATGATAGTTTTCTATTCAATTACATGTGGTCTTATGCTTCTTGATCCACAGCAGTCTTGTATATTAAATGGTGCAGACATGTACCAGTGTCCATGACCAAGACCTAAAATAAGTTAAAGTGTCATGATTCTAAGCATTTAGCGTAAATTTATTTGAAGACGCAACAATCTGGGTTAAGAAATAATTCCAGAGTAGTCTCTGCAATGACACTGTAATACTATTCATAATATCCGTGCTTCTACATTTTAGAGACTAGTATAATATTTTTTAAAAGAAGATGGGATCTACAGAGTGTTGACAAATTTTATTTTGCCTAGAACATTAAAAAGAATACAGCCGGGCGCAGTGGCTCACGCCTGTAATCCCAGCAGTCTGGGAGGCAGAGGCAGGTGGATCACCTGAGATCAGGAGTTGGAGACCAGCCTGGCCAACATGGTGAAACCCCATCTCTACTAAAAATAGAAAACTTAGCCAGGCATGGTGGCACATGCCTGCAATCCTAGCTACTCAGGAGGCTGAGGCAGGAGAATCACTTGAACCCTGGAAGCAGAGGTTGCAGTGAGCCGAGATCGCACCACTGCACTCCAGCCTGGGCAACAAGAGCGAAAGTCTGTCTCAAAAAATAAAAATAAAAAGAATACCATCTACAGCCTCCGTTGTTCAAAAGGAAAAGATGTTCTAACCTTGAAAATGTCCTGATCTTAGATATTTTTTAAAGTCCTTAAAAATGAGTCAGTTTAGCCTTAAAAGTAGCACACTGCTTTTCTCATTTTGCTGCAGACAGGCAAAAACCGTAGCAGACGCTGGCACTGCCTCTTAGGAGGCACAATTATCTAGTAAAGAGGTCTCTGTAAGAAAATGCCCCAAGACAGACACTGTGTATATTTAGTCAAACATCCGGAAAGTTGTTGAAAAACAATTCAGAGAATATAAGAAAGTAAGCTGGGTTTATTTAACATTATTTAGGCAAGACAAAGGCAATTTTTTGGTTGGAGTTAATTTAAATAATAAAACATTAAAACTCACATAACCTTAATGATCTTCCTTCCCAGGCTTCCCAAACTTCAGTCATTCATGTTTTATCTTCACAATTTTTGGCATATTTGCATAACACCTCCATTATTATTTATTTAGTTCCTTTAAGTCTCCCTCCAAGGCAATAACATCTATGAAATCAGGGGTTTAGTGAACTAGCTGTCCACATTTAATCACTCTGCCACCTAAAAGGACCCCACAAACACAAATCTACTCTAACTTCCTCATTTCCATGAAGAAATGTGTTAAGCATATTAAGCATTGTGTTTCTGATCTTACATGAAGAGGATGGCAGAGCAGTTGATTGATTTCAAAAACAATAGCAAAACACAGGAGATTTTGTTTATGTCCCGACTGTCAGATTAATTATCTATAAATTACACTTATAACTTCAAAGATGCTGGAACTTACCTGTCCCTCCTATCACTGATTTTTTAATTTGTTTTCAATTCTTAACATGGCTCAATGCTCTGCCTTGTATTATCCATTCATCTAACAAATATTTACTGAGCACCTACTTTGTGTCAGGCTCTGCCTGGGGCTATAGCAGTGTGCAAAATAGACAAACATCCTTGACCTCATGGGGTTTTCATCCTAGTAGATTTTTAGAGCTTTCTAAGTATATGTCATGTTTCTTCTTGTAGAGTCTAAATTCTTGGAGGACAAGATCTGATTCCAATTTAATTTTGGCTCCTCCACAGCACACAAGAAAGCATTCTGCAGTTAAATCAATAAATGACTAAATAAGGAAAGGATGCAAAAGTTCTGCAATTGGTTTATCCTTTGACCCTGAAAGCTATACTTATTAATCATTTTTTAACTTTTATTTTAGGTTCAGGGGTACATGTGAAGGTTTGTTACATAGGTAAACTCGTGTCATGAGGGTTTGTTGTGCAGATTATTTCATCAGCCATGTATTAAGCCCAGTGCCCAACAGTGATCTTTTCTGCTCCTCTCCCTCCTCCTACCCTCCATTCTCAAGTAGACCCCCGTGTCTATTATTTCCTTCTTTGTGTTCATAAGTTCTTATCATTTAGCTCCCACTGACAAGTGAGAACATATGGCATTTAGTTTTCTGCTAATTGTTTTCTTGTTTTTCCACATAATCTATTTTTCTCATCAGTATTCAATGTTTCTGATTTCAATTTACGAAATGTTGAAGATAACAAAAGACAGAGACGTAGCCTCTAGTAAAGGGAAACTAACAACTGATGCAAGAAAAAAATAAAAATGTCATCTGCTGTATTCAAAGTGCTATATTTCAGAAATACAAGCCAGTGAAACAAAAGCCTGAATTTTTAAAACTTCATAAAAAGTAGCATTTGAAGTATATTCAGATATTTGCTTGACTTCTATGTACTTTCCAAAACATTTAAAATAATTATTAATACCTGAGCACTAAATTAGCTGTATTTAAAGTTGTATAAATTAATTTGTTATCAAGAAAAGAAAAAATCCTGGGTTTTTTTTTTTTTTTGGTTTAAGAAAATATGTTATATCTACCTTTAATCTTAATCATTTCCCAAATAACAAACATTTAATGTTACTGATTTTAACCCTTATTAGGAAAAAAACTAAGCCCCCCAATTTTTTTTGCAGTGTTGCAATACCTTCCAAATAAGATGACAGCATGTGACCACATCAGCTTCCTCAGCTCAAAGCTATGAACTTTTTTCCTCCTGTATTTTTCTTCCCTCATATAGAAGAAAAATTAGACTGATATACTCAAACTCTATGTCAAGATTAAACCAATAAAACAGGTAGAATAAGGTTTTAAATATCACCTCTCTCTTCTTTTTGTGGAATTTCCCTGCCCTCACATAAAATCAGTTGGAATTTCACAGAAGCACTGAAAAATCTGGCTTCATGTGAGATGCTGAAAGAGCCTGTGGCAGTGAAGTCAAGTTCTGTGCCCAGCCCCCTCCTTCAGCCACTAGATGACACTGCCTCCCCCCAATAACGAAGTTGTTAGCAGTTCTCAACAAGACAGAAACATGCAAGACTTCTGAAATTTGTTACCTTTGGTACTTTTTGGGGTGGGCGGGGGTGGAGTGGGGAGATGGGGAAAAAAGCGTAATTAGACTTACCAGAGATAAACATTTTAAAAGCTTTCATGTCTAGTTCAGGACCAAACATGTTATAATGTAGTATTTTCTGGGCTCTTTTTTGCCTTTTTATTGAATTTTTAGTAACTGGTCAGAGCTATTACATTACCAGAATCATGAATACAAAGTCAGCTTAAGCTTTTCTCCCCACCAACCCCCCTCAAATACAAGGCATGGCTGGTAGTTTAAGAATTCATCAAATCTGACCTTCAAATAGTTAATTTAAGCATGATTTCTCTGGCTTTCTTACTCCTCCCACTGATAAGAGTTTCTTCTTCTGGGGTAACTGCCTCTAGTAAAAATGCTGCAATGCAGTTAAGATGCTGGTGTGAGGACTGTAAATTATGCGTTAGGGGAATTTTGCTATGCTGCACTTCAGCCTGGAAGCAAAGGTTTTTTTCTGTTCAAGTCCACAACTTTTGCTTGCCAGTGAGATGGCAGAGCATTACGTGGGTGCCTTTTGGCCATCTGGATCCATAGGCACCCGAAGACAACACTAATTCCATGATTAGGAAACTCTCATCACTTCTACTAACATAATTGTTTTTTAACTACTTCAGAATAGATTCTGATGAATAAAGCTACTGATCTCTTTAAACACTTCATAGATTCACTACCTAGAATTATGTATTCATTCTTTGGATATGGTGTCATAAAGTCTAGGTACAAGTTCAAAAACATGCCCCGTGTAACATACTTGTTAAAATCCAGTGTCACCTCCCATCAAAGCCTGATCAGCAATTTCAGTACCTCAATCACTCAGAAAATATTTCCAAATTTAACACATAGCAAGTATCAAGCTCTCCACTAAGAAGACTATGAAATAAATACAATATACAGTATTTCCCTTTGAAGACCTTTTAACTTACATGGGACTACACAAAAGTGTGTGTGTGTGTGTGTGTGTGTGTGTGTGTGTGTTTATGGTTGATGATCATAAGCCAACAAGGTACAGATAAGACTTACTTTAGGAAGTAGGGACTGTTATGGAAGAAATGTTTGGAGAAGGCTTCACAACATAGATAGAACTCAAGATGTGTACGACAGCTAAGGTTTGGGTTTTCAAAGCCAAAAAGAGAGCTTGGCCTTGATGAGGCATCTAATAAAGGGCAACTGGGAGTTTTTCAACGAAATGTCACTATTAATGTAGTTATTTTAAGACTATGTGTTTGACAGCAGTAACAAAGGCATATAGAATAGGGAGACCTGAATGATGACGCTCATCTGTAAACTTGTGTATTTAAGAAACTGTGATAATTTTCATTATGAGTGTTCATTTTCCCTGGGTGGTAGAGATGTCATCTTGGTCAGTTTCCTGGGGTTGCTTCTTGCACTTGGCTGGCACAGTGATGCTAAGGCAGTGAGTGCTTGGCTGGGGTTGGAACACCTGGTCCTTGATCATCAATCCACACAGATCTCTGGGTCATCACAATGGTGCTCTTGGATGGTGTCTTGGTCTGTTCTGGTTGCTGTAACAAAATGCCACAGCTATTTCTCACAGTTTGGGGAAGAGAGATCAAGGCACCAGCAGATTCAGTGTCTGGTGAGGGCCTATTCCTAATACATACTGTCTTTCTGCCTCACAATGTGAGAGGCCAAACAAGCTCCCTTGGCCATTTTAATTTTTATTTTATTTACTTTTTTTGAGATAGAGTCTTGCTCTGTCACGCAGGCTGGAATGCAGTGGCGGGATCTCAGCTCACTGCAACCTCCGCCTCCCAGCTTCAAGTAATTCTCCTGCCTCAGCCTCCTGAATAGCTGGAATTACAAGCACCTGCCACCACGCCCAGCTAATTTTTGTATTTTTAGTAGAGACAGGGTTTCACCATGTTGGCCAGTCTGGTCTTGAACTCCTGACCTCGTGATCCACCCGTCTCGGCCTCCCAAAGTGCTGGGATTACAGGCGTGAGCCACCGCACCCGGCCACCTTGGCCGTTTTTATAAGGGCCCTAATCCCATTCATGAGGCCCATGCCCTCACAGTCTAATCATCTCCCAAAGGCCCCGATTCTTAATATCACCATGTTGGAGGTTAGGATTTCAACATATGAATTTGGTGGGGAAAAGGGGGTGAGCGGGAGTGGCACAAACATTTCAGATCACAGCAGATGGCTAACTTGTCTACTCTAGTGCTCCTCTTGGGTGCATGGGAAATCACTCTCCTATTTCCCATGAAGTATTTCAGTCATTTCTCCCACACACTGAATTTCTATTACACAGGGAGTCTGGGGGTCAATGTAAAACTAGGACATAGGTCAGCCTTGTTCTGAATCCCCTCAAACCCATGGGCGGGGTTGGGTTTAGTTATGTTGTCTCACTCATCCAAGGTTCAGTCTGGAAGGAAACTATGGCACATGCCTCTTTCTCAGAGAAATACCCTCAACTTCTCTCTGGCTTTCCTTCCAATTCTCCTTTATCACAGGTCTGGAGAATCTTTTCTGGCAGAGGGAGTTGTGGCTCCTGCATCATCCTGAATTTGCTAGGACTGGAGCCCTGAGTCCCCCAAGTCCTTAGGCTTTTGCAATCCAAAACCCTAGGCTTTTGAATCTAAATTCAGGGGACTTTTTGCTCCTATTCTGCAATATCATTTCTTCTCTAAGTCAATGCCACTGACTAAGTGGGAAGTTAACGGTAAGGGGTAAGAGGAAACACAGAGTTGGAATGTATGATCCCAGGCTAATATCTCAAAATTTGAACTCACTCTGCTGTTGAGAGTCTACTGCACAAAACCGGACATAAAGACTTAAGGGCTGAGTGGCATTAAGAATGGAAATAAAAGATTAGACAAGAGATATGGCGAATGAAGAAATAACAAAATCTTGTTTGGGGAATAAACACAAGGCTCAAGTGGGGGGCGGGGGGGAATGAACTGGAAGGACTGGATGGAGGTGATGATGTCAGTTGTCCTTGGACATATTTTTTATGGTTCATATTCCCTCTCCTTTCTCTTCACTCGCCCCAATTACCGTGTCCTGTTAATTAAAAGTTCTTCAAATCCATGTCCCTCCTTCCCATTGCCACCGTCACTGCCCTTGTTCATTCCAGTAACATCTCTCCTCTGGACCCTTTATTGCATCAGGCGCCTCAGTTCCCTCTGTCTCCTCAGCCCCTTCTAGTGTATTCTCTATTTAGCTAAAAAATGAACTTTCTACAGCAAAACTCGGATCATGTCAGCCAAAATTCTTCTGACTCACGTGCCTACACAGTGCCGTCTAGCTCCTAGGCTCATGGGTTTCATGATGGGGCCCACTCCTGCCCATCCACCTTCATCCCAAGTACTCTAAGGAAAGCTGTAGCTCTGGCTGAACAGAGAGGCAGCATGGTGGAGTGGTTCTGAGCCTGGACTCACTGCTAGACAGCTTGTTCATACATGTCACTTCTGTGATTCTGTGTCTGGAATTTATTCCTTCCGGTGGGTTCTTGGTCTCGCTGACTTCAAGAATGAAGCTGCAGACCCTCGCCATGAGTGTTACAGTTCTTAAAGATGGTGTGTCCGGAGTTTGTTCCTTCAGATGTTCAGATGTGTCTGGAGTTTCTTCCTGGGGTAGGTGCATGGTCTCGCTGACTTCAGGGGTGAAGCCACAGACCTTCGCAGTCAGTGTTACAGCTCTTAAAGGTGGCGCGTCCGGAGTTGTTTGTTCCTCCTGGTGGGTTCATGGTCTCGCTGACTTCAGGAATGAAGCCGCAGACCCTTGCAGTGAGTGTTACAGCTCATAAAGGTAGTGCACATCCAGAGTCAGGAGCAGCAAGATTTATTGTGAAGCGCAAAAGAACAAAGCTTCCACAGTGTGGAAGGGGACCCGAGCGGGTTGCCACTGCTGGCCTGGGTGGCCAGCTTTTATTCCCTTATTTGGCCCCGCCCACATCCTGCTGATCGGTCCATTTTACAGAAAGCTGATTGGTCCATTTTACAGAGTGCTGACTGGTATACTTACAATCCTTTAGCTAGACACAGAGTGCTGATTGTTGCATTTACAATCCTTTAGCTAGACACAGAGCACTGACTGGTGCGTTTTTACAGAGTGCTGATTGGTGCATTTACAATCCTCTAGCTAGACACAGAGCACTGATTGGTGTGTTTTTACAGAGTCCTGACTGGTGCATTTACAATCCTCTAGCTAGACAGAAAAGTTCTCCAAGCCCCCACTCGACCCAGGAAGTCCAGCTAGCTTCACCTCTCAATTTGGTATTCTCCTCTGTGGAATGTCATTAGAAGGATTATATGAGAATATATTTTAAAGGTACACCTGGTACATAGTGAGAGCTATGGAAACATTCGTTAAGTCCAAGAAAAATTGTCCATTGGACTGTCAAAGTCTCTCCTACCCCAGTGAATTTCAACTGTGGTCTTTATTATTTATTTATTTATTGAGACAGTCTCACTCTGTGGCTAGGCTGGAGTGCAATAGCACAATCTGGGCTCACTGCAACCTCCACCTCCCGGTTTCAAGGTATTCTCCTGCCTCAGCCTCCCAAGTGGCTGGGATTACAGGCACACACCACCACACCTGGCTAATTTTTTGCATTTTTAGTAGTGACGGGATTTCACCGTGTTGGCCAGGATGGTCTCAGTCTCCTGACCTTGTGATCCACCGGCCTCAGCCTCCCCAAGTGCGGAGATTACACGTGTGAGCCACCATTCCCAGCCTATTTTTTTTATTTTTGAGACAAGGCTTAGCTCCATTGCCCAGGCTGGAGTGCAGTGGCATGATCAAAGCTCACTGAAACCTCTGCCTCCCAGGCTCAGGCGATCCTCCTTCCTCAGCCTCCTGATTAGCTGGGACTACAGGTGCATGCCACCACGCCCAGCTAATGTGTTGCTCTTGTTGTAGAGATGGGGTTTCATCACATTGCCAAGGTTGGTCTCAAACTCTTGGGCTCGAGTGATCCACCTACCTCAGCCTCCTAAACTGCTGGGATTACAGGCATGAGCCACCATGCCCAGCTCTGCACTGTTAGTCTTAAGCCCATTTTGGGAACTTTGCTTTCCCTTGGTCAATCTTTCCTCTTCCTTCTAGAAGCTAAAATGTCAGGTTCTCTGTGAAGCCTTCCTACTGCACTTTGTTCAGCTCCCTATTAAAATTTTATTGGATTATTTTATTAGCTCCCTGTGGCTGCTATGACAAATTACCACAAAACAGGTGTCTTAAAACAACAGAAATTTATTCTCTCATAGTTCTAGAGGCCAGAAGTCTGAAATTAGATTAACAGGCTGAAGTGAGGGTATTGGCAAAGCCACACTCCCTCCCGAGGCTCTAGGGGAAAGGTGTTCCTTGCCTCTTCCAGCTCTGGTGGCTGCCAGCATTCCTTAGCCCATCACTGTATCCCTCTCATCACTGCCTCCATAGTCACATTGCTGCCTCCTCTCCTGTCTGTGTCAAATTTCCTTCTGTCCTTCATCAGAAAACTTGCAACTGCACAGAGAACCCACCTGGATGTTCCAGGATACTCTCACTCTCTCAAGATCCTTAAAACACATTTGCAAGACCCTTTGAAGCCATTTATAGATTCCAGGGATTGGAACCTAATATCTATGAGTGCCAACATTCAGCACTTCATAACTGTTTTCATGTATGTTGGTCTTTACACCTTGGTATGACTAGGATCTATCACAGTGTAAGTACATAGTATGTCCTCAATAAGTGACATGTAGACATAGATGCAGAACTATACAGCATCTAGGCCCTTTGCTCACGTTCACTGGGATACCTTCTTTGCTAAGGCTTCATTTCCCTAGGCCAGAGCTATTTCTTTCATGTGCTAATCTGTGGTTGGAAGGATCTTTTACTCATAAATTAGATCAACTTCTAGGTTAGAGAAATTAAGCAAAGGAGTTTTCGTCCTTGTACCACTTCTCCTGAGTTTCAGTGAGGCAAAGTAACCAAAAACACTCCTTTCAAATTCCATACCTCCTACGTTATGGAGCAGAGGGCGTAGGAAAAGTGGATGGGTCCTGGCTGCTCAAAGACTTCACGGAATGTGAGATTACAGAGTGGCAGAGTGACAAGTATGGGCTTCATGAAGAGCGCTGTCATCAGTCTCCCCGGGCTGGTTTATTGCCATTCTTTGGCTGTTTATTTTAAACACAGTTTTCTTAGTAATTTAAGCTCCTAAATTCATGGCTACTGCTTCAGTGACCATTTCCCCATCTCGAGTCATTTAAGTTCATCACAGGGATTTTTCTGAAATGAGGCGGTTTCTTTTCCAGTGTTCTCAAATCACAGTCACCTCCACCCTCAAGAATAAGCCAGCACTCATCTGGAAAGATAATTCGGTAGCTATGTAATTGCTTTTTTCTCAGCTGTGGAAATCTTTCCCAATTAAAGTGGAAAAAGTTACTTGCAATAAAAAAAGTAAACAGGTAGATTACTTTGCACAATTAATCATTGAAACAGTAAACTGTCTACTGTATTGTAATTGTTTACTTCTACGTCAGTCTTTTCATCTTTTTGCTGGTTAGAGCCCCCAGAAATCAGAATGAGATTCCATGACGTTTATTCAACCTTTAAATATTTTTTCCATTCTCTCTGTGTTCCAGGAGTAGTGATAAGAGCTGGTGATGTAAGGGTAACAAAAACAGACTCATTCCCTGCCCTCATGGAGCTTGTACAGTCTGGTGGAGGATGTAAACACTAATCAGGTCATCACACAGACAAATGCAAACTGTCAGTGGTCTCACATGCCAAGGCTGTTTATATACATGTAAACAGTTATGAAGTGCTGAATGTTGGCACCCCAGCCAACCCACAATGCTGCTGGCAGATCAGTCTAAAACACTGGACTCAATGTGCCACCCCTCACTTAAACGCTTTAACTGGCTCTCCCATGGCCTCTGGGGCAGAACTCACCTCTGGAGAAGATGCTCTTCAGCTGTTCCTGCCTCATTTCCTGTCCTCTCTTCCAGATGCTCAGGGGCCCCCAACTACAAGCTCTGTGCTTTCAGGGTCTTCTGTCTTTGTACGCAGTTCTCTCTGCCCAGAAAACTCTTCTCCCCACCTCCACTTGCAAAATCCTGTCCATCCTTCAGGCTCAGCTCTAACGTTACTTGAATGTGATGCCTGTCTTGACTGTTTAGCAGGCTAAAGCTGTCACTCCCTGCCTGTACTACCACAGAACATTTTGTACAAGCCACCATAACTGCACTTATCCCAGTGAACTGTGTTTGTTTGCAGCAAAACACTGTGGTTAGGAACATGGACCTTGAATTCAGACTGACTTGGAAACCAAATTCTGCAATTTATTGTGTGGCCTTGAAAATCATTCCTTCTGGGTCTTAGTTTCCTTCCTAATTTTGGCAATGAGGGGCATAATACCTAACTCATTAGCCTGTTGTAAAGATAAACCAGATAATGTGTTTAATGATGGAGCACGATGCCTGGTCAACAATACTCAATAACTAATGGTATTATCAAACTTGAATGTGCCAAATGCAAGGACCTAGGACTACATTTTGTCCACTTTTTTTTTTTTTTTTTTTTTGAGACAGAGTTTCGCTCTTCTTGCGCAGGCTGGAGTGCAATGGTGCGATTTTGGCTCACAGCAACCTCCACCTCCCAGGTTCAAGCGATTCTCCTGCCTCAGCCTCCCGAGTAGCTGGGATTACAGGCATGCACCACCACACCTGGCTAATTTTGTATTTTTAGTAGAGATGAGGTTTCTCCATGTTGGTCAGGCTGGTCTTGAACTCTCGACCTCAGGTGATCCGCCTACCTCGGCCTCCCAAAGTGCTGGGATTACAGGCGTGAGCCACCACAGCCGGCTGATGTCCATCTTTCTATCCCAGTTGCTGGCCATAGTCAGTCGAAGTTTCTTAAAATGCATAAATGAAAATACTATCATAACTTCCTTTACTTGAAGACGGGTTAGAGGCTTATTTAGTTTGCCACTAATAAGGGCTTTTTTGTTTTCTTTTGAGACAAGGTCCTGCTCTGTCACCCAGGCTGGAGTATAATGGAGTCACCACAGCTCACTGCAACCTTGACTTCCCAGGCTCAAGCTATCCTCCCACCTCAGCACCACTTGAGAGGTGGTTAATTTCCCATAGAGACGGGGTCTTTATGTTGCCCAAGCTGGTCTCCAACTCTCCAATTCCTGGGCTCAAATGATCCTCCCACCTTGGCCTCCCACAGTGTTGGGATTACAGGGCTGAGCCACCACACCCAGCTGATAAAGACATTTTACTGAAATGCCAAAAATTCCACTGATTTTACATCTCCAATCATATTAATCCTTTCCCTTTGCTCAACCAGTCCTGAACTTACACAGGTAACTGTTTGAGGTCCTATTTTGAAGTAGTGGTTTCTGCTAAATGATCTCGTCACAATTTTAGTCTTTACTGCATGTACATCAATTCCAGTCTTTACATAATCATGTGGAACACGGATTATATTTTCCTTTCTCATATGAAAAGTAATAGCGTGCATGTGTATAGGATTTACGTTTCAGGCTTTGTGGGCTTTAAATCCTTTGACTCCTAACCCAAGTGACTTTTCTAAGATCACAGTTCGTGGGTGGTCAAGCATATTAAAACTACTGCAAACTCTAGCGCAGTGTCCTGGACACTGGCCACAGCATCGCATTATCCCCCAACAGCCTAAATTCCTTGAAGGCAAGGTTCTCTCTGGCTTCCTCTGCAACGTTCGCAGCATGCCTCAGAGACTCGGTGAGCTGGGCCGGCCAATGCATTTCCTCTTCCGTCCATGTAATTCCACTAGAGGAGCAGAGGGCAAACTACGTTCCCATTAAAGCCACAAGGTTTAAAAACCTCTAACCTTGGAAAAGCACACTTCAACCCTCTGCACACCAAACTTCTCTACTGTGGTTTCCCCTCTGCCGCTTTCTCCTTGGCGTTCCCCGATCACTGCCTCTAGGGTCTTTACAAGGGACAGCGAACGTAAGGTTTCGGAGCTGGCTTCGCCCCCTTCTATTTACCGGGGGCTGGTCATCCTTCGGGCCAGGCTGACTGTCTAGGGGTGGCCCTCGGATACCTGGTCCCCGCAGGTGACCCCCCTCCCTCCCACCGAGGAGGAGGGCGCGTCCCGCTCGCTCCGTGGAGACGCCGCGGAGGCGCACACGCCTCACGCCTCCTCGCAGAAGCCACAGGGGCTGCGGCTCTTTGTCGCGGCCACACCGGAAACGGCCCGGAGCGCGCGCGGGGCGGCCGCCGAGGGTCGCGGCGCTAGGCGGGGCCGCCGGGCCCGTCCCCCTCCCCGCGGGGGCGCGCGAGGCCCGGGCGGGGCCGCCCTCCCTTCCGGGGAGCGGGGAGCCGCCGCCGCGTCCGCCGGGCGGCTCCCACCCCGCCCCCCGCAGCTCTAGGTGACGCGTCTCCAATAACAGCTCGCCGGGAGCCGCAGCTCGGGCACAGCCGGCGGCCGCGCCCCGCCGCCACCATGAGGGCCGAGGGCCTCGGCGGCCTGGAGCGCTTCTGCAGCCCGGGCAAAGGCCGGGGGCTGCGGGCTCTGCAGCCCTTCCAGGTGGGGGACTTGCTGTTCTCCTGCCCGGCCTATGCCTACGTGCTCACGGTCAACGAGCGGGGCAACCACTGCGAGTACTGCTTCACCAGGTAGGGCGGCGGCGGCGGCGGCGGCGGGCGGGAGCCGGGGGCGCCGAGCGGGAGGCTTGGACGGCGGCGCCAGGAAGTGCGTGCGGCTCGCGGGGTCCTAGCGCCGGCCCTTGGGGCGGGGTGGGGGGCGGGGAGGGGAGGAGGCCCCGCGCTGCGGCCCCGCGCTGCAGCCCCACGCCAGGCGCCACGTGCGAGAGGAAACAGGACCGGTGCCCCGCTGCACGCCCTGCACTGCACGTTTTCAGAGTTGCTCACGCTGGATGCGCAAACCCGGGCGTGCAGGTTCCTGCCCTCAAATGTGGGCTCCGAGCCAGGCTTGTTCCAAGCCTGGGCACTCACTGCCCTCCCGGTGCATTGGCAGCGGAGCCCCAAATTTGGGCAGCCACGGGCTGTCACCTTTAACTTATGCTTCCTGCGGTGTGTTCTGTTACCCACAGTCCAGCCCTGCCTCAGATTGGCCGTTTCTTCCAAGGAATTTAATGACTTAGTATATGTCTTGTAAAGTACGCTTACATGTTAAAGTACGCTTACATGGGTGTTTGGAGGGACGCCAGTGGGCACTGACCACACCCCCTGGATTCTGAGGTGCTGCGACGATGAGTTGCAGTGTCCAGTTTCGGTTTGGGATTAGGAAAACATGGTCGCAGGAAGGGATTGGGCAAGATGTGTGGTTGCTAATGGTATTTAATTGTAAGATACCATATGTATATATGTGTCTGTGTTTGTATATATGATGCATATACATTTGCACACACCAACACATAATTATATCCTCAACTCTTATGAGAGTTTCAGAGCTTAAAGGCACATTAGAAATCACCAATTCAGTCTTGTCTTTCACTTAATGGATGAGAAAACTAAAGCCCAGAGAGAAAGTGGAGTTACCTTTATCCATTCACACCAGTAGTGAAGGGAGTGAAATCTGGCCTTATTCACTTCTGCCTATTTCTCACTGGTTAGGTGCTCAGTAAATTTACTAAGGCAGGAGGCATGGCATTGGGGTTAAGTTTATATCAGGCCTTCCAGTACTCTGAGTAGAGACCATGATTTGCTTTCTTTGAACCTCAGTTTCTTCATCTTTGAAATGGAGATTCCTGGGCTGGATTAAGCTGACCTGCGGTCCTGCAGGGACCTTTTGAGTACAGGTCTCAAGTCCAGCATACTCAATCTCTCAGACCTGTGTGCCTCATTCTACAATAAGACGTAGCAAAAGAAGGGACAAAGGCTAAATATTGTAGTAATCTTGCCCAGACTCCCTGCCAGAACTGTCTTCCGCTTGGGGGGACCTGGAAAGGAACTAGACACGGAATCATGCCGTGGGCAGCTTAAGGGCTGTATGTGATGTGGCTCTTTGAATTGGTGAGCCAAGAGCTAAAGGGTCATGGCACCACTTTGCAACGTTTGAGTGAAGTGAGCATTGGGTTTTCCCAAAGTTAAAAAGGCTGCTGTGACTGGTCCCTTGATCTTCTGAGCCTTGCTGTGGCTCGGAGTCTGCAGCAGCGTGGGTGTCTGCAGTGGCAGGAGCAAAGCAGGTCAGGCAGCACAGAAGGAGCCTCCATCAGGGATCCTGGCAATTCCTGGAAGCCATCGCCTAAGACCATGGATGCCAGGCACATAGTAGGTGCTTACTTTATATGGGTAGTTGCCAGCCCTGGCCCCCAGTGAATGAAAGATCAAATCCCTCTGGATTTAGAAGGGATGAGAAGAACTGAGAGATGCTTCTCTTTAGCTTTAAGTCTCCTAATTGTATCTACTACGCATACCCCCAACCTTAGAACATTAATGGATGGTCAGATGCAAGTTCACAAAGCATTCAGCCTGGATTATTCTGCCATATGTGACAGTTTGCTGCCTCTTTTGTTGTTAAATTTTTCTGATTGACATTTATTAGTGTTACTCACTGTTGCCTTGGGTCCCTCACCAGGGCTGCAACTTGCAATGGGGTGTTATTACAACTTGCAAACCACTTCTCTGTTTGATTTCCCTGACCTTATGTCAATACCCGTAGTTTATTTCCTCTCTCTCCCCAAAGAATTATTTGAAGTCAATTAAAATAATACAAAAGAAATAATATCCATGATACTTATGCAATTAGAAATATCCTTGTACCCTACTTCATGATTTCTATTAAATCTGAATCATTTACTATTAGTGGTTAGGTCATCTGATAGATTCAGCATCAGTTCCTCTGTCAGCAATTTGTATATGACTTAGGACAAATCAGTCTGTCCAGATGTATGAGGGGAACGTGTATTTTCCTCCATAGGGCCTCAAAGTATAGGAGTAGAATTCTGGAAATGTTCATACTTACAGGTCAAAATCTGCTGCCTGCCCCAGCTCCACACACCCAAAAGAAAGCTACCCCTTATCCTTTCTTTTGCCAGAAGTTTAACATAAACAATACTGCTTAAGATAAATGAATGACCCAAGAATTTCCATGTCATACTAATTGTATCAGGATCTAACTTTTTTTGAAGAAAAGAAAAGTGATTTCTTTAGGTAGGAATAAGTATATGCTATAAATTGAGAAATAATGGAAAATGTCTTAAGTCTCAACAGAATGGGATTCTTACGGTCAGGGCAATTCAGACAAAGGTTTGCTTTGGGGAATTTTTAATTTGTATCACATTTCTCAGTCTGGTGGGTGCCATTGGAGAACATGCGTATCTTGCCTGAACTGCTAGAAGGCAGCTCCTAATAATATTATATAAAGTTTTTCCACTTGGAAGCTGTCCCTATCAGACTTCTCAGATACACTTTATACACACATACACACATAAATGCACACATACACATTTTGGCCATTTATCACCATTTTTTGGTGTGGTTTTTTTTTTTTTTTTTTTTTTTGAGACAGAGTTTCGCTCTTGTTGCCCAGGCTGGAGTGCAGTGGCGTGATCTCAGCTCACCACAACCTCCACCTCCCCGGTTCAAGCAATTCCTCTGCCTCAGCCTCCCGAGTAGCTGGGATTACAGGAATGCGTCACCACACCTGGCTAATTTTGTATTTTTAGTAGAGACAGGGTTTCTCCATGTTGGTCAGGCTGGTCTCAAACTCCCGGCCTCCCAAAGTGCTGGGATTACAGGCATGAGCCACTGCGCCGGGCCAAGTATGTTGTATTTTAAACTAAGTTTTAGACTTTTTTTTTTTTTTGAAACAGTCTCGTCTCACTCTGTTGCCCAGGCTGGAGTGCAGTGGCACGATCTTGGCTCACTGCAACCTCCGCCTCCCGGGTTCAAGTGATTTCCGACTAATTTTTGTATTTTTAGTAGAGACAGGGTTTCATCATGTTGGCCAGGCTGGTCTCGAACTCCTGACCTCAAGTGATCCACCCACCTCAGCCTCTCAAAGTGCTAGGATTACAGGCGTGAGCCACCGTGCCTGGCCTAGACATATTTTAACCCCCAATGTGATTTGTCTCAGAAGGAGAGAAATCTGCTTTAACCCAGTGTTCCATCTAAATATTCATTCTATGTGCCATTCTTCAGGTAGGCAGATCTTTTGATCTTTAGTCTCCCTTTTGATCTTTAGTTCTCTTGGCTCATGGGTTATTTAAGGATGAGATTATTGACATTTCTTTGTTTGTTCTGAGTGTAGGGGGAACCAGGAAAGCCCATTTAGCCTCCTTGGAATAGAGCTGTTAGAACCCAGTTTCAGTGAATTTCGGTCATGTCTGGCTTAGATTAGTTGTTTTAAAAATTAAATTGTTTGCCTGAGCCAAACCCTGTGATTAAGGTGTCCTATTTCAGCAGTTATAAAGGCTTTTTTTCCTCATGTCCCCCAGATTTATTCTCTAGCGTATTCATCTTAGCTTTCCTCTTGTTTTATCAAACCGGCAGAATAATTTTTAGTTGATCTTAATCAGTATTAAGGGCCATGAAATCCTGATGCTGTTTTCCTGAAGTTCTCTGAACTAGCCCTGGTTCTGGCTGCCTGAAGCTGTGCATGAGAAGGGGACCTTGTGCCCAGGACTGCTATGACTCTGGCTCTCCTGAGAATGCTTTGAGAGTTGTTTTGGGGGAGAAATGGCTTCAGATGTATTTAAATCATCATGTTTTCTGAATAAAAAAATTGAATACATGCTCTAATAAAGGGGTTCCCCTTCTTTTTTAGATGTATTTTTATAAAATAGGTGGTAAGACTAAAACATACATACAACAGATTTCCTGTAAAAAGTGCCATTAAAGAATGCAAAATTCAGCTATCTGTATGTTAGGTAAGGAAATGGCTGTTTTCACTTTCCACCTTTCAGTATTTCAAGGTTTCCATGTACATTAATGCATAACTTAATGACAGGGATATGTTCCAAGAACTGCCTTAGTAAAGCAGTTTGGTCCTTGTGCCAGCATGCTAGAGTGTACTTACACAAAGCTACGTGAGAGAGTCTACTACTCACCTAGGCTGTATGGTATAGCCTGTTGCTCTTAGGTTACAAACCTGTACAGCATGTTACTGTACTGAATACTGTAGGCAGTTGTAACACAATGGTAAGTATTTGTGTATCCAAACATATCTAAACATAGAAAAGGCACAGTGAGAATATGGTATCACAGTCTTATGACCACCTTTGTTCACGTGGTCTGTCATTGACTAAAATGTTGTTAGTGCATGACCTTATTTCAGTAGAAACCGCAAAGCAGGGACTTTGTGGCAGGTGGACTGGGTTTGAATTCTGGTTTCATTCTTTCCTGATGGTTTGTCTTTAGGCCAGTTATCACTTAACCTCTCTGAACTCCCAGGTTCCCTTATCTGTAAAATGTGCGTACTAATGCCAGTGCCGTTAATCCCAGGACTTGGTAGGCTGAGGTGGGAGGATCGCTTGAAGCCAAGATTTTGAGACCTGCCTGGGCAACATAGCAAGACCCCATTCGCTACAAAAAAAATTTTATTTAGTTTAGCCAGCTGTGGTAGCCTGGGCCTGTAGTCCTAGCTACACTTGGGTAGGCTGAGGTGGGAAGATCCCTTGAGTCAGGAGGTTGATGCTGCAGGAAGCCATATCACTTACTCCAGCCTGGAAGACAAAGTGAGACCCTGTCTCTTAAAAAAAATAAAAAAGTGTGGACTGGGCATGGTGGCTCACACCTGTAATCCCAACACTCTGGGAGGCTGAGGCAGATGGATCACTCGAGGTCAGGAGTTTGAGACCAGCCTGGCCAACACAGTGAAACCCTGTCTCCTCTGAAGATACAAAAATTAGCCAGGTGTAGTATAGTCCCAACTACTTGGGAGGCTGAGGCAGGAGAATGGCTTGAACCTAGGAACCCAGGAGGCAGAGGTTGCAGTGAGCTGAGATCACGCCACTGCACTCTAGCCTCCATCTCAAAAAAAAAAAAAAAAAAAAGCGTATGAATACCCACCCTACCAACCAAGCTAAGTCAGTACAACCCTAGCACATAGTGAGCCATCAAAATCACTCTGATCTCTCTTCTTTTTTTTTTTTGAGATGGAGTCTCACTCTGTCACCCAGGCTAGAGTGCAATGGCACAATCTCCGCTGTTCAAGTGATTCTCCTGCCTCAGCCTGGTGAGTAGCTGGGATTACAGGCATGCACCACCATGCCTGGCTAATTTTTGTATTTTTAGTAGAAACAGTGTTTCACCATGTTGGCCAGGCTGGTCTTGAACTCCTGACCTCAGGTGATCCACCTGCCTTGGCCTCCCAAAGTGCTGGGATTACAGGTATGAGCCACCACGCCTGGCCTGATCTCATACTTGTTTGATGAACTCTGCTGGCTAAATGTTTCTAACTTAATTAAATTGTGTGATAAAATATTATAATTTTAGGGGCGTTTTTATGGAGTTGTGGGGAGGGGTGAACACTGGGAAGGAAATACTGGAAATTGTTGACCAGTGGAGTCACCATTAAGCTGGCCTATTGGCTGGGCGCGGTGGCTCATGCCTGTAATCCCAGCAGTTTGGGAAGCCGAGGCGGGCGGATTACCTGAGGTCAGGAGTTTGAGACCAGCCTGACCAACATGGTGAAACCTCATCTCTACTAAAAATTCAAAAATTAGCTGGGCATAGTGGCGGGCGCCTGTAATCCCAGCTACTTGGGAGGCTGAGGCAGGAGAATCGCTTGAACCCGGGAGGTGGAGGTTGTGGCGAGTTGAGAGTGCGCCACTGTACTCCAGCCTGGGAGACAGAGTTAGACTATGTCTCAAAAAAAAAAAAAAAAAAAAAAGATGGCCTGTTGACCCATAGCCACAACCAGCAGTTCTCAACCTTGGGTTCCCCAGAATTAATGATGGGGTCTGGGATTAGTTTTCAGTATTTTTCAAAACCTAATGGAAATAATATAATATACCTACACAGGTAAACCTTCTTCAAAAAAGAGCCTTTTCTCACTCCAAAGTCTTAGGCACTTTAATATTCTTTTAATAAGAAAAAACAAATATTTATAGAGAGAAATGGAAGAAAACAGAATTTTCCACATTGCAAGGATATCAGGGTTCCTTCTGCCTTTTACTTTCAGCACAATTGTTTCAACAGCAGCAAGGAGCCATCCTTTAAGACTTCAAATGTGCCAGTAACTCACGTTATTTTTCATATGCGGGGAACATAATTTCTGTTATAGCTTATAGGGGCTCAGTGACCAAGCTGCACGTTTGGAACCGATTTCAGATGAAAGAGACAGAATAACAGCAGGATATCCTGAAGTGAAATTCAAACCCTGGTGAGTTAAAACCACCATCTAACACCTTTCCCTCCCGAAGCAATTGCACAGAATCCTCTCAATCAAAAAAAATTCGAAGAACCTGTATAAAATGGCATTTCTTTAAATCATATTGCTCTTTGCAGCCCATAAAGCATTTCCAGATACATTCTTATTTTGATCCTTCCAAGGATGGCTGGTATACACAGGGCCTTATTCCATTTTACATAGAAAGAAACTGAGTGTTAGAGAAGTTAAGTGGTTTCTCTGAATTTCACACCTTTTTTGTCAAATATTTATTGAGTGCCTCTTAAAGGCCGGACTCCATGACCTTCAAGGATGGAGCCAAATCTCCCTGTTCCTCGTGTGATCTTCCTGTGCCCCCCTTTGGCCTGAACCTACTGTGTGGTTCACCCAGGGACTTCACCCTACATTACTACTGTGTGGTTCCCTGGAGACTGGGGGCTTAATCCGTCTCTGATATCTCCTTGATTGAATAGAATTTATAATTGGCCAACAATTTAACAAACGAATGCATTGTTTAAAGAATTATTTAAAGTTTTAAAAAATGTTTGATTCAGCCATCTTAGATCTATATTTTATGCTGATATGGACTTAAACATGTTGTTTTTATTATAATGCTTTGAAATTTGCATAAGAGCTACACATATTCTTTTATATGTATGAATTATTATGTAATAAAACATAAAAAGAACATGAGGCTTTGGTCCTTTTGTAGGCTTGGAATATTTTTAATATTACGCTAGGACTAAACCAGAGTTAGTCATCTCAGCCTTTATACCTACATATAAAGAGTTTGTTTCTGTGCCGTGTGATAGGGCAGCATCAGCCCATAGTCTTTTTTTTTTTTTTTTCCTTAAGCAAATCCATTCTTCAGGATCTCTCTCTGCAGAAGTTAAATCTCTTGAGTTGTGGAAATGGAATTTATGGTGCAGCTATAGGAGGCAGCCCCTGGTTGGTATTCCTGTAGAACAGGCAAGTTGCACACCACCTGTGAGAAGGTTCTTGTAAAAATATGTTAAATTTCTTTGAGAAGATCCAGGGCTCACTGCTATAGTTTGGCAGGAACCTGGTCTTTGGGAGAACTCAGAATTGGTGAGAATTCAGGACAGCAAAATTGTCTCTTTTAGGATTTGATATAGTGAGAGAATTGCAAAGGAAGTTTCTACTGTATTTGGGTGTTTTAGGCTTACTGCTTTGAACTTAGGTTAATATTCCCTCCTCTTTTCCCTGTCAGTATAAAAATATGAAATAATTACTGTTTTATGCCACTTTATTTCTGTCCTCGAAGGAAGCAATCAATAATTAAAAGCATGCTTTGTCTTCCTGGAGTCATGAATAATTAAATTGACTCCCCCCATCCACACACATCTTTTTTTGGACCTCAGATGTAGTTGAGGTAATCATACTTCTGAGTTCAAGGCATGCTTTTATCTGGTATATGCAAGGCAAATTTGATTTTTCAGAATGTTCCCTCTCATTTCCTGCTCTTCTCACAGACAGCTCCTCTATGGGTTTGGTTACGTATCTTTGAATACATGTGTATGTGTGTCCTGATGATCACTAGGGAACTAGACACACCTAGAACAAGGCACCCTGATTTTACTTGGCAGATTCAGACCTTGAGCTCTCTTCTGATCCTCCTGCTCACTCAGCGTTTTTCTGTGGCTGTGTCAGGGCAGGGGCCCCTGCACTGGCCCCTTCCTCCTGATGAGTGGCCTGTTCTGACACTTGAGGGAGGCAGGGCATTTTGAGGTCTCCTTTGCCTCTCAGGAACTTGCATTGTTAGCCCACCCACATCCCCAACCTTCACTTCTTTGGATTTCTAGGAAATCTGCAGTAGTTTAGGGGTGCAGTCCTTTGGCAGGGAATTAACTGAAGTACCTGCCTTTTCAGGGGTTGAACCCATGACCTTGGCCTCATTAGAGCTCTAACCAGTCACAAAGCACACACCTCACTTTGTGTAACTTCTGCTGACTTGTTCCTGCCACCCTCCGCGGCTTCCTATTCAATTGCAAAGGCGTTCACACCAACACAATAGAACAGAAGGAAATCAGATCTCTTCAAGACTTCTCTGAAGGACAGAAATATGCAATTTAGCAGGAAAATAATACAAAAAAGTCTTGAAGGTTCAGGAAACAACTTATCTTTCTAGTCCGTACATTCGCTGAGAATCCAGCTGTGTCTCTCAGATTCTTTTTCAATCAAAAATTTAAAAATAGCGTGGAACTCCTTGTGTTAATTTATTAACATAAAATCTAGCGACTCTTGTACATGAAGTGGAAGGTTTCGGATGACTAAGTGGAAATATTGTATGTATGTTATTAAAATGGATTGGGTTAGCTTTTATAGAAAAAGTGGATCTGAGAATTCATAAGTGCTTATCTTTGGCAAGTTTATAGTCCCTAGAGATAAAAATGAATGCGTGCTATAATAACAAAGACACTGTTGTGTCTTAGTGAGTGCACTGTGATGCTCAGGGTGTGTTGGTGCCCAGGGGACGCGGAGTCACCATGGAGGAGAGGAGAAACAAGGACAACTCCCTAGAGAAGTGAAATTCACACAGGGCTTGAAGACCTGAATGTATCTTGGGGGAGGGACGTGGTAAGATAATCTGGCTGTCCAAAAAGATACAGGTTTTTATTAGAGCCAAATAAAAAGCTCAAGGATTTTATGTCTTGGCACTTGGAAGGAGTTATGTTGAAATCTGTGTTCTGTTTAATCTGAGTACCAAGAAAGACTCTTCAGGGATGTAGGTACTGGCTCATATTTTTGATGAGATGGGGATTTTTCTTACTCTGGTGATGTTTGGATAGGAAACATTTGCTCATTTGCCACCTGAAAAATCTCTTCTCTGTCAATTCCGTGAATCCATGGTACAGTGACAGTTGCTGTTCACAGTGATAGCCTCATATGCTCTTAAAACCTCACCAATAAGACACATTTAATTATGAGCCAATAGTATACTCCCTAAGGGTAGGAATTCTACTTTTTAACTCAATCAAAAACATTTGTATTTGTGGACACTTAGTGGGTTCTATAGTTCTGGAAAACAACTCCAAAGAAAAGGAACAAAAATCCCTACCACCACGGAGCTTATTTTCCAGCTTTTATTCATCTTTATTTTACCTCCAGTTCCTTGAACTTTGTAAGGCTTCAGCAGATGCTGTATAAAAGGCAGGAAGATTTGTTCTTTTTCTTTCTTCTGGTCATCCAGGTATGTCATGAAGAACATTCTGTTAACCAGAATGTTTAACCATGTTGGGACTCAGAAAATGATACCCCGAAGTTTGGCCCTTTGGCATACAGAGCACTTTCCACTGAAGGGGGTTGGAAGGGCCTCAGAAGCGAAGACTCTGTGACCTACCCTGCCCCTCAGTCTATTACCATTATTAGCTCATACCCTTTTGTCCATTCTTCATTGAACCTCAGCATAAAACTAGGCAGTTTTCCTTGAGTTCTTGAGTTATTGGGCTCTCATTTTGAAGGCTCTTGTTTTACGTAAAAACTTTGACTAAATACATTTGTTATGTTTTTATCTTGCTAGTATGTCTTTTCTTCCAGGGGTGTTGGCCACGACCCTTATGATGGATGAGGAAAGACATCACATCTTTCCAGTCCTACAACTACAACACCCTGTCTCATGACTGACACAAACTAAGAGAGAGCTTCGATCAGATACTACTTAGGTCCAATGAATTGGCAACATCCCTATGTTGGTTAAAATAGCAGCAGCTCTGGGTAGATATATTTTAGAAGTTAATGAAATATGGCCTACCCATACACCTGAGTAAATATTTTAAACAGCACTCTAAAAAAACCTTTAGGGTTTTTGTTTGTTTGTTTGTTTGTTTTTTAACTTTAAAACATTCAGGTTAACAAGGAAGTAGGGATTTAGGAACAATCTATTTATTTCATCCAATATTTAATTGATTTCTGCACATGTTCCAGCTTTACAAGGCACTCAGCTACTAAATATTTTCTAGGGTGAGAGAGAGAGAGAGAGAGAGAGAGAGAGAGAAGCCCACCTCTCTTGATCTTCTCTGTCTGTGAATCTGAGGACGCCCCTGATAGAACTCCATGGTAGAGTCGGGGCTTCCTGATGGACACCCTCAGGCCAAGCCTCAGGAGCCATATCTGAGTCTAGCTTGCTCTGCTGTGTTATTTTCACTCTGGTCATCCTAAATTGTTTATAGTAATGAATGCACACATATACACACATGCACACACATATATGCACCTTGCTGATTCTCCTCTCTATGTCCCTCTTTGCCTGGCTCACTCCTTTGGTTCTGAGAAATCTGTCCTGATTTCTGCAGTCTGGATTAGTTCCCTTCGTCTTTGCTCCCACAGCACCTCATACAAACTTCCTTTATCACACTTGCTCCTTGAATGCATGAACTAGGTCTTACTCATCTTTGTAACCCCAGCGTTTAGCAAGAAGACTAGCCTCTGTTACTGCAATAAATATTTGCGAAATATATTAGTCTCATTTCTGCATCTTATCTTACTAGTGGCCCTTTGCATAGGCCTCATCACCTCTCTTAATATGCAACTGTTCATTCTTGGAAATGAATCCTTGTAAATACTCTCAGAACTCTTCATTGACTCCCTGCTTTCTTCAGGACAAGTTCCCTACTAAGTGCCCCTCCCATCGTATCCAGCATTATCCCTCACTGCATTTTGACTTAGACTCCAAGTTCAATTTGGGTGGTCTTTGCAAAGCTGAAGAATGTCATTCTTCATTCTTCCTATTGTCTATTTGTCATCTAGAGTACTTTTCTCTGTAATATTTCCTTCCTTATCCTCTGCCTCCTTCCTAGGTAAGGCCTTAGAGCCTTCAGTTTGTTTATACTCAAGAAAGATCCAGCTCAAATTGCATCTCTTTCCAAAGCTTTATCTTTTTCTGTTTGTGTGTGTGTGTGTGTGTGTGTGTGTGTGTGTGTGTGTGTGTGTGTGTGTGTGTGTTTGAGACAGAGTCTCTCTCTGTCACCCAGGCTGGAGTGCAATAGCACGATCTCTGCTCATTGCAACCTCCGCCTCCCAGGTCCAAGCGATTCTCCCGCTTCAGTCTCCTGAGTAGCTGGGATTACAGTCGCTTGCCACCACGTCTGGCTAATTTTTATATTTTTTCATAGAGATGGGGTTTCACCATGTTGGCCAGGCTGGTCTCGAACTCCCGACCTCAGGTGATCTACCCACCTTGGCCTCTCAAAGTGCTGGGATGATAGGCATGAGCCACCGCACCCGGTCCAAAGCTTTTTCTTAACTACTTCAGCCCACACAGCTTTCATTTTATTTATCGACTTGTTTGTATTTATTTTACAATAATTTAATATTTACATTTTTTGAACATCCTACTATTCCAAGCATTGTGCTCTCACTGTGGAGTTTCAGAGATGAATAAGACAACATGCTCAGTAAGTGCTATTTCCCTAACTTCTGTATCTTCAAAGAGCTCAGTCCTAGGGGTAGCTTTCTGCTCTCAGTTCCAGGTCGTGTGGGCCATTTGGATGCTGAATCATTTTGCCTGATATTTATATTTACCACTCTCATGTAGGCAGGGCAGATTTCCCCAAATAACTCTTTTTTTGAGATGGAGTTTTGCTCTTGTTGCCCAGGCTGGAGTGCAATGGCGCGATCTCGGCTCACTGCAACCTCCGCCTCCCAGGTTCAAGCATTTCTCCTGCCTCCGCCTCCCGAGTAGCTAGGATTACAGGCACCCGCCACCACGCCCAGTTAATTTTGTATTTTTACTAGTGACGGGGTTTCTCCATGTTGGTCTGGCTGGTTTTGAACTCCTGACCTTAGGTGATCCGCCTGCCTCGGCCTCCCAAAGTGCTGGGATTACAGGCATGAGCCACCGTGCCCAGCCACTCATTTTTTTTTTTTTAACAAAAATATTATTTCCCAGTATGGCTGTAGCACAGTACTTTTGTACCTAGCAAATAACACTTTTGAATAGAAATTACTTAGCTATGATAGATTAACATGTCTTCTTACTGCCTCATGTGCAAGGTTTTACAGTATTAAAAATGTTCTCCGTTCAGAGAAATACAAATGGAATCAATAAGGATTGAAAGAAAAATGTCTGCTAAATCTGTTCAAACGGTATCCGATCAGTTTAAGTTTTCAAGGTAAAGTCCACAATTCGGGGTAATTCGCCTAAACAAATTGGTAATTCAATTTTTTATATTTTGTTTGCAGGAAAATAAAACTGAGGGGATGAGAGAATCTCAACTCTTAAAATTCTTCTGTAGGCAATTAAAAAGATAACATTTTCCAGGCCAGGCGCGGTGGCTTACGCCTATATTCCCAACACTTTGGGAGGCCAAGACGGGCGGATGGCTTGAGGACAGGAGTTCAAGCCCAGCCTGGCCAACATGGTGAAACCCCGTCTCTACTAAAAATACAAAAATTAGCTGGGCGTGGTGGTTCATGTCTGTAATTAATCCCAGCTGCTTGGAGGCTGAGGCAGGAGAATCTCTTGAACCCGGGAGGCAGAGGTTGTAGTGATCCAAGATTGTGCCACCGCACTCCAGCCTAGGTGACAGAGCAAGACCCTCTCTCAAACAAACAAACAAAAAACACACATTTTCCTGTAAGTAAGATTCAGAACAGTTCTGTCTGGACAGGTAGTTAACACATGTTTTGCTGCAGCAGACCTGACCATGTTCTGGGAACTCACAATTAGCATTAGACTATAAAGGAATTTTTACCATGGTTTATTTCTGTTTTACGGACAGAACGTTGAAGTGAGGAATACTGTTAGGAGTATTTTAAGTTTTCAAGTAGTTAAATTTATATTACTTTGGTTTTGTCATTTTCTTTGATTTTTAATCACGTGAGTTTTATGCAACAGCAAGCATAGGGGAATCTAATAATATTGGTATTCATTACAAAGTACTAATAGTAACATCTGTCATTTAACTGGAAGAAGCGGTGGATATTATTTTATTGTCAGTTCCTTTATGAGAGAACTGAGTTAGAAAGGCATTCGTTGTTTCTTTGCTTTTGACTTTTCAATCAGAGGGCATTAGAGAAGTAAAGATAAAAGTAGCAAGGAAGTGTTACTCTGACCTTGCACAAAAGTTAAGACAGAGCATTTCCAGAGGAAAACATGAGATTTTAAAAGTGTGTACATTCATTCTTTGGACGAGCTTTAACTGTTAGAGATTGTGCAGGGCCTACAAGAGGAGCTTCGGATATAGGTGTTGTCCAGGGGCTGAAAAGGAAATGTAATGTTCACTGTTTCACAGGCTAAATATTTCTCTCCTATATTCATAAGCTTCATGAATTTTTTTTGCTTTCTAAGGCAAAGGTAAATTTTGTCTGGGCCAGAGCCTGCATGAAAACAAATCTGTGTTATTTTATAACTAGGTCAGCCATTACTCTGACCACCAAGCCCAGCTTCCTCCTTGTAAATTACAGCTCCGGTTCCAATAGTTGGGAAAACCTATTAGTTGCTACCTTACTGCCCTAAATATTTCCTGCCTCCCCAAGAGGATGCGGGCTCTAACTTTTAACAAGCCTCAGAACAAAGCCTGGTGCTGAGCGAAGGTTCAGCACAGCCCTGGGAAGAAGCCCCCCGCTGCACGTGGGTCCCGTTCACTGTTACATTGTGGATTAAAGTGATGTATGGAGCACCTTTCAGTATTACAGAAAAACCTGTAGCCTGAGTATTATCCTTGTCCCCTGACCAGGGTTATAATAGGGTTCTGCCACAATTCCTCCAATTTTTATTTCTCTTAAACAAGATTGGAGGCCTTGCTAGTATAACCACCCTCGCTGGGTGGGAGGCTAACTTTGTTTCTGATTGTCTTATTTCAACCTATGGTGAAGTTATATTGCACTGCTGGGGCTTTTTTCCCATTCTCTTTTTCATTTGGCTGGGGCTGCCTCTGTTCAACAGAGCATACTTGTCACTTCTTCTGTCACCATTAGTTAAAAGTAATTGTTATTGCAAACCCCCTCTATGCCAGTATCATTTTCTTTCATGGTGAAACCCACTAAGCATTCATTTCAGTAGCAGAAAGTAGGGAGCTTACAGAATCAAATCCTTTTGATCTAGACCAACAGCACCTGCGGCAACGCATTAACTAGCAGGAGTTGTTAATTACATTTCTAACTTGTTGATCTTCATGGTTTCCGATTTTTAAAAGCAAGGAAATTAATCACTGTGTGTGTCTCCTCCAGTAGGAAATGACAGGAGCGTGTCTTCTAAGTTCTGTTCCAGTCAGTAATAATCAAATACTTGCATTTTCCTGTAACATTTCTTTTCTTCCTTTGTGGATAGAACTATTTCTTAAGTTCAAAGAGCCCTTCTGTTCACAGTAGGGTAGATATTTGCCCATAAAACAAAGGCTTTAGAAACATAGATCCTCTAGCTATGAGTCTGAGTGAGACTGTGCTGATGGTATTTCAACAGTTGACATCACTTTAAAAAAAAAGCACAAAGACTAATTAAAAGTGTAGTAGTACCCAGCATTTATTGAACGTTTACAGTGTTCTAAGCAATGTATTAAATGTTTTGCTTGCATTTTCTCATTTAACTTTCATAGCAAACCTATGAGGTGGAAACGATATCTTTATTTGACAGTGAAGGAAACTGAGGTTCAGAAAGGACTAGTAACTTGCCCAAGATCACATAGTACATCAAGTACCAGAAAGAAAAAAGGATTTGAGAGAGGGAAGTGGGAAGAGTAACTCATCATATTCATCCTAAATTGTGAGACAGGAATCAAGAAGCAGCAGAACGAAAGCTGAGGTTTTCTTTCTTAAAACTTGCACCTGCTTCTAGGATACTTGATCTTAGGTTAGAAAAAGACAGGGTCAGCTACTTTATTCTTATGTAAATGTTCATCATCAAGGTAGTTAAACAACCTGATCCATCCTGTGATTCATTCTTAAGAATCTCAGAAAAATCTAAACAATCTGCCTTGCAGAGTGCTTCAACTGTATACAGCAATTTCCACACGAAAAAGCCACTCCACCCAAATGTGTTACCATAGGCCTGTGGCTCCGCATTCTAGAAGCACACTGGAATCTCCTGGGAGCTTTCTAAAAGTCCTAGTGCCTGGGCCCAACACATACCAATTGAATGAGAACTGATGATCCCTGCCCCAGACAACCAAGGTTGAGAACCACTGTGAGAGGTTATTAGTGATTCACTCTACACTTCTTTTCGCTCCATTCCTTTGGGGGTTATTTCAGGTTTTTTTTTTTTTAAGGAAATTTTGTTTTCTTTATTTTGCTCAGTCTTTTCCCAGACTTCCTGAACAATTCAGATCAGATTACATTGCAAATGAAAAATTTACGACTGTGTCTTTTGTAGGAACGGAGTTTGTTCCAAATGCTTTGTATAGTCCTACAGCGAAAATGGATAGCCCATATGAAGTTTCTCTCTGGCTGTAACTCCTCAGTCAGCAATAGTCGAACACTCATAGGATCTCTCTCCTCTCTCAAGCACATATACTGCACATACACAGTGCAGGTACCAGCTCAGCAAGTTTTAGTTTGAATTTCAGCCATGAGACTTATGAAGAGTTTAAATCTCTCGCTAGCTCTGGAAAGAACTGCAGCACATATCTGAATAATTTAAACAGGGCTTCATCCCCGCCTCCACCCCACCACCTCATCTAGAATTGCTTAAACCAAAATAGATCAAAGGCGATTCTTATGTTATTCACTATCAGTAACAGTAGCTATCAAAAACTGTTAGCTTTTCTTCTCTGCTCTGAAGGCAAGCTGGCCCAAGAAGACCTATGTTAAGAAAATTCACACTGCTGAAAGAAATTAGAGATGACACAAACAAATGGAAAAACATTCCATTCTCATGGATTGGAAGAACCAATATTGTTAATATGTCCATACTGCCCAAAGCAATCTACAGATTTCAACACTATTCCTACCAAACTACCAAAGTCATTTTTCACAGAATAAGAAAAAAACTTTTCTAAAATTCATGTGGAACCAAAAGAGACCCCAAATAGCCAAAGCAATCCTAAGCAAAAAGAACAAAGCCAGAGGCATCACATTACCCAACTTCAAATAATACTGTAAGGCTATGGTAACCAAAACAGCATGGTATGGTTACAAAACAGAGACATAGACCAGCAGAACGGAATAGAGAACCCAGAAGTAAAGCTGCACACCTACAGTCATCTAATCTTTGACAAAGTCAACAGAAATAAGCAATGGGGAAAGGACTCCCTATTCAATAAATGGTGCTGGGATGACTGGCTAGCCATATGCAGAAGAATGAAACTGGACCCTTACATTTTACCTTATACAAAAATTAACTCAAGATGGATTAAATATTTAAATGTAAGACCTCAAACTGTAAAAATCCTAGAACACCTAGGAAATACCATTCTGGACATTGGCCTTGGCAAAGGACTATGACTAAGTCTTCAAAAGCAGTTGAAACAATACTTGAAAGTGGGACCTAATTAAGCTAAAGAGCTTCTGCACAGCAAAAGAAACTATCAACAGAGCAAACAGACACCCTACAGAGTAGAAGAAAATATTCACAAACTGTGCATCTGACAAAGGTCTAATATCCAGAACCTGTGAAGAAGTTAATTCAACAAGCAAAAAACAAGTAACCCCGTTAAAAAGTGGGCAAAGAAGACATACAAGTGGCCAATAAACATGAAAAAATGTTCAACATCACTAATCATCAGAAAAATCCACATCAAAACCACGATGAGAAACCATCTCACATCAGTTAAAATGGCTATTATTAAACAGTCAAAAAATAACAGATGTGGCTGTGCATACTGGCTCACATCTGTAATCCCAGCACTTTGGGAGGCTGAGGCAGGAGGGTCACTTGAGACTAGGAGTTTGAGACCAGCCTGGGCAACATAGCGAGGCCCTCATCTCTACAAAATAGCAAATTAGCCGGACATGGTAGTGTGTCCCTGTGGTCCCAGCTACTTGGGAGGCTGAGGTGAGAGGATTGCTTGAGCACAAGAGTTTGAGGCTGCAGCCATAATTACAAGCCATGATCATGCCACTGCACTCCAACCTGGGCAACAGATTGAGACCGTGTCTCCAGAAAAATTAAAAAATAACAGATGCTGGTGAGGCTGTGGAGAAAAAGGAACGCTTATACACTGTTGGTGGGAATATAAATTAGTTCAGCCACTGTAGAAAGCAGTTTGGAGATTTCTCAAAGGACTTAAAACAGAACTACCATTCGACCCAGCAATCCCTTTACTGGGTATATACCCAAAGGAAAATAAATTGTTCTACTGAAAAGACACATGCACTCAAATGTTCATTGCAACACTGTTCACACTAGCAAAGACACAGAATCAACCTATGTGCCCATCAACAGTGAACTGGATAAAGAAAACATTATATATATATATATATACACCATAGAATACTATGCAGTCATAAAAAAGAATGAAATTATGTCTTTTGCAGCAACATAGTTGCAGCTGGAGGCCCTTATCCTAAGCAAATGCAGAAAGAGAAAACCAAATACCTCATGTTCTCACTTCTTTGTTGTTGTTGTTGAGACAGACTCTCTGTTGCCCAGGCTGGAGTGCAGTGGCGCTGTCCTGGCTCACTGCAACCTCTGCCTCCCGAGTTCAAGTAATTCTCCTGCCTCAGCCTCCCAAGTAGCTGAGACTACAGGCGCCCGCCACCACGCCCAGCTAATTTTTTGTGTTTTTAGTAGAGACAGGGCTTCACCGTGTTAGCCAGGATGGTCTTGATCTCCTGACCTCGTGATCTCCCCTCCTCGGCCTCCCAAAGTGCTGGGATTACAGGCGTGAGCCACCACACCCAGCCATGTTCTCACTTTGAAGTGGGAGCTAAACATTGGGTATTCATGGATGTAAAGATGGCAACATCAGACCCTGGGATTACTAGGAAGGAGAGAGGGGAGGGAGCAAGGGCTGAAAACCTATGTATTGGGCACTATGCTCACTACCTGGGTGATGGTATCATTTATATTCCAAACCTTAGCATCATGCAAAATCCCTATGCAGCAAACCTGAATCTAAAATAAAAGTTGAAATTATTATTTTAAAAGAAAATTTACATATAACCAGGTATTTGGTTCACTGAGCATACATGTAGTAAAATCTTCCCTAGAGCCAGGCAAAGCTTTTCAGTTTTTAGTGAGGAGTGCGGTGTTCTCTCACCAGGTTCCTAGAGCACATGATCCAGCTTGGACTCTCCCAGGATCTGTTGGAGAAACATGTAGGCTCACGATACTGAATGAGAGGAGGGACCTTCTATGTACACAATAAATACATCAATCCTTGTTTTCTTACAATCTGTTTCAAGTGAAATGGGTTCCTGGAGCACAATGGGTTGAGAGACGCTCTTCTGTGCGGATGTTCCCTCCCCATATCTCATTTTGAAAAATGATCCTGGATCCCCTCCCCATTGCATCTTTAAAGCAAAGTGACATTAATGGGATACCACTGGAGCCGGGGCATTATGCAGACCAGAGTAAAGCATGCCTCTCCTATGCTTTGTTGTTACTATTAGCTTATCCACTCACGTAGAGAGACTATTTTTGCTGCGTGGAGTCTACCCTCCTGAACCATTGTCACAGCACTCAAGGAAGGATGCTTCGGCGTGATGGAAACAAAATGTGTGAATTCCAATTCTGCCACCTAGTTGCAGAATGACCATGTTAGATTAGTTGTTTCATGTCTAAGATCCTCATTATCTTCATTTGAAAAATAGGAATAATAATAGCTTCTTCTTAGACCTGATGAGATTACTAAAATAGATCAGCAGTTTTCAAACTTTCTGGTTTCAGGGTCCCTCTGTACTCTTAAAAATTATTGAGAACCGCAGAGAGCTTTTGTTTATATGAGTTATAGCAATCATTATGTATCATATGTCAAGTTAAACAGAAAATTATGAAGGTTTATTCATTTTAAAATGACAACTATTATGCTAACATTTTTCTGTGAGAAATATCTTCCAAAACAAAAGAATTACTGAGAATAGTGTTTTTGTTTTAAATTTTTGTAAGTCTCTTTAATGTCTGGATTTATAGAAGACAACTGGATTTTCAAATATGCTTCTGAATTCAGTGTGTCATGTTATGTTTTAGTTGGATTATGTAGCAAAAATAAAGCTTCACATAGATACGTAATTGGTAAGAGAAGGGTATTTCGATACCCTTCTCAGTTAAATGCGGATGTTCTTATTTGATTAATCAGTAAACTTTGATAATTGATGTTGTCTTAAAAGTTGTGATGTGCAATCAGAAGCCATATTGTGAACTTTATGTACTCAATGACATAAAATCCATTGGTTTACCTTGCACTTGGAATGACTTTTTTGCTTTTAAAACAGTGTCATTGGCCATTTGGAAAATATTAGTTACCTAGATTGTACAGATCTCCTGAAAATTGACTCATTTTATCAAACCATATCAAAAAATCATAATTCTTAATATTACCACTAGTCTCATCAGATAAGTCTTCAGTATTGAGAAGCTGTCAAGCTTAGGATGGCAGATCTATGTTTTCCAAAATGCTAATTTTTGCTTGAAAACTCAAATTTTATCATTGGCAACAAGTGTTGTTTTCCTGGAAGTGACAGGCTCACTTCATTCATTTCAGTAATATATCTGCCAAATGCTCAAGTCTGAATAACCACAGTTTATCTAAAACTGTTCTTTCAAGTTAAAAAAAAAAAAAAAAAAGCCAGGAATTTTTCCAAGAAGAAAGTGGCTAGTTCAGTTTACAATGCCAGTGATCACACCAGTGCTCTTCCATGAGATACCCACTGGACTTCAATATGAAGCAGAAATACTTTTTGCATTCTTCCCACTTCACTATACAATGCCAAAGACATATATACTTAAGAATCGAGATTTAGTAAAGTTAATATTCATTACTGCGTCGTCAGGGACATTCGTGAGACTGGCTTTCACCCTCTTACTGCCAGTGTGGCAGTAAAGAATACAGTGTTTCCAGCCAGGCGCGGTATCTCACGTCTGTAATCCCAGCACTTTGGAAGGCTGAGGCTGGTGGATCACCTGAGGTCAGGAGTTCGAGACCATCCTGGCCAACATGGTGAAACCCTGTCTCTACTAATACAAAAATTAGCTGGGTGTCATTACACATGCGTGTCATCCCAGCTACTCAGGAGGCTGAGGGAGGAGAATTGCTTAAACCCAGGAGGTGGAGGCTGCAGTGAGCCAAGATCATGCCATTGCACTCAAGCCTGGGCAACAGAGCAAGACTCCGTTTCAAAAAAAAAAAAAAATACAGTGTTTCCTGAGCTTTGATTTACGCTTAGGCATCTGAAGGTTTACTACCCTTCAGGAACCTTTACGCCTTACGCCTCACACCTTCTGCATTGCAAATGTTAAAACAGTGAGAAAAAAAGCAAATAATCTGAATTCTGTCTCTCACCAACTCCCTGAAAGGGTCTCCGGGACCCCAGCAGTCTGTAGACCTTCTTGAGAATCACTGAGATAGGTAGTAGAAATGACATATCATATTGCCAAGACTGAAAAGTTAGCCTTTACTTCCTGCTCTTTATTATTTGTGGTTGTGGACTTGGTGACGAGCTGGTTCAAATGAAGGCCAGCCTTTGGTAGAGGTATTATTTTGATGAACTCTCACTAGAGTTCTTTCTTAGTTCCCTAGAGCCTAGTTGCCTACTTTCTCCTTGGGATGTTACGTGGAGACTGCAAACAAGTGTTGGTTTCAGGTTAACTTTACTACTGGTTTCTGTGCAAGAAAACCTGTATTAATCCTTGCTTTTTTTGTATGTTGTGGAGCTAATAAATGTCTTTTTAACCATGATAATTTTCTAATCTCTTACATCAGGGGGTCTTAACGCTGGTGTCAGAGGCTCTTTGCTGGTCCTACATATGGGCTTTTAGGTGGCCCCTGAGCCTTTAATTTTTTTTGTTGTTGTTCAGCATTTAACAGCTCAGCAAAGCCCTTGAAATTTTACAGACTTCTTTTGTTTCATTAGGGTTGGGGGAGAAGGTGGGTTATTAGAGTAAGTTAAAAGCTTCAGCCAAACTCTCAGAGGTCTCTAACCTGCCCCCCATAAAAACAAATATTAAAGATGACTTTTTGGATAGACATTTTTAAAGGGTAGCATCTCCCACCGTTACCTATTTCCTGACACACCTCTCTGTGGAAAGAAGTTTGCAAGCTTCCTCCCTGGCTCTGCTGTCTTTGCTTTTCCTCCCCTGGGCATTTCTGCACAGTGCACATCACGCAGCGCTTGCTGACGAGTCACTTCACCGTGATTTTTTAGTGCATTTCCCGAGAGAGCAAGGGTCTGTCCATCTTGTTTCTTCTATATTCCAAAATGCAAAGTCAGAGTTCAGTCCCTTCAGATATACCCTAGGGGATAGGGGGAGTATTTTAGGCCAGAGAATACATCAGCTAAATTAGCGGGTTCCTTTTTGAACTATTGAGGTCTGCAAACTTGGAATATTTATTTATGCCTCAACCCCAAGACGCGTTTTTCTCCCACATTCTTCAGTCTGCTTCTTGGAATCCAAGTGCTGTCATGAAAGCTGCAAGGCAGTCTGTTTAGTTCCAACAGCAGAATTTTTGGAAGACTTCCTTAATTCTGTAGGAGGAGTGTGGTGACTACCACTTGCTGACGAGAAGCCGCGGAGGATTCTGCAGCGTGACAATATGTATATCCGTATTATAAGATGTCAGCCCCCACCGCGCACGCCCCCGCCCCCGTCAGCTCTGCTGGGCTGCAGAGGAGGGGGGACGAGGTGGCACAGGGTGGCTCTGCGGCAGTGTAGCCGCTTCGTGCTGTCGGTATCTCCACAAGTCCAGAAGCTGGCTTCACCGGGGTGGGCAAGAGTTCGACAGCAGGTTTTACCGATTGCGCTCTGACTTAGACAATGTAATTGTTCCCCACTTGGGAAAAAAGTAAAGAGTTTTGTAGTATGTGGCTTAATTCAGTGGCTTTTCAGCTTTTGAAAAAGCTTTGGTTCATCTCACACAATACACACGCGAGCACCTAACAGTTGGGAAGCAACAATGTCCCTGTCCTTTATGGGAAGCAGGAAAAATAATATAACAATGAATAAGTTGAATCGACCCCATTATGAAGAGGCAGAAGAATAGCTAAATAGTACACTGACAAAATGGGTATGTATAGCAATCAGATCCCATAATACAGTATTCAAGAATCTATTTCTTGGTGGGGGCACGGCGGCTCATGCCTATAATACCAGCACTTTGGGAGGCTGAGGCAGGTGGATGGCTTGAGCCCAGGAGTTGGGGATCAGCCTGGGCAACATGGTGAAACCCCTTCTCTACAAAAAATACAAAAATTAGCCAGGCATGGTGGCACATGCCCTATAGTCCCAGTTACTTGGGAGCTGATGTGGGAGAACGGCCTACGCCCGGGAAGTCGAAGCTGTAGTGAGCCAGAATCATGCCACTGCACTCCAGCCTGGGTGACAGAGTGAGACCCTATCTCAAAAAAAAAAAAAAAAAAAAAAAAGCATCTATCTCCACTTGCTAGGTTGCACTTTTAAACTTAGCTTTCTGGACAACATTCGAATAGTCCTAGCATACTAAATTCCATCTTTGCATTTCTTGCAATTTCTAAATAATGAGAGTTGTCACTCACATGGGATTTTCACCAGAGTAGGTGCACCCCAACACTCCATCTTCATGGGGTCAAACCTTCAATGTGGTTTTATTTCTGTGCCTCTTTAGCAGATGAGAAAATCGGGACATAAGAACTTGAACTTGCCCTGAGCTACTGACCTGTACAGTAGTTCTGTGCAGATGATGTTCATAGCCTTGGTGTCTTTGGCCAGGTCACCAGTCAGTCAGAGCTGTTGTCCCTCATCTCTTTGGACAGTGCTCTTCATACTGGTGGGTTTGGTAAATGTGAGTGCATGCACTATTTGACTCACTCACTCCTCAAGGGCTGAATCTGGTCAAACTCTTAAGGAACATGCACCTTCTCAGTGGGAGAGTAAGGTAAGGTGAACCTTGGCTCTGCTTTCCAACCAAGTGGCTTTTGTTGTTGCATGATAAAATGTACAGCTTCACGTTTCTGTGTCTGTCACCACTACAGTGCCCTTTCTGTTTTTAAGGAAAGAAGGATTGTCCAAATGTGGAAGATGCAAGCAGGCATTTTACTGCAATGTGGAGTGTCAGGTAGGTGCTGGGCCATTGGCAGGGAGGGCCTAATTTCCTCTGAAGTCCTCCTCTTCCTTGTCATGGCATTCCTCAGCGCCCTCCTGGAGCCAGAGCTGGAAAGCATAGGATGTGGCTGGATATCCTTGGATGTGTGCTGACCCCGACCTCACAGGCGGCCAGTGATAGGCAGTAAACCGTTTGAGGCCGCATGCAGGACCAACATCGAGGTGCAGGAGAAGACCATGTTAGATACAGGCAGGTGTGCTAGCAAGTCTGCCCCAAGGACTGCAGCCACAGACGGAAAATGCAGAGTTGACAAATAAACAATATTAAAATGCTATCTTTAAGTTTTTAACGTTTTTATTGTTGTATTTTTATAAATCCCTCCATAGCAGGCTACATCTTACCCTTGGGCTGTTTGAACCTAACCTGCTTGCAGTGAGACTCAGATGATCCCCTAGTCCAGCCTCTGTATAGCCAGAGGGGGGGCTATTCTGAACTCGTAATTGGGGCCAGTGCCTCAGGAGCAGCCAGGGCTGAGGGGTTCAGCATGGATGAGTCTCAAATGAATCCTGAAATGTAGGGATGGGAAGGTTAATAAGGAGGATGTTGGAGGAATTCTTGGTAGACTCTTTGAGGGCCTAAGAGTGGTATTTCCCAAACTGTTATAGTAAACACTTGTTCCACAAAATGTTCGTAGGTATTCCACAGAAAATGCATTTCATGTTCAAACAATTTAGGGGAATGTAGTCTCTTTACTTCAGAACCTGTTATAGTCTTTAATACACTAGTATGGCATTGTGAATTTCTAAGCCTTCTTGTTTGATCTCTCTGGACACCCCGTGGCATTTATTTTTAAAGGGAACCTATTAATACACCTTGAGAAATGGTGATGCTGTTAAAGGGTGGCTCTACGGGACAGGGAAGATTTTCTCTATAGCTGCATCTCTTTTTGTTGTTCCATACCTGGTGTTGTCCTTCCCCCATCCCCACCCTCCAGCCCCATCCCCGGTCTACTTTGGATTACCCACTATTTCATTTTTTTTTCTTTCTCACCTCCCTACACTGTTGGCTTCTGAAAGGCCTCAAAGAGCATTATTTAGCAGTGGGAGAGATTGCTAAGCCCTGGTGTCTCATCTGACTGTAGCGCCCCAGGGACAGCGGCCCCTCCCCAGAATGAAGCACAGGCTGAGACCTTGGCTTGGGAAGCTCAGACTCTGCCTTAGCTCTGAAGACCATATGCACCGTCCCCTTCCCTGTGTTTCCCACAGCAGGCTCCCGGAGGCTGTCAGCCTGTGTGGCAGTGAGAATATAAATGGAGCTTGTAGTTGAGTTTTCGGGGAGGGTGCCTTCTTTTGAAGAGGAAAGATCATACTTTGCTCCTACCAATTGTAGATAGAGTAGTGCAACGGCATTGTAGAGATCAGCAGCCCCTGCGACATATATGGTTTGATTCCAGGCCTGCCAGATGAGTTAGCTGTTTCTATATGTAAGTTAAACACTTCTAGAAAAATTAACTCATTCCGTTCTGTAGCAAAGCAAGCATAGGGAGTCACATGTAGTTCAGATCATACAGCATGGAGTAGCAGGAGGCCATGGTCCCAGGAGCAGGTCCTGGCTCTGCTACTTACTAGCTCTATGAAACTGGCAAGTTATGGCTGGGCGCGGTGGCTCATGCCTGTAATCCCAGTACTTTGGGGGGCCAAGGCAGACAGATCACCTGAGGTCAGGAGTTCGAGACCAGCCTAACTAACATGGTGAAACCCCGTCTCTACTAAAAATAGAAAAAAATTAGCCAGGCGTGGTGGCGGGTGCCTGTAATCCCAGCTACTCTGGAGGCTGAGGCTGGAGAATCTCTTGAACCTGGGAGGCGGAGGTTGCAGTGAGCCGAGATCGTGCCTTTGCACTCCAGCCTGGGCAACAAGAGTGAAATTCTGTCTCAAAAGAAAGAAAGAAATTGGCAAGTTACAAAACATCCCTGAGGCTCAGTTTCTTTAAATCTGAACTAAGCACAATGGTGCCCACCTTGATGAGTTAGGGACCACATGATGTGATAGATATTAAAGTTTTATATAAGCTGTAACCCTATATACAGGTGTGAGGAGTTAGTATAAACATATTACAGTCCACAGGAAAATCGAATTTGTGTAATTCAGGCTAGACTAAAGCTTAGCTTTATGCAAAGAAATAAACAGCATAGTTTTGATTTAAGGGGCTTGGTTTTTCAGCCTGAGAGAATGACTGGATTCTAAGAACTTGAGGGTGCTGATGGTGTACATTGTGTGAATAAGGCTTATTACAAAATGAGTCTTAACTCCTTTAAGTAGCTGTGAACAGTGTATTAATGAGTACCATCAGAGTGTGTGGCATGTGGAGTTAGCTCCGAGTCTGAGTCTTCTGAGCACGCTGCTAAACTAACTTGTTAGGCCTCATGAGGTGGCAGTATTTTGATGAATCGTCATGGCCCACATTGGGATTTGAGATGCCCTTTATGGTTTCCCTGCCCCCAGGACCTAGAATCCCAGATTCGCAGACCCAGAGACCTCATTTGTAAGCGTGCAATGAGGGGTGTCCTCCCTTGGGGGAGGCTCACATTAACCAATATCCCAACCTGTATGTGCCACAATGCCAGTTTATTACTCTACAACAAGAAGTTGAACAGTCTAGATTTCCTGCCCTTGAAGACAAAACTGTACAGGTGGCCGCCTCATAATGACACAATTACTTGGGGAGCAAGGAACCCCAGGATGGAGGAAACAGTTACGGGATTCTACTCTTGCAAGGCTGCAGGCCAAGAGAGCCTGCTGTGTCCAGCCTCATGATGGAGTTTCCCCTGCTGCTCACTCAATTCCCAGACAGGGGCACCCTGAGCACCGGGGATTACTTCTGTAATTCTGCTTTCCTGTGCTTCTGTTAAGTATCTGGTGACCAAAGTACCCTCCTAGGAGGTGAGTGGTACCGCAGCTCCTGAAGTCTCTTGTTTCTAGAGGTGGCAGGCTGGATCTGACCTGTAAGTTTCATTTTTGTTTCATCTGTCTCCCACTGCTGAAGGAAAAGGCTAATGACCATTAAGGTTTTTCATCCTTTAGTACTGAAGAACTAAATAAGTGTGGGCAGTGTATTATAAAGAGATAGAGCAGGCATAAAGGTTTAATAAAAGTAAGTGCCTAGAAATAAAGGGTAGCACAAGGGCTTCGTAAAGGAAATCATTAGGGAGGAATCTGGGGCATTTGCTCCAGATATAAATGTGTTCAGGGTTCGGCTTAAGGGAGTGCTTGCATGGGATCAAAGTAGAGGCTCTGCTTAAAGGATAAAACGTGGCACAAAACAAGAGCAGCGATGAGGAAGGTAATTGAGTGATTCTCCACCTAAGAAAGCATGGCCTTCAGCTGCTAGTAATTAACTGGTCCTTCCTCAAAGGTAGGCCCTACCCCCCTGGAGTCATCAGGTGGTCAGTGCCACACAGCAGATGGTGGAGTTGGGATGGAGGTTATCGAGTTCAATATGTCAGTAGATAAGAAAACGTAGTCCCAAGTGGTTGGGTGACCCAAGATCACCCAAGGTCAAACAGTGGCAGAACAGAGATGAGACTTTACACACTACTTGGGGAGGGCTTTCACCCCTTTACAGTAGTGTGCTTGGGAGAAGTGAGGGCCCTCTAGGAAAGGAGGTTCTGTGGGAATGTCAGAGAAAGAGAAGTGGCCTTCAGTGGATGTGAAAGGGGAGAGCTGCGTCCATTGTTGCCTTGGCCAGACACCTCTCCAAGAGTGCTAAAGGCTCACATTGCTTCCTGGGGATTTCCTCTTTACATGGAGTAAGGCTTCTTAGGGGATCCTAGCCATGGTGTATGTTCTCCCCAAGCCCTCTTCTGTCTGCAGTGCTTTCGGATTTTGCTTTATTTGATACAATTTGGTTCTATCTTGTCCCGTTACTTTCCTCTTAGTTCACTTGACTCAGTGTGATGGTGCCAGAGGAAAGATTTTAATTGCTAATGCATGAAAGGGTAATGGGAGGAAATACAAAAGAAACAGAAATTCCTTTTTAGTTGGGTGCGTTATTTTGTAACCTGTGTGTTTTAATGAACTGTATTTATTTTTCTAAATACGCCTGGGAAGCAAAGTATATTACTCATTCACCCACTCACCCATAAATTGTACCAGGATATTTTCAAGAGAAGAGTTTTAGAAAGTTGTTATATAGAATAATCATTGTGCAGTAGGACTTTCTAGGGTATATTTCTTAACTCTAATGAATGTAAAGAAGAAAACCTTTGTGTTTTGCTGCTGAGGGGGTTATGAGTAAGCTTTGAAAGTAGGAAGGGATTTTTTAAAGTGTGTATGAGGAGCATGTGAGAAAATAGTAGGCCCTTATCATTGACTAGAAAATAACTGAAGTATAGAACATGTCTAATAAATGCTGCTGTTATGGGTGATTAGTGTAATGGGGCCAGAGTCGTAGGTTCAATCCTGGTTCAGTTCACTCCTGTCAGCCATAGGAAGCATCTTAAATTTGGGCCACTCTTTTTTTCTAAATCTTTAACATCACCAGTAGGAAGAAATGTGTGTGAATGACTGAGTATGTCTCATTGCTTGTATTGGGAAAACACAAAGCATATGTCCTAGTGATGGTAGCTCAGCAGCACGGGCCATCTTTGTATAAGGTGGTCAGGTGTCCACCTGATTGCTTTTGCACACTTCTTCTCAAGGATCATGCTAGTGGAAAGCAGAAATCCTGTGACATTTTCTCCCTGTTCCACATTTTAAGAAATAAGATGTGGATGTGTACAGGTAGGCTGTGTTTGTTGTTAGAAGAATAGAAACACCAAATGCTAGAGGCAGAAAAGGGACTTCATGATGAAAATCCAGTCTCCTTATCGAGGAAGGCAACATATTTGCTCAGCAGAAAACTGGATGCCATAATAATCACTCTTTTCTTCCAGTGCTGGAAATGCTGGTGCACCATGAGACAATTTCGCAACTCTTTATGCATCTTTAAGCATTTTTGACTGTGCACGAAAGTGAAAGTCATGCACAGTAGTTATTATCTTAGTTGAAAATGAATTAGAAGTTTTAAAAGAGGACCATCAGTATGAAAAATTCCATATCTCACCTTTTTTATGGATTTAAGTTACACAGTCTGTCCTCATTATGGGAAAATCAGAAAGTGCAGACTAAAAGAACAGAACAAGTATTCATAATCTTGTTCCTTGAGAGAATACTTTGGTATATATCTTCCTGAATCCCTTCTGTGCTTATATGTGTATTTTATTAATTTTTTTTTTTTTTTTTTGGAAAATGAGATCCTAGTTTACAGAAAATTTTATAAGTATTGCAGTCAGGGCAGGAGCACTAACTCGAATTTTGAAGAATAGTGGGAAAAGTTTTAGAAAAATTGATAACATTTAAAAAAGCATAAAGAGTTGCAAAATCACTCTGTATACAGCAGTACTGCCAGTATTCAAAAATACGGTAATTTATAACATTCATTCCTATTCATCAGGTTAGCCTAATTTGTTTTTCAATTTTGTCCAGTCTGGTTGCTTGTAATTTCTTATGGGCAAAACTAGGGTAGTTGCCGCTGTCAGGTTCTTTAAAATATATGGACCATCTCTATGATAGAAGAGAATGTATCAAAATATGCTTAAAACCTGACATTTTTACTAGATACTATCACATCTTCCTTTTTTAAGAATTAAAGCTGTGCAGTGCCATTGTGTTATATCTCTGCCCTTCCTCCGTTAATCCACCTTCAAAAAAGAAAGTGAAACGTTATTACTGTGGTAAATTTCCTTTGATGAAATTTAACCTGATTCTGCATTTTCTTGAATTTATCCAGCTACCTGATTTTAACTGCTATGAGCGGGACTGTATTTAATTGTAGGTGTACTTTTATCTTGGTTCTGACATTGCCATAAACTGCTTGAAGTCAAAGACTTCATCTCCCATCCCTGCCTCTAGGGTCAGTTGCAGCACTTGTTGAATGAATGAATGAATGAATGAGCAATTACCAATGTTTCAGAGCGCAGCCTGTGCCGGGCACCGTTCTGAGTGCTTCTTGTGGATCTGCTGATGGGATCCTTTGTGCCTGATGAATGCCTGATGATCCCTATTTGGTCCACTTTTGTTGGTAGTCTTCAAGCTTGATATCTGATTATCACTGTTGGAAGGTGTAAACTCACAGACTCAGAATTCTGGACTTGCTAAGTAACTTAGGGATCATGTTATTTACAGCCAGGGAGACAGGCGCAAAGGGATTAAGAAACCTGCGTTGTCACACAGCTGCTTCGCTGCGAGTGGGGATAAAATGCAGGTTTCTTGAGTCCCAGGTCAGCAGCCCTCCTGCTTGACAGCACTCTGCTTTCCTCCCAGAGCTTTCCTTGTGTTTGATTCCCTTCCTTTTGAGGACATTTATATCAATAAATGTCACCATTATGTAGTATTTACAGTACCATTAATTTTAAATCAACTACATTAATAAATTGATATTTTATAAATAATAATTATATTAATAAATGTTCATATTTAACTTCCCAGGAATTCATTGTAGTTGCTAAACACCAAGGCACCACCTGCAGTTCAGAAAACAACAGCTTGCAGGCCCGTTAGGGACAGAGATTATGTCTTGGAGTTTTCTTGGAGTTGCTGGAGTCAGAGTGGGCATTTGTCTATAGTTGTTAATGATCCATCTGTCCCCAGCTGGTAGGTCCCCATATCCTCTCAGGTATCCCGAGGGTCATCTCTGTCTTTTCCTCTTTGCTCTGCAGCTGAGGAGGGAGCTGATTAGTCTGCAGGGAGACAGACCCACCTGTTCCCACCTCTTCGCCTCATCACCATGCTCTCATTTTAGGCTTTGGCTAAAAACAGATTCTCTTCTCCCTTGTGCATATCTTGTCATTTCTTTTCCTCCCTGCTCTTAGTTATATTTGGCGCGGCATTATTTAACTCTGCAGAACATCTTGGCCCAGAACTTGAGCTAAGGGGCTGCACCATAGACTGCATTAAATCATTAAGTGACATTATGTGCTTCCTTCTTGGGGGATCAGTGTGGAGGGAAGCGGGTAGGGAGATATCTTCATTCCTTCAACAACTATATTGAGTGCCTACTAAATGCCAGGCACTGTTGTCAGTTCTGGGGTTACAGCTATGAACAAAACAAAATTTCTTTATTTTCCTGGGGAGAGACAGATACTAAACCAAACAACTAATAAATATATAATATGCTCAGGTGGTGAGAAGTACTAAGAAGCAGCAGAAAGCAAGGAAAGGAAGAATGATGGGGAAGTGCTCTTTCTGACAGGGTGATTGTGGCAGGTATCTTGAGAAGGTGACATTCCAGCAGCGGCTGGAGAGGAGGGAGGGAGTCACATGGATATCCAGGGGAGGAGAGTGCTAGCCACAAAACAGAGCAAGTGCGAAGGGCCTTGAGGCAGGTACATGGCTCCAGGCGCAGCCAGGACACTTCTGTGGCTAAGTGCAGTGAGGCAGGTGAGAGTACGGTGGGGGATGATGGGCTGGGGTGGTGCAGGGACGCTCCCATCACGTGTGGCCTCCTAGGTCACCTTTAGCGCTTGGCCTTTTGCCTGGATGAGAAAAGCCATTAGGTTTTGAGCTGAGGACTGGCCTGATCCGAGTTTTGTCAACAGAATCCCTCAGGCTGCTCTCTGGAACCTAGTCCATGGGAGCAAGGACAGAAGCGGGCATCCAGTTAGAAGGCAGTGGCAGGACATTAGTCATGAGAGATGTTGGGGCTGCAGCCGGGTAGAAAGGTTGTGGAGCTAAGAAGTGATCAGATTCCAGGCAGAGACAGAGGATTTGCCAGAACTGACTGAATGTGGAGTGTGAGTGAGAGAGCAGCGTCAAGGATGACTCTAGCTTTCTGGCCTGAGCATTTATTTTTATTTTTGAGACAGAATCTCACACTGTTGCCCAGGCTGGAGTGTAGCGGTGCACTCTCGGCTCACTGCAACCTCTGCCTCCTGGGTTCAAGCGATTCTCCTGCCTCAGCCTCCTGAGTAGCTGGGACTGCAGGCACATGCCACCACACTTGGCTAATTTTTTTATTTTTAGTAGAGATGGGGTTTTATCACGTTGGCCAGGCCAATCATAAACTCCTGACCTCGGGTGATCCGCCCATGTCAGCCTCCCTGCCCTGAGCATTTATGGCCATTTTCTGAGCTAGGGAAGGCCAAGGACAGAGCAGGACAGTACCCAATTCCATCGTGAAAGAGACAGTGTGTAAGGGCTTCCATCAGTATACAACGTGCTCTGATATTTCCCATCTAAAAAAAAAAAAAAGTCCCCCGCAACTTTTCACTACTCTAAGCTGTGTCTCCTTTCATTTTTTCTTGAATCTGCTCCCTGTCATTTCTTACCCCATCATCCCACCAAAACTTGTTTTTATGAAAATCATCAAGCTTCCATGATTCCAAATCACATTCTCCGTCCTCTCACACTAAGCCTATCTCCAGCACTGGCATCATCATTTACTCCCTAGTCCTCAAAGTACTTGCTTCCCTCAGCCTCCAAAACACCATGGTGTCCTTCTCTCAATGCCTTCCCCATCTCAAGTGATGGCGCCTCCACCCTTCCAGCAGCAAATATCCTTCATCCCTCTACCCGGGGCAGGGAAACTTCAGGGCGTATGATAGAAAGAATACTACTGTTAGGCCAGGCACGGTGGCTCACGCCTGTAATCCCTGCACTTTGGGAGGCCGAAGCAGGTGGATCATGAGGTTAAGAGATCAAGACTATCCTGGCCAACATCTTGAAACCCCGTCTCTACTAAAAATACAAAAATTAGCCGGGCGTAGTGGCACACACCTGTAATCTCAGCTACTCAGGAGGCTGAGGCAGGAGAATCACTTGAACCCGGGAGGCAGAGGTTGCAGTGAGTCGAGATCGCGCCACTGCACTGCAGCCTGGCAACAGAGCGAGACTCTGTCTCAAAAAAAAAAAAGGAAAGAAAGAATACTACTGTTTTATCCAGTGCATCTTTGGGAAGTCCTAACTATTCCTAAATCTTTCCAGTGGTTGCCCTTCATGAAACCCTCATTTGTGCTTTTTAAAAAGTCGCCTGTAAAAGGGACTCATTGCTGTGTAAGTCAACTCTCCATTATTTGCCCTGACGTGAGAACAAAGCCAGAGCGGAACTGTGAGGCAACAAAGCCAAATCAATGGCTGATACTCAAATTGCTCCCTCTGCAATTTGACAGCTTGCACAGATGATGGAAAGATGTATGTGTTGTTTAGAATAATGAGGGGCTGCAGAAAGCCATGAGGTGCTTGAGGAAAAAACACAAAGTAGATCTTCTCATCCCAACAAGCTTGACCCAGGCCTGAGTGAAGGTCATACAATCCTGCCTATCTTAAAGGATGTTTTTATCTCTAGCTTTTGTGAGCATCCTCGTGTTTTCCAAAAGGAAACATATTTTACTTGACCTTAACTAGGGGGACTCACTGCATCCTCTCCTCTCACACTTTATTCCAGTGTATGTGCTATTTTTTAATAATGTTTTTTTCAATCTTCCCAGAAAGAAGATTGGCCCATGCACAAGCTGGAATGTTCTCCCATGGTTGTTTTTGGGGAAAACTGGAATCCCTCGGAGACTGTAAGACTAACAGCAAGGATTCTGGCCAAACAGGTGAGGAAATGGGACAATGTTCAAGTGCATTTTATTTTGTTTTTCTTTTAAAGGTCAGAAAGATGAGTAACTGACCTTTGGTAACCATCTCTCGTTAAACATCCTTAGACTACATTTCCTATCATATCCATATGGACAGGGGTGGGGAAAATACTCCAGGCATAATCTAGTTAGTTGTGTGCCCTGTGCAATTAGGATGTTGCTTACCCTAGACCAGGAGCATAGCCACAGCTCTGAAATTCTGAGCTGTTTTCATGACAGGTTTACATGGAAATACGTGACATGAAAAGCCTGACCTCAAATAATTAGAGCTTCCTAGGGAACCAGATTGGTCTGAGCAGCTTTGAGATTTTCCTCTCTTTCCATTCTGACATAAAGAGTGTACTCTGTTCCCCTTTCCTGTGTAATATTCTGCTCTTTCTTGGCTCCTTTCTTGCCTGTGCATAGGCAGGCAAAGAATTGGATGGAACAGCCTTGACTATGACATGTGCAAAGAAGAGAAAGAGTGGAAAAGTAGAAATAGAGGCAAGGGAGAGGGGAAGAGAGTTAAAAAAAAAAAGTGAAGAAGAAGGAAAGAAAGAGGTGCCCTTGATGGAAACAGATGATAGTCATCAATGGCTTTCTCCAGAAGTGATGCCAACTCTGACTATTCTGTGGTGGGCAGGACTATGCAAACTTACGCTCAAAGAGTGAGGAAGCTGAGAGACAGAAGAAAGAAGCTGACAAATCCAGTTTATTAGAAACATTTACTAGGACTTATGAACTGAAGCCATGTCTATGTCTTGGGCGGCAGCAAGACAAGATGGTGGATCCCTGCACCATTACCCACCAGAGCCAGGGCTTATATACCATAGGGAAGAAATGTGTACAGCAGTTACAAGGAAAGGCAAGGATGCTATGCAAATCTGCCTGAGAGCAAGATTTGTGCTCAAGATTGTATTGACCTAAGGCAGGATTTAAGGTAGCCATAGACAAAGTAGAAATCTTAGAAGCATTCCCAGAGCAGGAGTTAACCAGAAATCAACATGGTATATCAGCATCCAAGATGAAATTGCTTTAGCCACCGTACTGACTGTTCTCCGCCTGGTCTGGTTCATTCTTGCTGATTGCATAATAATTAGACACCTAATCTTCGAAGGGCCAAACTAAAAAGAGGACAGGAAAATGCCATAGAACTTGTCCTTGTGATCCAATGAAATAGGCAGTGTGGGGCTTAGAAGGCATATGTCCAGGCTGTGGAGGTCTTGCTCCTCAGTGCTGTCAGAGAAGTTGGTGGCAGGGCCTCTGGACTATAAATCTTTTAAAGCTGAAATTTTGGCTGGGCATAGTGGCTCATACCTGTAATCTTAGCACTTTGGGAGGCCAAGGCAGAAGGATTGTTTGAATCCAGGAGTTCGAGACCAGCCTTGGCAACAAAGTGAGACCCATTCTCTATAATAAATTTTAAAAATTAAAAAAATTTCCCAGGTGTGGTGGTATACACCTGTGGTCCCAGCTATTCTGGAGGCTGAGGCAGGAGAATTACTGGAACCCGGAACTTCAAGGCTGCAGTGAGCTGTGATTGTGCCACCATACTCCATCCAGCCTGAGCAACAAAGTAAATGAGACTCTGTCTCTAAAAATGAAAAAAAAAAACAAACTGAAATTTCATCCACTTCTCCTGTATACCTACCAGCCCTCCTCCACCCTTAAAATTTTTCTATTTTTTAATCTAAGCCAAATGTGATGGAAATGATTAGCATGTATCTGTCCCCAGACCAAGTTAGGATCCTGGGCTGTGTAAACAGAAGTAGAACATTTCAAAACTCTGAGGTCATCCTTCAGCTATGTTCAGCTTGGGTCAGGTGCTTGCCGAAATGCTACCTCGCCAGCCAGCCGAGAGTAACAAAGGCCATTCATGGGTTGCCTGTAGAGTGAGACCAAAACATCAGAATTGTTTCCCTGCAGGAGGTTAACTTTCGGATCCTTAATAACAGTTATTTTTAAATTTATGCAGAGTATTTGGGCTGAATAAGTCAGAGGGAATAGGATGACTGGGTGTGAGGTATCAGAGTCAGTAAGTCATCAGATGGGATCTCCGCACATCTTGGGAGGATTGGGTGGCCAAGCTGGTGTTTTATTATTTTGTTCCCCTGAATTATTGATGATATTTATAGTGATATGTTAAGAATTCAGAAGAGGCTGGTAGACTTTCCTGAATGAAAAGCTTTCCCAAGCGAGATGACTTATAAATCTTATAAAAATGCATCCCGTGAATGGAAGATTTCTGCTCCAAAAAAGAACTATTGAAATATTTCGGCACCAGGAGGGTAGTCTGAATGCAAAGATGAGTTTATACAAGCTTCATTCAAGTTTTATTATAATTACTACTACTACTAATAGTGTATTAAATGAAAGTTACCTGCCCATCTTTTCATCTCTATAGGACTTGATGATTAAAAAAACAGACCATTTGTATTCTAGTAGCTTGCAAAGGATTAGGGGAGACAGGCTACCAAACTACCAAGGGGAGGCTTAACATGTTAACTAGGGAGGTGAGCGTGCCCTGCTAGACCACCTGTATCCCCAAATTGAATAGCCACATTACAAAGACATGGCCTTGGGCCAGCTCCTGAGCTCTGCCTTTGAACTCTTGTCAACACCAAGTTTATTCATGTTCTCAAAGCCTAGCGGGTTTACTATTGTTAGCTCCTCTTGGGGTGTCTAGAACAAAGCCAGCAACGCGTTTAAAGTGAATCTGGGCTCACAGATACAACCAAAAGTGTTCTTTTTGAAACACAGAATTTGAGATCATTTTAGCCTATGCTTAAAGAAAGTGTAAAATGGATGGGGGGTTTGATTTTGTTCCTTTTTAGAAGGAGAAATAATAAATAGGATGGTTTGTCTGTAGACCCAGTCCTTTTAAGTAAGGACCCTAAAAAGTTGTTTTCCGGCCCTGTTCTTTCCCGTAACAGGTATTTCTGAGCCTACTGTGTGCATAGTATTATCAGGGTGTTAGGTACACGGTAGACATTTAAAAAAGCGCTTTAGAAGAGTCTTTGGATTTGGCTGGTGGAGAGCCCTAGTGGTGGAGTCCTTGAGTAGCTTGTTTTACTTCCTTAAGAATTGTTACTTTTTCTTTATGTTGATGTAAAAGTGAAAGTGCCACTTTATTACACTGGTTGTTAAAAAATCTGTATCTGTGTGATTTCTTCCCCAATTGCTAGAAAATCCACCCAGAGAGAACACCTTCGGAAAAATTGTTAGCTGTGAAGGAGTTTGAATCACGTAAGTCTTTCTGTGACCAGCCGCGCAGTTCTCTCAGCCACAGATTTCACATGGGTTGGGCAGGATTGAAGCGAGGACGGGCTAGTTTGTGCTCAGAGGAGTAGTGATTTCTTTGATTACTAGTTTTTATTTTTACTCTTGTGCTGTTTCGAAAAGCACTTTTAGCTTTTTTCTTCTGAGTTGACAGGATTGTTAGGAAATAATTAAAGGAGGTAGGAGCTCCCAAAATGAATTATTGCACCCTGAGCTACCTCCTGCTGGCCCTCTTGGCATGCTGAATACTTTTGGATCTTTGCTGAATTGCGTCCTCTAAATAGCTGATGTTCTTACTGAAAGCCGTGAAATCAGGGGTTGTCCAGTTGTTTGACCACGGCCCAGATTCCCGGGCCAATTGGGGGGCCCTTGACTAGGCTGAGGCTGGTTATGAGTCATTGCTACCCATCCCTGACCTCATTGCTAACAGTCAGTCGAAATCTCACGTCCCAAGTGACTTCTAGTCATCAGAGGGAGAGAAGGAAGAAATGGCTTGCTTTCTTTCCTTAGGGTTTGTCAGTTAAACCAAGTAATGGGGAAGAATGTTCTCTGGGGGTTCAACATGTTAGTTTTGGGTTTTTTTTTTTTCGCCCGTTCCTTTCCTCTGTATCATTTACAGCAAAAATAGGATGTAGCTAGAAATCCCACGCTTTCTACTGGGTGAATAATGGATTATTTATCCACAGATCTGGATAAGTTAGACAATGAGAAGAAGGATTTGATTCAGAGTGACATAGCTGCTCTCCATCACTTTTACTCCAAGCATCTCGGATTCCCTGACAATGATAGCCTCGTAGTACTCTTTGCACAGGTAAGGACGCTGGCAGCAGGTAACACTCAGTCTGGCCTTTCCCTCTCCAAGGCCCTCTCCCTAGCAAGCACTCAGTGAAGATGAATGCAAATAGAATGATGGCATCTTCCTGACAACGAAGCTCTGAGCCAATTGGACCGTGTGTTGCCATAGCCTTGCTCAGTGACCTTGAGCAGATCAAGGTCCCCTCTGCTGGCCCTCATTGATGGGTGGAGTGTAGGAAATTCGCCTCTGCCTCTGCCTCACAAAGAGTTCATGAAAACAAAGGAGTTGTCAGTGCCCTGGTACTCTGGCATACTTTAAGCTCTTTGCAAAGAAAAGACCATTTGAAGTTCCTACATTAAATTTTACTTTTACTCTCTTAAACCTTCTGTTCTATCTGTAGTGTTTTTTCACTCTAACCAAGGCTGCACTGATAGGAGGGCCCTTTGTGATGGCCCGAGGAAGGACAGTCACTGCCGAGAGGAGCCCAAGTGGGTCTAGATGTGGAAGTCTTTCCTGATGGTGGCTAAGAAATCTTGTTTAGAGAAGTCTAGGTTTACCAAAATCAGATCTAAGGAAATCTTAGGCTTCTAAGCAAGAGCAATTTGAAAGTGATTACAGCTTTGGAAACTAGGCCACTGGCAAGGCAAGCCTTGGGCATTGTTAGGACGAGAGAACAAAGGGTGCAGTGGCCATGCCTCGGGGAACACACAACCTTCCTGTTATCGTGAGGGTGGCTCTTCCTGGCCTGACTTACTAGATTGGATTTCTCTCTCATATGCCTTTGCGATGCCCTCTACAAACTGGGCATCTAGTTTAAAGTGACCTTCCCAGGTAGAGAAATATTAGAATTCTGCTCCATGGGAGCAAGAAGCTACATCAGTCTCCGGATGTGTAAAAGAGATGAAGTGGACACCTCCATGGTTTTGTCTTAGAATAGAATAAGCATTACCTAATGTACCCTTTGCCCAGTAACTCTGTTTGCAGGAATCTGTCCTAAGGATATAATCAGAAATCATGGACAGAGATTTACGTACAAATTGTTTATTGTAGGATTCTTTTAAAAGCCAAAGGCAGAAAAGAAAGAAGGAAGGAGGAAAGGAGAGGAGGAAGGGAAGAAGAAAAGGAAAGAGGAAAAGGAAATACTATAAATGGCCAGTAGTGGGAGTTTGGTTACATAAATTATGGCATCTCCATGTGATGGAAGGTTACATAACCTTTATAAGTTACGTTTCACGACTGTCTAAACTTGGGAAATGCTGATGACATAACATTAAGTATCAAAGCAGTATGAAAAGTATGAAAAAAGGGTATAATACGAAAACACACATACATAACGTAAAGATTAAGTGGAAGTTCACAGTTGTCTTCCGAGTTGTGGAAAAATTTAGGCTTTTTACTGGGTGACTTTCTGGATTTTCTACAGTGAGCATGTATAACTTACAAAAAGCATGCTAAGAAGGAGAAAAAGGCAAAAAGCACACACTTTAAAAATTACACACATAAAGAAAGTGGCCAGGCACCATGGCGTGTGTCTGTAGTCCCAGCTACTCAGGAGGCTGAGGTAGGAGGATCACTTGAGCCCAAGAGTTCGAGGCTGCAGTAAGCTGTGATCAAACCACTGCACTTCAGCCTAGGCAACAGAGAGAGACCCTGTCTATAAAGAAAAAAAGTGAGTCATTCATCACTTCTGCCCACTTCAGCTTCCCCCCAACTGTGAACAACTATTAACAATTTATTGAATTCTTTTATAAACTTTATTTAGATATATTTCAGTTATGTGACTGTCATAATCAGAAAAATATGCGATTCCTTGTAGGTGAAAAGGTGGCTTCAAGTTTTGAGTGTTAAGGTAGAAGGAATAAAAGACCTTTCTAATTTTCATATTATCCTGGGTTTAAATTGTACTTACCTAAGTATCCTGAGACAATAGATTTGGCTGACAATGGGAAGTGAGGAATCAACTTCTCTTACATTTTCTGAAAAAATGAATACATAATTTTTTCTGGATTAGTTTATATATGAGAAAGCAGAGAGATGAAATAAACATAAAGTATCTACTTTTCTGGCTATGGAAAAAGATAGCTTTTCCTCTAACACAGTGATGCATGCTTATAGGACTTCTCAATGTTGATGCCGTAGTTACAGGACCATATTTTCATAACCAAAAATCAAGTGACTCCATCTCACAAGTAGAAGTATATTTGTGGTGAAAGTGACTGACTCTTTGAAATATGGACTGACTCAGAAAATTCAGAACATTTATATACCTTAAAAAATGTATATATATATACACACACATATGCATACACACATACACGTAACTATAGAGAATTAATTCCTTTATTGACTTTATCAAATAAGTATACATTTTGAGATTACATGTGAATACAAATAAGTATACATTTTGAGATTATTTGTGTTCACACAAATACACACACATATAATTTTTTCATATGTAAATTTGAAAGGGGACATTTACTATCCCCAAAGAAAACTCCAAAGCAGAAATGCAAAGTGCTGCTGCAGCCACATGCCACCGGTCCCACCTCTCAGCCAGCAGCTACGTGTCTGCTGTTCCAGCCCCTGAGCCCTTTCCACCGTCTGGTCCATGGGAGGCTGTTGTGGGTTACCTCGAGACCTGGCAGCAGCTGGCAGCAGAAGGTGACCACACATCTTTGACAGCATCGAGGTGTGTTCTAATCACTGGGAACATATGCATGATTGGGAAGTGTATTTTTGGTGTGCAGCCTACATCTAGTCTAAATGCTAATTATGAGAATAGCTTTTGCAAGGTTCTTACACCTGATTTGACTTCAGAAAAAAGACTGTGGACCATGCATGTTTCTTAACATGCAAGTTCACTTTTCTTCTCTAGGGATATTTCAGAAGGGAAGGAAAGCTGGCAGGAAAATTGCTATGTAAGTAGGCTTAAACACCATCACAAAAGGAACAGTAATGACTCTTAGGCTCATGGGAGCCTTAGCTCTTGAAGAAACACAAGCAGTCTTCCACAGTAAGAGGAGCCGGGAAGGGAATAAAGGGACTGATGGTCATAAAGTGATCGAGTCTGACTGGTCTAAGTGGGCTTGCTGCAGAGGAGGGACTGAAAAAGCAGAGAAACAAGAATCTCATCCCCAAAGTAGTCAGAAGCTGTCTGTCCCTAGATCAGTTTTGAAAAGTGTTGCAAATTTTTCTGATTCATTGTTTCATTCTGAAAACATTTGTACCAGAAACTGCTGAGGCGTGGTAGTACTCAGTCTGAGATGATACATAGATCATTTAGAACCCAGTATAATACCGGATACAGGTCATGCTCCGGTAATTTTGTTGAATGAATGAAAACTTTAATTTACTCTTACCTAATGTTGGTTGATGGTCATTGGTTAATGGTTGTTAGTCAATGTCTGTGTGACAGAATTGGTCAGGGTACTTAGAGTTGGCACAAAAAATAATATGCCAAGTCTTCTACTTACACATGCCCAACCCCTCAGGATTTTAAAGCCTATGTATTATTTTACTAATCCACAGTACCCTCCCATTTTCTGCTTTTTGTGTTGAATTGTAAATACTGCAAGTCAAACCCATCATATAGCTCTTATTGCTTTGTATACCAAGATTTTCAAGCCCCTGCGTTTGGCCCTTTAATGTTAAGCAAAATAACCACATTAGCATTTAGTAGATCTGACCAATTTTAGAAGGAACATGGTATAGTGTGAAGAAACCAGAGTTGCTGTTCAGAATGCCTAGTCTGAATTCTGGCTCCTGTTCTGCCACTTATCATTTACATATCCTTGAGCAAGTCACTTAATCATTGAACCTTCCTGAGCCTCAATTTTCACATCTGTAAAATGAGTTGCTGTAGTAATGCTATAGTGATATTGCGGATTTATGGGATGGTAAATCTGAAGTACCTAGCACAGTGCCTGGCCCAGAGTGAGTGCTCAGAGGATGCTAGTTTTACAAAGCCCATCTGTTGGCCTGAATTGTAACAGTGCAGTGTCCCCAAGTGCAGAAGAGAGTGGGGTGGAATCGTTCAGTGTGAGTGCCTCACGGACAGAGACTTCATAGCAGCGTGGGACAAGCAGGGGTCTCAGCCTTTGTCACCAAGTATCTTTGTGACTGTGGACAAATCATTGTTCCTCTCTGACTTCAGTTTCGTCCTCTAAAAAGTAGAGTCTTAGTTTTCTTCCAGTGCTGAAATTTTAGAGACATGAAGATCACCTACCGAATTGTCTCCTAATAGTCTGATTTTCTTTGAGGCCACAAATTTTCAGCCTGTTTGTCTTTCTGTTTGTTTTTCTGTGCATGGTGCCCAGCATGTAAGGGCTCCCAGTACATATCTGTGGAAAGAATGAGTTTATAGAACAGTACATAAGTTAGGCATGTATAGTCCTCATTTTCAGCCTGCTTGTTCTAAGTTAGGCTTCCAGAATGGTGAAAGTTGCCCTTGGTATTTTTCTATGCAACATTTCTTTTTTTTTGAGATGGAGTCTCACACTGTCGTCCAGGCTGGAGTGCAGTGGTGTAATCTCGGCTTACTGCAACCTCCACCTCCCAGGTTCAAGTGATCTTCCTGCCTCAGCCTCCCGAGTAGATGGAACAGCTGGGATTACAGGTGCATGCCACCAGATCCAGCTAATTTTTGTATTTTTAGTAGAGACAGGGTTTTACCATGTTGGCCAGACTGGTCTTGAACTCCTGACCTCAGGTGATCTGCCCACCTTGGACTCCCAAAGTGCTGGGATTACAGGCGTGAGCCAGCGGGCCCGTACAACGTTTCTTTTAAAGGGTGAGAAGGTGGCCTGTAGGTGATTTGGCTGAGACTTGAAAGGCAAGGTCTCAGTGCCTTAGCTTTAAGCCCTCAATCCCTCTGCCTCCCTAACAGAGAGAGGGATAGCAGTTAGATTAGATGAATAAGGGCTTCATATTTACCACCTCACCTTATGAGATGAGCATTGGATTGATTCCTTTTTTTTGAGACAGAGTTTCGCTGTTGTTGCCCAGGCTGGAGTGCAATGGCACAATCTTGGCTTACTGCAGCCTCCGCCTCCTGGGTTCAAATGATTCTCCTGCCTCAGCCTCCCAAGTAGCTGGGATTACAGGCATGCGCCACCACGCCTGGATAATTTTGTATTTGTATTTTTTTTTAGTAGAGATGGGGTTTCTCCATGTTGGTCAGGCTGGTTTCGAACTCCCGACCTCAGGTGATCTGCCCGCCTCAGCTTCCTAAAGTGCTGAGATTACAGGCGTGAGCTACCACGCCCAGCCAGATTGATTCTTTTCTTTAAAGACACAGTGATTCAGTGATAGGCTTAAGATCATACAACAAAGCTGTAGCAGAATTGAGATTAGACTCCAGGTATCTTAACTCCCATGCAAGTGTGCAAACGTCAGTCCTCAGAGTCTTGGGGGTCTTTGGCGTGCCTGGACCACTGTATTTAGATGGTAGGTAGGCTACACTAAGGGATGCATCACAATTCTGCTTGTTTGTTTATGCATGGAACTGATAAGTAAATTTTGTTTGAACGATAACATGGGCAAAAGAAAGGGTTTAAAACCACTACACCAAAACATCTTCCTAATTTGTTAAAAGTCAAAATTTAAAAAAATGATCTCTACCCAGAAAGAAGCTCCAGCTCATTTTTTTCCTTTCTCCCTTTTTCTTGCTGCAGGTTAACTGTAATGGCTTCACAATTGAAGATGAAGAACTTTCTCATTTGGGATCAGCGATATTTCCTGAGTAGGCTGTGTTTGACTTCATTTCTTTCCTTTTTACTTACTTAACACTAATTTGATTTTTTTTTCATTTTTAAATAACCCACCTAACTGCATGTGGCAGACATGAAACTCAAAGTGAATTAAAACAGCTTTTTAATCTGCCAGATTTCAAAATATTTCCCCTACACTTAAGGATCCAAAGGTAGTAGTTAAGAGAACAGTTGCTTGTTAAGTCCTGCTAGGCAGAGAGCTGTTATTAAAGAATATTTTATAGCGCGCATAGAAGGAACAGCTCATGCCCTGCTGAGAAATTTGCTTTCTGCCTATCTGTGGTTCTGGAAATCTTTCCATTTCTTATGCTCAAAGTGAAACATTAATTGCCAACCAAGAATTGGCCACAAGCTTGAGTACAGACTATATGAGCTTCTTCTCCATCTGTCCTTTTTGATAAATACCAGTACAGAAACAGCACAATTTGGAGGGAGAATATGCTGAAGTAGTGGGCCGGATAAAAATTTCAAAGAACTGTAGGATTTTCTCTGGATTTGAAGAATACTTGAGTAATTCAGCAAAGGCTAGCCAGTTGACAAATGGAGATCTTTATAGATCTGACTTTAATGGATTGCCAAGAATGATTTTGCCTTTGTCTGTCTCATGGAGTGAGTATTTCCAAAATGCTTCAGTCCCTGAAATCAAACCCTTGCTTCACAGATAGAGCCAAGGAATTCATCATGCATCCCCCCAGCCTCCAAATTAATCCACATTGTAGATAAGTTCTATCCAGAGGGAGGTTGCTTAACATATACTGCAGGGGCCTTTGCCTGTAGGTTGCCACATAGGTAGGAAACCCTTAATACTCATGCATTTGCCCTGAGTGATGTGCCTGCCCTTAGCTATGTGCGTCTCTGCCAGACGCTGTGCGTTGTGTAGGTCAGAAAGAGAAGAATCCGTACAGTCTGTGTCTCGTGAGCAGCTGTCACAGGTTTACTTGAACCAGAGAGACTAAAAAGTTTGTTCATGTAATATTTGTCCTTGGGGCCAAAATGGCATCATCTGCAGTTGGAATTCTGGAAGTGAGGAAAGAAGCTTTTTTTTTTTTTTTTTTTTTTTAACTTTGGCCCCTGGGAAAAGGCAGGAGAAAAAGAGGGCATTGGACCCACTGAAGAAGGCGTGTATTGACACCTTTATAACTGAAATGAACTATGGAATGTCTCTGTTCTTAATATCTTAAAAGACTAAAAGATTAAGAGTAAGGTGCTGCCGGGCACGCCTTACAGGTGTGGTGGCTCACACCTATAATCCCAGCACTTTGGGAGGCCGAAGCGGGCAGATCACGAGGTCAGGAGTTGGAGACCAGCCTGACCAACATGGTGAAACCCCGTCTCTACTAAAAATACAAAAATTAGCTGGGCATGGTGGCGCACACCTGTAATCCCAGCTACTCAGGAGGCTGAGGCAGCAGAATCACTTGAACCCGGGAGGTGGAGGTTGCAGTGAGCTGAGATCGCGCCACTGCACTCCAGCCTGGACAACAAACCGAGACTCCATCTCAAAAAAAAAAAAAAAAAAAGAGTGAGGTGCTTTGAGGATTCTCACCTGTCAGTGGTTGCCAACAGAATTATGATACCAAGAACATGAATTGTTTTAGGGTCTTTGACTTAGTGCATTTCCCCCACCTTCATTAAAGAGATACCCGAGTCTGCCTTCAGCTATTTAATACTTCCGCAAGATGGTTTTAGAAATGTGCTTTTATTTTAATACAACTACCCTTCGATGCATTTGTTTATTTGATTTCCTAGGACCTGATTCCTTGGGCATCACTTTCCAGGAAGCCAAGTGGGCCTTGGTGCAGTGCAGAGGTGGCCCTCCCCGAGGTCAAGACCAGGAAGCTGCTACCTGTTTATCTCAGGCACCAGGCTAACCACATACTTTGCTTAGGCCTTTAGCAGCCAGGAGGTGGGGGAGTGCACTTGGCCATAGGCCATAGCCAGCCTGGGGCAGTTCATCCTCATCAGGCTTCGAAACCCCTTTCCCTTTTTGTATTCTCGGAGCAAGCAGGAGAGGGGCTGTGGTCTCTGGAGGGTCAGGGAGGTGACATTGGCCACCAGAGCAATGACACACATGGCTGTGAGTGCCCGTAGGAGCATGAGCCCCAGTTTCTGGGCAGTTTTAATTGGGGGAAAAAATCCCTTTGGGCTGAAATCATATCAGCATTGTGATTTCAAAGGCAGCATTTTCAGAGATCAAGCACTTTTTCCCTGTAGTTTAGAAATTTCTGTTCTCAGAACTTTGACCTTCATATAATCAGAAAGCTCAAAGCACCTCGCATAGGCGAATCTCTCTCTCTCCTTCTCGCTGTCCCTGAAAAGCAGACAGTGAGCAGCAGGAGCAGTAATGTCCCAATTTTCCAGATGAGGAAATTGAGGTGCAGAGAAACTCAGACGGGTGTCTCCGGGTCTCTCAGGGGATCACACACCCTTCCTCCCTTAGGAAGCTGGCATTTCTCAACATCTGAAAAAAACGTGAGAAATAATCCACTAATACAAAAAGCTGCTTGAAAGCGACAACGCACCTGTGTTTGACAGTGTATAGTGAAGTAGCAATTAGCTGTGGGTATTGGGTTCTGAGAGCTGCATTCTATCAGGGAGGAATATTTGTGGCATTTGTTGTTTTTGCTGTTGTGTGTTTTTTGGTTTTGGCTTAGATAGTACTTGAATTGTGGATTTCAGTTTTTAATATGGTGAAAGTGTGAGATGGTAGATAGGATTATCAGTGCATGCAGAACAACCTCTTAGAATGTGATAGCCAACTATTAGATTTTTAAAAAATGTCTTGCAAAGATTCAGTTCCTCTGACTTAGCAAGTAAGTAGTGAAGGAAGCTAAACAGTCTGCCTATCTCATTTTAAAAACTGGGTTTTCTCTTCTGACTGACAGTGTTGCATTGATGAATCATAGCTGTTGCCCCAATGTCATTGTGACCTACAAAGGGACCCTGGCAGAAGTCAGAGCTGTACAGGAAATCAAGCCGGGAGAGGAGGTGAGTTCATGGCTATGGGTGGCTGCAGCAGGGGGCTTGAGACTGCTCTTTAAAAGGCAATGTGGACAGATCTGTGCAGTGTCACTTGACAGTATGAGTTGTGAATGCCTCCAGCAGTTTAGCTGAGTCTGCCCTCAGGCTCTCCAGGAGTCAGTGATCAGATTTGTAACCTGTAGTTTAGATTCCCACACTTTGGGGCTTCTGTTTGGTACATACATTTCCATCTCTGGTCAAGAAAAACAGGAAGTAATAAATTTGAGTCAAATTTGTCCCAAAGCTTTATAGAGATTTACAGAGAAAGAAGACATTTACTACCAAAATGACCACAGTCAAACTTTTGATTATCTTTAGAGTCTCTGTATCCCTATTGCCAAACAACTGAGCTTGAGCCTTATTTTATTTTATTTTTTTTGGTGAATTCTTGCTTGTTCCCCACCATCCCTCAAAGGTCCAAAGCAAAAGAAAGCAAGCAACGCAGCAGTAGCTAAAGAGCTGGCACTCCAAGGGACACATCAGAATTTCGTGTTCTATCAGTTCCACATCTGAACTTCAGGTCGCAGTTCACTTTTTAGGAATCTAAATCAAAAGTCCAGGTATATGCAGTAATAGGAGAAGTCAAGGCAGTCTGTGGCCAAGGGGCACCTTAGTTTCCCTCCTCAGCTTCAGGACGTGGAGAGAACCAGTCTTCCCATCACCTGCTCAGCGATTCCCTGTTCCCTTCCCATGTGTGATTCCTGACTACCTCATGAGACGTCTCACCTGGGAAGGGCTGGCCTGATGGATTGCTGTAGTATGCTCTGTGTTCTTAAGTAAATTCCCAGCAAGACACATGAGTTTTTAGGAACTTGTAATCACACTTGGGTTAATTTCAGTTTAGCAATTTGTAATGCTATTTTACGGTGCATGCCTGGGTATTTGAAGTGTGAAGTGTAAAATATAACTGTCAGCGTGCTGAATGACAAGTGCTTTGCTTTCTCTGGAAGGCACTCACTAATCCACAGCTGCACTGGGAGCTGAAGCCCAAGATGCAGGCAGGTTGGCCCTTCTACCTTCAGCTAAATCCATTACGATGAGGGTGTGTCCCCTTTCGGCTGGGGTGTCTGAGTTTCCAAAGGTCTTATGGAGACTGCTCTGAAGCCTTTCTTGAAACAGATAATTGCAGCCAGTCAGAATGCAGTCACCCAGGCTCCAGTGCACCTGTGGGCTGACTGCAGAGATGAGCAGGTTGTCACCTAAGCTGGCTCAGTCTGGCTGGGAGCAGTGGTACTGGAGTGGCCTTTGTCGCCATCTTCTGGAAGCTTCCGCATGTTGCACTGTGAGTCAGTCATTACAGAGATTGTTGGCAGGCTCTTGTGGTGTGAGGCAGGGCAGGGGTGGCTGCAGTTTCCTTTTGCCCTTATGTTCTCCCAGATCTGAAACGCAGTAACCTCATTTTTGGGAAGTCAGTGCTTTGGGGATTACTTACCCTTCAGAGAAGGAGAAACCCCATTCCCCAGGGTTTCGGGGTGAGCTGCAACGTGTCCAGTACCTCCCCATGGGCTGGGGAGAGCTTAGCTGCCCCTGCAGCACCCAGCCCTGTGCGTGTCCTCCCCTGCCTGCCTGGTGGTGCCCGTGGTCACTGGCACGCTAGCGGCTTCATGAGATCCATCTGTTCAGTCAGACATTTGCCTGATTGTGTGGGATGAGTAGCCAGTGCTGTCCCAGTGAGTAGATAATGGACATCTAAATGCTGGTCTCCTCCATATGCTCCAAGCCTTAGTTACAGACCCCATTAGGAAAAGGCAAGGACGGTGGAGCCCCATGAACCAAAGGTAAGGACTTTCCAAGCTCGCTGCCCTGCAGGATCAGGAGCTGCCCGCTGGGCCAGGCCGCAGCATTCTGGTGTCCTAGAAGATGTGTTCACCCTCCGCTGGCCACCCAGAGCTGTGGGTCCCAGCCCACTGAGTGGAGCCTCTTGCTCCATTGCCAGTTGATGTGAGGAGAAGGGGAGCTTAGCTGCATGTGTGTGGTGTGTGCGTGCTCATGCCCTCCCCTGCACGCAGCATCCAGTGATGACGGCAACGAAGCATTTGCGCCGTCTCAGGTGGTGAAACATGAAACTACATGAAGGCCAGGCAGAGGCAGCTGAGGGAGGCAGGGATCCTCTGAACCCTCCAGGACACTGTTTTAAGGACTCCTTGATTCTACAGACTCTTTCCACTAACCTGCACCTTGGCTTCAGCTCCCAGTTCAGCTGTGGATTAGTGAACACCTTCCAGAGAAAGCCAACGTCAGGTGGCTGCTCAGTTCAGGAATTCCGTGCCTTAAAGTAAACAGCGCATTCCTCCGCTGCAGCCCGCCTTATCCTCTGCATGGGCCCTGCAGGTGACTGCAAAGGCACGGGAATGACAAGGATTGAGTTTACCTGTAGCAGACTGAAGCTTTATCTTTTTGGACCCCGTAGGTTTTTACCAGCTATATTGATCTCCTGTACCCAACGGAAGATAGAAATGACCGGTTAAGAGATTCTTATTTCTTTACCTGTGAGTGCCAGGAGTGTACCACCAAGGACAAGGTAAGGTTGTTCATTGGGCAAGAGCGCTGACTGCACTCTGATCTCAGGACCTCTCTGCTGAAGAGCTTGTCTGACTTGGCGGATCTCCTCTAGGATCTTTTTGACCCTTTAAACCCTCCTTACAAAGACAGCCAAAGGGAATCTAGTTAGACCAGGTCTCTGTTCAGACCTGCTCCTAGTAGCTAAAGAAAACATTTCCATTACACTGTACAAACAGGAGAAAGGTCTGCCGAACTGCTCTTTCTTGAAAAGAAACAACTGCTCAAAGGAGGAGGGGGGAAAAGCACATGAGTATAATCTCTAGGCTTTCCAACCTGTTCACCAGAATATGTGGAAGTTTCCCTGGCATTTTCCAAATTGTTCCGTCAATGCCATCCTTCCTTATTCTAGTCTCTTGATTCGTAGATGTGTAAACACATATATCTGCCCATAGCCAACACATTTTAGATAAGGAGTATCTAGAAAATTAATCTTTTTGTTTTGTTTCTGTAAAAAGGTAATGGAGTACTGAATTTCTTCAGATGCATTGCCTGATTTCCTTTCATTCTTTTGTAACCTTGGAATGGGCCAGTGTCGACCGCTGTGTGGGAATGTGTATTATATGAGAGGTTTCCCTATCAGTGTGGTTTCCATGGGCGGTAACGCCTTGCCCTTGTGGACGTTTCCTTCAGGATAAGGCCAAGGTGGAAATCCGGAAGCTCAGCGATCCCCCAAAGGCAGAAGCCATCCGAGACATGGTCAGATATGCACGCAACGTCATTGAAGAGTTCCGGAGGGCCAAGCACTATAAATATATCCTTTACAACTGCCCTGATAGCTTATTATCCCTCGCCAACAAGGCAAGGTGGGAAGTTGGAAAGAGGGAGCAGGAGAAGGATGGATTTAAGATTCTGAAAACCAAAGGAGGAATGTCTCCTAGTAAATGTGTAAAGGCGTACTGACCACCCACAATGTGGTGTCCATCCTGTTGGAGTTGTATGATTTTATTTCCCCTTATTTTGGCTAGTTTGGCTGGGAGCCCCATGTGGTGGAGGACCATGAAGGACAGAGCCTTGATGGCCTTGTGCTTTGGGTATTTTACTTTGGGCAGGGCACAGTGCCAAGGGCCTTGCTTATTTCAGCTCTCCTCACTGGCACACTCTGAGCAGGGACTCTGCTCATTCCCATGCAGCAGATGAGGAAACAGCCTGATAGATATTAAGTAATTTGCCCAAAGGACACAGCTGATGGTGATAGGATCTAGGATTTTGTCCCAGCTCTATCAGAATCCATATTCTTAACCATTGTATTGTAGCATTTTCTTGGGAGTTGAAAAGGGATTCGATTTGTACTCTAAAGGGTAGAATTTAAAACCAGTGAGAGGAAATGAGAGAAAGGCACATTGTTTCTCAGCATAAGAAAGAACTTTGCCACAGTGGGAGTCGTGCTCAGGGTTCCAACTTGGGTGAGGATTTGAATTTGATTAGAATCGTGATTTTAATCAACATTGTTTACATCAGAACTAGGGGTCTGGACCCTGCGGCTAAAATTCTTGAGTTGAGCGGTTCCGACCTTCAGGTTTTCTTCATTTGTTTTTTCTGGAGAAATGTAATTCCTTTCACTTTTGCTTGGCTTTCTGTAAGTTACTTTTTCATGGGGTAAGGGTGAGAGTGGAGTGGACGAAATAACTCCTTGAACCCAGCCTGGGGAAGCCTCCAGGCAGCTTGGGCCCGGTGGCCCTTTCCTTGACTCCACAGCACCCCCTAGTGAGCTGCTGGAGATCTGCGAGCTCAGCCAGGAGAAGATGAGCTCTGTGTTTGAGGACAGTAACGTGTACATGTTGCACATGATGTACCAGGCCATGGGTGTCTGCTTGTACATGCAGGACTGGGAAGGAGCCCTGCAATATGGACAGAAAATCATTAAGCCCTACAGGTGATTGCAGAGGCTGTTCTAATCATCCACGGAGTGGAATTTGGTTGTTTAGAATGTATACGATAGTGTCATCTTCCTGCCCATTGCTGAGACTTGCCTAGCGCAGCTGCCTCTTCTCTGCACCCACATCTGGAGGTGCTGGTGCAGGGCACTGCTCCCGAGTCAGGCCTGTTCTCACCATCATCCCAAGGAGACAGGTTGAGGTTATGCAGCGGATACTGGGGCAAGATCCCTCCCAGGTCCATCCAGGGCCATATCCATAGTAGTTAACTCAGGCTAGTTTTGAGAAGCCACTAGTTTGCTTCTTTTCCCACCCACTGCTTCCAAGTTTAATTACTAAGTGGTGGTCTCAGAAACCCTGGTTTTCATCATTACTCACACCATCCCCTTCTTTTGCTTTTTCAAATTACAGCCCCAGTTTGCAAATGGGGAAGCTCTGGGACCAGTGGGTTGACCGTGGTTATCTAATCTCCCCACCCCAGGTTTGGAAAAAAGAAACAAAAATTGCTTTTTAATTTGTAGTAATAATGAATATTAGCCCTGGAGAGATTTCCTGCCTGAGAGGGTTACTAAACCTAAAAGTGGGTGACAGACGGAAGTTGTGGCTTTGTCCTCTGACTCGGACTAGACACTTCAGGGCTGAGGTGGCCTAGATGGGATCACTGGAGCTCTTTTTAAAGGCACTGATATTATGCATTTACAGGGTACGTCCAACACCAAGTGGGCCAAGTGAATCAGGGTCGCTGGGCATTAGACCCAGAAATCTGTGTTCTGGAAGCATCCCAGGTGTTTCTCAGGAGTTTGAGAAGCCCTCAGTCTCCTTCCACTTCCGAGATTAGGGTCTGTGAAGGTTGTGTCTGGTCTGAATGTCCACTGCCCACTCCACCCTCTACTTACCCCACTGTGCCCTGATTAGCCAGCAGGGGGAGCCCAAAGGAAGCCAGCTCTTAAAATCTGCTCTTGGAAACAGAATTTGTTAAATTGGGGATAAACTCAAACCTTCCTTTTCTCCTAGAGTGTGTGAGGAAGTGCACTGGCCTCATGCGCAGTTCTCTGTGTGAGATCTGTAGGGAGAGAGGAGCAGACAGACAGCATCCCAGCCCTGTGGTTCTCCCAGCAGGGCCTTGCTCTGCTAGACCCATCTTTATCTGCGTGAGCCCCTCCCGGAAGCCCAGCTCTGGTCTTCTGTGGGGCCGTGGGTCCCAGGGCTGCCTCCTACCCAGGAATACAGCTAGAACATGTCTTTTTGGACTGACTTTCAGGAGACACAGGGTGGAACAGCCTAGCCTTTAAATAAACACCTCTTACACACATGTAAACACACACACTGGCTCACCCACCAGCTGCCTCTGGGCCCTGTTCTTAGGGAAATGGCTGTTTCCCAGGCAGACCCCATCAGTCAGTCTTCAGGTACAGCCGGAGAGAACACTTGCTGTATCTAAAGCCCCTGCTGGACAATGGGGAAAGAACATCCAGAAGACACAGGAAGTGTTCTGACTTCAGAGCACTTAACTGTTTTGCTAAACCAACCCATATCATAGTGTGACAGAAAGCTGGGGTCTTAAGACACATTGGGGTGGGTGGGGGTTGGGTGGGTGGCTGTATGTCTGAGTACCTAAGGTGATAGGCCTAATTGCTGCCTTCATAAATGGGACATTTACTTCACAAGCTGTTTTCCCAGGGTCTTCCTCTGGGTATGTCTGAAATATAAAAATCTGGACTGGGATTGAAGATTGTGTTTACAAATGCTTTTGAATAGGATTTCTCCTGCAGTTGTTACGTAGCTTTTCAGAAACACACAAACTACAAATAATGAACAACATCTGCAATGATTCGGCAGGGTGGCAGCATCCACGCTCTCCACCCAAACCCTGGTGGGATTTGGAGAGGCCGCTGGTGGGCAGAGGTTGGCCCTAAGCATGGCAGCCTCCGGCTTACTGCACCCAGCCTGTGGGGCGGCTCAGTAGCCGCTGACATGGTGGCCTGTTGTCTCTTCTCTTGTTCTAGTAAGCACTATCCTTTGTACTCCCTCAACGTGGCCTCCATGTGGTTGAAGCTAGGGAGACTCTACATGGGCCTGGAACACAAAGCCGCAGGGGAGAAAGCCCTGAAGAAGGTATGTCTGTAACTCGGCCTTAGGATTCCCAGTGGCCAGATGGCCTCCTTAGCGCACCTCCTTCATGCCTCACCAGGCTGAATGGCTGAAGCAGTGGAGGGTGAGCAGCTCTCACCCACCCTCTTGCCGTGGGAGCAGCGGGGGTGGGTCCTGCAGGTGAGGGGGGAGTGAGAGAGTGCACCTCTGCTGTGTTTGTGTCCAGGCCTCCCTCAAAGGGAATGGGTGCCCACATCCAGAGGGCTGGCCGTGATCACAGGCCCAGCCTGTGCCTGGAGGAATTCTCCATTTGTTTGACCTTTGGGATTTTCAGAATGATGATCCCCAGTTGTGAAATCAAGGAGGTAGGATATGGAGAGTTAGGGTTAGGATGTTAGAATTGCGCATTTGCTGTTTCTAAAATGCACTTAATCATCCTCTCAGTTCATTGAGGACCAGTTACATACCAAGACCCTCGTGTGCTTTTCCTTTGAATTCTCACAAAACCGAGAGGCTTTCCTGATGAAGAAAGTGAGGTTCAAGCAGGTTTAAGTGAGTAATAGCCTAGGGTACATGGTGGGGCCTTCATTCAAATGAGGGTCTAAATTGAAAGCTTCGGCTCCTCCCACTCAAGCTGTGATGAAACTGGTGGGGAGCCAGAACCCTGGGCAGCATTCGCCTTTGGTTTGATGGCGGCCCTGTGCTGCCCAGGAGCCAGGCCCCGACCCTCACATCATGGGAGGTCAGAGTCATCATCCTGAGTATTGATTCTCATTGTTTGTGATGTGGAATTCACAGTCAATACAGTGTAATTTAGGGGATAGTCCATTTACTCCTGTAAGAAACTTTATAAAATGCTGGGGCCATGGACAGGGCCTGCAGGCCTAATCTTTCACCTTCTCCAAAGTTTCCCAATAGACTATTTGCGAAGATGGAATAAGGCCCACATCCCAAATAGAAGGGTCAGGGCACAGCCAGGCTGGAAGGGAGCACAGAACAAAATTTTCTGTTTTAAACCATGGAATTTGTCTTCTGAGAATTAGCCATTTGGGTCACAACTGCAAAGTGTGTCAGGTGATTAAGTAATAGATCAATGAAAGCTGGAGCAGATCTGAGCAAGGAACATGAGTCTTGAAATGAATGCCTGGGCAGAGTCGGCACCTGGAACAGGTGATTTCCGAAGGCTTGCACTGTTACTTGGCCTGCCTCCTCTTGGCTTGAGATCTAGGAGGAGAATATATAATAGATAGGAATGCCTGTCATAGTCACAGGCCATTAAAAATTCTCTGGGGGAATACTTTTTTCTCTGAGTAATTTGGCTGAATACAAAAGAGCAAATACATTCTTAGAGATGACATTTGATATAAACTTCCTGTATGCCAGGCGCTGTTCGAAACACTGTATCTGAATTAACAACCCTGAGAGGTAGGTATTATTCCAGTTTTACAGTTCAGGAAAATGAGGCACAGAGTGGTTAAGTAAATTACCCAAGGCCACACAGCTAGGAAATGATTAAACCACTGGAAACTTGACCATGTTACATTGCCTCACTATAAAGAAACCTTAAGTACATTCTCTAGCATCCCTCAATGAAACCTGCTACCTTTCTTTTAAGTTTTTAGAATATGTATTAAAAGGAAAGAGTATGCTTTTCGAAAGGGAAAAATAGTTTAGCTACGTCTTGCAGGTTAGTAATGTCAACTAAAAATCAAAATAGCTTTGATATAAAATTCACTATGGACTTTACCAGCATCACCTATTTTCTGGGTTGAACATAATCAAAAAAATTAGTCCTTAAAGCATGTTTTACTGAAAGATCTAGAATCTTGGGGCAAGAGAATGTCATGAAATCAGTTTCATGACATCGTTTCTCCAGCTGGATATTTTTGCAGAATGTTTTACCTAGCAGTAGACACTGGATGAGTTAGCTACCAGATGGTCTTCTCCTTTTTTAAAAAAAAACCAAGGCCAGGCACGGTGGCTCATGCCTGTAATCCCAGCACTTTGAGAGGCCAAGGCGGGCGGATCACGAGGTCAGGAGATCGAGACCATCCTGGCTAACACAGTGAAACCCCGTGTCTACTAAAAATACAAAAAATTAGCCAGGCATGGTGGTGGGCGCCTGTGGTCCCAGCTACTCGGGAAGCTGAGGCAGGAGAATGGCGTGAACCCGGGATGCGGAGCTTGCAGTGAGCGGAGATCGCACCACTGCACTCCAGCCTGGGCGACAGAGCGAGACTCCGTCTCAAAATAAATAAATAAATTAAAATAAAAACAGGTCCTGGTGGAGAACATAGGCTCTAATGGCCAGTTTGCATCCTGTGCCTTAAAGCAGAGAGATCCAACTTAAAGTTACCCTGGGTGGAGGTGTGAGGAGATTGGCTTCTAGGCTCTCATTGTTTGTCTTGCTTTTTCCTAGGCCATTGCAATCATGGAAGTAGCTCACGGCAAAGATCATCCATATATTTCTGAGATCAAACAGGAAATTGAAAGCCACTGAAACTATGCAGCATTTCAGTTTTCATTTAAACACTTAGTTCAGAAACCTTAAAGGATTTGAATATTTCAAATTGCACACGTCACTCCAGCATCTCTGTAAAATAATTGGAATGAAAATACTTCTTGCACTTAAACACTGCACATGCCGTACTTTGAGGTTAGTCTGAATCTTGAACTTTAATACCAAATTAATTTTGAATGCTTTTGTTTCCTAAGAGATAATGGCATGGTTTCATATGTTATACTTTGGACAGACAGAGTTTTAAAAATGGAATTATTTTTTCTTTCATGCCTCTTGTAATGTTCTGAACAAACTTGAATGATGAAAGTATTAAAGAGATATCAGTATTTGAGGTTTGTATTTTCTTCTGTCTCTGGGGAGGATTTCTCAGTGGTGGTGGGAGCCCAGTCTTGGAGTGAAAGTGACACCTGCTGTCCATAATTCAGCAAGCTCAAGTCTTCTCCATGGGACTGGGGTCGGGCAGCCTCTTTATTCTGCAGTTGCTCTTGTGGGGCTGTGCCTGTGGAGGAAGAAAATGGGAAGAAAGAGAAAAAGGTACACGAAGGAAAGAAAACTATCATCTATCTGTGGTGGAGGAACAGTCCAGTGACCCAAGTGCCCTCCAGCAGGCGAGGTTTTGAATCTGTTCTCTGGTGCCTGGTATTCCTTCAGTGTGTAAAGGTGCTTAGTGCGTGCTTTGCTTTCTTGGCTTTTCTGTCCCCATCTGTCTGAAAGCAGACTTGCCATCTCTCATTCTGTTGATTGTTCTGTGCAGTACTCTCCTTTTTGGAAAAACTCCAGGGTATGCTTGGGAAGGAAAAAAATGTTTTTCCTTACCAACCAACGCTGTGTTGTTGAGTAAACACTGATCTCTACCCACACAGACAACAGGAATCCAGCTTTCTGCAGCCCCACAGCCTAGACAGCAGCAACCTGGGGAGTTGTTTGTTAGCAACCATTGCACAGAAGGACGCAGCACACGTTCCTGAGTGCAGGGGTGTTACTCTTAGAAAAGCGTCTTGTAGTCGAAAGAGAGGAACTTCCCCACTGGTTAATAAGTAAAGCCTGTTGAAATTTACATGTCAATTACCTTTCATAGTCATGGTCCGAAAACAGCTAGAACAGCTGTAAATCTGGTACATTTTCCTTCCCTCCTCATCTACACGCACCCACATCTTCACACACACTCATGCCCCTCTTTCACACGCAGTTTGCTGCACACAGTGGGATTTAGCAGATAGAATGCATTCTCTTGTCCTGTGTAGTCCAATAAGACATTTACTGAACACCTGGTACTATCTATGCTAAATGCTCTGAATAGCTCTCTAGGTGCAAAGAGAAGAGTAAGGCATGGTCCCAGATCAGTGGAACTTAGGTTTTAAGAATGTTCATTTACTATACATTCTGTGACGAAGCCTAAAATAAACTTAGCCTACCATCTCTATAGGTTTTATAAAATTTGCAAAAGTAATCCTTTCTCAGTAAATTCAAGTAATGGAAATGTATATGAAAAAAGTAAACTTCTTTGTTCTTCACCAGTCCCACTGCGTGGAGCTAACTGCCATAAACAGTTTGCTTTATATGGTCCCAGGTTTTTCCATTCCTGGATGATGATGTAGCTATATAAATAGATTTAGAAGAACAAAGACAGGATGGTACTGACATAGGATTTTGTAACGTGCTTCTCCAAACGAACAAAATGGATCTCTTTGCATTTCAGCACTTACAGATTTGCCTCATTCTATTTAGAGGCAGAATATTGCATTGGATGCATGTCATCATGGACTCGGTACTTCTATTTATGGACAGGAGGTTTTTTTTCCCAGTTTGCTGCTATTACAAACAATGCCACAATGAATGATCTGAAACATAAAACTTTGCGTTGTGTGGTAGCATTTTGGGGAATAGATTCCTGGAAGTGCAATTTCAAGATCCAATAGTGGGAATATTTTTAAAATTTGAATAAATATAGCCACATTTCCTTTTGTAAAAAAAAAAAAAAACTGCATCAGATACAAATAAGATAGATATAATAGTATTTGCTTTCCTCTCCCTCATAACGTTGTATTATCATTAAAATGTTTTTGGCAATGTAATGTGTGAAATATTTTGTTTTATATGCATTTATTAGTGAGATTGGACTGTTTTTCATATATTCAGGATTTATTTTATTTCTTCGGTGAATTGACATTCATGGCTGAGCTGTTTTTAGCACAACACTTTCTGACACCGAATGTTTGAGGTTTTATCTCACACCAGCTATTCTCTAACTCTTTGGACACCAACTGTGTGTCCTACAATTCAGTTCTATTCTGATACTACCCTGGAGTTAGCGTCAGACTCCATAGGTTTAAAGACTCCATCCCATAAGACTTCCCTCACTTCAGATGCCAGTTGGAAGGATCTCACTCGGTCACCCAGGCTGGAGTGCAGTGGCGTTATTTTTTTTGTTGTTTTTAGAGGTGGGTCTTGCTGTCTTGCCCAGGCTGGTCTCAAACTCCTGGCCTAAAGGGATCCTCCCACCTCGGCTTCCCAAAGTACTGGAATTATAGGCACGAACCACCTTGCCTGGCTCCCAGGTTACCCAGTTTCTATCATCTGACTTGGCCACAAAGTCAGGGGGTTGCCACAATCCCCTCGCCTTCATGTTCGATAATTTGCTAGAATGGCTTATCAGAGTCCGGAAAACATTTTACTTCCTATTACTAGCTTATTATAAAGGATACAAATGAACAGGCAAATGAAGGGTACATAGGGCAAGGTCTGGAAGGGTCCCGGGTACAGGAACTTCCATCCTCATGGAGCTGGGGGTGTGACATCTTCCTGGCACATGGACGTGTACACCAACTCGGAAGCCCTCCAAACCCCATTGTACAGGGTTTAAATCATTGATCATTTGACTTAAATGATCATTAGTCATTTAATAAAATCATTAGCAATTGATGATTAACTCAGTCTGCAGCCCTTCTATCTTCCCCACAGGTTGGGGAGTTGAGGCTGAACATTCCAAGCTTCTAATTAAGGCTTGGTCTTTCTGGAGGTCACCCCTCATCCTGAAGCTACCTAGAGGCACACCAAGAGTTGCTGTATTAGAACAAAAGAGACTCCTATCACTTAGGAAATTCCAAGGGTCTTTTAAGAGGAGCTGTGTCCCAGGAACTGAGGACAATGACCAAATAATCTTTCTATGACACTAAAGGACACCCTTTTGGTCTCTGACCACAGATTACTCATAAAAAAGGATGATATTTACTGGCATATTTCTAGCTTCCCGTGTAGTCACTGGTAATCCAGTCTATCATCCTACTGCATGAAAATGTCTCCCTAGCTGAGGCCACTCAGGCGTACAGGCTTCTATTTGATCTTGTCAGGTTCCACAGGCGAGAGTGATCTTGGCAATATGTCTTTACCCTTTCAGGCCTCTGGTATAATTGAGCTAAGAGACAATATCATCTCTTGTTCTGAGCCTTTTTCAAGATGTCAGCACGATACTGGATTTCCCCTATTACATAACTCATTTAATCATTCCTTTGCCCTCAGCTGCTATTTCTCCTCTCCATTTATCCCCTTTGTTCATTCACCTTTGGAAGAGACATTAGGTTCCACCTCTGTGCTTGTCTAGGTTGCAGACAGCAATACTAGTCTAACAAAAATGCCTCCCCTTCAGTCCACTCCCTTCAGGTACGGTAGGATTCTGTAGGTACAGAACTAATGGGCTATTTCTGACACTAGGCAATAGAGCTGCATTCACTGGTAACCCTGATTTTGCCAGATAGATAGGATGAAGGCCTGACCTGCCCCATCAGACCCTTAAGAATTCTGACATAAAGGTTTAGAAACGTAGTTCAGTTTCTTGCTTAGAAATCATCCCTGTTTCTAGCACTGGTAGTTGCAGCCCTGGTCCTGGGACCACTGCATCAGATAGGAAAAAGAAAGTTGAGATGATGTAGGAAAGGAAAAAAAAAAAAAAAGTATGGTTATACCAGCATCTTTTCCTTGGGAAGAATGGTGGTCATACCAGCACTCTTTCCCAACCCCTCTGCCCCAGTTTCACCAGGAAAACAGGACTCTCTCCAGTGGGGACACTCCCTTAGGCCCCCCCTTATTTTATGTGAGCACACACTTGTGAAGGCATGGAAGCCAGCCCTTCCTGCCTTTATCTCCCCCCATTTTAGACAGTAAATATTTCAACTGCCTGTTCCAATTCTCTATTAAGCCATTTCTCTGAGGATAATATGCAACACAAAGTGCCCATTTGCTGAGCTATCTCTTCCCACTGGAGGACACGGTGGGCTGCAAAGTGTGTCCCTTGGTCTGGAATGGGTGCAGTATCTTCTGGTTCTTTTGTAGCACTCTAAGCATAGTTGCATCTACCACTGGGTAAGCAAATCCCAGTCCAGAGTCAGTGTTGATTTCTCTCAGGACCCAGTTGTAGCCTCCTGGGCCTACTGGCATTAACCTGACTTGTGAGCTATGTTCAGGGCCCCCCACCCCACCCAAAACAGCCCTTACTGGCATTTTGTTTCTCAGAGGGTGCAACAGGAGTATGTCTAGATTGAGCCCATCTCTGCATTATTGCAGCCTGTCCCTGCCATGTCCACTCATTTCATGGACCTAGGTGGCCACCTAGGTGAGCACATGAGGGTATCTGCTGTTGATTCCATTTACCTTCTGATGTCAGAAGGGTTTTCTTTTGATGGGCATTGATAGGTCCTACTTTAATGCACTCTTCAAATTCCTATGGTGGTTCCCATCTGTGTGGCCCGTCCCTTTAATGGCCCAGGTTTCCATTCCCCTTCTGCCTGGCCATATTCACCAGCACCAGTGAGCTGGTAAAAACCAAAACGTGGTGACAAACAGCAAGCAGTTCAGTCCACCAAGCTGACTTTTACCCTTCTCTGATCAGAGTAGTGACCTTCCAAACTAGATGTCCATTCACTTTGGAACTGTAGTCCATAAACCAAGCAGTTCTTTGTTGGTTAGTGAAAGGCTGTTTCTGGGCACTGTCCAAGTGGCAATAGATCCGACAGCTTCTCATGCAGTACCAGTCAGTCCTAGGACAAAACAGCTTCCCTGTTTGTGAATATGTCCTTGCATTCCTCAGGTAACAAGATCCTGTAGAAACCATTTCATTTTATGATGGAACTCTTCTGGGCACTGCCATCCACGTTAGAGTGCTTCTCCAACATCATCTAAGGCATTATGGGTATTTCAGGTTTCAAGATTATTTTATGCCCTTCAGTCATAGGAGTATTTTCAATTAATGTCTGATGAGATGAATTGCTTCTCAAATGGAAATTTTCTAGTCCACAGTCCCAGTAGTCATCGCTGGGAGGTGCTCACAGGCTTTTGCCGTAAGTCCCAGCCAGTGCTCCACAAAGAACTATCCCACAGAGATTTTGTGTATATCAGCACTCCAGCTTTTATTCTACACTGTGTGGGCTTGGGCAATCTTACTGGTTCCCATTTAGCATGTCCAATTAATATTGCTTGAAGATGATTTATACACCTTCTTCTTTGCAGACACAGTTCCTCAGTTAAACCTAATGTCCATCCCCATAATACATTCAGATGCAACTTTTTGTACAAATTTTCACCTTAATCTCATCAACCCCTACAGTCCTAACTGTAGCCACCATCGGACATCATCAACAAGTTTTAGTTTTACAATATTAGGTAAAGAAAGTGTTCCCCAAGATGACATAATATCCATTCCCACAAAACATTCAAGTAAAGGAGACACAATTTTACAAAAAGTCTGTTTAAACATTCTAACTTTCATAATCCTGTCAACTCTTCTGTATTCCCTCAACCTAATTCTAGCTTATGTTAGAGCTTCACCAGTGGGTTTGGATACCACAGTCCATGAAGCCCCCATGTAAAGGAGTTCCAGAAATTTCTCCACCCCCTAAATGGGTGGAGTACATAACCCATTCATGTACATAACCCATTCATGTACATAACCCATTCATTTACATAAAGCTTTGGGTCACCAGCAGGGGGTTGAGGCAAAGAACTCTGACCTTTTTGTCAGTCTTGGTCTTGGTTAATCTTACTATTGTCCTGTGATTCCAGGTCAGGTTTCTCATTGTAATCTTGGCCTTCTGGCTTTTAAAATTTCTCCAAACTGGAGTAAATAGAGTGAACTTGTTTGGGACCCTTTAATGTTGGGTGACTGATATGTTTTTGCTGTGTCCCCACCCAAATCTCATTTTGAATTGTAGCTCCCATAATTCCCATGTGTTGCGGGAGGGACCTGGTGGGACATAATTGAATCATGGGGGTGGTTTCCCCCATACTGTTCTCGTGGTAGTGAATAAGTCTCACGAGATCTGATGGTTTTATAAGGGGAAACCTCTTTCCCTTTGGCTCTCATTCTCTCTTATCTGCTGCCACGTAAGACGTGCCTTTTGCCTTCCACCATGATTGTGAGGCCACCCCAGCCACATGGAAGTGTGAGTCTGTTAAACTTCTTTTTCTTTATACCCAGTCTGATAAAGACATACCCGAGACTGGGTATGTCTTTATCAGCAGTGTGAAAATGGACTAATACCATTAGGAGACACTTTGGTCCACCCAAACTTTAATAGTGCTGTATTAAGACCTTTGTTTTAACCCTATCAATGTCTGTCTTAGTCATACCTTTTTTTTTGTTTGTTTTTTTGAGATGAAGTCTCACTCTGTCACCCAGGCTGGAGTGCAATGGCATGATCTCAGCTCGCTGCAACCTCCTCCTCCCAGGTTCAAGCGATTCTTCTGCCTCAGCCTCCCAAGTAGGTGGGATTACAGGTGTGCACCACCATGCCCGGCTAATTTTTTTATTTTTAGTAGATATGGGGTTTCACCATGTCGGCCAGGCTGGTCTCAAACTCCTAACCTCAGGTGATCCACCCACCTTGTCCTCCCAAAGTGCTGAGATTACAGGCGTGAGCCACCACACCTGGCCTCATCCCATTTTTTAATAACCATTCAAGGTTTTCACCCTGCTGGGACAAGTCTGTTGACTCTTTCCCTTTCTTTTTGCTTTTTGTTTTGCCACTATCAATGTTTTCTTTATTCACTCCATTTCTTAACCATTTAAAAATTTCTACCCTCTTAGGATGAATCCCTGGACTCATCCCTCTACCTTTCATACCTATGCCTAATTCATATTTTCCTGTGAATTAGTCTAGTGTTTTAATTAGCATCAGTAAGAACCATGAGAGGAAGCAGAGAGAGCAAATTTGATAGGGCTTCTAAGACTGTTGCTCAGTTTTGCAGCAGTAAAGTTATATGCGACACCCACGCAAAAGGTGCCCATGCCTCTTAATCATAACATTGACCATGATCTTGGCAATGGGCATATTCAATGGGTGAGTGTCCCAATTACCAAAAAGCCAGTCCCACATGACTTGCATACACAGTTTATCAGGTACTTCATCAGAGTGTTGCTTTTAACATTTATAGGGGGAGTTGGACAGCCTCACTTCTCAGAGTAAACATACCTCATAGTGCCTTTTATCCAGTCCACCAGGCTGGTTGTTTCTTCAGGAATAACCTGCTGTGTGTCTGTGTCAGATATAGCCATCTGTGATTGTTCCACAGTGAGCAGTGAGTCCTCTGTCAACCCAGACATGTTCTTTCATTCTGCAGCATTCAAAACCAAAGATACTGTCTCTAAATCAGTTACTCTCAGAATCCACTTAAGTAAGGGTTTTTCAGGAAGCTGATGATATTGATCTACAAATGCGACAACTCTTCCACACTATCCCCCCTGGTTTCAATAGTTTATTGGTTGTACCTTCCCCCTACACACACCAACTTCTTGGTGACCAGAGGTCTTAGAGGTACCCTTTGTTGTCTCCACATAATTCTACCCTTTGAGGGCAGCTTCAAGGCTAGTGGCCAAAGTTCAGACTGACCAAAATCTGAGTTTGGTTTAGCATCAAAGTCCATCCAGCACTCTTTTAATTTCACTTTAGCTATTACAGATATAACAAAAACCAAGGAGTTATATGTTCTGCACTTTTCCTATTCATTTACATTTCCTTACGCATCCAATGAACCAATTCCTCAGCAGTTAGATCCACCTCCAAATTCCATTTGTAACTAAATTTAGTCACTGATAACAGCACAGCTGTCATGCTGGTCCATATCATGGGTGACTACATGACCACCCAGGAATCAAAAGTTCTGTATCTCCCACCCTTTCATCCTTTCTCTTCCCAAACCACTTTTCCATTAGCTAGGACCATTCTAGTGAATCCTAAATTTTCTGACACTAAATAATCAGGGTCTTTCTAATCCCACTTCTGACACCAATATGAGCTGTTTTGACTCACAACAGTTCTGAAACCAAATGTGTGGTGTTTTTGTTTTTATGCCTCACAACCATTCTCTAACTCTTCAATCACCAACTGTGTGTCCTACAATTCAATTCAACTCTGACACTAATTACCCAGAGTTAGTGTCAGACTACACTGGTTTAAGGGCTCAGTCCCACAAGACTGCCCTCACTTCAGATGCCAGTCACAAGTTATTCAGGTTCCCAGGTTAACCATACTTCTGTCTGACTTGGCTACAAAGTCAAGGGCTTCCCACAACACCTCCTCCCTTATTTTATGTTCATTAATTTGCTAGAATAGCTCACAAAACTCTAAAACACACTTTACTTTCTATTACTGGTTTATTATAAAAAAGACAAATGAATAGGCCAATGAAGAGGGTGAACATAGGGTAAAGTCCGGAAGGATCCTGAGAGAAGCTTCTGTTCCCATGGAGTTGTGGTATGCCACACTCCTGGCATGTGGATGTATTCACCAACTCAGAAGCTCTCTGAATGCTATTGGTCAGGGGGTTTTATGGCAATTCCATTACATAAGCACAATTGATTAATTCACCATTGAAATTGACTCAATCTCTAGGATCTCTTTCTTTCCAGAGGTTGGGGATGGGGCTGAAAGTTCTAAGCTCCTAATCAAGTCTTAGTCTTTCTGAAGACCTGCCCCCATCCTGAAGCTATCTAGGGTACCACTAAGAATTGTCTCACTACAGCCGGGCGCGGTGGCTCACGCCTGTAATGCCAGCACTTTGGGAGGCCGAGGCGGGTAGATCACAAGGTCAGGAGATTGAGACCATCCTGGCTAACATGGTGAAACCCCGTCTCTACTAAAAATACAAAAAATTAGCCAGGCTTGGTGGCGGGCACCTGTAGTCCCAGCTACTCGGGAGGCTGAGGCAGGAGAATGGCGTGAACCTGGGAGGCGGAGCTTGCAGTGAGCCGAGATCGCACCACTTCACTCCAGCCTGGGTGACAGAGCGAGACTGTGTCTCAAAAAAAAAAAAAAAATTGTCTCACTAAAACAAAAGAGCCTCCTATCACCCTTGATATGAAATTCCAGAATTTTCTGTGATACCACATGGCCATTGCTTGTTTTGCTATATGTTAATGTCTTTCATAATAACTTCTGAGCTCTGTATATATTGGGGTATTAGCTCCTTGTCATATATTAAAAATATTTTTACTCTAGTTGTCCATTAACTTTATTTTTCATGACCCTTGCTGTACAAAAGCAGATTGTTTTCATCTTTAAGTGAATAAAACTATTACTGGTTTATTGTAAAAAGTAATATTAATTTTTATTTAAATCTTTCATCTAGCTAGAATTTTTTTTTTTTTTTTTTTGAGACTGAGTCTCGCTCTGTCACCCAGGCTGGAGTACAATAGCGCAATCTCGGCTCACTACAACCTCCGCCTCCCGGGTTCAAGCGATTCTCCTGTCTCAGCCTCCTAAGTAGCTGGGATTACAGGCATGCGCCACCACGCCTGGCTAATTTTTGCATTTTTAGTAGAGACAGGGTTTCACCACGTTGGTCTGGCTGGTCCCAAACTCCTGACCTCGTGATCCACCCGCCTCGGCCTCCCGAAGTGCTGGGATTATAGGCGTGAGCCACCACGCCGGGCAGAATTGTTTAATAAGATATACAGGCCAAGCATGGTGGCTCATGTGTGTAATCCCAGCACTTTGGGAGTCCAAGGTGGGCTGATCACTTGAGCCCAGGAGTTCAGGATGAGCCTGTGCAACATGGCAAAACCCCATCTCTATAATAAATACAAAAATTAGCCGGGCGTGGTGGTGCATGCCTGTAGTCCCAGCTACTTGGGAGGCCGAGGTGGGATCACCCGCGCCCAGGAGGCACAGGGTTCAGTAAGCCAAGATCGTGCCACTGCACTCCAGGCTGGGCGACAGAGCGAGACCCAGTCTCAAATAAATAAAAATAATAAAATATCCCATGGTATTCCTTAATAAATTTTAGTTTTCATTTATTGAATTACTTGTTGAATTATTTATTATTTTCCCATGCTGATTTGGAAGGGTACCATTATCATTTCTCTAAGACTTTGGTTTATTTCTGCAGTATTTCATTCTATTGATCTATTCTTGTGCCAGTAAAATACTCTATTGTTGCACTGCAAAACTTTTAGTATATACTAGGGCTAATCCTTCTGGGTTCCCTTGAATTTTTCTGGTGGTGTTGTGATTTTTTTATTGGACTTGCACTAGAGTCAGTGATATACAGAGAACTGGCCTCTTCAGGAGTCTTCCTATTCAAGAATGTGGTAAGTTTATCAATTTGTCTAAGTTTTGCCTCAGAAGGAGTTTTGCTGTGTTTATACAAGTCTCATTTATTCTTTTTGTTAGATGTTTCTTTTCTTTAGCTGAGTTTTTTTTTGCACCCATTATGTTTCTTAACTAGTAAATCTGGTGAGTTTTTCCCATTTATTTTCATTAAATAAAATAAGAGGTAAAATCACATAAAATAGCCATATTTGGTTCTGGTATTGTCATCTTATTGCATATTTGTGTGTGTGCGTTGCTGTTTCTTATACTTATCTTTAGTTTTGTGGGGAATTATTCTGTTTCTCTCTTTTTAAAAATTTTCTTCCCCAGCTCTGCTAACAGTATATTTGGAGACAAATACGTCTACCAGGTTACTGTTTTCTCTCTCAATTATGTAACAAACCTCTACTTTTTCTGTTTATCAACCAAAGAAAAGAAACTGGTTCTATTTGCTCAGCTCACAAAAGAGAAAATGAATTAGTGTATCTGTTCTCCTGCCATTCTACCCGATTTATCTCCATTTTCATTGGCCTATTTTGTCTACTATCATCTTTTTTAACATTATGTAGCCTTTCTTTCAATAATTATAATTGCTTTGTTGCCACAGTCACCATAGAGAATTAAGTGTATGTTTAATGAGATTTGCTTGCCATATCCTCTCACCCCAGAGTGGCTTACAGTATTCTCATTTTTTTGATGTGAAACTAGTTGGGATCTCTGGTAGTTCAACAACTGCTTGTATAGTCATGGGGTTGTCAATGCATTACTGGGAGAAGTTGTTATACTTTTCTGTTACTTACCAAGGATACATAAAGCATCTACCCACATATGAGGGGTTCACCGTGAATGTGCTATGGTGGTTACTGGCTGAAAGTCTGGGACAGGACAGCCACCTTTAAACCTGGACACAAGTTGAGCTGTTATAAAGCTGAAAGGCAAAAGCAAGAATTTAAATTTTCTACAGCAGCCTGGTTGGTGCCTGCCTTTTCCACATCAACAGTTTGGTACCTGAGTAAATGACAGTGAAGGAGGAGTGAGTAGGGGCTTGGAGCTTAACGAGGCTTATTGCTGCATTTGTGAGAAAGACCCATTTCTATGTATTCTTCACTCCACTTGCCTAGTGATCACCCCTTTCAGGTTTCTTCTAACAGTGACAACCTTGGGAATTTCAAACTAAATCTTCAGTATGATAAGGTTATGCAGGACTAAAAACTGGGTAGCAATAAATGGGCTTTAGAAAACAAAGCATGCAGGTTTTCCCAGGCACTTTCAACTAATGCAAACATATACAGTACAGAAAAGAGAAGATGTAACTTTTCTCTGAAAAAAAGGTTTATTGCATATGGAAATCAATAGATATCTTTTACAAAAAAAGGTTAGAATAAAGATCTCACATTTGTAAAGGCACATATGAAACATTTTATAGCAAGCACAAGGGCAGTGAGAACATCAACAAGGTCCAATATCTAAATAAGACTTTATAAAAACAGATAGGAAACAGTGCAAAAAATACTGTCAAAGTCAGTTCTATACACCTCATAACTGTGTATACAACTGGCAAGCATAAGCTTATTTACTGATATAAAATAGCACATAGAATAGCATGCATAGTTTTATTTTAGGCTTTTCATATTATTAAATTGATAGGGAGTCTATACCAAAGTACAGTTGACATGAATAGTGATAAAAATCACTCCCCAGCTTAGGGAATGTCCTATAAACATCTCACCCCTCCCTCTGCTTACAACTACAGTTTGGTAGTAAGGAGACTGGGCTTCCATCTTGCAAGGTGGCAAGCGGCCACCACAGGGGGCGAATGTGCTCTCAGGATCCCAAGTCCCAACCTGGAATGCATTTCTTACGGCAACAACATAAGAGATGGTGATTAAATGTCTGGGTCAGCCCACAAAAGCCAACCAGATCTGGCTATCACAGCCCTCCATTTGGGCTGTGGTGGAGGTCAGTGGGCTTCTATGGGCTGACGCAAGAACCTTAAGAACAAACCGGTTTCTAAGTTGGGGACTTGTCTGTACATCGTTTCAAAATGAAACCTAATAAATGTCATTTGTTTTGAATGATACCAAAATTCACAACATTTTGTGAAACAAAGATCAAGGAAAGCATCAAAATACTGAAGTAGGGAGCACAAGCCTAGTCCAGTGAAACAAACTAGATTAGCTTGTTACTTGATGTAACACAAGTTACATAAGGTTACACATTTATTAGTAATTTGCATATTTAAACCTTTTTTTCCACTGAAGTATCCTCAAGCACATTAATTAGCTATTGAAGGAACAAAGGACATACATAGGAACTCATCTCTGATGAAGAGTAGCTTTATGTCAGAAAGGAGAAGGCTAATGAATTTTTAAGATTCCAAACAGTGGCAAGAAAGTTCAAAGGAAATTGCAGTAAAATTGTACAATGTTCAAGTTGAAAAAAAAAATGGCTCTGAATTACAGCATTCAGTTCTATGCTCAAGGTATGTATTAGCTAACACTGCAGTTGTCAGAGGTGGGAGGCCCCTGAGAAATGCTGAGAATGCCAGGCACCCCAGTTCTGAGAGCCACCCTAGCTAAACTCAAAGCAGCATTCTTGAGATTTTAGCAAAAGGCTCCGCCCCAAGCCACAAAAAGATCCCAATCCAATCTTTTCAGCTTTATCCTCTAAAACCTTTTGTCAGATGAGATAGCATTTGTGTTTCCCAGGAGGAGAAGGTTGGGGAAGAAAATGAAGATAGCTTACATACAGATTTTGGATGACCCGCTAATCTTTCCCCTTCCTAGGTAAGTGAAAACAGATAAAATGTTTCTGGGCAGCCCAAAGGTTTACCACCTGTTTCACTAGAATGGCCAGTCTGTGTAAAGAGGCTATAATGACGAAAGCATTTTCCCTGCAGGGAGAAGCTAGAAACAAATGGGTCTTCCTATACATCAGTCTGCCAAATGCAGCCTCTCTCAATCTATATAAGTTCACCTCGAAATACATATTAAGTACTGCTGTCATCATTGTTTTAAACAGAGCGTCTTTCATTTTTTCTAATAGTGACTGATTCTATCGGCAAGGGAACAAAAGGGTGAGAAAGGGAGCTTCCTGCTTGCTGAGTTTTCTAGCTATTTTCATTCTGGTTATTTTCATCCGCCAGATCTTTTTTTTTTTTTTTTTTTTTTTTTGAGACAAAGTCTCACTCTGTTGCCCAGGCTGGAGTGCAGTGGCATGATCTCGGCTCACTGCAACCTCCACCTCCCGGGTTCAAGCAATTATCCTGCCTCAGCCTCCTGAGTAGCTGGGATTACAGGCATGTGCCACCATGCCTGGCTAATTTTTTTTTTTTTTTTTTTTTTTGTATTTTTAGTAGAGACGGGATTTCACCATGTTGGCCAGGCTGGTCTTGAACGCCTGACCTCAGGTGATCTGCCTGCCTCAGCCTCCCAAAGTGCTGGTTTGATTACAGGTGTGAGCCACCACATCTGGCCATTTGCCAGATCTTATTCTTTGAAACTATACAAGCAATTTTTAAAAAATTAAAATAAGATTTCCTAATTACATATTTCTGAGAGGTTTAAGGCAATGATTCTCTGACGAGGATTAACTCTTACATCTGGGTTGCACTCATAGGGTAGGTAAAGAAAAGAAAAAGTGTACTGTTGAGAGTTGATCCATAAAGCAGATGGGGAAATATGAAAAGGCAGCAGAGGCTGGGTGTAATCCCAGCACTTTGGGAGGCCGAGGGGGGTCATCACGAGGTCAGAGGTTTGAGACCAGTCTGGCCAACATGGCAAAACCCCGTCTCTACTAAAAATATAAAAATTAGCCGGGTGTGGTGGTGCACGCCTATAATCCCAGCTACTTTGGAGGCTGCACTCCAGCCTGCGCAACAGGAGTGAGACACGATCTCAAAAACTAAAAAAAAAAAAAAAAAGAAAAAGAAAAAAAAAAAGGCAGCAGACCCTAAGTGAACAAGGTGCTCATGGAATGAAGAGGGTGACAGCACACAACAGTCCCACCCGTTCCCCTGAACAAGACAAGGAACACCAAAGTCACTGCATGTACATCCCAGTTTTGTGGCCTGAATAGAAACATGACTTGCTCTAAAGGGGAATGTCCTCTGCAGCACCTCTGAGATCACAGGGGAGAAGAATCAAGAAATCCAAGAGCCGGGGCTGCTAACTCTGGGAGCCACATGGGTAAGCAGAATGCTCTGCTAACAAGCAAGGCAAGGAAAGGCTGCCAGCAGCAGGCGAGGGAAGATGGTGCTTTTGATCAGCAAATCCAGGCAAATATGATAAACCACACATCATAATCCATGACATTCATCAAGCTCTACCTCAACAGTGAAGACAGTTTAAAACTATGAGCTAGGGTGAAATAGACTCCAACACTGCTGCAGGCTTTCCCTAGCATGCCACTTGGTGGTTTCCATCACTCTGACATTACAGAAAGGGAGGCAGGGAGTAGGAGAGGCATTCCAGAGTTCAGAAAATTATTTGTGAAACAGAGAACTTTTGGATAGCAACTTCAGGACTGATGCAAAAATCCTTCCTCTCCCTCTTCCCATTTATAGAAACTTTTGAGCAAGTTTATGGCACTTCTGGGAAAGAATGATCCTGATGGCCCAAAGTGTGGCAGAAGGAGCAATGACTTTCCACACAAATGCTTGTCATATTCAGGCTGCCCAGTAGCTCCAGCCCTCCTGCCTTGTAACTCAATGTCCTTGAATTTATTTTTAAAATGGGAAGGCTAAAAACAAAGCTGCAAACGGTAGGAACTGATGCACATCCTCTTCTTTACTGTACCAAACAACAATCATTTTCCAGTCTATGAAATTGATGGATGCCAGACACTCAATGCTAGGCTCATGGACATTTTAATAGAGAATATCTTAGTTTGGCTTTGAGAAAGAAGATGCAGCTATATTAAGCTGAAAAGATAAGAAAGGTAGTCTACTGAATAAAAATACTTACCTATCTGAGTTTCTAACAGAAACACAAAAGCTGAGAGCAGGCTGGATAAAGGCTGAGTGTTGATGGCGCAAGCTGGTGGTCAAGTTTCACAGGGCCCCCTGAATAACACTGACTTCTGGACAACACATTTGAGGTGGCAGAATTTGATGAGATTTCCCCCACATTTCTCCCTGGCACGTTGCTGTTACTTTCAACAGACGCCATCTGTAAGGTCCTTTGCCCCAAAATGTCTTAGAAGCTTAAGTAAAGACAAGAACTATTTTGCTTCCTTGCTCAGCGTTCAAGAGAAGTATCAAATGCAGTTTAACATCTTACAGCTTTATTTCCACCCTATAGGGCCAACTAGTGTGCCAACCATAAGGCTGTAGGCCATTGGAGAATTTGTGTGGTTTCTACAGAAGACCCAAATTTCTCCATTTGGAAACCATGCTGGATGAGCTGTTGCTCTGCTCATGAAAAGAAATCACTAAATAAGAGCATGATGAGTGTCTCAAAACCATTGGCAATATAATAAAACACAGCAGCAGAATAATTGTTGGTAAAACATGGGAATGCTCAATTCCCTAAAAGGGCTACCCTAAGAGCCCAACAGTAATTATGTGGTGCTTCCGGAAATGTCTTACTCTAGGAGCTCCACAGAGTTATTTCTGACACTGAGTAAGAACACAGGTCTGACTCAATCCCATCCCTTGAATCTGTGCTCCCTGGCACACATCCTAGAATGCCCTGTACCCTCCATCCCCCCAACCCCCGCACCTCAAGGGATTGACAGATCTTCCCCAAACGAAAATCAGTAACGAAATAGTTGTCCTTTACCAAAGGGGGCAATCAAGGACCCTCTGAGAATACCAGAATCCATGGATGTTCAAGTCTTTTATATAAAATAGCACAGTATTTGCATATAACCTATGCACATCTCTTGCATACTTTAAATCATCTCTAGATTATTTACAATACCTAACTCAATGCCTACACATCACTTCATTTGTGTGAATTCAATGTAGTATTCAGCATGTGGCAAATTCAACTTTTGCTTTTTGGAACTTTGTGGGTTTCCCCTCTTCCCCAAATATTTTTCAATCTGTACTTGGTTGAATATAGGGATGTGGAACCCACAGATAGGGGTGGTCAACTGTACTCATCTTCACCATCGAATACACCATTAGATGGGGAAAGGGAGACTAGAAGGCACATTCTGCTTTTTGACAAAGGACACTTTTGGGACCCATACGTCACGTAACAAGTAGGCTGAGGTCAGCTAATACAGACTGTTCATCGGGAAAGGACAGCAGCTAAAAACTCCAGAGTGATATGCCTGATGGCCAATCCGGCTTAAGAGAAGCTGCAGTGCACTATCTACCTCTGCAACTTCCATGTCCCAGGAGATGGCCCATTCACCAAGTGATGCAAGGATCACTATGAGCAGGGCAGCACGTTCGTGAAAAGAGCTGGGCCACCCAGGGTATACCTTTTGTGTTCATTAGCACTGCTCTGGAGAAATGACATCTGGTGTTGGGACCCACAGTGTATCAGGGGGAAGATATAGGTGATCCATGCGAGTACTGTCTATTTGCAGAAAATATGGTCCATTATTGGAAATTTCATATGGGTCAATCTATATTAAGCTGGAAAAATAATCAGCTGGATGAAAAGGCCAGCCTGCTGTACCCACTGGAGTTTATAACTGAAAAGCACAAGCTGAAAGAAAGCAGGATAAAGGTTAAGTAGGTGTAAGCCATGGTCAAGTCCTACAAGGCCCACCCTCAGCAGTCTACAAAGACCCTCTCTTCAGGCTGATGAAAGAGGGGGCCAGAGATGGCCAAGTGACTCTTAGGAAAACAATGACAGTTTAGCTATAATTTTAAAAAGCGGTTCCTCTTCTCAATCTACAAAATTAAAAGTAAAATTCTCTCAATTTAAGCTCCTCAAAAGCTTACGATTCAAAATATTCCACATAGGTATTTTTACCTTCCCTGATCTTATTGTTTAGCTCCGACTGAATATTGCAGCTCATTCATCTTTACTCCTATGTAATCAATGTTTAACATCCTTTTTTCATGCAACTAAATCCTCCTTTACTTCCTATCTGGGGAAAGAAGTGCATACCAATGTCTATGCTATCTGTAAATGCTACCAGATACTCTTGCTAAAAGATGGTATATCCAGTATATCCTTAGAACCCAAGGAAACCTAAGAAACCTCAGCAGGACATTCCTCAGCTAAGCCAGCAGGCTCATCTCAAGGATGAAGACATCAAATTCAGCCCCCATGATTCAGGGACCACAGTAAACAAGGATGAATACCTCGGGTCAATGTATCCAAATGAGTGTGGATGAAAGAAACCAAACAGTTCAACTGGAAAACCTCGAAAACAGCGGCTGGAAAATGTTTGATGGCTTTGTTGTGAGATGGTAACTTTTTTTTCCTCCATTTTACATTTTCTCCCTTCAAATCCAAACTGCAGCAATAGACACTGACAGCTCCAGCTTCAGACTTGATACATCATCAGGAAATCATTCCAAAAGCTCTAACTAGATAACTAATTTAATACACTTTGCTTCAAGGTTTATTCCTTGGCTTGCTTCCCAGATATAAAGCATCTCTGGGCAATTATTATGCAGATGCCACCGAAAGGACTTTAAATGGCTGCTGCTAATTTAACAGGAGATATGTTGGCATTTACTGGAGATGTGAAAAGGAATGCAAAATGTGCTAAAGAACCAAAGGCATTTGTTTTTAAAAGTGAAATATGTGGAACAACTCTTAAATGTTTTCTTTTGGGTTTCAATATAAACTTTGGCTAGAAAGTTGAATATTAAACCTACTTCCTCCCTGCATTTTGTACACTAATGAATATTCCCGTAGCATACGGCAGGGACAGTGGATGAATTTCAGGGAAGCCCATGAGCTCTGACGACCTCAAAGACGCACCAGATCTATATGCTGTCCACATGAGACATATTCTAACAGTGCCCACCTTGGGGCTTAGAGATAAAAGATAAATACTGATGTTGTTCATCACGCAATAAACCAGTAACTGAGACCACTTGCTAAAACATCCCTAACAGCAGAATATCCCAAGGATGGAAAAACCTCCAAGGAAAGGAAACAAGTATCTTTTTGCTTATTGATGAGCTTCTTATAATAAGGGTTATAAGCTCTGTTCACTGAAAATACATGTAATACTAATGGGTTTCTTTCCAGGACATACAACAAAACTCCAGAATCTACAAAGATCAGCAGATTATACTCCTTCACTGAGCCTTCAGACCTTGAAGTAGAAGACACAGGGGAAGCCCTCCATCCCCAGATATTCCGAGTCTAACTAGAGTACAGCCACCACAACACCTGGCCAGGTTGAAACAGAGGATTCCTATTCCGAAGAACTTAATGGGGAATATATACCTGTTGGCATGTGGTGATGGGATGTCACAAAGGCATACTTTTTCTGGTTGATTTGATGTCACTCCATCTTTTTAGCTCACGGGGGACAAAAGCAGCAATGAAGAAAGGCATATGGAACTCTCACAGCAGTCAATTCTAAGAAAAAAAACTGCAATTAAATTTTCCTTTCTCCTAACATCTAGTTTTTCTTGACAACCTTTTTTCCTTTTTTTTTTTTTTTTTTGGAGGCAGGGTCTCTCCGTAGCCCAGCCTGGACTACAGTGGCAAGATCACGGCTCACTGCAGTCTCGAATTCTTAGAATCAGGTGATCCTCCTGCCTCAGCCTCCCGAGCAGCTGGGACTACCAGGGCATACCACCACGCCTGGCTAATTTTTGTACTTTTTGTAGAGACGGGGTTTCATCATGTTGCTCAGGCTGGTCTCGAACTCCTTAGCTCAAGCAATCTGCCCGCCTTGGCCTTTCAAAGTGCTGGGATTACAGGTGTGAACCACCGTGCCTGGCTGACTACAGTTTTTTAATTGCACGTTTGTTCTTTGAACTGACCACTGTGGGCATTCCATGCCTTCCTCCACTGCCGCCTTTTTCCCAAGCTGAAAAGACAAGGAAGATGTGGCATCAAATTAACTAGAAAGAGCACGCCTGTGACTTCCCATCACCACGTAACAACAGGTGCATATCAAAGCTGTACTCAAGAAAAGGTAGACATAGAATGATAAATCCCCCAAAATGCAGTAAGAGGAAAAAAGTACAAAACATGATTTATTGTGTACCATCCTTGGAAATTCAGAAGGACACTGACCAATGAAGCCATAGGAAGAAACTAAGAACTGGGCTTCAAAGTGAAGATAACTGACCAGCGAGTGGATTTTATGAAGAAAAGGAAAGAAGCACAGGGCTCTGCCAATGACAATTCTACCATCGTTCATCAAGTGGCCCCAAGTTTGGACTATGGGGTCCCGAGTGGGATTAATTCTGATCTTGCAGACCAAAGCCTGAAGATGATATCAGCACAGCGGGGGTCACATTTGATGTGTTTCCTGGCCAGGACCCCTGTTATGTAGCTAAATGCCTTACAGCTCCCATAAATCAGCTTCCCCATCTGTTTCCTTGATGGCCTTTCCAATGACTTAGTGACCTCAACTTTTAGGTCTCTGTCCAGCACACACATCTTATTTAAATAAAAAACAATGATCATCAAGGCCCTGCCTGAAAAACACAATCCTCAAAGGCCCTGCCCAACTCCTTTCTCTTTCTAGGTCTGCTATCCTCTCTCAATCAGGGTAGAGCCTTAACTGCACAGATGGTCTGGTCCAGAGCCTCAATGCCACCAGACAGGGTCCTACTGAGCAAACAGGAGAGGTAGCAACAAATACCCAAGGTACAGTCGCCAGCAGGGAAACACAAGCTCCAGAGCCCAGGATAAGGGGTGGTCAAGAAAAGCACAACACAGAGCTTGTCTTTCGGCCCCAAAGATGGCAATTACTGCATTGTAAAGGCAGCACTGTCTTTAGCTATTCTGTCTTTAACTCAAGCTTGGGGGGGAAGTTGGGGTGGGGCGTGGGGGAGAGGAGACTACTGAGGATGAGGGGTGGAAATGAAGACGAGAGGAAACTGTCTATCAAGGCTCATGAGCCCCAAAATATAAGAGAATCGTGTTTGTTCCTTCAGACCCTTTTCTTTATATTTCAGGATGAATTCATTTTCTTACCGTCTTTGCTTTGGATATAAGCAATGAATGATGAATGAATCAAGCTGATAAATGAATTAAGCTGATGAATTTCAGGGTTGGTTACAAATCTGGCTGCAACTTCACAAGAGATGTGCTCCCTCATGCCTCTGTCCTCAAAATGATCCAGCAGGCAACCTTACCTGCTGACATATATTACAATACAGATCAGTCAAGATGTGGTTCAAATGAAAAGTACTATATTACTAGGGAAACTGCATTATAATAATTCACAAAAGTTATTCCAAAGGGGAAAAAAATAAATTATCTCATATAAAATAATACATGGTATGTGTGAATAATCTTGGCTACTGTCTTCAGAGAGCCTGTTTGCTGCCAGCCACCTGCACCCCTGTGGGGGGAGCAGATGTTGTCTGGAGGTGACTCTCCTCCAGCGCGATGGAGCTGGGTCCCTCCTCCAGGAGCTGGATTGGGGTGATTAAATGAGTCTGGAGTTTTGGAGGAACTGGATGAGGACTTGGTAGACAAACTTGTACTGAGCGATAGTCTGGATCATGAACATCCTCTGCTCCCTGAGGAGCCTCAGCATCATGGGCACTTCCACCTTCTGCAAGAAAAGAGAGAAAGCACAAGGTCCTGAGACAGGAGGCTTCCCTTTGAGCATTCCTCATTCCCTCATTCAGGAAGCACTCACCCACTGCCCATGTCCAGGTACAAGAGAAGGCAAGGGACTCTGCCCTGGCTGGGTTTTATGCATCAAACAGTTTATATCAGCAACTGGAGAACCTGGTCATCATGTGTCACTGGTGGGATATTTTATTTTTATTTAATTTCAAATTTTCTGAGAGGGTCTTGCTGTGTCACCCAGGCTGGAGTACAGTGGCACAGTCATAGTTCACTGCAGCCTTCAACTCCTGGGCTCAAGCAGTCCTCCTACCTGAGTCTCCCAAAGTGCTGGGGTTACAGGCGTGGGCCACCACACCTGTCCTGGTGTATTATTTTGAATACAGACTAGTCTGCTGGTTAAAACATAAAGGCTGGAGTTAGACCTGAATGGTACTCTCAACTCCCCTGCAACCCAATGACAGGATTTAAGACCTCTCAGGGTCTTAGTTTCCTCATCTGTAAAATCAGGATAATAATGCTTTCCTCTAACAGCAGTGTGGCCTTGCCCTAGTTAGTTACATTTCCTCAGCAATAACATGGGGTATGAAATAACATTTGCCTCATGGGATCAAATGATGAAACACATATCAAGCATTTAGTGCACAGTGAGTGCTTAATAAATATTACTCATTATTCCTTTTTTTTTTTTTGAGACAGAGTTTCACTCTTGTTGCCCAGGCTGGAGTGTAGTGGTGTGATCTCGGCTCACTGCAACCTCTGCCTCCCAGGTTCAAGAAATACTCCTGCCTCAGCCTCCGGAGTAGCTGGGATTACAGGTGCGCACCACCACGCCCGGCTAATTTTTTGTATTTTTAGTAGAGACAGGGTTTCGTCCTGTTGGCCAGGGTGGTCTTGAACTCCTGACCTCTGGTGATCCGCCCACTTAGGCCTCCCAAAGTGCTGGGATTACAGGCGTGAGCCACCCCGCCTGACCTCATTATTCCTTTATTAACATTAATAAATGTTATTAATGCAATTATAATCTCACAGGACTGTGGTCATGATCAAGTGAGATAATTTAAGTGTAAACCTTTAAAATGTCAAAGCGCCATCTCTGAACACCAGTCCTACTTGGAGTAAAAGCCTTCAACTGAGAACACTTTTTTTCTTTTTTTTTTTTTTGAGACGGAGTCTCACTCTGTCTCCCAGGCTGGAGTGCAGTGGCTCAATCTCTGCTCACTATAACCTCCGCCTCCCAGGTTCTAGCAATTCTCCTGCCTCAGCCTCCTGAGTAGCTGGGATTACAGGCACGCACCACCATGCCTGGCTAATTTTTTTTTTTTTTTGTATTTTTAGTAGAGACGGGGTTTCAGCATGGTGGTCAGGCTGGTCTCGAACTCCTGACCTCGTGATCCGCCTGCCTCGGCCTCCCAAAAGTGCTGGGATTATAAGCGTGAGCCACTGCGCCTGGCCGAGAACACCTATTTTGAGACAGAGTCTTGCTCTGTAGCCCAGGCTAGAGTGCAGTGGTGCGATCATAACTCATTGCAACATCAACCTCCTAGGCTCAAGCAATCCTCCCACTTCAGCCTCCTGAGTAGCTGGAACTACAGATGCACACCACCACACCCGGCTAACTTTTAAAATTTTGTGTAGAGACGAGGTCTTACTCTGTTGCCCAGGCTGGTCTCAAACTCCTGAGCTCAAGTAATCCTCCAGCCTTGGCCTCTAAAAGTCTTAGCATTATGGGCATGAGCCACTGTGCCTAGCCTTGAGTCTTAAATGAGAACATTTTGAGTATTAAATGAGATTGCCTATGTGTGAATTCTTTGAGAATATATACGATGATATATACTATCATTAATGAAAGGAAATTAATTCAGTGTCATGGGTACTTGAGCAGATCAGAGGCTGTCACAGTGTCCTCTCCCCTCACCTTCACCATGTCCATCCTCCTGGACTAGCCAGGACACATACGGCTGGAGCACCCCTGAGCTGTGGAGGCCATGGTGGCCTCAGCACATTCACTCTGCTCTGGGAGCTCTTAACCCAGGGCAAATGATGGCACCCAGGAAGTTTTCAAGGGCTAAGCAAGTGTTTAAAAGAAAATAATAAAAACTCAGCTGTATGCCTGACTTTGTAACCTTTGAACCTTAAAAAATAATTTAAGCTATTTCCAAGCCGTGTATAGGTATGACATGACACGTGCCATCAGTCACTCTTGTTCAACACCAACTAAGGAATGCATATCACAAACTTGCGACGTTGCCTGGGCTAGAGTGCAGTGGTGCAATCACAGTGGTGCAAAGGGACAAAGTCAAGTCCCTGCCTAATAAGAAAAGAAAAAAAAGGCATGTGAATCTTCGAACTATGAATCAAAATACAGAGCCTAGGTTATAAGCTTCTGACAGTAACAAGTAGGTCTCTGCCTAAATTATATTGCAAAGTGACCAGTATAAGATGTGACCTAGAGCCACCTAATAATGAACTTAATTTCATGTTTGATGAGGATTACTCTGCGGTTGGGCACTGAAGATAAAAGAATAGAGAGAATAAGGCTGTTCCCTCCCCTACCCACCAAAGGTTTTAGCCAGGAGGCAGGATCACACTGGTGTTCAGAGCACAGGCTCTGAGTAAGGCTTCATCTGCTGAATCTCAGCTCTACCACTTCTTGACTGTGGGAAGTGGGCACATTACTTCATTTACTTATGACTCAGTTTCTCTTCTGTTATGTGAGGATACTGATATGGTCTTGGCTCTGTGTCTCCACCCAAATCTCATGTTGACTGGAAATCCCCAGTGTTGGGGGAGGGACCTGGTGGGAGGTGATTGGAACATGGGGGCAGATTTCCCTCTTGCTGTTCTTGTGACAGTGAATTCTCATGAGATCCGGTTGTTTAAAAGTATGTTGCACTTCCCCCTTTGCTCTCTCTCTCTCCTGCTGCCATGTGAAGACGTGCTTAATTCCCCTTTATCCTTCCACCATGATTGTAAGTTTCCTGAGGCCTCCCAGCCATGCTTCCTGTACAGCCTGCAGAATTATGAGTCAACTAAACCTCTTTCCTTCATAAATTACCCAGTCTCAGGTAGTTCTTTATAGCAGTGTGAGAATGGACTAACACAGATACTAACAGGACTTAGCTCACAGTGTCACTGCAAAGGCTACTTGTGTTAATACTATCAGGCTCTTAGAATAGTGCGTATACATGGTAAACACTAGACACAAGTTAGCTGTTACGATATTATTTTCAATGTTGTCACCATCACCACCTCCTCCACCACCACATCCTCCTCCTCCTCCTCTACCATCATCCCCATCTCAATTACCTGTAGGACTGAGCCTAAATGACAGTATATTGTCTGATATGTTCAAGTCTGGGGATATGACAAAGAAAGTTCTCCTGGTCTTCAATGAAAGGGTCCCAGCTGGCTTAAAGATTCATTCACTCCCACAGGCTCTGCTCTTAACTGCCCCCAAGCCAAGGAAGCACAAAGCAGTTGACAATTGCTCAATCTTGTCTAGAAGACATTTTCTCCTCCTCACTTTATGAAGGAGGTATAACTTACTCAGAAAAGCAGCAAGATCAAGACATCTGCCCTTTGGCTACTGAGATCCTGACCTTTTGTAATTAGCTGTAGCTGGAACAGACAGCTACATCCAAGGGACTGAGTGTCCTGCAGACCATAAAACGAGTGCTTTCTGAAAAACTCTATGCACCTTAAAAAGTCTCAGCTAACACTCAGTGACCAAAAGCACTGGGCCACAGGGAGGCTTCCCAGAGCAGCCTGGGACAGCTGTCCCCACTCCCCACTGCACAGCTACCAACCTCATTGTAAGTGTCTGTGTTTCATTGTTTCTGCTCAACTTTTCTGTGTTTAGAATGAGACTGAGAGGGACAAGTCCAGGAAAAAGAAAGGCCATTTCATTGACAGAATTAAAACTGCATGAATTACAGACTAAAATATAAAGTATGCTAAATCCAGAAGCTGTGGAAAGAAGGCAGGGGAGTTTGGACAGGAGAAAAATGGTCCCACAATTTAATATATATTTGTTAAAATCTTTGCTTGAAACACAAAATAAACTAAACATGGTCTACTCTTCTCCTGAAATAGGGGCTTGGATCTTACTAGCCAGGCCTGAACAGTACCAGAACAAAAGGAGAGCATTTCTCCCCGCTAACCATCTACCAATAGCAACCATGGGAAATAGGACAGATAAGACTGGCTATATTTGTGCTAGGGGAAGAGAAGTGAAAAATATGAGTCATCTTGCTATCTTTGAATATCAATGGGAACAGAAGTTCTTTTTGGGTTGACCACGTCCCAGCAAAGAATGTTCTGGCATGCAGTTGGGCACTGAGGAAATCCGCTATGTTTGGACACACCATAGAGCATTTAACCACCCTGAGCCTTCACCAAGTCCACAGGAGGCCACACTGGCCGAATCCCTTACTCCAAACTGTTCCGGATTTGATATGCTTGTCTGTGCTCTGCCAGACCAGTAACATCTGGTGTTCAGTGAGCCCCCATGTCATTGCCTCACTGAGGCTCAGCCTTTGATGGGTCTCCAAAGAGCTCAGAACAGAATAGTCTTTCGTGTCAGACAAGACAGAATGGCTTCTTGAGTTGAAAAGGGGAAGTAGGGAGCGGAGCACAGGGAATGGGGAAAGAAGTGGAGTGGCCAGGCTTACGCCTGTAATCCCATCAACTCAGGAGACCGAGGTGGAAGGACTACTTGAGCCTAGGAGTTTGAGGCCAGCCTGGGCAACATAGCAAAACCCTGTCTCAAAAAAAAGAAAAAAAGAAAAGAAAACAAGGGGGGAATTTGGTGACAAAAGTGATATGAAGGGAAGGAAAGGACGATTAGGTGGGGAAGGTGATGATGAGGCCCTCAAGCCATGCACACACTGATTCTACCTCATCTTATTTTGTCTTCCTAGCAATGGATGGATTGAGACTCAGTGGCAGGTTACTCATTGTTCTAGAGATTTCTAGAGACCTCTAGTAGTGATGGGAATAGAGAGGCAAACAATAAAAAAATCCTATGTGGGGCAAAATGGTAAAAACTCAGAGGGCAATGACATTTCTGTTATGTAGTCTCAACTGATTCCATGATGAACATTTCGCTCAAGCTTTGTTTTATGTTTTTCTAACATTGGGCTACAGTTGGGATTGCCCCTTTTCCAATTTTTAGCAGCACAAACATTCATTCCCATGGACAGACTGGAAGATTCTCAAAATTATCTTTTCATGGGCAGAGAGTTTAATGTCTAAGCTTAGCATTCGTTGTTTTCCTGGATGATTCAATATGACAAACTTCATGTAGCAATATTTAATCTGATTTTCAAACGATTCATGCTATTGAATAAATAGGTATATTATCATATAAATTCCTCCACAGAGTTGCAACAAATCATTCTGTAATTTAAAAACTACCAAACCACAAGTTTCCTTTAATTTTTCAAGCCATATAATTTGAAAACTGAGTAAGAACCAAATCTTACTCAGCGTTTGGAGGCAGAGTGAAGACAGGAAATAACTCTGGACCCAGACACAGACCTTGCTTCTGGCTTCAGTACCACTGCGTAAGAGCCACATGGCACTAGACAAATCATGTAATTATTTCTGGGCCTCAGTTTCCTCTTCTGTGAAATAGGAAGAGTGACATGTTCATGGCTCCTCTACTTGGCTGATATGGCAGGCAAAAGCCCCTTAAAACTTCTAATGTCCCACGTAGCTAGAAGGTAGAACTATTCCTTAGCTTTTGACTGCTGTTTGTCTCACCTACACAAAATTGAAAGTCTCTCAGTGTAACTCCCTAATCCTACAGCAGCAAAGGAATGCCACGCACCTTGTGTGCACAGGCTCAGCAGCACCCCACTTCTGCAGGGAGAAGGGGTAGGGTGACCCGCTGATGCAAAGACGGGGATGTTTGCGTGCTCAAAGTATCTACTCTGCTCCGCTACACCACGCAACAACCAGACTAGACAAGCAAACAACCCCTCAAACCTCACTCTGAAGAATGAAAAACATTTTCCAAGTAGACACATTTTCACCTAGCATTTAGGCCAGAACACATCCTAGAAATGCAAGATGCATCGAAACTATATGGGGTCAAATAACTCACCATGGAAAATTACCCACAATAAAACCAGGCTATCTACAAAATGCCAAAGACTTCTGGAAGTAGATGCCGCCTAAGATCACATTTTCTAAGTGTTTTCTATTGCACACCCTCATTTCTCCTGTTTTATCTGGGTATCTACACGGAGCAGTGGGAGGGCAAAAAGATAAGGAGGGCTGTAAATGTCAGAGTCAAACTAGGAACCAGGAGCCTGGAAAACTCTGGTTGGGAGACAGGAAATTAACCACTGAAAATGCAAGGGTGCAGGCAAAGGTTTGGCCAGGGTGTAGACTTGTCCCCAAGGTGGAGTATCCGGAGAGAAGCCCAGAATGACTCACTTCGTTATGTTCCAAGCAGTAGATCATCAGCTCAGAAAGAATGAGCACGCCGGTCCTTCCCACCCCAGCACTACAGTGGACCACGATGGGCGGGTGCCGGTTCTTGGTGCCTTCCAGCATGCTGTTGGTATGGCGACGGACCGACTGGATCTCCTCCAAGTAGGCTGCAGGACAAAATGCAAATTCTGTCACCAAAGTCCTCCATGGCTTCGCATGTAAGTTGGGGAGGGGGGAGCGGAAGAGAACTGATGGTGAGTGTGTGTGTGTGTGTGTGTGTGTGTGTGTGTGTGTGTGTTTTAAGTGACAATAATTTATAGTTCTTACAAGACACTAATTATTTGGCTGGTACCCAATGTACAGTCCTGGATCCAGACAGGACCAGCTGGGAGTCAATTAGTTCGTGGGAGAATTTGTTCTTTAAATTAAATAGTACTTTTTTAAAAATTAAATTCTGTTTTCCCCTCTGCAAATCCCTAAGTCCCTCAAGCAGATGATTCTAGACATTACTTACAGCAATTCCTGCTATTAACAGACTGGGATCAGAACAACTGCTAAGTCCCCTTGAAACGCCCGCCTGTCAGAGCCAATTTCTGGTGGGGAGAGAGCATCCATCTGCCCCTTCTTCCTTCCCCTCACTGATGAGTGAATGTCAACTGAGGCTTGACTTCATTTTTGGGTTTTAAAGTAGACTTTGGGGAGTCTGCTTTTCAGCATGGATTCCACGGGGCTATGTGAGTAGCCCAAGATGAACCCCCATTCTGGAGGCAACATGTGTGTGAGGTGGAGGGGGTCATGATACCCCCCATGCCTTCTAGCATCTGCTTGGCTCAGCAGGGCTGTGCAGGGAGGGGTGCGTTCATGACTCCAATTAGGCACAAAAGAAAAATCACAGGATTCCAAGCCTTAATGACTTTTTCACAACCATGACAAAAGAGAAAAGTATGGAAATGTAATCCTCAGACACTCCAAAAACCCCCAAAATGTAATTAATAATTTAGATTTTGTAGTAGCTCAGGACAGAAACAGGTTTAAAGGTTCTTGATACTCAGTGAACCTCATCCTAAGGCAAAAGTGTAAACCAGACTATAGGGGAAATGTTTACATTGTTGAAGAGAAAAAAGTAGGTTTGAACCATTCAAATAATTTCAAAGCACCTGTTTACAGACATATATAAATAATCCATACTTTCCTTTATAAACTTATCTAATTACAAAATAATCTGAAGTGCTTTACCAAAAAACCAAACTATTATTATCACTACTACTACTACTACGATGATGATGACTAGTAGTAGTTATTAGTACTAGTCATAGCAGTACTACTAGTAGTAGTAATGTACAATGAGATAGGACAAAATAAAAAAGAAAGAAGGGCTGGGCTCAGTGGCTCATGCCTATAATCCCAGCACTTTAGGAGGCTGAGGTGGGCGGATCACCTGAGGTCAGGAGTTTGAGACCAGCCTGACCAAGATGATGAAACCCTGTCTCTACTAAAAATACAAAAATCAGTCGGATGTGGTGGCACGAGCCTGTAATCCCAGCTAGTAATTCCAGCTACTCAGGAGGCTGAGACAGGAGAATTGCTTAAAAACTGGAGGCGGAGGTTGCAGTGAGCCAAGATCCCGCCACTGCACCCCAGCCTGGGCACCAAGAGCAAAACTCCGCCTCAATTAAAAAAAGAAAAAGAAAAGGAGATGCCGTGAGATGCATAGAGGGAGTAGTTACTATTAGGTACCAATACAAGCTAGATATTGTGTGTGGAATCTTCTTTACAATTTTTCTGCGAGGGGGAAAAGACATTAGGCAACTGAGTATTCTATCTGACCAAAGGCAATATTTACATACAAGAGACAAAGCTTTACTTGAGCTAAATTTAAGAAGAAAAATAAAAGGAATGTTGGGTAATACGGTAGATGCCACTTTCAAATAGAGCTTTTCATGTAATGGAGAGAAGGTGGATTCAAAGGATGTTTCCTCTATCAGTCATACTAATAAAGTTCCTTACGCTGTAACTCAATAAAGACTTCTGGCGGGCAGTAAACAATTTGGCTCAGGTACTCTGCATCCAGGTAATCTAATTTAAACATGGGCAAAAATCTTTTAAAACCTAGGAGAAACAGATTCAACATTTCTAATGCCCTGCACAGAATACGTGTATTGACTTTCCTAAAAGCATAATACATACATTTACATTCTTTAAAAATACTATGTATTGGCCGGGCGCGGTGGCTCACGCTTGTAATCCCAGCACTTTGGGAGGCCGAGGCAGGCGGATCACGAGGTCAGGAGATGGAGACCCCGTCTCTACTAAAAATACAAAAAATTAGCCAGGCGTGGTGGTGGGCGCCTGTAGTCCCAGCTACTCGGAGAGGCTGAGGCAGGAGAATGGCGTGAACTCGGGAGGCGGAGTTTGCAGTGAGCCGAGATCTTGCCACTGTACTCCAGCCTGGGTGACAGAGTGAGACTCCATCTCAAAAAAAAAAAAAAAAATACTATGTCTTTTTTGGTAATTTAGACAGGCTTTCCTTAATTGGTTCTGATTTAAAAGACTATACTTTAAAGTGCCTTATAAGCTCACTCTTTCATCAGAGCTGTTAGCCAATCAACAAACTGATCTATTTATATTATTTCCCTTTTTTGCTTCTTGGAGAAAATTTTAATAAGTCAATTAGCACGTGATCAGGTGAAAGAAATACAATGAGCACTGTTAGGAGGAAAAGAAGTTCTGTAAAGGTCACTGCCCTTATTTCAAGCTACAGATAACAAGCCATTTGACTTCAGGCAAATCACGAGTCCTCTCTGGATCTTACTCTAGATTCTCTGACTCCAATCATCCTTCTACTCTCTGCTTTCAGTGCCAAACCCCTCAAGTACCATCGTCACTTTCAAGGAAATGAAATGCTTGTATTGCTGGATAAGTACACATCGGAATATTTATTGGAACTTGTAAATCAGTATTTTTAGGTCTTGAGAACCTGTTCTCTCCCTCTGTCATTCCCCTTTTCTCCCATTCTAAATGAATACCAAAATAAAATCAAGGTTTTGACATGATCCAACATCTGGATCATGGTCCCTCCATGGTGGTCACAGGTCTTCCACTAGCTGGAGAGTCAACAACAGAGCAGGCACAAGGCTACAGGGAGCATCTGGGGCTCCTTTCCAGGTGGGTGAGTAAAGAACGGGGTCTCCTGACAAGCACAGGACAGTTAGATGAGCATGTGGAAAGCAAGAGGGAGAGCTGCAGCCACCGCTGAAAAGCAGAGGAGGGTATCAGATCTCATCTTTGGACGATGATGACTGGCCTGTCTTTCCCATTAGGCTCTGAGTACGTCGGAAGTGAAGACTGAACTCAGTGTCATCTCTGCATTCTCAGAGCCCGATCCAGTGCCTGGCACGTAGTGGGTACATGCCCAATTTTGGGTCTTTCAAATAAAAATACTGCACATAATCTGGTGAATTAGTTTCTAATATAACCACATTCTAAAAGTACACATACACAGAAATTAATGAATTAGCCATTGAGCAAATTTCAGTTTCAAAAACTACAAGAGGGTTTCAATACTTCTTAGTGTCTTCATAAAAATATGAGAAAGTACGAGAAAGTACTGAGATGCTCAACTGTAGGGAAATATAGGTCTTGTGAGATGCAAACCTTCATGAAAACAATTTTTTTAATGTTATTCGTTTTTATTTATTTATTTATTTATTTATTTTTGAGATGGAGTTTTGCTCTTGTTGCCCAGACTGAAGTGCAATGATGCAATCTTGGTTCACTCCGCCTCCCAGGTTCAAGCAATTTTCCTGCCTCAGCCTCTCCAGTAGCTGGGATTACAGACATGCGCCACCACACCTGGCTAATTTTGTATTTTTAGTAGAGATGGGGTTTCACCATGTTGGCCACGCTGGTCTCAAACTCCTCACCTCGGGTGATCCGCCCACCTCGGCCTCCCAAAGTGCTGGGATTATAGGTGTGAGCCACCATGCCCGGCCTATTTTTAAGTTTTATTTCTCCTTTTTTTTAAAATGTGCTAAAGTGGACACAACATAAAACTTACCAGTTTAACCATTTTTAAGTACACAGTTCAGTGGCATTAAGCATAGTCATAGTTGTGCAACCATCACCATCATCCATGTCCAGTACTTTTTCCCTGTCCCAAACAGAAATGTTGCACCCATCAAATGTAATTCCTGGCTGGGCACAGTGGCTCACACCTGTAATCCCTGCAATTTGGGAGGCTGATGCGGGCAGATCACTTGAGACCAGGAGTTCAAGACTAGCCTGGCGAACATGGTGAAACCTCATCTCCACTAAAAATACAAAAATTAGCTAGATGTGGTGGCTGTGCCTATAGTCCCAGCTACTTGGGAGGCTGAGGCAGGAGAATTGCTTGAATCTGAGAGGCGGAGGTTGCAGTGAGCTGAGATTGTGCCACTGCACTCCAGCCTGGGTGACAGAGCGAGACTCCGCCTCAGAAAAAAATTTGTAATTTCCCAATCCCCCTTTGCCCCAGCCCCTGGTAACCTCTCACCTACTTTCTGTCTCTGACCTTGCCTATTCTAGGAACCTCATATAAGTGGAATCACATAGTTTTTGTCCTTTTGTGACTGGATTATTTCCACTCAGCATCATTCCTCAAAGTTCATCCTTGTTGTAACATGTGTCAGAATAGTTACTGATTAAATGAGTAGCTAAAGGTCTGAATCAAGGTAGAGCCAATATGTTGATCACAGTCTTAGCTTACGTGCATGAAAGGTAAACAGAATAAGTGACATGTATTATTATACTCTGTTCTACATAGTAAGAAAGGAATATATATTTCAATATTATAATACTTTTGCCACTTAAGAGAAAGCATCCTCTTTTTCCATTTCATCTCCAACAGATGAATTATTGACACAGATCATAAAAGTCAGTCAGGTAGCAGACTGGGAAGAAAAACACTTACATAAAAATCCTTGGACATCTTCTGGACAGCCGTGATCTGGCCAGTCAGTATATTGTAAATGCCACACCGTCCTTTCTTGCCCAGACAAAAGGTGCTTGACCTTCAAGCCCGTGGTTGCATAGCAAACAGAATCCGTTCGAAACTTCGTGGTGACCTTGAACTTGCCATAGGTGGCTGAGCTGTGCTTTGAACCTAGTTTGGGCCAGTATCGGTGGCTTTTGGTTCGTCCACCCTCCTAAATCACATATAAAAGCAAAATTGGAAATAGGTCAAGGGAAGCTCTCATCCTTTTAATCCTAAGATATGAAGACAGAAGAAAATGCAAATAGCTTCTAAATCGCTAGTTCAGTAGCACTCTGCAGTGTCTACCACAGGGTAGATCCTATACATGCTAGTTAAGACCAATAACACAATTTACAATGACAGTTACATCAATGGAAAATTTAAAAGATTCACAACCGAGGTGCAGTAGAATGTTAGAGAGAAGTGCAAGTGCAGTCTAGAAGCAGGAACAAGCTTCGTGCATTCAAGAAACAAAGGTCAGCCGGGCGTGGCGGCTCACGCCTGTAATCGCAGCACTTTGGGAGGCCAAGGCGCGTGGATCACAAGGTCAGGAGATCGAGACCATCCTGGCTAACATGGTGAAACCCCATCTCTACTAAAAATACAAACAATTAGCCAGGCGCGGTGGCGGGTGCCTGTAGTCCCAGCTGCTGGGGAGGCTGAGGCAGGAGAATGGCATAAACCCGGGAGGCGGAGCTTGCAGTGAGCCAAGATCACGCCACTGCACCCCAGCCTGGGCAACAGAGGGGAGATTCCATCTCAAAAAAAAAAAAAAAAGAAAAAAGAAACGAAGGTCTTCGGGGTGGCTGGAGTGTGACATGTGAGGGGCCAGGCGATCAGAGAGGAGACTGGAAAGGCCTCACAGTCCATGGTGGAAAGTTTGGATTTCATCCCATGGGCACGGGAAGTCATTCAAAGGTTTTAAACAAGGCGGGAAGGGGTTCCAGCAATCGCTGTAGGTCACGTTACTCCTTTCGGATGTTCAGCGCACAGCTCTTTCTGTTACAGCACACTGACTACCGATGCTGTCTTTATCTAGTGTCGATTTCACATTTGTTTCAGCCTGACCAATGCGTTTTAGTTCAATCTACAACTAGAACTGAGAACAGCTGCTTACATCACCATTCTTTCTCCCTTGATTTTATAAACTTTTCTGAGAATATGTATTCTCAACCATTTACACAAGGTCTATGTTTCAGCTTTGCACCGTTTTAAAATCTCTGGAGAAGGGGCGGAGTGTGGAGGAGGTGGTAGCTGAGGAGATTCAGGGCAAGGAGTAGGTGGTGAGAGAGAAGGAGCACTGAACACATACAGCTGCAGTGGTGACAGGCTCTGGGAACCCTGATGGCTGTTTACAGGAACATTAGAGTTCCTCTTGTAAAGCCCACTTGTAAAGCAACACATCTTTGCGGAATATGTAAATTACCTTGCCTGGCTTCATTTGGTTTAATTGAGTCTCCTTAAATTGGAAGCATACCTTCCTCTTTTATTTACCAATCCTGTGAAAGCAGATTTACCTCGAATTTACATTTCTGCTGAGTGTCTAAATCAGTTATGGATTTTAAAAGACTATAAGTCCCCAGCTGTCCCACAGATTACTAGATGCTACTTTGTCTTGGCAAGGCTGGCTCCTTGTCACTCCGGTCTCACCTCCAATGCCACTCCCTCAGAGGGTCCTTGGCCACCCCCCTGATCTAAAGTAGACCCCAGTCACTCTCTTTCTTAACCCTTTTTCCATTTTTAAAAATTTTCTCCCTTGAATTTATGCTACTATTAATAAGGTTTTTACTTCCAGCCTTCCAGCAAGTGTGCAACATGATACAGAGCCTGGAGCTCAGGGTTGCACATCGTGAAGCCACCCTTTAGTAGGAGTCCCCTAGCGTGAATGACAGTTTTGCAGCTGAAACCCACACAAAGAGGAGGAGGGATGAGGCAGGAGGACCTGTACTCACCCAGACCCACTCTGGACTATAGTTTTCCATTTCTGCCACGGCACTTACTGCTATCTGCACTGATTTTATCTGTTCACTTTTGAATGTCCCTCCCACTAGGACATAAGCTCTATGGGGACAGGGATGGTGCCTGTCTCGTTTACCGTGTACTCCTGAAGTTAGCACAGATGGTATGCTGTATTTAGGTGAATGAATGCCTTGCAATGGTGTGAGCTGATAAGGTGATAAATCTATTCTAGAAGCTTTAAGGAGGATTCATTCTCTTTGTGGGAAGGTCAAACAGGTCAGCCCAGGGAAGTACAACTGGCTTTAAAGAGCCTGATGTCCCTTTCATTATTTTCTTCTAATGGACTGTGCTGAGAAGCAAATGCTCAACACAGTCAATGAAGGAAAATATGACTTTTTCCTCCCCAATTTTCTTTGTTCCTGACCCCTTTAACATAGCTAGGAAAGGCCACTGCAATACCATGGATATTGGTAAACACACATGAAACTAGTCCCTTGAATGATTTCAAAACATAAATTGGAATTTAATGAAAGAAATAAAAGAAGGTGGTTAAAGAAATTTTGAGAATGTGACAAGAGAAGAAATACAACACTTCTCCCCACAAAGACAGCAAGCTCAACACCGACTGGATTGACTGGCAGTGTAGGCTGGTTTTTTATAACATCACATAGAGTTCTCTAGTTACAGCAGAAAAACTATGTTTGGCTTGGCAAAAGAAGAAAAAGATATTTTTTCTTCCCCCAAAGAACAGAGGACTCTCCAGGAACAACGGCTTCTGGTCTCTTTTCAGCTGATAAGGATGATGGCATGTGGAGCTGGGTGCCTGGAGTTGGGCGTCTATGTCGATTTGCCCAGAGCAGCCTGAGACTCCCAAATTCCAGTGGAAAGATCACTGTTTTCGTTTGGCACAGAAAGTCAGCAGGTTGAACTAAAGTCTGTCATTTTTGGTTTTCTGTTGTTTTATTTTCAGTTTAGTGCATTACAATCCAAGGAAAAGAGTTAAAAGCCAGATGAAAATGGGAGGAGGAAAAGCTACAACAATCAATTATCTCCAGGGGAAAAAATATCTATCTGGAAGTAAGAAAACAGATGTATACCAAAGAGAAAAGCATGTGCAGAGAAACAGCACTGCAGGAAGAAGGATAGGGTAGCAAAGTTGACAGCACAAAGCCCATCTTCTGGCCACCCTTTCCCCTGGGGAAAAAGGATGTGGAGTAGGCCATTCCCCTTACCTCCTCTGCAGTGACCATGGCAATCACATTCACTCCCTGCTCCCACACCATCTGCCAGAAGTCGTGGCACGTGTGTGGCAGGGGCCCCTGGGTGGCTATGTAGTGCCATTCTGCCCCGCCAACCACCACCTAAAAACCAAGAAAAGTATCGGTAAATAAACCCCAAGTCCGGACAACATTACCTGCTGATCACCTGTCCATCTGTATCCACCTTAAAACCTTGGATATATTTTTGGGGCCGAATGAATTAGTTCAATGAACAAAAACCCTGAGACTACAGAGGCTAGTGTAGTGACACATTCTCACATGAAAATACTTTTTGCCACTCAAGCCTATTAAATATTTATCTAATCCTGGTTTTTGAGACTGAGTCTTGCTCTGCTGCTTAGGCGGGAGTACAGTGGCACGATCTTGGCTCACTGCAACCTCCGCCTCCTGGGTTCAAGCAATTCTCCCGTCTCAGAATCCCAAGGAGCTGGGATTACAGGCACTCGCCATCATGCCCGGCTAATTTTTGTATTTTTGTAGAGATGGCGTTTCACCACATTGGCCAGGCTGGTCTTGAACTCCTGACTTCAGGTGATACGCCCATCTCAGCCTCCCAAAGTGCTGGGATTACAGGCCTGAGCCACCAGGCTTGGCCTTTACCTGATCTTTGTTTGCAACTCACAGTATATGCAAACTAGTGCCTATTAAAAACCATACACATACACACATGTATAGATGCATATATATGAACATGTATAACTTAGGATTTACTTGTTACAGAAATAATAGTTACTGCTTACTATGTGCAATGTACTCTAACACTTTCCATTCTTTTCTCTTTTCTAGTCGATTTCATTGAAACACACACACACACACACACACACACACACACACACACACACACACACACCTGGTCATGACCACTAAACTGATTTCACATTCTACCACTGTGTTGTAATCCAGTTTGAAAAGCAGTGCTTCATGGCATCCAATTAAACAATAAAAAAAAAAAAAAAGATCATGAAACAACATCCCTTTTGGAGCACTATCTTTCTCCTGTGGATCTGAGATGAAGTGTATCATAAACCTCTGCTGTCACTGCTGCTCTGTGGTGCCATGCACGGCAGAGATGCTACGAATGCTCTTGTCAACAGCATATATTTTATCAATAGCTTCACCTTGGTAGTACCACAGCATCCAACTGAACTACAGTCATGACATGACTTTGGATAATAAAATTATTACCCCTGCAGCTCAGGGTGATCAGGGGAAGATAATTCTACAGCTATAAATACTAGCTGCTGAGAACCATAAATAAGAAGTTGTACCCAAAGTGTTAAAGGTCATGCTGTCAAGGTGAAATGGTGGCCTTTGGAGGAATTCTTTCTGTTCTCCCTTCCAGGTCTGTGCCTTGATATTGCAAAGTCAGGTCCCTTCTACATCTATACAATGCAGATCTCTGGAGAGTTCAAAAAGTAATGAAGTAATCATTGTTTGAAACTTTTTCCCCTCATTTATTTGATAAAACTGTATGCTAACTTGGTTCAAACAAAAACAATGTAAGTTATTGTCTCATTACACAAGGCATGTTTAGGTCAAAGCTGGCAAGAAAAATCCATTTTCCAAATACTGGTGGGAGATAACATTCATATATTTGCTGGCTAGGAGTTTGGTTTATCCGTGGAATTGTGATTTTAAACATTAGCCTCTCTGGCACCCAACGTATAGGAAACATAAATACTTCCAGAGAATGCTGCTGCTGCCTGGGGCCTTTCAGTATATTCCAAGTATTGACAGAAGGGTATTAAAAACTGCATTAAAAACACAACAAGCAGTGCTGCTGAGGTAGATTTCACACATGTGATTCCACCTCTGGAGCAAATAAATCTCTGTTCTGTGTTAACGGCTGCTTGGAACCCAGGGGGGAAAACACTGGCAAAATATACTCCTCTATTCCAAAACACAGGGACAAGTTCTTGCAAGGTCCACGGGTCTATGAAATGCACCCATGTCTAACCCGGATCCACAGGATGAAATGTGGGCCACAGAGAATACCAAGGAAGGGAATGCTCCTCGGTTAACAATGCCCGATGGGCACAGTTTATACAAAGTGACAGCTTTTTTCAGAGAGCAGATGGAAAATAGTGGAAGAGATCTGGCCAAAAGAAGAAGATAATATAATATTTCTATGTAAGATTTTCATAGACACTCTATCAGGAAGCAGCTGTGTGATCTGCATCTTTGTTGGAATACATTACTTTGGTCATTGTTTCATAATGTAAACTAAGCCCATGAAACCCACCACTGACAGTTTATTTAAGAGTTTCCTAGAGTTCACTTTTTACTTCTCACTCTCAAAAATCCAAGTTAAAATTAGTAATATGATCTATGATAGTTACTCTTTTATATTTCTTTTGACAGTACTTTCTAATTATTAAAAACTATGGTTATCTGTGTATATTAATAAAAATAGTATATACCCAACCATACTATACTTTTCCCATTCTGTATCAAAACTAGTTATAATTGATACACAAGCTAGATATCTAACTCGCCTTTTACAGGCTTAAAAAAACCTGTTAATAATTCTGCTACAGTTGAAAAGTCCAATGAGGAAAGTAAGTAATTCTAGACAAGGCCGAAAACAGGTTTCTAAGGCTATTGATCACAGTGGACTATCAATTGAACCTTGTGTTATTTAACAACACCTATAACACTGGCTTTAACATTAATAGATGAACAAATCTCCCACTTCAGAGTTCAGAGCAAATGGTGACATTCTAAATAAGTGTCCCTCTGTTAACAGGGACTCTGAGGAAGGTAAGCTATTTAAGAAACATTTAACTACAGGTACACATGTATCCATAAGTCAAAGTTTTAACTGCAGAAGTGCTAAACTATGTAATACTGACATATAAAGGTTTGAAGTATTTGAAATAACAACAAAAATTTAGTAACACAAATTCATTGACTAATGTGGCAAATCTTTCAAGATTCAATATTAACCACACTTTTATAGTGTAGGTGAAAATTACTCCACTCTTCTAAATACCATGCAATAATAGGACTCGCGCTTTTATAAAATGCATAACCTGCAGTATTATAAGGGAAAAACAATAGTTTCTATTGTTATTGAACATGACACTTTTATGTCAGTAACGCAATACCTGTAACTTCCAAAGTCTCCAGCACCTGCTAATTACAAACTGAAAAGGATAATCTGAGTATAGAGAGAGTTACAGCCCACAGAGAGAAGGAAAAGTTAAAGCCTCTGTAATGAGCGAGCTTCAGAAATCGCTGACCTGAAGTTCTTCCTGAGGCTGCTAGACTTCCTTCTCTCTGCAGTGATAGACATGCCCTTCCACTTGACTAAGAAAAGCACAGGAGTTCAAAAACAATCCCTGAGGGTCTGGGGACAAGCCAAAAGGTACAACTGCAGCCCACACATTTTCTTCTCCCCGCATTTTTCCCTTTAACCCAGCCATCTTTACCAAACCTTCTAACAGGCTTGCCTTCTTACCTTGATGTGGGAGGCATTAATGTATCCTGTGTTATTTTCTTTGGTTGGTATCAGCTCTACTCGATTCTCCTCATAGGGGACAACTTCACGGATTCGGCTGCGCTCGGCGTTTTCTGGCAGAGCTGCTGTGCTGAAAATGCCATTCGCCTTTTTCTTTGGAATTTGCTCATATTCTGTGAACACCATTCCCTCTTCTAGTTTCTTCTTCAGGGTTCTGAACTGCAACAGAAATTGATCTTCAGCTCTCTAAATTATCTGATCCAAAAACTCAATGAAACAACCAAATTTCTTTAAATATTTAGCGATTGTGTTAAAAGAGATTTCAAGTTCTACAATCAATGCTTGGTTTGTCTCATTATCAACCATATTGATATTTTCCCTTGTCTAATAACCATTTTCCTTCTTACTCATATTATAAGTAGAACAAATCTGCAAGAACTAGCAAGAGTTGAAATTCAAAAATCAATATTTTTGCTATTAACAACTCTGTTTAAAGTCCTAATGATAAAGAGACTGTTAATCTTAATTATCCAAACATCCTTTCCTCCACCTATATAGCTGTTTTTAAGATGATACTGGTCCACAGTTCTATAGCTCTGAGGATTAAATCACTCTCTTTTTTCCTCCTTCCTGGCCAAACTACTAATTCCAATAACATGGTATTAATTGGGTTAAATGATTTCTCTGAAGTCCCTTCTGGCTTTAAAAACATTCTAATTCTGGATACATACTGGCAGAAATCGAACACCCTGGTGTTATTAGTACTTTATTACATTTATACAACCTGTTTCTTAACCTTCTGACAGCAATTTCGGGAACTAAGGATCCACCTTTCTTCGCTTCTGAAACACTACCATGCAGCTGCTTTCTGCTTTTCAAAACCCATGTTGTCACAATGCATTATCCAGACAATTATAAATCAGCCTCATTTTATGGTCATACGAGGGGACAGCATTTTTAAAGAACTCTATAAATGCTTGGATACAAGGTCATGTCTTTTGCGGGAGACATGGATGGAGCTGGAGGCTATTATCCTTAGCAAACTAAAGCAGAAACAGAAAACCAAATACTGCATGTTGTCACTTATAAGTGGGAGCTAAATGATAAGAATTTATGAACACAAAGAAGGAAACAACAGACACTGGGGCCTACCTGAGGGTGGAGGGTGGAAGGAGGGAGAGGAGCAGAGAGGATAACCATGGGGTACTGGGCTTAATACCTGGGTGATGAAATAATACGTACAACAAACCCCTGTGACATGTGTTTACCTATGTAATAAACCTTCACATGTGCCCCCAAAACTAAAATAAAAGTTTAAAAAAATTAAAAATAAAAATAAATGCTTGGATAAAATAATCACTTCCTAAGAAGTGGCAATTGCTCACAAAAATCACAGAAATTCAGAGCTACTGCAAGTGTTTAACTTGTGCATTTTACAAAACAGGAAGTGGGCCCAAAGAAATTGAGTGACTTGACCAAGTCATACAGCATGTTAGGGGCTGATGGTTTTAGTCAACCAATGATCTGCCAACCGGACAAAGCAGGAAGACCGGAATGGAGAAACATGAGATGCTGAAAGGGACTGATTTAATGCAACACAGTTATACCTGATCTTCCTAATCTCAGATTGAAGAAAGAATGCATCACACAAATCTCAATGCTGGCATATTCGGGCAAGGAGGGTGTTTTGGGATCCTAAGACTACAGAGAATGAGTCACATTGACAAGCCTGCCACTTACCCTCTCGTCCATGGGAACCCGGGTGGCATCAACTCGATTCTCTTCCCGCCCTGAGACTCGAGCCACCGAGAGCCCATTCAATGCTGCCAACATCAGCGGCCTCTTCTGTGCCTCCAGGCCTGCCATCTTCTGCTTCTCTAGATTCTTGCGGCAAGAAAAGGCATGTGCTCATTGTTTATAATACTAGTAGAATGTTGGAATGTGTTTTAATCTCCTCAAATCTGTAACTCCCCAGCCAAGGAATGCAGACAATCACCATCAGTAGGGCAAATTCAAACACAGCCTTCCCACTATTCCCACTGGGCCCCTGGAAGCCAGTTCCTACAGGACTCCTGAGCTTTTATTCTTAATTAACTCCTTAGCTAGATAGACCAATAAATAAGAAAAAAGACTCCCTACAAATACACCCTGCCATAGGGCAAAACAAAACAAAACAAAAACAAAATAGGGTACATGCGATACACTTTAGAAAGGTAAAGATGACAGGACAAGGAAAAGAGAAACAGGGTTATATGAACCATCTAATCCAATCACAGTGACGGACCTTCTGCACAGACGGAACGGAGCAAAACTTGTAAAACAGTTTGTTGTTGATTGAGAGATCCACACACATAAACTGTAGAGGAAAATCTTCCTAAGTTTCCGTCCTGAGGGGCTAATGCTGAGGACGTTAATTCTATAATTAATCTCTGATCCTTGGAATACCTAAGGGTGTGTCATCCCCAGAATTGAGAGCTGATGTGGTTTAGCAAACTCACTAACAGCAAAGCCTGGCTGGGGTCACCTAAGATGATCCGCAGGCATCACCCTCCAGGCTTCACCCAGAGGGCCCACAGTAACAGAGACGGTGCCTCCCAACACAAATGGTGGGACATCACTGCATGCCACTGAGCTATGGGGGAACATGGACTCCGGAACTGAGCAGACCACTTAGGGAAAGGTTTTGATGTTTACACCTGGTCCTGGTTTGTGGCTTTTTGATTTCCATCCTCTCTGCCCTCACCTCTAAATTGAAATTGGATTGGGCAGGGCTGGTTTTTAGCCTCCTGCTGTGCTTCCTCAGGTCCTTGAAACTAACCGAGTATGAAAAAGCTCTCTTTATGCTCACTTCAAGCAAGCCACGAAGGGCCTTTCCTAAAATTAAGTGTGTCTTTGAAGTTAAGGGAAGAACACAGGCATTCCTCATAGAAGCAGATGAGTTTTGCAGGGTTTAGGATTTTGATTCACAATGAAGGGCAACCAATTTGCAGATTCATTTGACTGACACAGATGAAGAGCCATTGAATCCTTGGTTTCTTTTCAAGCCTTGAGAGACTTTTTTCCTTATTCTATGATGTATAAATTCACTCCCCAGGAAGAGGTCTTGACGGAGCCATCCCACAGGGTTATGAATTATTCTAATTGCGGGTGGGAGGACTGCATGACGCCCTTCCATGTGTCTCCACAATGTCACCTACAATCAGAATGAAGCCTGTGTGAGTGACACTGACAACAGGATGCCTATCCTGGTGGCAGCCGACTCATCAGACAAACCAAAGGAGTATCTCAGAGGAGGTTACTGGGAGAAAGTGAGAAAAGCACTGTGAAAGGAAAATATCTTGGGCCCCAAATCACTAAGCTAAAAGGAAAAGTCAAGCTGGGCACTGCTTGGGCAAACCTGCCTCCCATTCTATTCAAAGTCACCCCTCTGCTCACTGAGATAAATGCATATCTGATTGCCTCCTTTGGAGAGGCTAATCAGAAACAAAAGAATGCAACCATTTGCCTCTCACCTACCTGTGACGTGGAAGCCCCCTCCCTACTTCAAGTCTTCCTGCCTTTGCTTCAAGTTGTCCTGCCTTTCCAGACAGAAACAATATTGACTGATGTCTCATGTCTCCCTAAAATGTATAAAACCAAGCCATGCCCCGACCACCTTGGGCACATGTCATCAGGACCTCCTGAGGCTGTGTGACAGGTGTGTACCCTCAACCTTGGCAGAATAAACTTTCTACATTAACTGAGACCTGTCTCAGATTTTCTGGGTTTACAGTACCCAAGGACTTACCACCAAAAGATATAATATTCTTACAAATGACCCTGGTCTCTCAATTCTCGGGAACCCCCTGGGGGAAGATTCTGGATTAAAATTTTTAGGTCTTTGTTTGCTTGCTGCTAGTTTTGGGGAGAAAGAGTTTTTCTTTCTTTTTTTTTATTTCTGCCACCTCTTTCACTTGGGAATCTATTTTCACTGCTCTCCAAAGTTTTGAGAAGGCAATAGTCCTGAAAAATGGGTCCTGAGCTCCTCTCAGCAGTCCTGCTTTCTTTCCACCTGCACTGTAAGGTGACCCTAACTGGGTCTAAGACAAAAAGTAATTAACTTGTCTTTCTCGGGAAAGGATTATTACTCAGTGATAAATCAAAGTATGTCTCTTTGATCCTTCTCACTCACCCTATCAGCTTGTTACCAGAGATAAAAAAAATAATAATAATTCACAAGCTCTGATCTGTGATCAGAGGGCCTTTTCTTCTCAGTGCATCAACTTCTGGCTAGGGGACTACAAGCAGGGAAGTATCTTCAAGGAAGCAGTAGGAGCCAGAATGAGAAGCTATAAAAGCGGCGGAACCATCCATCAAACAGACAAGCAGCTCCAGGAGAGCTGCCCAGAGGGCAAATTCTCACCATACCTGCACACCCCGCCAGCCCCTGAGTTTTCTTTTGCTAAAAGTTTCTCATTGTGTTCTGATCAAGAGGGCCCTTAGAATGGCCATCACCTCTCATGAATTCCCATCAAGCTGGCAAAAGCTGCCCATAGTGAGGAGAGCAGAGAAGTATCTGACCTGTGGGGATGTTGCTTAGGCTATGGGGTGAGTTTTTGCATTAAAAACAAAACAGATGGAGACTCATCTTGGGCTCAAAGCCACTGGCATTGTCACCACCTTGCCTGGCCTCCTGGCTCACTGAAGCAGCTCCTAATCCAACTCTAAGGTCTGCCGGTGTCCTTGAGCTCCTGAGTGTAGCAGATTTGGGGGAAAAAAAAATCAACAGGGAAAATGAAGTAGAAATGGGGTAATTATTTTCTTGAACTAAAGGTTAATGGCTAAAATTTGCTAGTCATTATTACCCACATGAATGGAATGGAAAAGCATCTGGAGAAAAAACAATAGTGAAAATCTCCTTGTTCCTTTGTGATAATGCAAGGAGCTCTAAGGAGGAGACCCATGCCAAGATTTTGGCTACAGGCTATTTGTTTAATACGAGTAACAAGAGAAGAGGATGAATACAACCAAAATGAGGTTATGGGACCATGTGGACATCATTAAGTATCAAGTTGGCAGGGGAAATAGCTAAATTAAATGCTTAGACTGATAGGTTCTTGATGCTAATGTTGCTTTTAAGTGGTCTGGAAGAAGTATTGAAAAATCATTTTCTACCAATAAATTGCTTTATTCCATGCTGGGAAAGCTCTCTCCCAACAGCACCTACCCATTTCTTCCATTCCAAGCCAAAGGTTTTCTTTGCTAGAGGCAAAGGTACACCTTGCACAATTTCCTTCTAGGTTTGCAAAAAGTCATATCTGTATAAAAATCTCTTAGCACTACTCTAGTGGGGCTGGCCAGAACTGTGAGGTTGAGAATGTTCTTAAGGTTTTCCAAAAGTAACAAGGTTGCTACAGATTCAATTTCTGACCCCAGGAACTTGGCTTCCTTAAAACTTTGGGCCTTGATTGTTCTTTTCAGGTTGAATCCCAGTGATGGGTTAGGAAGACCTGGAAATGAAGGTGGCCTAATGGAATCCATCAAAGCAAATTTTAAGTTACAACTGTTTCGGAGTTCCTAAAATTAGGCTTGGCTACCTTATGGTGCAGCCATGGTGAATGAAGAGAAGTCAATCTGGCTTTGATTAGTTCTAGTTAATAGGTTTTTTTTAAAGGAGTGAAAATGTTCATGGCAAGCAGCAATGGAGATTTTTTTTTGTTTTTCTGAGACGGGGTCTTGCTCTGTCATCCAGGCTGGAGTGCAGTGGTGCCATCTCGGCTCACAGCAACCTCCGCCTTGTGGGTTCAAGTGATTCTCCTGCCTCCCTCCTGAGTAACTGGGATTACAGGTGCACGCCACCACACACGGCTAATTTTTGTATTTTTAGTACTGATGGGGTTTCACCATGTTGGTCAGGCTGGTCTTGAACTCCTGACCTTGTGATCTGCCCACCTCGGCCTCCCAAAGTGCTGGGATTACAGGCGTGAGCCACAGTGCCCAGTCGAGATTTTTTAAAGTAGCTATAATCCAAACATTTTCTCATTAGTAAGAGCAGATTCACTTCGTTGTTCTATATGTGCCTGCATAGTCCTGTTCTGACAACTTAACTGTCTCCCCAAATTGTACAATATATTTTTTTAAAGCGATGAGGTTTAGTCCTGTCATCCAGGCTGGAGTGCAGTGGCAAAATCATAGGTCACTAAAGCCTTGAATTCCTGGGCTCAAGCGATCCTCCCACCTCAGCCTCCTGATTAGCTAGGACTACAGGCTCCTGCCATCATGTCTGGCTGGTTCTTTTTTTATTATTATTTTATTTTAGAGATAAGATCTCATTATACTGCCCAGGCTGGCTTCATACTCCTGGCTTCTAGTGCTCTTCCTACCTCAGCCTCCCAAGTAGCTGGGACTACAGGTGTCCCCCACCATACCTGGCTCTGTACATATTATGAAGAAGAGCTATTCATGTCTAGTACTAGGATGGATCTTCAAGTGGTAATATGTATGTATATATGTATGTGTGTATTCACGTATGTGTGTGAATTTTTGACAGAATAAGTTCAATGGAGAATTATTTATCCAATTACTAAGTTATATATCCAATTACTATAATTTTCTTGAATCTGTGTGAAACATCTATTGAAAGAAAATCTGAATACAAAGCTAGACATATCACAGTCCAGACAATACTGGTGAGTCTTGACTTACGGATCTATACAGAAGGCGGTATAGGGATGTTGCTCTTTAATACCTAACTGGATGTGGGGGACAGCTTTCCTTCAAGAAAACAAAACACTAAAAGACACAGCAAGGTGAACTTCCCCAATACCAGCTTACCCAATTGGAAGTCTGAGCTTTGAATAAACAGCAAAATGCTGGCTGAGGCACTGGCCTCAATAACGTACCAAGTACACCTGTTAGAAGCCACAAATGAGAATGGAAGATTTATCTGAAAGGGCAAAAACTCAACATTTTGTGTAATAAAGTACTACCTTTTAAATGCTCAATGATTCCTTAAAAACCTACCACGTTCCCTGCATAAGCCCTGCCCCTTGCTCAGTGCCTGAAGCATGTGCTTTCACACTGGAAAATGCCCTGGGAGAGGAGGACACTCACCCTGATCATCATCTCTCTCTCTATAATGCTGTCTTCCAGGGAAAACATTTCAGACACAGGTCTCTCCTTCACAGGCTCTTTTTTGACCCGCTCCTTCACACTAGTCAGGTCGGGTTCCGAGATGGATGGGCCGAGAGAGGCCCCGTTGACAGCCGGCGGGTCAGTCCGAGACATGCTGATGGCCTTGGCTGGCCCATGCCTCAGCACCCTGGCTCTGGCCATGGCGGGAGGAAGGCTGGCTTGGTCCTGCCTCAGAGCCCCATTGCTCACACTCTTCCTTGGACCGGGGTACTCAGGCGGGGGCTTGTTGGGGATGCGGGCCAGGGCCGCCTGCAGCTGGGCACTGTACTCCATCTTCTCCCGGAGCATGGGGATCTGGGGCACCGATTCTGGAGCCTCCTCCTCCTCCTCCTCACTCTCGCTGCTGTGGATTAGCATAGTGGCATCAGAGAAGGTCTTCTTGTGGTGATACTGAGGGAGCTGGGGGACCTCGTGGCTGCCTGACCCCTCCTCGGGCGGTCCCTGCTCCCGGAGCGTGTTGCGGCGAGCCATGGGGAGGTGGAGCGACTTGAGCGTCATGGCCTCCATGCCCCGCACCATGCTGTTCATCACCTCCAGGCTGTGGCGCTTGTTCACAGTGCCGTGGTGCTTGGTGGCCGTGAGGGGCTCGCTCACCTCCTGGAGAGACTGATGAACCACCGGAGAGCTGTCCTCTTGGAAGGTCTTCACCGAGAGCTGCACCTTCCGGGTCACCAGGTCCGGGCTGCTGCCGCTGACGTACTTGTGGCGGTGGCTGGCCAGGTCTGGGGTGCTGGTGGCAGGTCGTGGCCGTGGGTAGGGGGGCGGTGGCCTGAAGAGATAGTTCTTAAGCATGTGGGCCGTGCTGTAGTTATGGCTGCCCTGCAGCTGCATGTTGGCCAGCTCTGGGGTGCTCACCGTGTGCGAGATGGCGCTTGCCCCCGGCTTGCTTGGTACCACATTATTCTTTGGGTTCCTCTGGTCAGATGGACTGACAAGTTTGTTGCTGTAGACCCCCTGTGGCCCATAAGGGACAGTGTAGGGGTGCCTCTCCCGCATCTCCGGTTGGCTGTACACCAGATCCTCTGGCTGGTTGTAGGCATGGGTGTTGATAATGTTGAGGTTTCTCAGAGACTGGCTCTGGCTGTCTGTATGCAGGATCCCCCTCTTCATCTGGCGCATGACTGTCTCATAATCGGGGGTTGGCCTGTACGAGGGCACGATGATCGCGCTGTGCCGGTGGCTCGGGATGTAGTCGGCCCGCATGATGTCACTCCCAGGGATACTGAGGTTGGAGGATACAGGGGAGGCCTGGATGAAACTTTGCGAGCAGTTGAGGGAGTTGACGCTGTGAACGCTACACACGCTGCCATTGGTGACAGTGCCATTTAAATAATTTAAGTCCAGGCTGTTGTGAGAGTTGCAATACAAGGCTTCTTCATTCCCATGAAAAATGCTGTCTACAAGAAGTCAAACAAAGGCACGTGAACCTCCAAGCCATCCTGCCACAACAAAGTACATCCTCATACTCATGAGGTGACTTTTAATTTAAACAAATCATAAAAAGTGAAATCCCATGGTCTCCACCCACATGTTCTATAGAATAACAGATACTATCTTGGATGAAATGCCAACATACAGAAAGAACACCTTAAGACATACTGAAAAGAAAAAGGGAACCTAATGGAAGAAGGCATGCACACATTTGGAGTAAGTGTCGCTTGAGGAAGTTCTCAATTTTGCCATAAGCTTTGAAATCAGGCACCAACAACAGCCCTCCAGTTGGGGAGGCCTGTCCTCTTGTGCAGGGCTCGGCAATAGGACTGAATATTTAGACAAGACAGTCAAGAACTTTAATAGGGCAATAGATTTCAATTACTAAGTGCTCAGAGCTGCTCTTCCTGACGGCAATGGAAAAAGCCCCTTCACCCAGGGGACTGCAGGGCATTCTAAAGACACAAAACAAATGATGTAGCCAGGGTGTCCGCACAGCTAGTTCATCCTGAGCAGCAATAAAGGGCAAAATTAGAATCAAGAGTTCTTTTTGGTAATTCCCCAAATCCCCTCTAGATCTGGTTTCATCACTTAGGTCAATTCAAGTAAAAATTAATTATAGTTTAAAGAGGTACCTAAAGAGAGAAAAAGCAGATTTCTACAATCAGGCCCAACCTGATTGATTTCTACAATCAGGCCCAACCTGATTGATTTCTACAATCAGGCCCAACCTGATTGATTTCTACAATCAGGTGTCTGGTGTTCTCTTACACACACACACACCCCAAGGAAGGCAACCTCTTGCCTTTCTGTGGCCAAAATATATTCATTTTCACACTACAGATTTAAACATGAGCAAAACAGAGAAACAGAAAATCAGAGAAGGTGAAAAACAGAAAAGGTGACTGAAGACATTCAACTGTCTGAAGAGGAAGAATGTGGAAAGAGATCTGATCAGATGAGACAGGCACAAAAAACAGGGGGAACACAGAGACAAATGTGCCGCAATTTATCCACCTCCCATGGGGTTTGGCGCCTTCCCATAGAAATGTGGTAACTTTGCCAGTCTCCTTATAAAAAGTACTATTTTTATTAAATTAAATAGTCTTGATTGTCTTGGTTTTCATGCTCACACTTTCAGACAGCAGAGGATTCAAAATGGCCAGGAGTTGATAACGTAGAAACTATATTATCCATTTACTACATTTCCAACATCCACGGTTTTCTACCATCTCTCTTTTTGAAATGCAGTTAGCATAACGATTACAAGTTACCGATTTTCATATATAAGTTCCATCATTAATCTCTCTGTATTCCAATTTCTATAACTGTAAAATAGAAATAATAATAGTACCTATAGGTTTATTTTAAGGATGACATAAGACAATATATAGCAAGTACTTACAGCAATACCACAATTGCTCTATGAATGTTAGTTGTTATCATGGAGTCATTACTAGCAGAAGAAGCTTTTTCACACATTTTGCATGGGAGATGTTTTGGGAGAAAGAGAGGAATAAAACAGATTTACCTTACTCAGAGAAGAAAAAAGCAAGTGTACCAAGAAAGGGGCTGGAGAAAGAGATGAGAAAAACAGCTAAAAGAAAAGGCTGACTTTGTTTATTTCTTCCAATTATTCTGCATGCCCGTGTTCTACGTCACCATGAAAAGCTGAGTGACTGCCACGAGCTTTCTGATACTGGCAATGAAGGTGAAGTGCATTCGCTTGGGCTGAGCTGTCATACTCTCTTCTCTAAGCTCCCTTAGGAAAGGGAGGAGAAAAGGACTTGCTCGCTGCCTTGGCCCCGACTCCCTGAGCAGCCAATACTGGGGAAATTTTTTGATCAGAGGTAACTGACAGTCTAGGCCTTCCACAAACTGAAGCTGTTAGCTACTGTCATTCAGACGATGACAAAGTTGAAAAGAAAGCATCCCTGTCATCTTTTTTTTAAAGCCTTCTTTACTGCTTACTGGTATTCAACTTTTTGTCTTAAGAAGGGAGAACGGCAAGCCAGAGTTACCTTGCGAGGTGTGCGTTTCCGAGTAGTGCTCACCACACTGGACGTGAACGGGAGGCAGGATGTACGGCTGCTGCCTGGGCTGAAACAGAGAACACAGAGGAGGTGGGGAGGCCTGGGCAGACACGGCTGGTGACTCACACAGCCGGCCCAGGCACACGGCAGTCCCGCCACGTTGTAAGGGAGGCTCGTGGCAGCTGCTGTCCCTGCCACCCCTTTGACTCAACCTTCTTCTACCCGTCTGCACTCCCATCTCATCACTAAGTTTGGAACTGGAGAAACAGTAAGGGAGAAATGAAGTTGGTTCAAGATCAGAAAGAGAAAGAGGTCACCATCAAAGACTAAATGTAACCATTTACTATCTATGTTCTAATATATTTGCAAAGTTCTCTATGCCTTCTTTCACAAGAATAACTTTTAGAAAAGGTAAATTATTCAAGGCAGGCAGATTGACTGAGCTCAGGAGTTCAAGACCAGCCTGGGCAACACATTGAAATGCCATTTCTATTAAAAATACAAAAATTAGCCAGGCATGGTGGCGCATGCCTGTAGTCCGAGCTACTCGCGAGCTGAGGCAGGAGAATCACTTGAACCTGGGACTTGGAGGTTGCAGTGAGCCATGATCGTGCCACTGCACTTCAGGTTGGGCAACAGATTGAGACTTCGTCTCCAAGAAAAAAAGAAAAAAATTATCTGGGCGTGGCGACATGCACCTGTAGTCCCAGCTACTTGGGAGGCTGAGGCGTGAGAGTCGTTGAACCTGGGCGGCGGAGGTTGCAGTAAGCCAAGATCATGCTACCGCACTCCAGCCTGGCGACAGAGCAAGACTCCGTCAAAAAAAAAAAAAAAAAGAAAGAAAGAAAGAAAGAGAAAGTAAATTATTATAACCCATCTCAGAAATGAGAATAAGGGGGACACCTGTTTTGTTCTCAAAATTCCATTCACAAGCTCCTACACATCAACATAGCTGTGCCTGAGACCCCAGTTCACAGCTCCACATCAACCTTAAATAGGAACAGGGTTAGTGTTAAGCTGAGCCCAGGGTGAATCTATTTAAATATCTAAAATGTGGCCCACAACAATGAGTGTGTAGCTGTCAAGACCACTTGCTGACCTTCCCCATTGCAGAACCAAGTGTGCAAAGGGCCCTGTCTACCCACCACCGCAGTGCAGAATCTTCCACAGTCTGTTAAAGATGGCTATTTAGACTGAACCTGAATAACTTCATGCTGCGGAAGAGGGACAAGTTTTCAGAGAAAAAAACAAAACAAAACAAAACAAAAAAACTTCAATGGATTAAATATTTGGTGAACCAACAAAGGAAAGACGGTTATGCACTAATGTAATCTAGAGCAAGCCATTTAACCTCAGTCGGTCTCAGTTTCCCGTCAGTCAAATCAAGCTCCTCTCTTCCCCTACCTCAAGCATTCTCCATTTTATTTATGTACTGAGGTTCCAGGTAAGAATTTGTTTGAAATAAGAGTTTTGATTTGCGGGGGAAAAAACCCTCAAAACGCTTACGTTTGTAAGCCACCGAACAGGATAATCTCTCATATTTCTTTTTTCTTTTTTTTTTTATTTTCTGAGACATTGTCTCACTCTATTGCCCAGGCTGGAGTGCAGTGGCACAATCTCGGCTCACTGCAACCTCCGCCTCCCGGGTTCAAGAGATTCTCATGCCTCAGCCTCCCTAGTAGCTGGGATTACAGACGCTGTGCCACCAGGCCCTTCTAGTTTTTGTATTTTTAGTAGAGACGGGGTTTCACCATGTTGGCCAGGCTGGTCTTGAACTCTTGACCTCAAGTGATCCACCCACCTTGGCCTCCCAAAGTGCTGGGATTACAGGTGTGAGCTACCGTGCCCAGCCAATCTCTTATATTTCTATTAGCCTTATAGATTTTAAAGGTTACTATTTTGAGAGAAGAATCTCAGATCAAACCAAGAAACCCAAATCCAGCAGGGGTCACACTTTCTCAGCATCCCTCAATGGAAGAAACGCACTGGCCAAGAGCTTGAAGCTGGGTGAATAACTCACCTATCATTTTCTTTGCCACAAACAATGCTTGATCTTCAAAGGGGTAATAAAAAAAAAGGGATCCAAGAATTAAAAGGAATCAAGACAGAAGAAATGAAGAACTGAAATCAATCTAAGAAAGCAGTTCGGGCCTACCAAAGAAAAGGTGCTATATTCCCAAGTCTCCCTTTGGCTGATTTTTGAGTTGCAATTTAAAAATATTTTTCCTTTTCTTGGCAATACATAATTCAACTAAATTTTTCCATGGTAGCACAACCATTTTAAGGCTTTAAAGAAAAACACAGTGGGGAGGGATTTGTACAAGGGAATAGAAATACACAGCAAGGCAAAATTGGTTTACTGTGTTTTCTTGCCTTATTTAAAAAAAACCAATAAGTAAGTTACGGTTTATGAACTGACATAAATGAGCAGACTTATGCCAGTTCACAAACAGCATTGTCAAAGGACAATAATAGCTAATCCCTCAAACATCATTTCAGGATTATATTATTTATTTCATCTCGTTATATATTCTAATACATTATTCCATTTCTTCCCAGACCTGCTAATAGAGAAACAAACTTGACGCCAAAATATAGACAGAAGAGGGCAGGTGAAAAACAGCAATGAGAAGTCCTGGTTATCAGCAAGGAAGCCAAGAGACAGTGTTATTTGGTCTTACTCACTCATTGTAAGAAACTCTTGGTGAAATGGTTTAAACCTAAAGGACAGGGGAAAGGGGGAAGCCATGAATTGGATCAGACTTCCTATAAACTGTCTTCATCCAAATAAAATAGGTAAGCCTCTGCATCCTCTCTGGATAATGAGGACAAGATAAGATCACAAGAGAGCTTTAAAACACTTTGCCTCCCATAGGGTTTCAAGGGTGTAAATGAAAAATTATTTTGCTAATAAAGACATCTATACTCTAAAGAAGGGAAAAGGAAGATAACATTCATAAAGGAGAAGAATAAATAAATCAGTGCCATGAACAAATCTATTGGTACTCGGGGGAAAGCCCAACGTATCTGTTACATTTTCAGGGCCCAGGACCACATGTGAGATATTGTGCATAATACTGAGAGAAATAATATTCACACAGGCACTCAGGAATTACTGCGATAATATAATGACTCAACTCAAGAATTCAGAGTCCACATCTAAGCATTTTCAAGGAAATAAACTTTTCTCAAAACGCTCCCTTCAAAAGACAAGTTAAAGACATGCTATAGTGTATACACTGAATATGAAGAAAAATTCAATTGCATTCTATCAGCTTGAAAGAATTGTTGATCTAGAGAAGTTAAAAGGTCATATGCTTATTTTGATTTTGTGTAAAAAAATCATGACCTAAAATAAAAGAATTGTGAGTTAAAACAAGTGGAAAACATTAAAGAAAACCAATTCTTAACATCTGTTATCCTTGAGTAATCCTCAAAATAAAACATAGCCTAAGACAGAACACATGCATTGAAATTAATTGTGTTTCCTTATTCACATGATGAGGAGAGCAGCTTCAAACAAACAAACAAACAACAAAGCAGCAGCTAAAGCTAGGTCAATTCAAACTCTGCTGGCTAATTAAAGCCTAAAATTATGGAAGTGCTTTGGAATTCTGATTTTTTTTAAAAGGCCTAAAATTAGGAAATATGCAATCAATTTTCCCCATCAGATACTCTGCCTGAGACCATCAACTAGATCCGTTCAATTTTTGCTCATTTAGAAGGCATTTTCTCACTAGTTTATTAAGCTCTCTCTACGGCAGTGAACACAAAGGAATTTGTGGAGCTCGTAACTGAAGATGTATCTTCACACAACAACCAGAACAGATGAGCAAGGGAATGAAAACACACCATGGGCTGTATGCTGATGGAACATGGTCCCACAGGCCTGGAATAAGACCTACTCTCAGGGTAAACCCTCAGCCTCAGCCACACTTAGAGTAGTGGTGGGCATGGATGGGTCCAAGGGGGACAAAACGGGTGTCCATCGCATCTGCTTGACAGAATGACGCCTCTGTGTTCTCACAAAATTTCACCTCATCATGATGCCCTCATCATCCCCCCACCTCAAATTAATAACAAAGAATGCTCAACAGTCAGATCACTTGATCACTGCAGCTTCTATACATACCAGAGAGGATCGGCTCCAGGTGGGCTGGCGTCTGATGGGGGGTGGAGAATTTGACTGTCTACATGAAGAGGTGAAAAAATGAGAATGGTTATTATTATTGATATAAAAAGACCAGATAGACAAGGGAAGGAGAGGAAGAGAATAAACAAGACTGGTAATCGTTATATCAAAACATAAACGTGGCTTATTTCTGGGTGGTAACACTAAGAACAATCTTGATTTGCTTTGTTTTTCTTTATTTTCAAAATGTTCGGATAAGGATACTTTTAGAATAAATTTTACAAAGTAATATTAAACCAATGGAGGCTTATTTCTATAGAAAGACTGAGGGAAATAAGCCAGACTGAAAAATATCACCATTATTACATGGATTTTAAAAAATTGTACTCTTTCTACTGTTGTATATATGTAAAATCTTTCACAGTTTTTAAAAAAAATGCAAGAAAAAATATTTTTAAAATACTTCCAGTCAAATGAAAATACAAAATAGATACAATATTTTTAGTGTGACCATATAAAGATACTTTTTATTAAGATAACACATTTTACAAACATTGATCAGATATTTTCCAGACTAAGAAGCAACATATTTTTAAATGTAGAGATTAAAAAATGAATTGGAAGTATTAGCAAATTCTTTAGAGTTGAAATCAAAGACGCCTTCAAGCAACAGGTCCCAAATGCTATAATACTTTCCCTCATTCTCAGTGTTACCATAAAAAAAAAAAAAAAACCCAGGACATGTACAGTTTTTTATTAAGGTAAGTTCTTCAATTTAAAGGACTCTCCTTATTCTGAGATTTCATCCTTCCTAATTTTTTGGTGATAAAATATCTTTTATGAAATGATGGAGGTAATATAGCAATGGTGGATTTTTAAATGACTGGCTAAATAATACAATATTATCAGACCTATGTTATATATACCGCCGCCTAATTTTTCTCCCTATAACAAGAAATTGAGGAGCCACTCAATTGAGCTATACCTCCAGATGACAAGCAGCAGCTCTGCAGGAGCAGAAAAATCAATAACGATCTTTTAGAGGTCAGAGAGTATCGCCCTCTGGAGAAGGATGCTGCTGTGCATGCATGGAGAAGGATGCTGTTAAGATTATGCCAGTTCACAGAACTCCAGAGGGATGCCCCAGGCCATAACATCGTGCTGGGACGCTGAACTGCATATGGAATTTAATGGGGGAGAGAGAGAAAGAGAGAGAGAGAGCGAGAGAGAGTATAATTTTGAGAGCGTGCCCCAGGTTTTAATCAGGTAAGAGGTTAGGAACCTCTTATACTTGGTTAGGAAGAAGAAAGGAATGGTTATTACAGAAGCAGAATTGAGAAACAGAATTTCTTCTTAGTTTTCAGACTAATATGTGATGTTCACTAATACTGAAGGAAACGACCACAAAAGGAAAATAAACACTCCGTAAATTTTATAGTAAAACCATCTGCTGAGCTGTGGTTAAATCAGAAGACAAGAGTAAAATCCAGTTCTCAGTTTTTAAATTCATCCTACAGAAGTCAAGGATAGCATTCTTGTTCATGTCAAAGACACCCCCAGAAGTCAAAGGCAACAGCAGAGTAGAAATACACAGAAGTGACCTATCAGGAACCTGCTCAAGAGAATGGTGTGGTGCGGCACATGCGAGAATGTGTCTAGAAGAAACGTACAGCCGCTTCACTTGCCACTCCCCGATCAGGCCTTCTTCTGATTCACATTTGCAAACCAAGCAGGTAGGCCTAATACTGTCAGACATACTTTCAGACCCCGACAGTGACCAATTGCAGTGACTGGCTTGAAAGAGCCTCCACGGTGTGGAGAAAAAAGTCTGCCATGACCTGGCGCTCCAGCTATAAAGCAGCCGCGTTCTTCAGCAGGAACTGCTCTAGGACAATACTCTACATACTCTCGGATGTGTCCACTGTGGGAGTGGAAAAGCAGTTCTTCTCTTGCATTTATAACCCTGACGCTCTTTGAAACAAAATTAAACACATTGGGCGCCCAAACCGCTGAATGTATTCAGCTGAGGAACGTCTTTTGAAGGTAACCAAGAAAAAGACAACGATAGAGTGAGCCCCAGCACGCTCCATCTGAGGTCAGGCCGCATTTAAGTGCCCTCATCACACGCCTCTTTATCATCTTTATTTCCAAATTAAATTAAAAAAATACACACGGATTTGTGACACCTATGAGTGTCTTCCACATCTTCCTCTAATTACCCTGGCCTCTCATTTACAGTCAGATGACATGACCCAGGAGCACACGCAGGGTTAGCCAACTGTGTAAGCGACACGGGGCTGAGGATGACAGGAGCGTCTTCTCTTTCAAGCTAGCTCGTCACTCTGTTACCCACTTCTGAACACACTCCACGTCTGACACGAAGGGGCACCCTGGCAAATTGGGAACTGCACCGCTTCTCCAAACTTCTAGCAGAGGGTTGGAAAGGCGCTAATGTGGGCCAACCCATCCAGGCAGCCAAGCATTCACAGTCAATTTGTGAATTATTCTCTCTCTAGGCATATGCACGACACTAGACAGTCTTCATCATTAAAGTTTTCATTCCTGCCCTGGCTTTAGCTTACTTCATTAGCTTCTACAAGGAACAAGGAAAAAGAGTGAATAGGAAAAGAGATCTACAGCACCCCAAAAGGACATTAATTTAATCTGACAAAGCCATCAAGTCGGGGGGGATTAAATGTTTACTTACTCAGTGCAGATTTTGTTTTGTTTGTAAAACTTGTGTCGTGTGGCAAACAACCGAGAAATATACTTGGCATTTTCGATATCATCCTTGGAAAAGAAGAGACAGAGAAAAAAATAAACATTTGTTGAATTAGTTATACATTTCATTAAGATTCTTCTGAGGAGGGACACACATCCCTTCCAACCTTCATCTCAAGCACAAAATAATACATGGGCCAGCAAGGTAAACCAGCCTGCTGAATTTCAGCAGCAGCTATGCCTACAAAGCCTGCCAAAGAGTGGCAGAACCTGCTGTCTGCTAAGGAATCCCTATGCCCAAAGTGCTGGGGTTACACTGATGAACCAGCATGTCTTTATGTAATTTCCGACCAAGTGCTTTCAAAATAAATAACTGAATCAAGGCACAGCATAGAATAAACACCAGACTTCTTAAATTGGAGGCAGTGAGATGCCTTGGCTCTCGAGGAGGCACTCAACAGGAGGTCAGTCCCTCAGCTACTTCAGATTAAGCTAAGGCTATGATGGGAAAGAAAACTTAGGTCCTCCAGCAAAAGCAAATGGAATGCAATAGAATCAGGGGTCACTAGATGAGGGCTGTAACTAGAGTGCTGAGGAAGGCGGCACACCAGACAATGTGATCCATCACACATAAGGCAGTTGGAGGGACCAGAGTCCTAGAGTCAAAAGTCAGCTTGGAAACCTGGTATTTTATTTTATTTTATTATTTTATTTTGTGAGATGGAGTCTAGCTCTGTTGTCCAGGCCGGAGTGCAGTGGCGCAATCTTGGCTCATTGCAACCTCTGCCTCCTGGGTTCAAGCAATTCTCCTGCCTCAGCCTCCCGAGTAGCTGGGACTACAGGTGCCCACCACCATGCTTGGGTAATTTTTGTATTTTTAGTAGAGATGGGGTTTCGCCATATTGGCCAGGCTGGTCTCAAACTCCTGACCTCAAGTGATCCACCGGCCTCGGCCTCCCAAAGTGTTGGGATTACAGGCATGAGCCAGAAACTTGGTATTTTAAACATGGGTATTTCATCACCACTATCCTGGAATGAGTAATGACAGCACTGACCAAGTATTAGAAAGCATCTCTTCAAGGGAGTATTTATTATCTCAAGATAGGGAGAGCAAGGAAAGGACATTAGGAGTTGAAAAGTCCAAAAGCCAGTGTCTTGTCAGACCCTGACTGTTTGTCTGTTGTGCTTACCGTGTGAAAGAGGGCAGTCTCTTCTTTGTTGATGAGCTCCACTAGAATGGTCGACTTGTTATGAGTGATATTCCCCATGTCATTCCACCTGGTTAGAAGAAATGTCACTGTGTTTACTCAACAATGTTCCAGGCATTTATGATACAGCAGAGGAGGGCTGTTTGCTGCTATCAAGTCTCATTTAACAAACTATGATTTAACTATTTTTTAAGTGAAATGTTCTTTCAAACGAGAAAAGAAAATGCAACACATATCCATTCAAATTGCTAAAAATTCTACATAAAATACGTCTAGACATCGCTATTTATAAACTATAGTTTTCTTTGTGACTAGCAATGAGGAAAATCTGCAAGGGACTTTTACTTCTCCCTCTCCCATTTTTTCACATTTCCAAAGTGACAAAACATTTCCCATGACCACCACTTTTTAATGATGGAGGAGCACATATTATTAAAAATCATGTGTTTCCAGGAACCTAAATAGAAGAATCCACATATTCTGTATTGCAATATGCACTACAGATTCATGATGCCACTAAGAAAAAACGCCTGTTGAAGCAGGAATGACAAGAAAGATCTTTCAGGCTATAGAATAAACTTTTTGACTTTGGACTTAGTGTCAGCTCCATATGCCTGCCACTAAGTATAAATTAATTGACTCTCTAATGTGCCTACACTTTGGGACCCAACAACACACACACACACACACACACACACACACACACACACACACACACAGAGTTTCCTTCCCTGTCTTCATGGAGACCTTATCTAAAAGGAGATACACCAAAATAAGCACCAGATGAGGAAAGATAAGCTACTGCTTCCCATCCTACTTGGAACCAATTTCTAACCATCTTTTACCCTTCACCTGGTGCCCCAACCTGTAATTCCCTGCCACCGCTTTTTCACTCATATGATGCGTCTGCTCATTAATACTTCTACCATCCTCTGTTTGGATAATAATTTTGAGACTCAGCTCTGGGAGTCACCTTCTCTAGGAATCCCTTCATCATATCCCCCTACCCACACGTGAGGAGAAGAGCCTGCTGCAGTCCCCTACCGGTCACCACATTGCATTATAATTTTTACTTCTGTGATGAGATCTCTGATGAGACCAAGCAGACCACAGGCCCCATACCCGGTGCAGGGATTCTGCCTTCTTCGTTTCTGTGTTCCAAGCACTGAATCGAGTACCTGGCCCAGAGCACTCAATAAATGTCTGCTAGAAGAATAAAAAGCAATAATATTGTCTCTTAGCTGTATAGAGTCCGATTCTTACACCAACTCTTTATGGCAGCTATTTTTGCTCCTACTTTAAAAATGAGGCAATATAGACACAAATAAGTACCTGACTTAGCATGTTTACTCTCTATGTCAAGGATGGATGAGCTCTTTACCTGGGGTTTCCAGCCTTTCCTCCAGTCATCATTCCCTTATACCAGTACTAAATGTTTTTAGGTACCTCTGCTGGGGCAATACTCTCTAATAGTGCTGCACCCAGCTTGCTTCACAACCTACAGTTCTATCAGATTACATCTACGTGGACTCATAGCTACATGCTCCTTAGTGAAGGTCTCTAGAGATAAGAGATATTTGGTTTCCTCTGGCCTCATTCCTTCAAATCAACTGCTGAAATCCTAGATATACTCGGAGCCCCGCCACATGACTTCATCTAGTGGTATAATTAACATGACACTACAGTAGATGTGAATTCTCATCTTGTAGTGGTTTCAAGATAAATGAAAAGGTCTGGAAGCAGTTTCTAAGGAAACTAAGCAAAACCTGTGAGTGGCTTATGCTCATGAAATTTCCAAATTGCAATTTTCTTCTATTTCACTTCAGTAGCTGGTGTGCAAGACTTGTTTACTTCTCTGCTGTGCTGTAGGTTCAAACAGAAACTGAAACATTGATTTAACTATGAAGAACTGGTAGGACTCAATGCCTGGATAGCTTTGAATGGGTATAAAAATTTATAGTTACAACTCTGCACATATTTACATATTTTCCTCAATTAATTTATACTTTGTGGCAGATATATGGAGCTGACAGTAAGTCCAAAAGTCAAAAAATTTATTCTATAGCCTGAAAGATCTCTCTTGTCACTCCTGCTTCAATAATGTCTCTATTCAGAGAGCAAGAGAATATCATAAAAACAATGACAGACTGGGGATCTAGGAAAATAAAAGCCTACCAGGAAGCTTTTGGTTAGAAAACTGTCTCAAAATGACCTGCTGTGGTTACTGATCCAGAGAGTACATGGCCAGTTAAGAGTCACTTCCAGAAGGTGGGCTATGCTTGCCTCCAAGAGCTATCTTTGATAGTGTGCCCTGGATACACAGATCCGCCTCAGACACACATACAAGAAAGCTGTTCTTCCAATCATGGGCCATGTTGCCCTTGTAAATGAAAGCTAGAACACAGTTTTTCAGATCATTGGCATTATGATAAAATCTATGGGCACCAATACAAAGCAAGCATACTGACATGAAATGCAGGGGGGAGATGGCTGCATCTCTACACTGGTGCCATTCCTGATAAATGGAAAAGAGGACTGAAGTGTCAAAATAATGAAAAGTACCAAAGCCCCCTAATTCATCATAATAAATAGATTGCTTTTTCAAAACACATTTTTAAAACTAATCACCTTTTGTTCACATAAAAATCAGTTGGCACTCTTGTGGCACAGGTGGTTCAGAACAATGGAAAGAAGTGTTTAGAGTTAATGACTGACTGGAGAGCCAGTTTTCAACCAGACTCACGAAGTTTAGTTTCATCCTTCTAACTCAATAGAGTTCAACAATGTAGTTCCTGGAATCAGGTGGGATGGGTTTCTACGAAAAGTGAGATGAATTTAACTGCTTAAATCCTGCAGAGGGCTCACCTTATATGAGCTGAGAGAAGTCAAATCTTATCCACAGTTTGGCTCTTAACTCATTTGGATGTTAATGTAACATTAACATTACAGTTCCTCAAGGTAAAAAAGAAAAAAGAAAAACAAACAAATAAGACTACCTGTATATTACCGCTTGTCTTCCAATTCTGTTCCTCACGAAAATCCCCATAAAGAAAATGCCAAGGTGTACACAGTTTCCATGATTGTCCTGGGTAAGACCAACAAAAGATACTTGTGATGACCCATGTTCACTGCAACATTATTCACAATAGCTAAGATATGGAATCGACCTGAGTGTCCATCCACAGATGAATGGATAAAGAAAACGTGGTACATGTGTGTACAAGGGAGTACCATTCAGCCTTAAAACAGAATAAAATTGGCATTTGCCACAATACAGATGGAATTGGAGAACACAATGCTAAATGAAATAAGCCAGGTACAGAAAGCAAATAACACGTGTTCTCACTTACACATGGAATCTAAAAAACTGAACTCATAGAAGGATAGAGTATAATGGTGGTTACCAGAGGCTGGAGAATGGGAGGAATGGGGAGATGATGGTCAAAGGAAATCAAGCCTTGTTAGACAGGAGGACTAAGTTCAAGGTATCATTGTGACCATAGCATAGTTAGTAACAATATATTGGTGTTTGTTGTTGTTTGTTTGTTTTGAAACAAGGTCTCACTGTTGCCCAGGGTGGAGAGCAGTGGCACAATTTTGGCTCACTGCAGCCTTGACCTCCTGGGCTCAGACAATCCTCCTACCTTAGTCTCCCAAGTAGCTGGGACTACAAGCATGCACCACCATGCCCTGCTAATTTTTTTTTTTTTTTTTTTTTTTACAGACAGGGTCTTGCTATGCTGCCCAGGCTAGTGATCCTCCATCCTCGGCCTCCCAAAGTGTTGGGATTACAGGTGTGAGCCACTGTGCCCGGCAACAATGTACTGTATTCTTGAAATCACTAAAAGAGTAAATTTTTTTTTTTTTTGAGACGTAGTCTCACTCTGTTGCCAGGCTGGGGTGCAGTGGCGTGATCCCGGCTAACTGCAACCTCCACCTCCCAGCAGGTTCAAGCGATTCTCCTGCCTCAGCCTCCTGAGTGGCTGGGACTACAGGTGCATGCCACCACACCTGGCTAATTTTTATATTTTTAGTAGAGACAGGGTTTCACCATGTTGGCCAGGATGGTCTCGATCTCTTGACCTCGTGATCCACCCGCCTCGGACTCCCAAAGTGCTGGGATTACAGGCGTGAGCCACCGTGCCCGGCCTAAAGGAGTAAATTTTAAGTGTTCTAACCACAAAGAAATATGTGAAGTAACGCATATGTTAACTGGTTTGATTTAGCCACTCCACAATATACACGTTATTTCAAAACCCACAGGCATCACATCCCATTTCTCACCCATGAGTAGAATAAATCATAGACAACATCACAGCAATAAGGTGACCAGCTGTGTCGGCGGGGTCAGGTCCTACAGGAACTCACCCACCACACATCCTAGTGGACTATATAGATAGAGAGATAGATATTTTTTTCCTTTTTTCTCAATTTGTCACAACACATGTCCAGTTTAAGAGACAATCTCTGGATTTTCTCAGATTCATTGGCATTTGGATTTTCTCTTTCATGAACATCTATTGATGTCTTTTATTTTTCAACCTTACCAAAGTTTTTGTTTTTTAAATCGTTATACATGCAATAATTTGAAGAGTTGAATATTCTTCAGGGCTTGTTTAAAGGAAGCCAAGAGGAGACCTGTCCCTACCACTTCCTCTGCACAGAGGCCAAAACTTTCACCTCTTAAAGCTCTCGATGTGTCTCTTTGCAGCTACCATCTCTGGCCCTTTCAGTGCAGAAACTCCCATTCTTCAGTGCAGGGATATTTTCTCGAATAATTACCTTTTGTTTCCCTTGTTCACTCTTTTTAGAACTCCCATTATTCAAATATTGGACATCCTGGACAGGTCCTCTAATTCTTTTATCTCCTGTCCCCGACTTACCATTACTTTGTTTTTTGGTGAGACTTTCTCAGTTTTATCTTCTAACCTGTCTATTAGGTTGTACACTTCTGATATCACATTTTAAATTTCAGAGTTTATTTTTGTTTTCTAGATGCATCTTTTTGTAAGTATCTTACTCCTTCAAGGAAGCAAAATTTAAAAAAAAATATATCCTGAGGCTCACTGGATAGTATTTTGAGCAGGGGGTTCTTCTTCCTGTACAACATCTGCATCTGCCAGTCCACTGCTGTTCTACTCTTGAAAATTTTTGAGGAACCACTCACGGAAAAGTTCATGCTAAATTCAAGTATTTTTCCTAGGATATATCATGACATGCTTTTTGTCAATAAGAACCTGTACCAATCAAAAGAGACTCCAGTCCTACTCACAGTCTTTCCCTGCATATTTTCTTGTCTGCTTTTTCACTTATTGCAGAGCTGACCACATTACCACCCCCCACTGGTACTGTTGCTCCCACCCTCATCCTTGAGTCACCAGGAATCATGCGGTCTATAGGTGGTCACCTTAGATATGCACACATATGTGGGGGGAAAGAGAAGAAAAAGAGGCAGTCCAGCTCAGTTACCCGAGCTTGGCAATAAGTCAGAAGCGCCTATCTTCCAACTCAGAGGAAGGTATTATAACCCTGTTGGTCCCACTAAAGAAAGAACATACTAGAAAGCACATCAGAACCAACCACAGCAGATTTCAACATGACCTCAACTGCCCCTGTTTCTCGCAGTCCACATTAAAAAACAACACAAGCAAATTGCCACAACAAAACCTCCAACTTCCAGAGATTGAGAAGTCAGTTTTCTAGAAGCAGAGAAAAGTTTACTCTGATTTTTCAATGACCCAAAATATGACTATATATGGGCTGCAGAAATGTAAGTGGGATGCAGATGGCTTCATAAGGCATTATGGCAAGGAAAATGGATTACAACCCTATGAAGGGCAGCTATTAGAGAAGCAAAAGAAAATTAAACAAATCTAAAAAAGAGCCATTTAGCCCTTTCTGAAAGCTGCGGCCACCCTGCTCGATTCTACTTGATGCACATGGGCAGTTCTCATTAAGGCAAATTGCAAACGTGCAACAGAGGGGGAACTGAACACTTATAAAACAGCCAGTGGAGCTAGTCTGGAGTGAAATGTTTGTGCTGAAATTGCAGGCATCTCCCAAATTGCTGAAATGTGCCAGTTGCTTTAGGTTTCTGATAAATCTCCATTTTTTGTAAAGTTGGTCAACAGAGAGTGGAAAATGAGTTTGGATGATGGGCTCAGCTCTATAAATGACTATGATCCATGACCCCCCCAACCACACCCACTTCAGGAGGTGGATGTGCTGCAAAGGATGTGATGTGCTATAGCAGTTTCCGAGGCATAGCTTCCATAAAACACCAAAGGGGCTAGGAACCCACAGGGGAGGGCCCTATAAAGCTGGAGAAATAAAGCATGATTGTATACAAGAAACGTTTCATTCTACCTCACAAACGATTATCCCTGTATTGGCTCAATGAAGAGAAAAAGAGAATAAGAAAACTACTGACTAGAGTCTTCATTAATGTTACACATGACATTGGCTACTTGTCCTGTTATAAGGCTGGATATCAGCCTTGATACCTCCAAGGTGCCGGATTGGCTGATGCTTGGTACTCACTTAGATGGACTGTCTTATTGAACTATTCTGCTGAGGACCATGGCAAACTTCAAAACGTCTTGGTTAAGAAAAAGCATTTGTTTATCTATAATAAATTGGACTTGCCAACTAAGGCTGCATAGCAAAAAGAAGGCCAAGCCATTCTGGCCCACTGCTATCAACAATGGTTTTCCAAATGCCAGTACCGGTCTGAGAAGGTTAAAGCCAGCACAGGGCACAGCATATTACCTTTACAGGGAAGATTTCCTGTCCAAATCCATCCAAACGTTCAACTTCATTGATGTACATCAGTTCAGCTTCTGCTGGCAGGATTCCACTAAAATCAAAATAGCATCAAAGGAAGAAATGGTTAAGGGCAGCCAGTGGAAGATCCCACTCTCCTGATGGCAAATTCCAGAGCTGTGGTTTAGCTCTAGTTTCTGGGAAGAGCAATCATTACCCAACTGTGAGGGTAGGGTGCATTACTAAGTAATTCATTGACATCTTTCCCAGTAGCCTTTTACTTAACAGCGAATAATAAGAGGAAGGTAAAGTATTTAATTAAGAGCCACAGCCCTGTAAACATGAAATCATTATTCCAGACATCCCTTCGAATATGTTGCCTACTTTAAAAAGAAGTTATTTTTCTCCCATCTGGGAGAAATCTTCATTATTAAAAAAAAAAAGGAAAAAGTTTATCATGAGGATAATATTTTGGGAGTCAAATGGCCGTGGCTCATGCCTATAATCCCAGCACTTTGGGAGGCCGAGGCAGGCAGATCACTTGAGGTCAGGCATTTGAGATCAGCCTGGCCCACATGGTGAAACCCCATCTCCACTAAAAATACAAAAATTAGCTGGGTGTGGTGGTGCATGTGCCTGTAATCCCAGCTACTCGAGAGTCTGAGGCATGAGAATTGCTTGAACCCCGGAGGTGGAGGTTGCAGTGGACCGAGATCGCACCACTGCACTCCAGCCTGGGTGACAGAGCGAGACTCTGTCAAAAAAAAAAAAAAAAAAAAAAGCCACGATGAGAGAACTTAGGATCACTGCATAGGCCTCGATATCAAACTCCTGGTGCTTCCTTGAATTAAAGTTTCTCTCTTTTTCTTTCCTTCACCTGCCTACCACCCAACACAGCACTTTAGGTCTTCACTCTCTCAGCACAGGCTGTCTCAGGCTTCCCAGATTCTCTAAGGAAGGAAGGAAGGAAGGAAGGAAGGAAGGAAGGAAGGAAGGAAGGGAGGGAGGGAAGGAAGGAACGGAGCAGTTTTCAAGTGGACATTCACTTTTGCAGAACGGAAGTACAGAGCTGAGTCACGTGGTGGAATAAATACAAGTGTGTTGGCTCAAGCCCAGAGTTGCTGATAGGGAGATGGATGCCTCCTGCCCCATGGGCTGTAAACATCTGTTGTGCAGGCAGCCCCTTACCCTCTGCCTGCCTTACCTGTGGGCTTTGTGTTCTTGGGCTACCTTCTGGGTCAGCTCCTCCAGAACAGCCTCTTCCAGGGCCAAATCCTATAAGAATAGAAAGTGCTTAAGGTCACATGAGGGTGTGGGCATTTGCTATTTTGCTTGCAAATCTTAAAGCTCCCTTCCTCAGATGTTCCTGATTAGTCACATTTCCTCAATATCTCCTTTACTGCTGTAGAATTAAAGGTTGTAATTTTTAGAACTGAGTTATGATTTCTACTGTTATAACACGGCTCTCCATTATAACAGGTTATTTCCAGGCATATTTTGGGTTGCCGCGTAAGTTCTGTGGTGCCAGGGAATAGCTCTTTTCATTCATTCTTCCCTATCCGCCTGCCTCTCAGATGTACGTTTATAAAAAATGCTTTGCGTGTGCTTACATATTTCTAATGATTGGGGTATAGGCCAATGAGTTTCCAGGCCATCATCCCTTCAAAAGTTGAGCCTAGGAAGGGACTGTGCCAGGCCTTTCTGTATACCAGGAAACGAATTCAAAACCACTGAAGGCAGAGTAGGCTCATTCTGATGTTACTTGATGGTCACGGGGGCAGAGGAAGCCATGACGGCTAAAACATCTCCAGAGAGCTCTGTAAGGCAACAGTTGCGTAGCTGACTAGTCAGCATCTCTACCAGCTGAACCCCAGGCCCCTGGAACCTGTGATGTGCTGACTACTATGGGCTCAGAAGAACTGATTACACACATCTTTTCCCAACTACCCTTCCGTAACACCACAGTGGGAGGATTTACATCACAGAAATAGGCTTGCTAAACACTGGCCAGGGAAGCACTGCTTAGGATGGTGAGATGGAATCAAGAGGAATAATCCAAAATAAGCAGACCGAAGCAATGCATTCTTGAGAAATTGATAGAGGTAGAGATTCTAGAGTTTGTCTCATGCCTGTGGTGGCCTGGGGCTCAAGCCCCAAGCCAGCTGCCTCTAGCTTTCCTGGGCAGCAGGTCCCACATATTCCAGGCTAGTAAGCACCAAGAGGGTCACAGATGGGCACCATTTTCCTGTGACCTCCAGAGCAGATGTCAGAAGGAACTCTGAGCTACACCCTGATGGGTACCTGAAGCTCATCCTACTAGGATGGGAGGTAGGGACTGATGTTTTGGCAGAAATCATACCAAACGCCCCATTCCTTTGATTCTAAAATACCACTTATATAAAGATTCATCTCCAACTTAACTTTACATGGATGAAAACACTACCCCTAAAAATGTACACCTCAAAACTGTGAAAAACATCCCATCTCAAATCATTAAAATCTGAAAAATCAATATATTTTAAAACTGGAAAGCACAGACATAAATGTATGCTAAAAATTCTATAGCTCTGCACATCCTGCTAATTCTAGAGTTCACGAGAGACTTTAGAGCAGACGGGGAATTATGGCAGCTCTTACTTTTCACATAACTGATTAATTTGCGGTTTCCTGTTTAGCCATCCATTGAAATGACTCAAGTCCGTGATAGGAAATAAGCTCAACATTTTTAGTTTCATGTTGTGGAGTAACAAAGATATCACAAGGCTTAGAAAGTTAGCTATGTATGTGCATCCAGGTATTGAGTAAAAACCCCATTAATTTTGAAAAGCTAATGAAGGGCATGTGGCAACAGAATATAAAATAAAGTGAAGATCAAAAAGTGTTCCATTAAATCTCCGTTTCCTACTTTTAAAAAGAAGCCCAAAGGTACCCCCTCTGCTATTGTTCTCAACTTAACCGCCTCCATCTGCACCTGGGGCCTCCCTGAGGTATGTGCCCTGCCAGGGAGAGTGCGAGCATGGCCCTGTGGGAATGAAAAATGGCAGAATGCATGCCTGTACACAGCCACACACCTGTGGAGCGCCTTGTGTACTTGACTTTGTTCTTTTCTCTGCTGAAGAAATGCCATTTAACAAATTCAATTACTTCATAAGATCAAACACAGCCATTCATCCTATCTTCCCTCCCCCACCAAAGGAATGCATTCTCTTTGAAAGCTCCAGTGGAACCAAGGAAAAAGTTTACACCCTTCTAAGACTACCCCCGGCCTACTCAGCAAGGTCAACACCTGGGCCTGGCATGCAGACCATTCTTCAATGTGACTCAGCTTCCCCTTCCAGACCTCCTTGCCCAAGAGGTCAAGCCCCAGGCCGACACCTCTTCTAACACACACTGCTTTTACATTTCCATTCGGAAAGGATGGGCCTTTACATGCCCATCCCCTCTGGGAGAACCATCCCATAACGTCATGCAGTGTGAAATGCCACATCATCCTTACGTCCTGTCTCAGCTACCACTTCCCTCAATAGGGCTCTCCTCTCTCCCCAGCTGGACGTAAGCATTTTCGCCTTTTGAACTACCTCTTCCCCTTGTGCGTGTCTCTTCTCGTATTCTGCCTACTGCATTTCTTACACAGTTATGTGTATACTCGTCTTATCCTTGATCCTTGTCTCCCACCCTCTATCAGAGTACAGGCTCCTCGAGGGCAGCAATTCTTCTTCATATCACTTAAGGGGCCTATCATAGGGCTTTTGTGCAATGACAGCTTATAAGGGCTAAATATATAGTAAGTGATCAATACATGCTTCTTGAACTGAACTCACTATGCGACATGTAAATTTCATATTGTCAAACAAAAGTTTAATTACACAGAGCTGATTAACAATCACTTGTACCTTCTGCCTGCACTCTGTCTGCTCACATAACAAAATCCAAAAAAAAAAAAAAGCATAGAGTGATGTTACCTGGAAAACACACTCTTCAACGGTCTTATATTTGCAAGACATAGAGACAGAATAATAGTGCTAATAACAATAATAATATGACAACTAAATAAACAGTTATTGAGAATTTACCATGTGGCAACTTGTATTATGTATTTCATACTAGGTATTTCACAATGTATTATGTCTTTTAATGCTTACAACGAAATTAGGCTTGTTATTCTCATTTTTAGATGAGAAAACTGAGGGTTGGAAAGGTTAAAAAACTTGCCCAAAGTCATATAGCCAATAAGAGGCACAGCTGGGATAGGGTCACAGCACTGCCTAGCAAAGGTGCCACGAGATTGCCAACCACAGGTCACAGTGCACCCAGGATACAATGGGGCAGGGGCAGGGGCTGAAAGTGGACAGCTGATAACTAAAGCCTAGGAATATTCACAACTCGGATAAGGCTTCTGCCACATCATCTTCAGCATCCCACAGGACTTTTTGGGATGACGAAAGTGTTCCATATCTGAGCTTTCCAATACAGTAGCCTCTAGACACATGCGGCTATGGTGCACTAAAAATGTAGCCAAGGCCGTTGCAGTGGCTCAGCCTGTAATACCGGCACTTTGGGAGGCCAAGGAGGGAAGATCACTTGAGGCCAAGAGTTTGAGACCAGCCTAGCCAACATGGTGAAACTCCATCTCTACTAAAAATACAAAAATTAGCCAGGCATGGTGGCACATGCCTGTTGTCACAGGAGGGACTTAGGAAGCTGAGGCAGGAGAATCGCTTGAACCCAGGAGGCGGAGGTTGCAGTGAGCTGAGATTGCGCCACCGCACTCCAGCCTGGGTGACAGAGCGAGATTGTCTGAAAAAAAAAAAAGAAAAAAAAAAGTAGCCAATGCAATCTAGCAACTAAATTTTTAATTTTATTTAACTTGCATTAATTTAAATTTGAATATAAATATCCACACATGGCTAGCAGCTACCACCCTGAAGAGAGCCATTTTAGATCCAAGAATAACAATGTCAATATCTGTCTGTCCAATGATGAGATTTATGAAGTTTATGCTGTTTACATATCTGATTTGCCTAGAGTTTAGTGGAAACACAGTCTCATTCTGAAAGAGGTATGATGCACGAAATAACTCCTTTACTACTTCATAGCACTTTAACCTGTCAGAGCATTTTACCATTTACAAACTCATAAATATCATGCTGGTAATCACCTTTGAAAACTCTGAGAAGCACCCAAACCTGATCTCTTCCTAAAGGCAACGTAATAAAGGCCTTTAATGAGAGTAAGGCGAATAAGAAATAGGAAATTATCAACCCTCCAATACCAACTACCCCATTTGACACAAACATGTACACACTCTAAAATTCTAAGGTTTGAGCCTCACTTCCCTCCCACCAAGCACGCTGGGAAACACCCTGACTTTTGGGATGAGCTTCTGAGACATTAGAAATGTTGACTCAAGCATATTGACATTAAGCCCTAAGAAGAACTGCTCTGTTAAGTAATATGTTAATCTCTGGAGTTTCATTTAATGAGTAGAATTAATAAGGTATGAAAACAGCAGGCACAGCAGATAATACCACTGTTTACTTGGAGGGAAATAAAATAAGAATGGAGGCTGGACACAGTGGCTCACGCCTGTAATCCCAGCACTTTGGGAGGCTGAGGCGGGTGGATCACCTGAGGTTAGGAGTTCAAGACCAGTCTGGCCAACATGGTGAAACCCCCCGTCTCTACTAAAAATACAAAAAATTAGCTGGGCATGGTGGTGGGCATCTGTAATCCCAGCTACTCAGGAGGCTGAGGTTGTAGTGAGCTGAGATGGTGCCATTGCACTCCAGCCTGGCAACAAGAGTGAAACTCTGTCTCAAAAAAAAAAAAAAAGAATGAATGGAGTTATTCATGAAAAGTTAGAGATGTGCAATATTCCCTAACCATTAAGACCAAGATTAGCTTTGGACCAATTTAGACTGACCTCATGCACTAATATGGATAATTCCAGACTTACCTATCCCAGTCTCTCAAAACCTAAAACCTTTGTCACCAGACACTCTACTTTCTCCCATATGCCATCACTGATAAGTTGCCAGATTTTGCCTATTTTACTTCAAAATATCCCTTGCTTTGCTTTCTTGTTTTTCTTTCACTAACACCTAAATTATATCCTTTGCCCAGAACACAACAAGATTCCCAGCTGACCAGCTTGAATCCAGCAGTTCTCAAAGTGTGGGGTCTGCAGAACTCAAAGGAGCCCATGCATTCTAACTCCTCAGAAGTTTCCAGTCTCATCTGCCACAACTCTCCACCCGTAGCTACAGTCAAACCAGCCAGTGGATGCTTTCTGAACACCCAGGCCACACTGCCTCTGCTCCTTCTCTCTCTGTCTAAATCATTCCTTGCTCCCTATCTTTTTGCCTAACAGCACACATGCCATTAGTCTTTCAGCCTTCCCTAATCCCCCAAGGGCATGTGACCTCTCCCCATATAAAATTTTGATCACACTTTATCACACTTGGCTTTTTATTCTGATTTTGCAAACTTCCTATTTAACCAACCACACTGTAGTCTCCTTGAAAACAAGCACCATTTCTTATATAATTTCATCCCCTGGGTGTTAGTCCCCCAGGTCAGTGCTTGGGGTGAAAGAGTTGACGGAAAAAATAAGTAGTGAATGATCATGATTTCTGAAACCAGAGCCAGAATGTTGATTGGTTAGAGCTGTTCCCTAAAATGGCTTTCAAAATTTTTTAATCCCTCCTCATTAACACTCTTCTCTTTTACTCTGAAGCTACCCACCAACCAACCAACAAACCAACCAACAAAAATTCCCCAGGGGTTAAAACCTAGTCTTATCTTTACTTCAACCCAGGAATGGGCATTTTACTCTATTGATTCATTCTAAAATGTTTGTGAGCACAGGCTGTGTGCCAGATGACAGTGAAGAAGACAGGGTCCCTGTTTAAAGACCATAGAACTGACCATCTAGCTGACAATAATAAATACATACATATGTACATACATAAGAATGAATAACGCCAGATACAGAACTACACATACGAAAACTGATTTAACAGGAAGGATGGTGAGGGTGTATGAGACAGGTGGTTAAGGAAAGGAAGAGCTCTCTGGGAAGTAATATTTGAATTGAGACCTGAATGTCATAAAGATCTGGAGCAGGACATTCCAGGCAGAGGAAACCCACCTACAAAGGCTCTGGGGTGAGGAGAAGCTCAGTACGTTCAGAAAAAAAAAGAGCCAGCGTGCCAGAGGGTAGAGAGTAAATGAGAGAGAGGGAAGCAAAGCAGGGAAATGTCTTTTTTGTTAAAACAAAACAAAACTTTAATTCTATTGACAAATAATAATTGCATCTATTTATAGTACAATGTGATGTTGTGACACATGTATATATTGTGGAATTGGCAAGTTAGTCTAATTAACATATCCATCATCTCTTATAATTATCATTTCTTTGTGGTGAGAACATTTAAAATCTACTCTTTTAGCAATTTTGAAATACACATTATTATCAACGATAGTCACCTTGCTGTGCAGCAAATCACCAGAACTTATTCCTAACTTTGTACCCTTTGATCAACATTTCCTCCTTCCACCCAGCACTCAGCTTTGGTAACCACCATTCCACTCTCTACATCTATAAGTTCAACTTCTTTTGATTCCACATACAAGTGAGATTGGGCAGTATTTGTCTTTCTGTGCCTGGATTTTTCACTTAGCATAATGTACTCTACATTCATCCATCTTATGGCAAATGACAAAATTCTGTTCTAAGGCCAAATAGTATTCCATTGTGAGTATACACCATTTTTACCCATTGATCTGCTAGTGAGAACTTAGGTTGTTTCCATATCTTGGCAATTATGAATAATGTGGCAATGATCATGGGAGTGTAGACATCTCTTTGACATACCATTTCATTTTCTTTAGATATATACCCAGAAGTGAGACTGCTGGATTATATGGTAGTTCTATTTTTAATTTTTCAAGGAACCTCTACACTGTTTTCCAAAATGGCTGGAAGTTATACCTCCTTTACTCCTCATGCTCAGTAACACTTGTTATCTTTTACTCCTCATGCTCAATACTCCTCATGCTCAGTAAGACTTTACTCCTCATGCTCAATACTCCTCATGCTCAGTAAGACTTTACTCCTCATACTCAATAACACTTGTTATTGTTCATCTTTTTGATAACAGCCAATCCAACAGGTATGAGGTGGTGTTTCATCGTGGTTTCAATTTGCATTTCCCTGATGATTAGTGATGCTGGGCATTTTTCATATGTCTGTTGGCCTTCTGTATATTTCTTTTGAGAAATGTCTATTCAGGTCCCTTGACCATTTTTTTAATAGGGCTATTTGTTTTCTTGTTGAGTAGTTTGAGTTCCTTATATATTTTGAGCCCCTTATCTGATGTATAATTTGCAAATATTTTCTTTCAATGTGTGGGTTGTCTCTTTATATCTGTTGTTTCCTTTGTTGCACAGAAGCTTTTTAGTTTGATACAATCTCATTTATTTATTTTTACTTTTGTTGCCTATGTTTTTGGGGTCATATGCAAGAAATCGCTGCCCAGACCAATGTCATGTAGCTTTTCCCCCATGTTTTCTTCTAGTGTTTTATACTTTCAGGTCTTACATTTAAGTCTTTTTTTTTTCTTTTTTTTTTTTTGAGACAAAGTCTTGCTTTGTGGCCAGGCTGGAGTGCAGTGGCACAATCTCGGCTCACTGCAACCTCCACCAGGGGTTCAAGCGATTCTCCTGCCTCAGCCTCCTGAGTAGCTGGGACTAGAGGTGTGTGCCACCAAGCCCAGATAATTTTTGTAGTTTTAGTAGAGATGGGGTTTCACCATATTGTCCAGGATGGTCTCCACCTTTTGACCTTGTGATCCGGCCGCCTAGGCCTCCCAAAGTGCTGAGATTATGGGCGTGAGCCACCGCGCCTGGCCACATTTAAGTCTTTAATACATTTTGAATTTACTTTTGTACAAAGGGTGAGATAAGGATCCAAATTCAGTCCTCTGCATGTAGATGGCCAGTTTTCCCAGCACCAATTGCTGAATATACTGCCCTTTCACCAGTGTGTTCTTGGCCCCTCTGTTGAAAAATCTATTGGTTTTAGATGTGTGTGATTTACTTCTGGGTGTTCTATTCTTTTCCATTGGTCATTGTGCCTATTTTTTTGCTAGTCCCATATTGTTTTAATTACTATAGCTTTGATATACAGTTTGAAATAAGGTAGTGTGGTATCTCCTGCTTAGTTCTTTTGCTCAAAATTACTTGGGCTATTTGGGGTCTTTGGTGACTCCAAATGAATTTTAGGATTGTTTTCTATTTCCATGAAGAATGATGTTGGAATTTTGATAGGGATTGCATTAATTTGTAGATTACTTTTGGCAGACATTTTAACAATATTGATTCTTCCAATCCACGAAGATGGGGTATCTTTCCATTTGTGTCATCTTAAATTTCTTTCATCAATGTTTTATAGTTTCCAGCATACAGAATTTTCACCTCCTCAGTTAAATTTACTCCTAGGTATTTTTTTTTAATGCTATTGTAAATGGGATTGTTTTCTGCCAACTCTCACTACTTCTATTAAACATAGTACTGGAAGTCCTAGCCAGAGCAATTAGGCAAGAGAAATAAAAAGCAGCCAAATGGGAAAGGAAGAAGTAAAACTGTGCTTGATGATGACATGATCTTATATGTAGAAAACCCTAAAGATTCCACAAAAAAACTGATAGAACTGAGAAACAAATTTAGTAAAGTTTCAGGTTACAAAATCAGCATAGAAAAATCAGTAGCATTTTTATATACTAATAAGAAACTATCTGAAAAAGAAATTAGGGAAGTGTCTTGAGGCAGAAGAAGGCATTTTTACCTTCTCAGTGTGTTTTATAAAACTTGCCCCTACTTTATAAACCCATCGACTTTTTCCCCAGGGAATATGCATATGTAAAATCCTGAAATTTTCAAAGGAAAGAACTAAATGTCCAAAGAAGGTAGAAAATTAATTAAGAAAAATGAAATTACACTTACCATAGGAAATAGCACATACTCTCTGAGGAAATCTTGAGAATCAAACTGATTATAGTCTCCAAAATCAGCTGAGAAGAAAAGAAGATGGAAGGGCAGTATTTATTATATGAAATTAAAGATGGAATAAAATAGGGCAAACTCATCACTACATTATTCTTCACATTTCATCCTATTTCTCACTATTATTAAATAAAAATAGTGCCAAGATATGTTTGACATAGTTACTTTTATCTAACAATATGGTAAATATCAGCATGTAAGCACCACTACATGAATTTTTAGAAATAATGAAGAAATTTGAAAACAATTCCTAAAGGCCATTTAAAAAATTTTAAACAAACCTATATCTATCTGTTTGTTAAATATGCATCAATTCATATCTTAAGAATATCTGCCAAGAGGACTTTTTAACTCAAGGTTAATCTGGAGAACTGAAGAGCCAAACCCATCTGCATCTTTTCATATATATGCAGCTGGAAATTCCCACTGTAAATCACCCTTGGCAAGCAACCTCAAATATCTTTACACCTTCTAAATAACTTCACATGTTACAAGATGCCAAAAATTCTGTTTTCCCTGTTTTCATGTCACCGTGGTACAGTTTGAGCACATGCAAAATGAAATATATAAAGTCTTGCTTCTTATCTTGCTTGCTCTCCTAAAAACTAAACTTGAATGAAATTTTAATTTCATGTAAAATATTTAGCATCAGATAGAAATGGATCCAGGTATCTTTAAGGTAACAAGAGATATAGGATGAGAGGATACACACACCATGCACCAATGTTGAGAAGTTGCTAGAAGGTAAAAAATAAACGTCAACCTACAAACTCAGCATGTAACAAATTACCAATTAGGTGCAGCATTCAAGAATAGCAAACATCACTCACTCTGCCTATTTCCAAGTTCAATAATTGGTTATCACATTCCACCACAACTTATATTTCTGTTGATGTATCTTTCTAAAAATGCAATAAGCGTTCTCAAAAAAAAGTTATTTGAAAAGGATTAGTTAGAGAAGGTTTCATCAGACTGAACAGCTAGCTTCAAGGACCCAACAAAAAGGGAATCCAGAGTAAGTTCACCAAATTCCTCGAGGATCCTCCAATATCCAGGATGCCCACAATAAGCCTAATGATTGAGTAGTGAGAGGAAAGAGTACATGCAGTAAACAAAGCTTTTTATTTATTTATTTACTTTTTTAGAGACAGGGTCTTGCTTTGTCATCTGGGCTGGGGTGTAGTGAATTGATCATAGCCCACTGCAGCCTCAAACTCCTGGACTCAGGCGATCCTCCCACCTCAGTCTCCTGAGTAGCTGGGACTATAGGTGCACAACACCATACTGGGCTAATTTTTTATTTTTACTTTTTTCGTAGAGACAGAGTCTCGTTTTGTTGCCCAGGGTGGTCTCAAACTCCTGGTTTCAAGTAATCCTCTTGCCTTGGCCTCCCAAAGTGCTGGGATTATAGGCATAAGCCACCACACCCAGCCCAACGAAAGCTTTTTAAAAGAAGAAAGACCCAATTTGACAATGAGGGACATATTGATCTTCTCCATTATTTCAACAATGCTACCTCTGATTTCTCTATCATAACTGGCCATTGTTTCTTCCCCTCCAGTCTTTAAGCAGACAGAGGTGATACATCAGATTTTGCCTGTTTCCATCCACAGAATTACAACAGAAGCTAACTGTATAGAAATTACACTTCTAACAGAAATTGTTAAGTTGTTAATACTTCAGAATGAAAGAGGTCAGGAGAAGGGCTGCCTCTTCAGACACTTAAATCTGAGATGATTCAATTCAGCCCAGTGTTTGGGATGGGAAGTCAGTTCACACCTTCTAAAACAACAGTCCATGCAGGAAGAACCCAGCTGCTGGCTGGCTCACACTTGCAGATAAGCTGGTTTTCAAGAAAATGACTAAAAGGAAAAGTTTCTTTTCAAAAACTATATTACCATCTTCTTGCTTTTTTAAAAAAATGTTTTTAATTTTTACTTTTTGAGACAGAGTCTAGCTTTGTCACCCAGGCTGGAGTGTGGTGGTGTGACCTCAGCTCACTGTAACCTCCACCTCCCACGTTCAAGCGATTCTCGTGCTCCAGCCTCCTGAGTAGCTGGAATTACAGGCGTGTGCCACCATGCTTGGCTAATTCTTGTATTTTTATTAGAGACAAGGTTTTACCATGTTGGCCAGGCTGGTCTCGAACTCCTGACTTCCAGTGATTCACCTGCCTCGACCTCCCAAAGTGCTGGGATTACAGGCATGAGCCACCGCGCTGGCCTATCTTGCTTTCAATATGGCCTATCTTGCTTTCAGTATAACTGAAGGCAGTTAAGCCACCACTCAATAAACCATAATGTATAAAATATACATATAAAGTCCCACACATAACAATTTAGAGAAGGCAAAAAACAGCTATGTAATATAAACCTTTATAGGATGGATTGAAAGATAAATTCAGTCCAATACACATTTGTTGTTTCATGTTACAATCATGGATTTTAAATCTACCTCTTTAATTGCATTAGAATGCATTATACTATAATGTTTAAAGCTATCACACTCAAAGAAGTTGTGATAGTAACACCTTTGCAGCATCAAGCTACAGAATATGACCACATTGTGCCTTGGAATAATTCTGAGAAAATGTTCCACAAACCCTGAAATGTAGCCTTAATTAAAGGCAGAATAAAAGCTGCTATTTCCTCATATAAAACTGTAATTATACAAGCATGAGCAGTTTGCAAACAGCTTTGAGAAATCTACCACCCAGCCACCAAAAATCACTAACTTTGCATTTTTCACGTAAGATAACTTGAAATAAAAAGGGAGCATTACTAAGGGATCATTTAAGTAAATCTAACTTCTCACTCTGAGAGGCCAGCAACACCATGATCAAACAGAAAATGGAATTTCACATGCTGCTCATAACTATGTCTTACCTTGCACAGCTAGGCCGGCTAGCCGAATCACCTGGTCCAATGTACATCGTAATCGCCCTTCAAGCACATCTTTTTTGACTTGCAGGTAATACTGATATCTGTTCATGGGAATAGAGGAACAAACAACCTTAAAAACACATACTTGGAATATATTCCCACAACACAGATGCCTCTAGATGTAAAACCTTGTGTACACAGCAGGACATGCCTGTGATGCTGATAAAGGTCATTTCTATAAAAGATGGAAAGTGACCTCTGCCTGTGTTTATCTTTGTTTGATGTAGCAGGTGCCACATCCTGTTCATTCTGAGCTTGAGAGGATTCTCATCACATCACTTATTTGTAGGCCAGCGGGATAAACCACTGATAAGGACCAGGTCCTCATAACAGAATCCGAGAATGAAAATACTTTTGCACACCTGGAGACCCACGACAACACGACTGCCAAAGCTACACTCAACAGTGTGCGTTCCTGAATGCATTCTAGAAACACATCACCTTTCAAACTCAAAAGTTCGGTAAGGCAGATCACAAACAGGCCAAATAATTTGTAATTCCACTAAAAAATCAAATACAGTTTTCACCTTACACATCTGTGAATCAGAAAAATCTAATCTGATGCAACTTTCGAAACTGAAGTAAATTCTCAAACCAGCAAAGTACAGATGGACAGAATCGTGCCCAAACACATCAAGTCTCAGACTAGACAAGTGCCCTCAGGAGCTAATACAGTGTACTGTTTCCCTACCAATAAAATAGCCCTCTTAGAATTACCTAAAACATTTAGAAAACTTCTCACTCAAGACGTTTATTTCCCAGGACTCCACTTCCTTTGCCCATACTCTCAACACATAGTCACAACGACAACAATCACATTTCTCTAGCATTAATTCCTGGTAAATGCTAACAATCCTTTTGCTCCTGGTAACTGTAACTCTGTATTTTAACTTCACTTTGGCATCTCAATCAAGGGAACCCATAAGTGAACCAAAGCCCAACTTTCCTGGAGAGAGGCAATCGGCGCTGAGAGCTAATTACTGCTGGCTCTACCATGTTGATGTCACAGGCATCATTACACATCAGTCAATCCAATGCCTGTTTGAGGGAAGGAACTGGGCTCCGTGCATGCTCCAGTAGAGTCCTTCTTCTCTCCTCTTGGGTGTACTAAACAGGATAAAGACAGCCATACCACTCTTTGGTGGGAAAAACCTATACTCAAATCAGAAGGGCAAACACTGGGAGTTACTTAAAAATCCTTTTTAGTCAAACCTAATATGGGCTAGAAAAAATCACGAAGCAAAACAAAAAGCAAAATCTCAAGGTAGAAAAGAATGGTAAATTTCACTGATTCCTACTAATTATAAAATGTTTGAATCTCATCTACATGCCATTCATTCCTTCTCATCTTTCTGGAGTGGTTTTGACTTATTTGCTGCTCTCCAAGCCAGAAAGACAAACAGATATTTTAACCCATAGCTATCATTCATGCACTTTCTATGGGTGTAAGTCTGCTAGATGCTGAGTAGTATCTTGGAGAGTGCTAAAACAGTCTCCACCTTACAAGGATGCACATATCTTTTTGATCGCTGTGATCATGTTTTTGTCTAGTGTACTATCTAAGGATTCAGTGATTAAGAACCAAGGAGTAAAACATCTGAAAAGGTGTTAACCTGGCATCATCTGCCAGAGGTAGAGCTTTGTTACCTGTTACCTTGGAGATGAAAATGATCAGCTAAGATTATTTATTAGAGAATACCTTTGGGAGTTGACCAGTAACCAATTAATCTGCCACCAAAACAACAGCTCTAGTTCTTAAAAATCTGCTGCTTCCAACTTTCATCTACAGCTACCATTTGTATAATGTGTCAGCAAGTTCTATTACAGATCCATTCTATCCTAGGAAACAGTGACTCACAATCCACTAGCAAGGAACACCAGGAACATTCCTAATCATGTAGGTTGGGTGTAGGATTTTGCTGGAATATAAAAATAAGGAGCTGAAGCAAGCAGGGCTCTCTCCTGGAAGCCATCCAAACTAGGAGAGAATCTAAACAGCAGCAATGATAGGGTGCTATTACCACGAGATTGTGGGTACTACTGTGTAAGACTGCAGAAACGAGAATGAAATTCAAACCACTTTGAAAATTGTTTGGCTGGTACAATTTTGCACAAAAGGCAGTTTTATAAAATATTATAATTCTATCGAATATGATGACTAAATTTGACAACAGGAGTTGAAATTCTATTTCTAGAATGCCTGCTCTTTGCTTATTTCTCATTAGCGATTCAATTATAACAGTAGTAAAATATAACAGTGAATTCTATTTTGGAAGCATGCAATTTCATGGAAGTATACTCCACCCTGTCATAGCTTTGGGTGGAGGGGAAAAGGAAAAAAAAAAACAACAATTTTCATGCCAGGAAAGTAAGCATTTGCCAACTTTCCAAAGAGATCCTCTTTGAAAATCCAAGCTCACAAGGAAAACTTTTTAATATTTTTCATATTCAAAGACCTGGAAATAGTCCATCTGACTCTTGAGGCCCAATGAATGGTTTTAGGTTAGGATTCTGCTCTGCCTCTAAGAATTGGTGAACATAATTTTGCTTCTCGAATGAAGGTAAAATTTTGTATTTTCAAATTTTTAAATTTTGTTTTTAAAGATTAACTTTTTATTAAATACAGATTTGTCGGGGTGAAATAAAAAAGGCGTCCTAATAATCAGTGTTATCTATTGGGAACTAACATGCTATGACCTAGTCTCTGGGGGCCTCATCTATCTAGAATCTCCTCATCCGATGGTAAGAAAATAAGTGACTTATCCAAGTCACTTCCTCCCATAGGAGTTTGAAAAATCAAGTTTGAAAAAATGCCCTGTTGGGTCAAATCAACAGAGCCTTCAGTACTTTTGACAGAGTATCAAAGGATCCCTTCAAAATTATAGCCCATAACAATATCTTCAACATTTAGAGATGAATTGCTAAGATCTTCATGCTCTCTTTTAAATTCATGTATGAGGAATTTATCTCAGCACGTCTGCAACTGTGTTTTACTTGCAATTCTGTTCATGCTTCTCAGAGTGAGCAGGTCCGTGTGGTGTTCTGAAAGCATGGGCTGTATTACCACAGAACTACAAATAAGGCACCAGGAACTCAGAGGCCGGGTACGTGTTGCTTTTAAAATATTTCACCCACCCCTCCCCACAAGTGAAATCTTCATTCCAAGTCCAGTTCAGCAGACGTGCCCAAAACAGGAGAGAGCCATGTAAAACGGTTAAAGCCTTGGCATCTGATTTTGGTCATACTACCACCCTAGGATGCAACATGCTCAGCGTAAGTCACAGGATGGTGAAGACAGGAGGAGCAGGGCCCTTGCCACGGTTCCAAATGTCTGCTGCCTTCCCAACAGGGTCATGCCTGCCTACCTCATTACTCCTGGGACTAGCTTTGGGGCCAGTGAAATGGGAATGGAAGCAGGAAGTGATTGTTGCTCCCAAGCAAAAGTGTCCAGAGCCAGTGACCGGTTCTCCACCTCTGCTTCCCTTTGCTCTGAGGCCTGCAGTGAGCAGGGAGGGCAGGCTGCTCAGTGAGCCTGAGCCCTGGGCAAAGACAGCTGGGAACAGAGCCTCAGACGACCCACAGTGGATCTGTCAGGTGGGCAGCAAATAAACCTTTGTTTGTGAAAGCCACAGAAGCTTGGGGGCCATACATCACTGCAGCATGATGGAGCCTAAGCTATTTAATAAGGGAAGGATTTTTAAATTCCCAGTCCAATCCTTTCATTTCTTAGAGAAGGCAACTGTGTTGAGGGAGGAGAATGACTTGTCCAAGGTAATACTGCTTCCTTAAAGACATGGCCACAACCAGATCTGGGCATGAACAACCACAGGGATGAAGGCAGGATCTGATCCCTGCCCATTCTGGGCAAACCACCAATTTCACTGAAGTCTAAAAATAAAAGTGAAAATAAAACACCACTACCCGGTGATTTTTATGATGCTTCTAAAGAAGGGCTTCAATCACCAAGCTTTTCTCCACCCCTACTTAGACAGTCTGAGCTACAGCATATGAGGCAAATGTTGAAATGAGAAACTTTTCCATAAAAATCCTATTACAGGACATGTTTCATATTGTGGCCAATGGTTATTCAGATCTGTTTTTTCTCCTGGCAGCAGCCTCTGAGATATTTCACTTTTCTGCCCCAGAGATAGAAGGAAGGGAAAGAAGACTGAGTTATACATTTTAACTACATGTTAATTTTCGAAGAAGGATGGAGGGATAGAAGTAAAATCTACAGACCAGAGTTTCTGATTGTAGGCTCCCATCTGGAAGGAGTGGCTATGTCCAACAGCAGGTACAAACTGGGCCCTTATGTGTATATATTTCTAAATGCAGATTTTTAAAAAGTAAAATGCAATTCATCGTCAGTATCACACACAGGCGTTTACTTGTTTGCACTGAGCAGCTTCTATATTATCGATCATAAAAAATGTTATCCAAATTTAATAGCACATATCAACTATTCATTACTCCTTCTCCCCCTACTCTCAAGGAGGTCTGAGTAAGAAAGAAAACTTTCTTTCCTAATTTGAAAAACAGGTTAGTGAAAGCACTCTGTAAGCTGTAACTACCAACCTGCAGAATCATTATCATCACACACGGCTCCTGGTCTGCTCTTCCCTCCTCTAGAGTTCAAATTTAGTTAAACCAACTTATCTCTCCCCATAGGCACGGTCAGTAGGGATGTGACAATTTGGAGAGAGGGGCCATCCTTAAATTCCTCACTTTTTGAAGCCTTTCCATAAAACTACTGGAGTGGAGGACCAGACCAGGACCCGGAAAGACAAATTGTCCTGTCACTGTTATGAAGAGCAGGGTAAGACTTAAAATGTGCTTTCCTCACTAGAAAACTTTCTTCATAACTAGCAATATCAGAGGAATCTTGCTAGAATGTACTGGAACCCAGTTCTCCCAAGTGCAGCATGTACCAAAGTGCCAGACAGCATTGGTTTCTGGCTGATGTTATATTCTGCAAATGGAAACGTTTCTCTACTATAAAAGACAAAAAAAAGAGGGAAAAGAGACAAGTAGTCCTAGAGTCCTGGGGTACAGGAGAGCAAAGGGGAATAATTTAAAATCTTAGATTGACAGAGATACCCATAGGAAGGAACCAACACATTCCATCCATTCCAGCGGGTGTTCACAGCTGTAAATCCAGATAAAGGACAGGGTGGCCCATGCTGTTCTCTGTCTGCCAGGACCAGATAAATACTATGTATGCAGGCATGCAACCAGATAAACCTGAATGCCTCCCTCCCTCCATCCCTCTATCCTCAAAACTCTTGAGAAGAATTTCAGTTTATGACTATTAAAGTCTAATAATGCGTTTGGTACCTGACCCATGCACTATCTAAAAGCTTTTACATTTAATGACTGTTCAAGTTGACAGTCAATTAAAAGTCTGCACTGTCTAACAAACTACAAAGCGAATACTCCTGCAACTATGCAAAACTGAAATAACCCCATAGGGAGGGGGAAAACACAAACAAACAAAAGGAAAAGCTACAACTAAAACTCTAGCAAAGATACCCTTAAAAGGGAAAGTTTTTCTTCTAGGCTTTTTCATACTATAAGCTAATACATGTACATGCATGAGAAGAAAAGCATGTGCATATACCCAAACACAGACAAGATTTTCTTGGCAAACGTTCAAGTCTAGAAGTTTTCAACATTCATTGATCAATAAATACCCTATTTTGCCAGAGACACCCAACTTCTTAATAAGATTCCTTCAGTTTCAATGAGCCAAAGGATTGCAATTATTTCCTAAAAAGGATAATATTTGTTTAAATGCATACAAAGACACACACAGGCCTTAACTAGTGAAAAAAAGCCAATGATAGCAAGGTGTTGCAAAAGAGAAAGACATGCCACGACCTGATCCTTGCTTTCTGCTCTTGAACTCTTGCATTAATTATAACAAATTACAGGGAATCCAAGTACTGTTTATAAGTATAATAAATTCCCTAATAGTAGCCTATCATCTAATCAGGGGTTCTGTTTAGAAAAGAAAAACTCATTTCTGAAATACACCATACAGGGAGAGAGAATGTCCTGACACCACTTCTTTCTGTCCTATCCTATGCTATTGGGTACAGATTTCTTTATAGCAATCAATCCATAGCATTTAAAAGGGCCCGACATGGTTCCCTGCTGAGGGCTGTGATGCCCTGAATTAGGAAAACATGCCAACAGAAGTAGAAATAGTTAGCATCGAAAGAAAATACTGTGCTAAAGTGTTTGATGTTAAAATGAAATGAGTCTGTTTTGATCTGTCTTAAAAATCTCCAATGACTTGGGAAAGTTTTTCAGTTCCTTCAGAAGTTAAACATACAATTATCACATGATTCAGCAATTATGCTCCTCAGTATATAGCCACACAAACTGAGAACACATGTTCACACCAAAACTGATACATGAATGGCAATGTTATTCACAACAGCCAAAAAGAGGAAACAACCCAAAAGTCTAACACCTGATGGATGGATAAACAAAATGCGGTCTCTTCAAACAATGGAATATTATTCAGCCATAAAAAGAATGATATATTGATACATGCTGTAACATGGATGAACTCTGAGGCATTATGCTAAGTAAAAGATGCCAGACACAAAGAGTCACATCTGTGTGATTCCATTCATAAGAAATGTCCAGAATAGGCAAATTCATAGAGACAGAAAATAGACGAATGGTTGCCAGAGGTTGAGGGAAGAAGAGGCTGAGGAATGCCTGCTAACATTTTGAAATTAGACAGTGACAGTGGCTGCACAACTTTGTTAAAACACTAAAAGTCACTGAATTGTATACTTTAAAGTGGTTAAAATGATGGATTTACTCAGCACCATAAGAAAGGGTGAGGAGAAAAAAAAAATTTAATGGTGAATTTACATTATGTGGATTTTAGCTCAAAAAAATCAGAACAAAACACCCAATGATCCTAATCAGGAAAAAATCCAAACTCTTGACACAATACACCAGGCTCTTCACGATCCAGTCAAAACTATTTTTTTTTCCAACTTCATATCTCACCACACACCCCATACCTGAGCTGTCGTAAGTGTGCGGTGCTCCCCAATAGTTGCCATGTTCTTTCCTGCCTCCTCGCCATTTCCTTGGTCTAACCACCCTTGCCTATCCTCCATTTGCCCAATCATCTGTCCATGCTCCAAGGCTCAGAGGAAATGTATCTCCTCTCCAAAAGCTTCCCAAACCCTCTCAACAAGTTAGTGAACCCTTTCACATCCGCCACTATACTTCCCCCAGGCCTCTCCTGCACTGGCACCAGCGCCTCCCCAACTCTGTCGTGATCAGTACCTGGCACTAAGTAGAAGCTCAATAAACATTTCTGAGTAGATGAAATACTGACAGAGAGACAAAGACAGAAGAAAGGAGGGAGAAAGGGAGGAAGATTAATCACCTCCTAGCAAAGCTATTAGATGTTATTTCTATAATATGAAAGAGCGCCTAAAAATTCTAGAAATGGAACTCATCACACATCAAGCAGGAAGTCTTGGGAAACTTGTCTTTATGCAAAGAGCAAAACTACTCATTCAGTGTGAAATGTTTATTTATTTTTAAATGACTTAAACTGATCTCTGAGCCACCATGCAGCAAAGAAAGAACTCAAGGATGAATCACAGTCAGGGACCAACAGCATTAAACCAGGTGGGCAAAAGGAGCACAGATCAGGGAACACCAATGCTCCATGCTAACCGGCCAACCAAAACTACTCCTCTAAATTGCAGCTGTCAACTACGGAGCCTCATCCCTCTTACACTAGCAATAAATATGTCTTGACTCATCAGCTCAAAATACATATCTGCCTGCCCTGAAAATCGTGTGTTCATAATATTACCTACAACTCACTGTGGGAAAAGGGAACTCAAATTATATCTGGAAGCCGGGTGAGTCAATTGCCCAAAGATCTGTCTTCCTGGTAAACGGCCACGTTCCCGGCTAAGGATTCTGCATAACATCCTTGAAGCTTTGGTGAGCTACCAGGCGGAAATACAGTGCTGTTATTACTGATATGCCTGGTCTGAAGGATAAAATACATAAAAATCAACAAATGAAAGGCAAGAAGATCATCTCTGTGAATGGGCACAAGTTCTTCCCTAGAATCCCTAATTAAAGGTAGTCCCTACCTTTTCACAGGTAAGCAACTGCTAAAAGATGTCAACTCTCTGTCGATGAAGTAATGTCCCAGAAATGAGTAGGAAAACTATGTGCTTAATAAATGTCTGATGAACGAATGAGGCAATGGAAGTAAATACTTAATTCTATATCCCTCGAGACTATGACAAAAATGGAAAGAATAGAATTTCCTGCCAAAAGCAGAGGCTCATGTCTGTCATCTCAGCACTTTGAGGGGCTGAGGTGAGGAGATCGCTTCAGCCCAGACCAGCCTGGGCAACATGGCAAAACCCAAAAGAAACAAAAAAGGAAAGGGAAGAGGGAAAGGGGGGAGGGAGGGGAAGGAAAGTCAGCCAAACTAGCTGGACGTGATGGCATGCACCTATTGTCCCAGCTACTCAGGAGGTGGAGGTGGGAGAACCAATTGAGCCCAGGAGTTTGGAGGCTGCGGTGAGTTGTGATTGGACCACTGCATTCCAAGCTGAGCAACAGAATGAGACTGTCTCCCCGCAACACCCCCCAAAAAAGAAAGATAAGAAAAAGAAATTCCCAGCCCATGTTAAGTCATATGGCTAGGCACACTTCCGGTGACCACAGACTCTGTATGGATGGGAGTGCCATCTACATTCCTTACTCCAGCATCTCTGTCACTGTAACCATGAGCCCACTTTCCAAGTTTTGTCCCTAAGAGCCAGCCAAGCCTAACTTTAAACTTTGGTTGATGCTTTGTTTACTGGCCAGTCTAAATTTTGAAAATTTCTAATTGCTGGCTTCTAGGCTTTCGTGCTTCATCACTGCAGGTGCCCCTACTCACCCCATGCTCTCTTAATCACTGAAGGCGCATTTTCTCATATTCACAGCTTAAAAATATCTGAGTACCTGCAGGGCGTTGTGGCTCATGCCTGTAAACCCAGCACTTTGGGAGACCGAGGTGGGTGGATCATTTGAGGTCAGGAGTTCAAGACCAGCTTGGCCAACATGGTGAAACCACGTCTCTACTAAAAATACAAAAATTAGCCAGGCATGGTGGCTCACGCCTGTAATTCCAGCTACTAGGGAGGCTAAGGCAGAAAAATCGCTTGAACCTGGGAGGCGGAGGTTGTAGTAAGCAGAGTTCGCGCCACTGCACTCCAGCCTGGGTGACAGAGTGAGACTCAGTTTCAAAACAAAACAGTAACAACAAAAAATCAGAGTACTGGCCGGGCACGGTGGCTCATGCCTGTAATCCCAGCACTTTGGGAGCCTGAGGCAAGTGGATCACAAGGTCAGGAGTTCAAGACCAGCCTGGCCAAGATGGTGAAACCCCATCTCTATGAAAAATACAAAAAGTAGCTGGGTGTGGTGGCGGGCGCCTGTAATCCCAGCTACTCAGGAGGCTGAGGCAGAGAATTGCCTGAACTTGGGAGGTGGAGGTTGCAGTGAGCCGAGATTGCACCACTGCACTCCAGCCTGGGCAACAGAGTGAGACTCTATTAAAAAAAAAAAAAATCAGAGTACCACACAAGTAACCCATATTAAAAGAACGTTTGAAAACACAGACATAACAAACAAACACAAAAGCTGGATGGAATGTTTATCAGAAATAGCAAAATAGGGGCTATCTGCTCAGAAGTCAGCAATATGAGAGATAATTCGGAGATCCTGCTGGATGACTTTAATTTCCATAGCATGGACCTGTGGTGAGACAATTGAGTGGGACACCCCACTTTCTTTCTTTTTTTTTTTTTTAGACAGAGTCTTGCTCTGTTGCCCAGGCTGGAGTGCAGTGATGCAATCTTGGCTCATTGCAACCTCCATCTCCCGGGTTCAAGTGATTCTCCTGCCTCAGCCTCCCGAGTAGCTGGGACTAAAGGTGTGTGCCACCACACCTGGCTAACTTTGTTTTATTATTTTTTATTTTTGGTATTTTTAGTACAGATGCAGTTTTGCCATGTTGGCAAGGCTGGTCTTGAACTCCTGACCTCAGACGATCTCCATGCCTTGGCCTTCCAAAGTGCTGGGATTGCAGGTGTGAGACACCGTGCCCGGCCCGCCCACCCTACATTCCATGTGGCCACTATGATCCATGTTCAGCCTCTCCCCAATCACAGCAATTTAATATTAAAGATTTTATGCATTTGTAATGATAACATGCCTATCCATCTCTGTTTTTTTTTTAGTAGAGGCAGAGGTTATGCCACGTTGGCCAGGCTGGTCTCGAATTCCTGGCCTCAAGTGATCCACCTGCCTCGGCCTCCCAAAGCGCTGGGATTACAGCCATGGGCCACCAGGTCCATCCAGCCCATCAATCTCTATTTAGCACCCTACTAGCCCAGAAGTACCTTGAAGGCGGGAACCACCTCTCTCTATTCTACAATTCACAGACTCAGTAGATGATCCTAGACTTGGTAGTTGCACAAAAAGCATTATGATCATTTACTGACTCAGAGACACCCAGTGGGTAAAAAAGAATGCTTTTCTGGAAGTTAGCCACCCAAATAGGTGGCATAAAACAACACTGGACTCAGCAGAAAGAAAAAAACAAAATCACCTACACTCTAGGTATTACATAATATAAAGCCTTTCCCCAGTCAACAAATTGGAATAACTCATTCCGCCCTCTGTGTTCCCATTGATTTTGTAACTCTAACATGGTACTGATCAAACAACTTAATTATGTGCATCTATTTTGCCTCCTTTGCTGTTTTATAAGACTGCCTTGTTCATGTCTGTATTTCCCCCAACAGACCGCCTTACTATGCATTCACATTAAAGCAGGATATTATTATGGCCACATATTTAAAAGACAGTCAATTACATACTGGCTGAAAGAAACTTTACGTTGTTCCTAGTGTACTATGAAAAAAATAATAAAAACACACCACATGTCTATCAAAAGCTTTGGAAGAACTGAATTCTCCACAATTGGAATTTTTATCAATTTCTCTAGATATTAAGAAATCAGAGCCTTCAAATAGTTATTAACAATGATAGCCCTTTGCATTTGCGCAGTTGTTTTCCAAGAATTGTCATGTATAATATTTCCTGTCATTTAATATTCGCAACAACCCTGCAAGATAGCCACTATCCCATTTATCCACGGGGAAACGGAGGCTCCCAGGGGGTAGGTGACTTGCCAAGTCTTCTGATTTTACAGTCAAGTGCTCTTTTATTACAACATTGTGCCTGTGTAGTAGGTTAGTCTATAGTTTCTACAATCTGGAGCATAAATCGCAAAAAAAAAAAAAAAAAAAAAAAAAAGGAAGGAAGAAGAGAAAAAAACTACAGAAGGCTATAAACAGATCACAACATGAATCCATTGACAACATAATGAATTTTTAATGTTAGAAATGAATAATTTTCTTTTGCAGAATCTTCAAAGCAGCTGAAGACATCAAATGTGGCAACAACTGCCAGAGATAAAATACCAAACCAGCAAACATCTCACTGCCCAAGAATCTAGTATCTTCCTATGCTGTGATTTCTGCCAAAATCATGCTTGATATTTTCAAGCATGGAAATGTCTCTCTACAATTCTTCCTTTCAAACCCTTCTTGAGGCTCTAGGATTAAAGGAGGAGATACTTCATTTGTTAAATGCAATTTAAAAATCATTTTGAACATCCTTTCTTCTTTTAGAGTTTTAGTTTTCTAATTGCCTTAGTTTCTACAAGACCATCTTTTATAACTCTTGACACATAGTAAACTTTAAGTTAGAAACTGTAACTTCCTAGAGAAAAAAAAAAATGATGGCCAAAGTGACAAGTAACTACACATAAATATAGGAAACCTTTTGTTTAGGACATGGGTAGAGGGATGGAGGATTGCCAAGCAGAGAACTATAATTCCCAAATCAGAGAAATTCTTCAATTCTTTCATTTCATGAAAGAAGGCTGCTACAAACACACTCCTCCTTTTCATCCTAGACTTAAGAACTTAAAACTCTCTCATTAGAAACCAGAATAGGAGCGCATTAAATGTCTCTTTAGGAACCAAAAATTCAGGGGCGTGAAGCCCAGGGAAGATGCCAGTGTGGGGCAGTCAGTGGCTGTACGGGGCACACCCTGCGGGCATCAGGCCATATTCAAAGGAGAGCACTCTCCAGAAGAGAAGTACTAAGTAGGTATTCAAATTCTCTCTTTAAAAACAAAAATAAAATAAAAAAATCTCAGCAGGCTTCTCCTAAAAAAAATTATGATTACAGGCCAGCGTGGTGGCTCACGCCTGTAATCCCAGCACTTTGTGGGGCCGAGGCGGGCGGATCACAAGGTCAGGAGATCGAGACCATCCTGGCCAACCTGGTAAAACCCCATCTCTACTAAAAATACAAAAATTAGCCAGGCATGGTGTGCATGCCTATAGTCCCAGCTGCTCGGGAGGCTAAGGCAGGAGAATCACTTGAACCAGGGAGTTGGAGTTTGCAGTGAGCCGAGATCGTGCCACTGCACTCCAGCTTGGCGACAGAGTGAGTCTCCATCTCAAAAAAAAAAAAAAAAAAAAAAAAATTATGATTGCAGAAAATATAAGGCCTCCTATAATTTGTTAATGTTCATGAAACCAGCATAAAATGTATTGAATAGAAATCATTATAAAAGCTGTCAGATTCTATTAAATTAGTATAATGATTTCTTATCCTTTTATAGTACTTTCATTTAAAAAGTAAACCAACTTAGTTTACTGGTAAAATATCAGAAGTATATACATACATATATTCCATTATTTATTCATTCATATTTGACAAAAGCTTAATGAGCACCTACTACATGCCAGGAGTTATTCTAGGCACTAGGGATATCACAGTGAACAAAACAAACCCATTCTCTGCTCTTGCTCATGGAGCTCACAGTCTAGTGGGGAAGACAAGCAAAAATCAAGTAAATAAACAATAGGTCCAATGAGAAAAAAGCAGGCAAGAGACACAGAGAGTAGCAAGGTAGGAGGTGGTCAAGAAAGGTTTCTCTAATAAAAGCGAACTCTGAGCAAAGATCTGAAAAAAAAATGAGGAGCTAGCCATGTGGATATTTGGGGGATGGAGGTTTTCACTTCAAACAAAGGGAATGGCAAGTAGAAAGGCTTTCAGGAGAGCTAGTGTCGTGCATTCATGAATGTTCAAGAGGTCAATGTAGCAAAGAGTGAGCAAGAGGATGAATCGTTGGGCTGACAGAAAAGGCAGGAAGTGGTACAAACCACAAAAGGCCTCGCAGGGCACGGTAAGGGTTCTGACGACAGTAAGATGGGAAACCAGTGGAAGGTACTGAGCAAAGGAGCTGCATAAACAGGCACCCATTTTACAAGATGGTACTGGCTGCTTTGTAGACACTGGACTGGGAGGGGCAAGGGTGGAAGCGGAAATGCCAGTCAGAAAAAATGACAGCAGACTGGATTAGAGAGGTTACAGTGGACGCAGAAGGAAGTAGTCAGAATCCAGACATATTCTGAAGGCTGGATGTGGTGTATGGGAGAAAGAATTCAAGGATGACTGCAAGATTTTTGGCCTGAGCAACTAAACTAAACCTTTCAGATAAAGACTTCTCACTTTTTGAAAACTGACAGACAAAACAGATTTGGGGGAAACGGATTTGACTGTCTTCTAAAAATTATAACCACATAATCTTTCATTAAAACCTACATATTCAAAATAGTCATCAAACCACGTCAGTCAAACATTTTATCTAATCATTTTAAAAGAGGAAGTATCTTTGATATAGTAATGGATTCTCCCTTTTCCTTTTTATCATCTTCTTCCTCTTCCTTGTCCCTCAAATCCTCTGCCTATTTTTGTAAAAGAACTATCTTTATAGAACGAAGTCCACACATATTTCCCTCTGATTTCTATTATTTGACTTTTGAGTCCAGATTAAGAATGGCAAAGAGACCATGTAGTAAATGTGCAGTGAATAAGTGGACAGGTGGTAGGAATCAGGAAATGAAACACTGCTCTCACCCAGGGTTTGGCAAAATCTCTGGAAGGCCCAAATAAAGGGTATTTCCTTTCTTCCCACTTGAGCCCTATTATCAAACCACTACACTTTAAAAACATCATCATTTTTTGTAACTTTAAAAATGGTCTTTGCAGTATAACTTGATCAAAAGGCATGCACTAAAAAGATTGGGGAGAAAAAACAAGTTTGTGCAATTAATAATATAGTTACTAAGCCATGCATTTCTGCCATCTGAAGTTTCTTGTTTCTATGAAAACTCACCTAGAGCCACCACCGACTTTACATTAGTAAACTAAGTCCAGTACATTTTCCTCACAGAATGAAATCCCAAATATTGCCTCACTTTTTCATGTTAGCCCGTTCCGTATAATTTTCATGAATTCTTAAAGGCATGACCATGCTTATAGACAGGATGATTTCCTCATAAAAGTCATGATCACAGATTTAAGTCTAAAGAAGAATATGATCATAAGTATATGCAAATAAGAATAAACATAATGGACTCCTTTATAGTTTACCACCCAGAAATAGATATGTTCACATGACCATCTTCTATATGTTTATTATCTTCTCAGTGAAGGAGATCTGTAATAATATTACATGAAAACAAGCTATTATTTAGTATTTAAAATGCATTGTTTCACAATTGTTTGAGAGAATACAATTTGGTAGCTGATTTTGATGATTCAGATAGCTAGAGTACTACATGCTTTTATAATTCTTAATTTGAACTCTGTAAAAACATTGACAGTCATAAACTACTACAAATATTTGAAAAAAGGTGACTTTCAGGAGATCAAGGACTTCATCTGTTTTGTTCAGTGCTGTATTACCAGTAACCAGAAGTTTCCTTGTATATAACAGATGCTCAGTAAATATTTATTTTTTTATCCCCCAAATGGTCTTCAAGTAAACTTATTGAATGCATGCATGAACAATGAATGAAAAATCCTTGATATTTTGCCCAAAATGGGCTGTCCAAGCCAACTAGAATATTAATTATGTAAAATTGTGTTAAGTTACACTACTTACTTCATGCTAAGGATCAATATAGGGTATTTGACAAAATAATTTTAGGAAGTACTAAAGGTAGATACATTTTTTCAAAACAGGGTTTTATGAGAAGAAAGAAAAGGAATTTATTTTATAATGAACATACTGGGAATTCTAGATTAAGAAAATATTTTTCCTTAATGACCTCATCAGATTAAAATTCTAAAGAAGAAATTGCATGACTTAGTTTCAAGATACAGAAGGAGATTTCATCCTGTGAACGTGTGACCCAACAGTAATAGGGAAACCTTGAACTTTAAGAAATTCTTTAGCTGAAATATAAATCCAGGGCTAACTGTGCTACGATTATTTGCTTCCTACCACATTCTAGGTATCCTTGAGGACTTTGCATTGCAATTTTCCTCCCCTCTTACATAATTTCCTTGGCTCGGAATGTTCTCCCTTCACACTTTCCGCTCATCCATCAGTGAGCCCTTGATACTGATGGGAGCTACCGCTTTAGGTATTTGGGAGAGATAACAGGCTTATAGCCCCTGGTCCAGGCTGTTTTCCTGCCTAACAATGCTGACTCACCAAAATCCAATGTCTTCTTCAAAGCCCCAATTCCAGGGACATCTCTTGTCATGGTTAATTTTATGTGTCAATTTGGCTAGGCCACGATATCCATATATTTGGTCATTTTTCTAGATGCTTCTGTGAAGGTATTTTTTGATGAGATTAACACATTTAAATCAGTAGACTTTGAGTAAAGCAGAATGCTTGTCACAATATGAATGGGTCTCGTCCAATCAGTTGAAGGTCTTACAGAGAAAAGATGGACCACGCAGAAGGAAGAATTTGTGTTTGGACTTGAACTTCAATCTTCCCTGGGTCTCCAGCCTGCTGGCCTGCCCTGCAGATTTTGCATTTGTCAAGTCTCTCCATTTATGTGAGCCAATTCCTTAAAATAAGTTTCTCTCCCTATTTACATATACATCTCATTAGTTCTGTTTCTCTGGAGATCACTGAATAATGCCCGTCTCCAAAGCTCCTCCTTATCATTCCACCCATGAAAGGTACCTTCAGCTGGCATCCAACACATACTAATATGTTGCTCAAATATTTTTATGTGACCATCTAATCTACCCAAATAGATTGAAAACCCCATTCAGGACAGGACTGACATCTTGTGCCACTCTATATCTTGCAGAATACCTTATACTTTGAAAATAATTAATGTGTTGAATGAATGCCCAGAGGTGAGTCTGGAAGGCAAAGGAGGCTTCTAAGGCAAGAAGGAAAGAGGAAAAGGGAGATACTTCAAGTACTGCAAAGAGCAGAGGAAGAAGTGAGAAACCCAGGGTGTCCAGAGACATTGAACGGCACAGACAAGTAAAATAGGGCTATGTAAGGAAGCAGAAGACAAAAAGGAAGACAGAGGCTTGCCATGCTTCAAATGCCTCTGGATGTCTGTCTTTATCTTCTAAGCAATGGTAAGACATTATGTATTTTTGACAAAGGAAGGAAAATGATGAAAGCAATCCTTTAGAAGGATGCTTTAGAGTTGGTATGTACACCACATTATATAAATGGGTGGTACAGATACAAATTGGGAGGTCAAATAATAATGATGATAGTGTTAGGTACTACAAAGTGTGCTTTTCTGTTTATTAACCAGTATAATCTTCACAAGAGCTTCTGTTCATGGAGAAACTGAGTCTTAAGAAGGATAAATAACTCACCTGAACATACAAAGAGTGAATGGCAGAGCAGAATTCAAATCCAAGTCTGTCTGACTGTAAAGCCTGTGCTCTTTACCATTTCGTTATATTTAAGGCTGGAGGTAAGAAGACATAAATTGGGGGCACAGCGGACTAGAATGGATTTAACTGGAAAGGTACGGCACATAGTGGTAAATGTGTGGATTCTGGAGCTACACTGTGTAGGCTTGGATCACAGCTCTGTCATGTACTCAAACTGTGCGGGCAAGTTACTCAACCTCTCTGTGCCTTAGTTTCCTATTCTGTGAAATCAGAATAATAGTACTAACTCAAAAAGTTGTTACAAGGGCTAAATGGGTTAATATGGATGAAGAGCTTAGAATTGTGCTTGGCCATAAACACTCATGAAATGTCAGGAGTCATCATTGTTAATATTAAGAAAGATCAGCCAAGCGCAGTGGCTCACGCCTATAATCCTAGCACTTTGGGAGGCCAAGGCAGAAGGATTGCTTGAGCCCAGGAGTTCAAGACCAACCTGAGCAATACAGTGAGATCTTGTATCTACAAAAAAGTTTTTAAAAAATTAGCCAGGCATGGTGGCACATGCCTGTAGTCCCAGCTACACCCAGGCTGAGGTAGGAGGATCTCCTGGGCCAGGAACTATGGGCCAGGAGGCTTCAGTGAGCTATGATTGCAACACTGCACTACAGCCTGGATGAAAGAACAAGACCCTGTCTCAAGAAAAAAAAAAATCAGTAGGATTTGCAACTAAATAAATGCCACAATACTTGCTTTTATGATTACTGATATCCCTTGAGAGCCTCAAACATAAAAGGTACTTAACATTTGTTTAATGAATAACAAATTCAATACAGAAAGAAAGAAAAAAGAAACATAAGACCAAGTATTTAAGATTTCTCAGCCTTACAATTTGCTTTTCATTTCGCTGGCAGTAATACAATTTTTGGAAAACTACTAACTAGCATATGCATATTCAGCAGAAATAAGTACATTCATGAGAGCCTGTGTGAGACTGTCCATAAGACATGTACTAGAAATGTTCACAGCAACACAGTTCCATTTGTAATAGCTCCCAAATGTAAACAATTCAAATGTCCTTTGTAGAATGGGTAAATTGTAATGTATGTCTTCCTTTGATAGAATATTAAGCAGCAATGAAAATGAATGATCTCTATACACAACAATATAGATGACTCACAAAATGTTGATCAATGAAGTAAGACATCAAAGAGCATATACTGTATTACTCTACCTAAAAAGTTTTTTTTTAAAAGAAAAGCAAAACTAATATATGATATTAGAATTCAGGATCATGGTTATCCTGATCCATAAACACTGAGAGGGAGCACAATGAAGGATTCTGAGTGGCTGGTGATGCTCTGATTCTTGAACTAGTGACTGACTGCATGGGTGTGTTCACTTTACAAAGATTCATTGAGCTGTACACTTTTCTTACAGTCTCATCTGTCGCCCAGGCTGGAGTGCAGTGGCACGATCTCGGTTCACTGCAAGCTCTGCCTCCCAGGTTCACACCATTCTCCTGCCTCAGCCTCCTGAGTAGCTAGGACTACAGGCGCCCACCACCACGCCCGGCTATTTTTTTGTATTTTTAGTAGAGACAGGGTTTCCCAGTGTTTGCCAGGATGGTCTTCATCTCCTGACCTCATGATCCATCCACCTCAGCCTCCCAAAGTGCTGGGATTACAGGTGTGAGCCCGGCCTCACTTTTCATTTTTGCACTTGTCTGTGCATATGTTATATTTCACCAAAAAGCCTATCTTAAAAAATGACTACTAGCACAAAGACAACAATTTGACTCCAAGTATGGAAAATGTCTACCAAGCAGAGGTGGAGCTTGAAGAAACTGGCAGGGTCTAGTGTAACAAATGACATGAGGAAGTGGGGGGCTCTGGTGACAGATTTGCAATTTGTGACAGTGAAAGAATCTTAGAGCTACTTATAGAAAAATGGGATATTTAAGGGAGGATTTAAAATCAAGAGAAGGCAGCAAGTAACTAACAGTTCATCACTGTCTACCTTTCTGATTCCTACAAGGATTGATTGAGCCAGAGTATTGTGGGTAGAGATGATTGACAAATAGTCGTCATCACCACTCTGAGGACACTGAAGCAAGAATGTAACAACAAGCAGAGGGGCCATAAATATACGCTTAAGAAAAAGGTTGTATTCTGCTTATACGTCCAGTTCCCAGCACACAGCAGATATTCAATATATAAACGAATGAATGACTGTCTTCTGTCAGCAAGAAATCAAGAATAAAATGTGGGTAAATGGTACAAAGTTAGGCCACATCTGTCAAAAATTACTTCTAGAGCTGGGCGTGGTAGCTCATGCCTGTAGCTCTAGCACTTTGAGAGGCTGAGGCAGGACGACTGCTTGAGCCGAGGGGTTCTAGACCAGCCTGGGCAACATAGTGAGACATTATTTCCACACACACACACACACACACACACACACAAAAAAAAAAAAAAAAAAAAACTCAAAAAATTTAGCCAGGCATGGTGGTGCATGCCTGTGCTCCCAGTTACTTGGGAGGCTGAGGTGGGAGGTTCACTTGAGCCCAGGAGTTTAGGGCTGCAGTGAGCTGTGATTGTGCCACTGTACTCCAGCCTGGGCAACAGAGTAAGACCCTGTCTCAAGAAAAACCCAAAAAAGTACTTCTAAAGGCTAAAGACAATTGAGCTGTATTGCACAGCAAATATAAAGAGGGAAAAAATTAGAAGGACAGGGTTCCAGTAAATTGGAGATTGCAAGATGAAAATAGGCAGGTCAGAGATGAGATAAGGTGAAGGTCACCAAAAGCCAAGGAAAGAGAGGATTTTGAGGAGTGGGCTCTCCATGTCTAACGTTGTCTAAAAGTGAGAAAAGGCCCCTGGCCCAGGGCTGGCAGTGTCCTCTGGTAACCTTCAAGAGGCAAATATAAGCAAAATCAACGATGGACATGCTTTTTCAAGGACTCAAGAAGGAACAGATAAAAACTGATGAAAGCAATGAGTAAGTTAACAGAAAGTGAATCAAAAGAAAAAAAAAAGAAAAGGCATCCAATGGTAGTAGAGATATTAAATAGTAATTAGGAAGTATAAAAGTGTGAAA